>NC_000006.12:85148261-85773261 GCF_000001405.40 Homo sapiens
ATTACTGCCTCAACTTCAGAACTTGTTATTGGTCTATTCAGGGATTCGATTTCTTCCTGTTTAGTTTTGGGAGGGTGTATGTGTCCAGGAATTTATCCATTTCTTCTAGATTTTCTAGTTTATTGGCATAAAAGTGTTTATAGTATTCTCTCATGGTAGTCGGTATTTCTGTGGGATCAGTGGTGATATCCCCTTTATCATTTCTTATTGTGTTTATTTGATTCTTCTCTCTTTTTTCTTTATTAGTCTGGCTAGCAGTCTATCTATTTTGTTAATCTTTTCAAAAAACCAGCTCCTGGATTCATTAATTTTTTGAAGGATTTTCTTGTCTTTATCTCCCTCAGTTCTGCTCTAATCTTAGTTATTTCTTATCTCCTGCTAGCTTTTGAATTTGTTTGCTCTTGCTTCTCTAGTTCTTTTAATTGTGATGTTAGGGCATCAATTTTAGAACTTTCCCACTTTCTCATGTGGGTATTTAGTGCTAAAATTTACCTATAAACACTGTTTTAGCTGTGTCCCAGAGATTCTGGGACATTGTCTCTTTGTTCTCATTGGTTTCAAATAACTTGTTTATTTCTACCTTAATTTCATTAGTTACCCAGTAGCCATTCAGGAGCAGGTTGTTCAATTTCCAAGTAGTTGTGTGGTTGTGAGTGAGTTTCTTAATCCTGAGTTCTAATTTGTTTGCACTGTGGTCTGAGAGACTGTTATGATTTCTGTTCTTTTGCATTTGCTGAGGATTGTTTTACTATTAATTACGTGGTCAATTTTAGAAGAAGTTCTATGTGGTGCTGAGAAGAATATATATTCTGTTGATTTGGGGTGGAGACTTCTACAGATGTCTATTAGGTCCGCTTGGTCCAGAGCTGATTTCAAGTCCTGAATATCTTTGTTAATTTTCTGTCTTGTTGATCTGTCTAATATTGACAGTGGGGTGTTAAAGTATCCCACTATTTTGTGTGGGAGTCTAAGTCTCTTTGTAGGTCTCTAAGAACTTGCTTTATGAATCTGAGTGCTCCTGTATTGGATGCATGTATATTTAGGATAGTTACCTCCTCTTGCTGCATTGATCCCTTTACAAATACGTAATGACCCTCTTTGTCTTTTTGACTTTTGTTGGTTTAAAGTGTGTTTTATCAGAGACTAGGATTGCAACCCTTCCTTTTTTTGCCTTCCTTTGCTTGGTAAATCTTCCCCTATCCCTTTATTTTGAGCCCATGTGTGTCTTTTTACATGGGATGGGTTTCCTGGATACAGCACACTAATGGGTCTTGAATCTTTATCCAGTTTGCCAGTCTGTGTCTTTTAATTGGGACATTTAGCCCATTTATATTTAAGGTTAATATTGTTATGTGTTAATTTGATCCTGTCATTATTATGCTAGCTGGTTATTTTGCCCATTAGTTGATACAGTTTCTTCATAGTGTCAATGATCTTTACATTTTGGTATGTTTTTGCAGTGGCTGGTACTAGCTTTTCCTTTCTGTAATTAGTGCTTCCTTCAGGAGCTCTTGTAAGGCAGGTCTGGTGGTGAGAAAATCCCTCACATTTGCTTGTCTGTAAAGGATTTTATTTCTCTGCTTATGAAGCTTAGCTTGGCTGGATATGAAATTCTGGGTTGAAAATTCTTTTAAGATGTTGAATATTGGCTCCCACTCTCTTCTGGCTTGTAGGATTTCTGCAGAGACAGATCCACTGTTAGCCTGATGGGCTTCCCTTTGTGGGTAACCTGACCTTTCTCTCTGGCTGCCTTAAATTTTTTCCTTCATTTCATCCTTGGTGAATCTGAAAGTCATGGTTTTTGATAGGGATTGCATTGAATCTATAGATCACTTTGGGTAGCATGAACATTTTAACAATATTCTTTCAATCCATGTGTAAACCAAAAATAAAATTTTAAGCCCTCCATCTGACTGATGGACCCTCCCCTTGGCCAAAGACATTCCAAAATTAACCTGGAAAACTAGTTAAGGCCATGGTGGGAAGTAAGGGTCAGACATGATTCATTATGCCATCTCCCTTTGGAATTCAGGTACAGCTGACCAGCATTAACATTAAAACAGAGATTCTGAGACTGATGAAACAGACTTTTTTTTTTTTTTTTTTTTTTTGAGATGGAGTCTCACTCTGTCGCCCAGCCTAGAGTGCAGTGGCTTGATCTCGGCTCACTGCAAGTTCCGCCTCCTGGGTTCACACCATTCTCCTGCCTCAGCCTTCCAAGTAGGTGGGACTACAGGCACCCGCCACCATGCCTGGCTCATTTTTTGTATTTTTAGTACAGACAGGGTTTCACCATGTTAGCCAGGATGGTCTCCATCTCCTGACCTCGTGATCCGCCCACCTCGGCCTCCCAAAGTGCTGGGATTACAGAAACAGACTTTTTATAGCAATCGGATACCAAATTCCAACCTGACTCTACTATAGCATCACATAACACACAGCAGGCCCTGAAAGAAATTGAAGTATTTTACCCCAAAATACATTTTTAGACATATTTTGAGATGGCCTTGCAAAGCTATTTCTTGTGGGGATTATCTACATTCTGTAGAGAACCCTTTTCTTTCCAGGTTGTTCCTCTGATCCAGGAGAGAATTAACTAAGAGTCTCCCACTTTTTTAGGTCTAATAAGAGTTCTGAAGTCTGCTATTTGAAGGCTTCATCTGCATGATAAAACCTTGGCCTCCACAACCCCTTATCTTAATCTGGACATTCCTTTCTATTGATTCCATTTCTTTAGATAGTGACTCTTTCAACCAATTTCCAATTAGAAAATCTTTGAATCCACCTATGACCTGCAAGCCCTCGCTTCCAGTTGTCTTCCCTTTCTGGACCAAACCAATGTATATCTTACATGTATTGATTGATGTCTTATGTCTCCCTAAATGTGTAAAACCAAGCTATAGCCCAACCACTTTGGCACATGTTCTCAGGATCTCCTGGGGCTGTGTTACAGGCCATTGGTCACTCATATTTGGCTCAGAATAAGTCCCTTTAAATATTTTACAGAGCTTGATCTTTTCATCAATACATGAACACAGGATATCTTTCCATTGATTTGTGTTTTCTTCCATTTTTTCCTCATTGTTTTATGGTTTTCAGTGTACAGGCTTCTAAGTCCTTCTTTAAATTTATCTCTAAATATTCTTTATGCTATTATAAATGGGATTTTTTATTTCGTTTACATATAGTTTGTTAATGCATAGAAATGCCACTGATTTTTATGTGTTCATTTTTATCTTGCAAAATTACTGAATTTGTTCATCAGGGTTCTAGTAGTTTTTTCTACTTATAAGATCACATCATTTGCAAACAAAGACAATTTTACTTCTGACTTTCCAATTTGGATGCCTTTTATTTCTTTTTCTTGCCTAATTGCTCTAGCCAGGACTTCCAGTACTATGTTGAATAGAAGTGGGGAGAGTAAGCATCCTTATTTCTAATCTTAGAAAAAAATTTTCAGTTTTTCACCATTGAGTATGGTGTTACCTGTGAGCTTGTCTTATGTGCTCTTTATTATGTTGAGATACACTCCTACTATATCCAATTTGTTGAGAGGTTTTATCATGAAAGAATCTTGAATTTTGTCAAATGCTTTTTTTGCAACTATTACAATAAGCATATGATTTTATCTTTTCTTCTGCTAATGTGGTGTATCATATTTATGGATTTCATATGACATGTTTTTTGAAAATAATCAATGTTATAAGATGTCACATATTTTCACCACTTTGCAAAGCAAACATCATATTTTATCTTGATAACTATTAGCCAAATTTCATCACAATTAATTCTTTCCTAAGCATATTTATGACAAGTTAATTAAGAAAAATGGGAAATGCTGACTATCCCACCTAAAATAAAAAGAAAAAAATCGTTTGTTTTCTTCAGTCAAGAAAATATAAGCTTCTCTAAGTGACAGAAAAAAATTAAGTGTTATCCAGTGTTCAGCAACAATATTCTTTATACATAGGAAAAGTTATCCTTGAGTAAGAAATACATTCATCGATAGCAGAACTGAACATGCGTCACGAAAGTTTGCATGCCTAGAGCCTATAATATCTGAGCCAACTAGACCCCTGGCCACAATGGTGCTCACATCTTCCTAAACAAGGTGGAAATCACCTCCTATATGGCATGCTTCTAGATATGTGGCAGGAAACACTTTAAAGTGGTTACAAGAATTTGCACTAGATGATTCTTTATTTAGAATGTCATTAGGAGAAACAGTTTTGACCTTCAAATAGTAACAGACCTTCAAATTTTCCTTTGGAATTGAAGTATGCAGCAGCTTTATACTTTGAACATTAAGGATTTTTAATATCCAAAACCTAACCAATTTGTAGCTGGAGCTCAAGTCAGCCTCACCATACAAAATAGATATTTCCAGAAAAGACTCCAAAAAATAATTGCTTTATTACACTAAAATTCAGTTAGGTACTTTTTATAACCACAAATATTAATGTAACCTCAACTCTTCTAAGGCTCTTACTGCAAGTGTATACTAATCGCATTTCACTGTCCCTTGTATCTAGCATAACGTCTTTTAGGGAGAAAGATTACTGTTTCCAACTCCACCGAAGCAGTTCTTGGAGAATATATTAGCAAAATATATTATGTGATAAAAGATTTGTATTCAAAATATGCAATGAACTCATAAAACTCAACAAAAAGATAATAAACAACCCAATTCATAAGGACAGAAGATCTGAAAACCTCCCCAAAGAAAACCCAAACTCTTTATGGATTGTACATAAGCATATGAAAGATGCTCAACATTACATGTTATTAAGGAATTGCAAATTAAAATAACAACGGGCTATCACTATATCACTATTAGAATGGCTAAAATACAAAAACAATACTAGCAATACCAAATGCTGGTGAGGGTGCAGAACAGTAGAAACTCTCATTCATTTATTGCTGGTGGACATGCAAAATGGTGCAGCCACTTTGGAAGACAGTTCAAAAGTTTCTTACAAAGCTAAGCATGCTCTTACCGTAAGATTTGGCAATAGTTCCTCTAGGTATTTACTTGATTGAGCTGAAAACTTATGTCCACACAAAACTAAATGTAGTCTCACCATAGGATCTAGCCATTATGCTCATTGGTATTTACCCAAATAAGTTGAAGAAGTTATGTCCACACACACAAAAAAAACTGCATATGAATGTTTTAGCAGCTCTATTCATAATTGCCAAAATTTGGAAGCAACACAGATGTCCTCCAATAGGCCAATAGATAAACTGTGGTATGTTCTTACAGTGGAATACTACTCAATGATAAAAAGAAATGAGCTATCAAGCCATACAAAGGCATAGAGGAACCTTAAATGCAAATTGCTAAGTAAAAGAGGTCAGTCTGAAAAGGCTACATACTGTCTGATTTCAACTATATAGCATTCTAGAAAAGGCAAAACTATAGAGACAATAAAAAAGGTCAGCTGTTGCCAAGAGTTTGGAAGGAGTGGAGATGAATAGTGAGCACAGGGGATATGTAGGGCAGTGAAAGCATTCTGTATGATACTTTAATGATGGGTTCATGAGATTACATGTTTGAGAAAATTCATAAAACAATGCAAAACAAAGATTATAATTTCATGTAAACTATGGACTTTAGGTAATAGTAATTGATATGGTTTGGCTCTGTGTCCCTAACCAAATCTCACGTCAAATTGTAATCCCTAGTGTCAGAGGAGGGGTCTGGTGGGAGGTCACTGAATTATGGGGACAGACTTCCCCATTTTTGTTCTTGTGATAGACTTCTCATAAGATGTGGTTGTTTGAACAATGAGATACCATCTCACACCAGTTAGAATGGCAATCATTAAAAAGTCAGGAAACAATAGGTGCTGGAGAGGATGTGGAGAAATAGGAACACTTTTACACTGTTGGTGGGACTGTAAACTAGTTCAACCATTGTGGAAGTCAGTGTGGCGATTCCTCAGGGATCTAGAACTAGAAATACCATTTGATCCAGCCATCCCATTACTGGGTATATACCCAAAGGACTATAAATCATGCTGCTATAAAGACACATGCACACGTATGTTTATTGCGGCACTATTTACAATAGCAAAGACTTGGAACCAAGCCAAATGTCCAACAATGATAGACTGGATTAAGAAAATGTGGCACATATACACCATGGAATACTATGCAGCCATAAAAAATGATGAGTTCATGTCCTTTGTAGAGACATGGATGAAATTGGAAATCATCATTCTCAGTAAACTATCGCAAGGACAAAAAACCAAACACCACATGTTCTCACTCATAGATGGGAATTGAACAATGAGAACACATGGACACAGGAAGGGGAACATCACACTCTGGGGCCTGTTGTGGGGTGGGGGGAGGGGGGAGGGATAGCATTAGGAGATATACCTAATGCTAAATGATGAGTTAATGGGTGCAGCACACCAGCATGGCACATGTATACATATGTAACTAACCTGCACATTGTGCACATGTACCCTAAAACTTAAAGTATAATAATAATAAAAAATAAAATAAAATAAAATAAAATAAAAAGATGTGGTTGTTTGAAAGTGTGTAGCATCTCACCCTTTGCTCTCTCTCTCTCCTGCCAGCCATGTGAAGACGTGTTTGCTTCCCCTTCACCTTCCTCCGTGATTGTAAGTTTCCTGAGGCATCCCCAGCCATGCCTCCTAAACAGCCTGCAGACCTGTGAGTCAATTAAATCTCTTTTCTTTTTAAATTACCCAGATTCAGGTAGTTCTTCACATCAGTATGAGAATGGACTAATACAGTAATATGCCAATATTAATCATTCATTAGTTGGAATACAGGTACCACAAGAGTGCAAAATATTGTTGGTGTGCAGGGGAAGATAGCATATGGGAACTCTGTACTATCTACTCAGTTTTTATGTCCAAAAAATAAAGTCTAAGAATTAAGGAGGAAAAGCAAGTCAAGTAGTCTGTATTTTAATTTAGCTGATTATTCTCTGATGAGATGCTTTACACTTGGTCTGACCCTTTGCTCTATGAAGAAAAAAGTTTATTCTGTACAATGCCTGGGATTGGGTGTTAAGGCAATTGGAAGCCATTCATTGATATGTATCATGTTAGCTTAACAATCTACACATCGATTCTGCTTGATCAACCTGCATGCCTGAGCACACAGATCAGGAACAAAGGGCGGGAGAAGAGAGTGAAGAGTTGGTATTTGCATTACCCAGGGCCTTCAGGAACACTTGTGCAGAATCAATTGCAGCAACTGTTAGTCATCACAGGTTACCCTGGAGGACTGATCTGCTTTATAGAGTAGGGTGTCAGTGAAGATGTTCACAGCAGTAAGCACAATGGCGGACGTTTTCGTAGCTAGCTCTAGTCACCTAGGCAGGGAACAACTAGGCCTGGAGAGTCAGGGAAGGGATTTACAGGTGCCTCTGTATTTCAGGAAGCTCTCCCATGATCTGCAAATGACTTTCCCTTACACTAAGAAAGTTGGGGCTTATTTGGTTGGCAAAATGATCAACAAGGGTCCTTTTGCCAAAGTCATAGAAGGGCTGGGTCTCCCCATGGGTGAAAAGGCAAGTACACATTGACAAATAGATCCAACTCTCATGCCTATCCATTATCTGATATGATATTAAGTAGAAAATGATAATTTTTCTATTTCATAGCTTGGTCTACAACCTAGATTTTCTGAGAAGGCTCAAATCATTTTAAATCAATAAAAATCTTGAAGTTTTGATTATCTGTTTGTTAGTTCAGAAACATGTGTGTTCCAGCTAAGTGTGTTTACATATATTATTTTCACAACAGATAAAAATAAATTCAAAGAAATAAGATTTTAAAAATCACATTGTGACTTGTTTTATTTTCTTATCCAAATAAAATGCTTCTTTATCTGTTTTTGCTGAAAACAAAGGGAAAAAGTCTTGCTTTAAACTAACAACTATCAAAAGAAAAATTAATAGAAAATTCTAATGAGTTTTCCTAGAATCCATTAAAGCTAATTTTATTGGCATATATAACTTCTTTCCTATTATTTTTATTTCTGATCCAACTACTTTTTTTGGCTGTGGTTGAAATATGTTCCAAGACGTAATATGTTATTTTTATTAATAAATACGTTCTTTATAATTAAAAAGACAATCATATCAGCTTTGCTGAGAGCTATGTCAGAAAAGTTGACAAAAAGACCAAATAGATTGCTGAAATATAATTACATTTTAGTATAGTTAGTATCAATTCTTAATTATTAAAATGTTAGCTTTAGATATTTATTAAGGCATGATACTTTATTCACATCCTAATTTTACAAAATTACATTATAAAATTTCTGTTACTACTTATTCTCCTGGTTTTGTGCTTAAAGAAAAAAAGCCAACTTTGGCTGTTTTTATTAGTAACCTTCACTGAGCATCATTTACATCCTCAATTATTTAGGTAGCCATCAAAGGCATTAGCAAGAAGAAAGCCAAGCAAGACTCCTATGTTCTAAAGAATATAAAGTGTGAATCTTGGATCCAGTAAATTGTCAAATACCCTAATGCTTCCCAGCTACAAACCCTGGAGACTAAGAACTCTTATTATGTGATGATGGAGCTATGCCTCAGTGGCAACCTCATGAACAGGATCTGGGATCAAAAGAAACTAAGTGAAAGGGAAGTGAAGATGATCTTCAGGCAGATGTTGTCCGCAATGGAGCATGTGCACTGGCATGGAATGGTACACAAGGATTATGCATTTTTTTTCTTCTCAGGCAGGAAAAGCCACCAAAGCCCCCAAGTTTATGAAACCCTTGACATGTCAATCACTGACAGTAAGCCCAGCATAGGCTCTATAGCTAAATGCAAACTAAGGGAAGATCGGTGTTCTTGAGAAGTTTCTCACTGAGTATGCCATCCAGGGGAAAGCAGGCACCAGCTCACAGGGCTCACAGAGCTGACCCAAGAGTAACCAATTCTTCCTCTCCTTACAGTGTTTAGGTAGAAACTTACATTTTGTGAAAACTATGATTGTAGTTTAGAGGAAAACTTTAATTTTCTTATAAACAAAATATATAAAAGTCATAAAATGTGGCACTGATATTTGTGGGAGGGATTTCTGCAAATTTTTGTGGGCATAATGATTTGGAGGAAACTCTAATTGAGGCCAGCTTACGGTATTAGCTGGTTTACAATGTGGTCTGTTCTTCCCATCCATCCAGATTGTTTAAATGCCTTATAAAATGTGTTATGATTTGGGAAAGAGCATAGATACTAATTCCCAAGATCCCTCATACACTAAACTATACATAACTCATTCCACAGCGTTGTTTTGTGTCTCCCTTTTCACTTCAGTAGAACTCCAGAGGCCAGAAAAGGATTTCAAGTCATTCTGTAACTTAGTGCTAGAGTTTTTCTTCCCTAGTCATCCTTGCATTCTTATCATATGTGACCCCTTTCCATAGCACACAAAAATACTTATATGTTTCCTTGAATGGGAGAAACTCCAGAAAAGGAGAATAGTGAATTTAATATCAGAGACACACTAAAGATACATACCCAAACGAGTCTTGTAAGGGAAATGGTTTCTGACAAACTTCTGATTATTGTTTAAACAAATGACTTGTTCACATATTCAATTGCTTAATGATGTCAAGCTTATAATCACTACACATGGGTGTGTATGTAACACATCCATGGCTAGAGAAGGTGAAAGTCCCTGCTGCTTTTCACAGTGAGGTCCAAGAATAAGAAGGCAGAAAACTCCACTCAGGGGGCCTCCCATGCATTGCTTCACACAGTTCAGAAGGCCCCACTCTCTGCCTACCTTCTGTATAACCATGCCTTCTCCTCCTTGGAAAAGCCTACACGCCAAAGGACAGAAGAGACAGACAGAACAAACAACTTCCATAAAATGCTCGGTGGAGGCAAGGACTAAACTCCATCTGAAAACATAATCTTGTTTCTAGTGTTTATGCTTTAATTCTCTGTTTTAAGCCCACCCTAACTGCTTCTTCTGCTTATGGTTAAAATATACAGAGATCACTTACTGCATACATTATCTTTGTTATGTAGTGATGCATATGCAAATATATTATGTTATTTAATGCTCTTGAGTCTCCAGTGAAGTGTTGGTAATCTCCATTCCCACAGATATTTGGATGCCATCATTAACGCCTCTGAGGCCTCACAAATTAGGGGTCCTTCTCAGGGACCATGCTTACGGGACTCTGCCCCACTCCCACTGTGAGACTCACACAAGTGGATGACTGAGAGAAAAACCTAGAAGACTATCATTTTATTTTTTTTCAATTAGTTCATTCTTTAAAAGACAACAAAAAATATAATGGCTTATATTCACATAATATTTGATGATAATACTCCAATCTTCTTCCACACAGTCTCCTGAGGAGGTCCTTCTCAGATATTTAGGGTATTGGTTCAGTTAAGCCAAGTTTTATCTGCCTAAAATGCTGGACAGGAGAAAAGTGCTCGGCATGATTTATCCTGAGTCCCATGTTCCTGACAGACAATCCTGAAAATGATGCTATCTTTATACAAGATTCTGCCCGGTTGCCTAGGAGTTATTTAGTGATTTTAAGTGCGTTCGTTCCAACTATGGCTTGATTAGAAAAAGAGAAACTCCATTTGTTTGATTAATTTCCTAATGATTCATATAAAGACTCCTTATCATTTATTTCTCCTACTAAGAAATGAATGGTAAGGAACTTTATATGAATAATTTTATTTTATAAATAAATATATTTTAAAATTTTATTTTATAAATAAATATATTTTAAAATTTTATTTTATAAATAAATATATTTTAATATTTTATTTTATTTAGTTTTAGTTTTAAATGTTTTATTTTTTACTTCTGTAGGTACATAGTAGGTATATATATTGATGGGGTACATAAGATGTTTTGATATAAGCATGCAATGTGAAATAATCACATCATGGAAAATGGGGTATCCTTTCCCGTTTATCCTTTGTGCTACAAACAATCCAGTTATACTCTTTTCATTATTTTTAAATGTACAATTAAATTATTGGCTATAGTCACCCTGTTGTACTATCAAATAGTAGGTCTTATTAACTCTATATATTTTTTGAATCCATTAATCATTCCCACCTTCTCTCTAAACCACACCTCCCCACTCAGTCCCCACTACTCTTCCCAGCCTCTGTGGTCTCATATTTTAATACAAGATGATTCCCAAATGAGTGGTCTGCCCTTGTCAAGTCAAAACTATGAACAGAAAGCTGAAAGAATATTGTCTCCTCTGCTGGTGCTTTTTTTTTCTGGAAACTTGAGGAATTTAATCCATTATCAATTTTAAGGCTGAAGCCAAGAAAGGATCCACTTTAGCATAAAGTGCAATATTCTAAAATAGCAGTCCCCAACCTGTTTGGCACCAGGGACCAGTTTTATGGAAGGCATGGACCAGAAGTGAGGGGGCGGGTGGTTTCAGGATGATTCAAGCATGTTACATTTATCATTAGATTACCATAAGAAGCACACAACCTAGATCCCTCACATGCATAGTTCACAATAGGGTTTGTGCTCCTTTGAGAATCTAATGCCACCACCGATCTGACAGGAGACAGAGCTCAGCTTTGGTCACTCACTGCTCACCTCCTGCTATACGGCCCGGTTCCTAATAGGGGATAGGGACTCCTGTTCTAAAACACAAAACACTAATATTGGTATATAAGGTTTACTTTTCTTGATGTCTTTAGGGGCTTGAAGATTGAAAATTTTCTTGTGGATGTACACAATATCAAAATTGTTCATAAGTATAAATGTCTTTGTCTATTTCATTAATTCAGCAGATTAATGAAATAATTGATTAGTTAATTATTTAATTAATGAAATTTTAAATTCTTTGAAACACAGGCCTAAAGCATCTCAGAAGGCAGCATTAAGAGTCATATTATTTTATCCAGGTGGAGTGATACTATTTCAAAAAGTGGTGGAAACATACCTTCACCCAGTTGAAGCATAGATAAAAATGTACGATGCACACATAGTCTATTATCATGTTAAGCTATCAAGAAACAAATTACTTAAAGTGATGTTTCATTTAAAATATTGTATGATTAAGTAAAAATCTAAATTTGGCATTTTATAAGTGTAGTTATATATGACATAAATACATATTCTGTTGTCTGTAAAATCATTCCATCGTTTTTTTCAAAATGTTATTCTATTCCAAATAATCTTGGCAAAAATAATCTTAAGAAGTTCTTATACCTAAACATTTCTGTTGCTTTTCAAGAATTGCTAAGTGAAGTCTGAGCAATTCTCACTGAAGTAATAAAATTCTGAAAATAACCTGCATCCTTGAAGCTTAGAGGTCTGCAGTGAGGCTTTCAGAGGAGCCTGGAGACTGCCTGTCAGTCTTGCTGTGTGAATCCTTGAGAATTTACAGCTTTCAGGACATGGACCCAGCTTTGAGTCCTTCCAGGCCAGTCATGCTCACTAGGGGTAATTTTATATAGTCCAAGATCCAAGACCCCAGATACTGACGCTCTGTTTTTTCTGGTTACCATTGTCACTCGGGAAGCTTTGCAGGCCCTCAGTTGAGGACCAAAGGGCCTCTCACTTCCGCTTCCTTCCCTGGACCCTTGGCTATCCAGGTGGACCGGCAGACAGCTTTTTCCTACTGAACCATGATTGCATAAAGCAGGGGCTGTCCTCTCCCCTTACATGTAACGATCAGCAAAGGCTGTTCTACTTACTGACTTTGTATAAATAGACAAATTGTGCAAGAAAAATAACAAGAACAATAATAATAACTGATATCTAATGGAGCACTTATGATGTGTTCCAAACCTTTAACCTCTATTAGCATTTTAATCCATATAAAAACCTATGAGGTAGATACTAATATTTCCCCATTTTGCAGATGAGGAAATTGAGTCATGCAGCAGTGTAACTGTGATTCCAACCCTAAAAGAGTCAGGCAAAAAGCAAAAATGAGTAGAGTAAACCCAAGTTCCCGAGGTAATAGAGAGTGGTGAGTGGTAACCCAAGAGCAAAGTCTGGACTAACAGGCCAGACATTAAGTGCACTCATCAAGATCTACAGACAGGTAAACTTTGCAACATAGTGGAATGCAAATGGCAAGTTATGTTATACCACACATAACCTAAAGAAAACATTTCTAGAGAGCTGGCAAAAAATAAAAATAAATAAAAATAAAAGCCCAAGAATTTGAAGCAATAAACTAAATGATTTTAAATAAGAACAGTGCCTCACCCTGTTTTCTTGCATCCTTATTCTCATGAGAATTGCTGCTATAAAATATTTTCTACTGAATTATTTTATCAAGTTATTCATAGACCCTCTTTATCCAAGTGCTGCTCAGAAGTATTCAATTTCTCGGCCAGAGGCGAGATTCTTGGTCTGTCCATTTGTAAATCTTTCAGGCTTTTGATTGAGTAATACTGAGAAGTTGGAGGGTCTTTCTCAGGAGCAGTTAAGTACTCAGGGTGGAAGTCCTGCCTATGCGGCCCCTGAACTGCTTGCTCATCAGAAATATGGCCCCAAAGTGGATGTCTGGTTCATGTAAGTAAATCACCAACCTCCTGTGTTAGGTTAGGAACTCTTCGTGATAATCCCTTCGGCTTTAGAGCTGCGTGAAACCTGGCAGTGAGGGGGAGAGAGTGTTACGGAAAGCATTTTTCCTCACTCTAAGTTTAAGAAATTACACATACACATCAACTACATCTTAGCAAAACTGCTGCACAGTTATAGTGCTGAAAATGTGGGGGATCTGTAAAGATGTGAAGATTCTGTGACCTGGTGGTCAACATTTTATTTCACTTTCAAATTCAAAGCAACACAAGCATTTGAAAGGAACACATTTTGGGCTTCCCCTGATCAATTCTTCAAGACCCAGCCTGATATCACCTCCATGAAACCATCTCAGACACTTCTGAGCCCCAACACCAAGCTGGTTGGGTGGTGTGCTCAATAACTCCAGTGTGTTTTGTTTTTCTCTGTGGTGGAACCACCCTGTCACATCATTATCCTTTGGCTATGGGTCTCCCTGATTAGACATCACTCTGTCATCATCTCTGCAGAGCTAGCACCCAGCACACTGTTGGGGGCTTAACAGGGCTTACTGATTGTTTACTGGATGAACTTTCAAATTATCTATGAATATTAACGAACCATTCATTCTCCATCTGCCATTAGGTATTTAAGCAGAACACTGTAATGACAGAGCTCAGGTTTAACATGTGCCAAACTTGTGCTAAAATATACTAATGCTAACAAATGGTGTCCAAGAAGTCAAATGGGATCACTTTAAGAAAGAAGAGCATGTGATAATTAATGTGCCAATGTTCTACAAGCATTTTATCATTTTATTGTCCAGTAAGATTCAATTGTCCATAGAAGCATAGAGTTAATGAAGAAAAATCTGCAAAAGGATTTTATCTTAATGAATTTTAAGACTCCCCTTGGAAATCATATTTGCACTCTTTATTCTTGTAACAAACCTTTTCCTTCATAAATACTGCAAATAACATGTCAGAATTACTGTGTCCAAAATACCACAATGTCTAATCTAGAAAAGTCTAAATTGATATTTTATTATATGAAGAAAGATAATGGGATGAAATATTATTTTAATGTAAATTAGTAAGGAAAGGAGAAAAAAAGGAAAAGCTAATAGATGTGGCCTAAAGACTTTTTCCTCCCACCTCTTCTTCAGCCATATTTAGATTCCGCTACATTTTAGCCTTACACTAGAAGAGTTTGTTAAAGGATACATTTTTAACCCTAAATTCTCACATTTAAAAAAAGGCTAAGTTAGCAGCCCTCCTCATTCTTTCGTCTTTGATTAAGTACCTTTTCTCTCTAACTTCTGAGGATAAACACAATCAAAATATAGTGAGGTTTGGGTTTGTTGCTTTGTTTGTTTTGTAGAAACCAAACTGTGCATTAGCTCTAACTTCCATTCAACACATTCAACACAAAATCTTTTAAGGATACACCAACAGTCACTATACTTGGTTTTTATTTTTGAGCATCTAGTCCCAAGATTCTTCGGAGGGCTGAGACATGATTACACTTGACATAAGTTCACTAAATTAACAAACCAGCTGTTGCCTTTAAAGCATGTCAGAGATTTCAGTGGAGTGTTAAGAGTTGCATTCTGTTACAGCTAATAAATTTTCAAGTTCACGTATTGCCGGGTTTCAGTTAAAATTAAATATCAAATTCACAATTGTTGGACTAAACACAGTTTGTATATCACCTTTTGAACCACTGCCTGTATAAGTCTAACCCAGCTGCTTTTTTGTCTCTAGTATTTGTTCTTTGTAACATTCATATTCTGGTAAGTGCGTGGGAAGCACAAGAGACCTGTGTTCCACTCACCACGACATGATTTGTGTTATCCAGCAGATAACAGCATGGATGGCCAAGGCAGCACCTAAACCACTGAAATGAACACTTTGTTTTCCCAGCACAGATTTCCCAGACATCCCCCACCATGCAGGATCTCCCTGCCTGATTGCTTAAACCCCAACACCAACCAAAAAACATGACCTCAGGCTTATGCAGGCAATCTGCTCCAAAACACTGCTTCGCTCAAATAGTAACACCCACTACCTCCACCTAAAAACAGCTTTTTGGCACAACCTGGCTGGAAAAACAGCTGAAAAATATTTAAATCCAGTATTTAAGTAGCTTAGAGGATTACTAGTAGGATAAAGAGTTTTTCTACTCTAGGTGTCTGATTCAGTGACAAATTTGGTTGATAGTGAGTGGAAATCCTGGTTGATGGTGAGTGTGAAAGTCATTATTACTTCCTTACGGGTCTTCTCTGGCCTGATCATTCCCCTTGGCTTCTGGCTCCTTCCCTGGGTCCCTTTACAAGAAGTCTCACAACTATGAGATAATAAAAATATCTCTAAAGAACATTTGAATGTTGGTCACAAATTCCACATGAATTTTATTCTGCTTTCTCGTTAGTCTCTGTAGTTTTCGTACATTTCTAAACTCTCTGGCCCAGCCAGGTTTAAATGCTTGAAATCCCAAGATTCCTATCAAAGGAATGGCTTCTCCATTTATTTTGTGGCCTGGACACATAAAGGCCACTCACAGTCAAAGACATACATTTAGTGGTTAAAAGCTTGGAGGCTGAAATCAGACTCTGAGTTCAAACCCAATCTTAGCTGTTTCCTGTGTGCCCTTGACAACCTGCTTCATCCACTTTCTAAGAGGCAGGGCACGTACCTTCTGACAGTGTTCCAAGGGGACAGCAATGTTTATTGAGAAACACCTCTAGTGGAGAAACAACAGGCCCTGTCCATCCCCCTTCATTCTGCTATAGATAATTGTCAGGGATAAACAGAGCTAAAACATTGTGACGTAGCCTACATTTATCTTTTATACCTACCCACCTCTCCTATTCCCTCCACTCTTCAAAAATCTCTTTCCTTTTCCTCCCTTCAAATCTCCAACTTGAAAATATCAGATTCTAGGCTGGGCACAATGGCTCACGCCTGTAATCCCAGTACTTTGGGAGGCAGAGGCAAGCAGATCGCTTGAGCCTAGGAATTCAAGACCAGCCTGGGCAACATGGCAAAACCCCTGTCTCTACAAAAAATTAGCCAAGCATTGTGGCACATGCGTGTCATCTTGGCATCTCGGGAGGCTGAGGCAAGAGAATCGCTCGAGCCCAGGAGGCAAAGGTTGTAGCGAGCCGAGATTGCACTACTGCATTCCCACCTGAGCCACAGAGTGAGACCCTGTCACAAGAAAAAAAGAAAAGAAAAAAGAAAGAAAAGAAACGAGAAAAGAAAGGTGGGGAAGGGAGGGGAGGGGAGGGGAAAAGAGGAGAGGAGAGGAGGGGAGGGGAGGGGAGGGGAGGGGAGGGGAGAGGAGAGGAGAGGAGAGGAGAGGAGAGGAGAGGAGAGGAGAGGAGAGGAGAGGGACAGAAAGGAAAAGAGAAGGGAAGGGAAGGGGAGGGGAGGGGAGACCAGATTCCTAAAAACCTGATTTGTCATTCATAGTTTAGTATAAATACAGGCTTAACCTTTCCAGGATGTATTTGATTTGTAAATGAGGAGCTTCTTAACCAATAAGTAACTTAACTAATAAGTTCAAACTCTGATTATATTAGCCAGGATCCTAACAGACAGCAGCAAATATGTTCAAATTAAGATAATTCAAGGAGAGATCATTTACAAAGGGACTGATTACAAAGTCATGAGTGGACAAAAGGGAATCACAGGAATAATGCAGAGGCCTGGAGCTAACAGCAGCAGATCTGCCCCTCTCCTAGGCCCAAAGGGACAAAGGAGGGAAGAAGTTACTAGAACCTAGAAGTCAAGTTACTTAGCATTGGCTTTCTTGAAAGGAAATATAACCTTAGTCAAGGTGAACAACCAGTCCAAGACATCTTGAAAAGGCCAAGGAACAGAAACCTTGACCTCACTGTCTGCATTCCTTCCAATCTCCTGCCAGGGATCCCCATTGGCTGAGCCCAAAGGTAGCCAGAAGGCAGCAAAGCCCATCACTGCAGTCCGTGCAGGTGGCCCTGGGGTAGAAAACAGTCTGCAGAAATATGGAGAGTAGAAGCAGAAGATAAAATGGAATATCTAACAGAAGGGCTAGGAGACATTGTGGGCAAGATAGTTTCCTTCATCTGCTCCCATTGCAATCGCCTCTGCTCTTATCATCGCCTCCAATAGATTCCAAAGTCAGCAACTTGGCACAGAATTTCTGAAGTTTTTATGTTTGCAAAGAAGTAAAACACTATATATCCTCTTCACCCCACTCCCCCACCCTACCCCCACCGCCTTCCTCAAAGTTTAAAAACAAAAAATCTGGTTTCGACCATCAGGTGAGTAAAGTAACTGAGAAAGGCACTACTCCTTTGACACACACACGCAGCTTAAAACCAGCATCTCTCCTGGAAAGGCATTTCTTGAGTAGTCATATAACTCCAGGCTTTGGGTGGAAGCAAGGAAACAAGCAGAACATAAATTTAACAGAGAAAATGAACCTGAGAGTCCAATTCAAATCTCAGGAAAAGGACGCTTTGTATGGAATCGGAGACTGTGACTCACACTTCAGGCAGGATATGGAAGCAGAGAAAGAGACCCAACCTAAGCACACACACCATGTAAATCCTACTTTACTGTCAGTTCACATCTGAAGGTCAGTTCCAAATGCATTTTGCAAATAGCATAAAGTGGAAAAAAAAAAGAAGGCAAAAAATAAAAAGAGTTGGCAGTGTGTTTATTGGAGTGGTCAATGTTATCTGTAAGCAAATGGGTCAGCAGGGTGTCCAAGAATTACCAATGCATTAAGGCAGATATAAGCAGCTGGCTCACCCTTGTACTGGGTGAAGGTAATTTTCTAGAACATGGGCAATACACCCTTAGTTCTGCTCTTAGCTGAACATGTAGGGGGGTGAGGCTGGGTTTGGAAAAAATGTACTAAATTGGTTCTTTTATGGCTTCAAGACTGGCCATCTATGAGACACAATGAAAATTAATTTGTAACCCTGGAGAACTGTTTTTTTAGGATGTATTTTTGGATTGCAGCTTGTCTAGCTCTGAATGGAAAACACAAAATTACATTAAGATAACATAAATGTACAGGATATAGAACCACCCCTGTTAGGAATTTGTGATCAACATTCAGATTTTCCTCTGAGACATTTTAAACATCTTTATGCTGCAAGACATAGTTCTACAAAGGGACATGCGTAGTCAGAGATACAAGTCCCACAGAGTCTTTCACTGAAGGAACTAAAACTCCATCGTTCTTTTCAAGAAATTTGACCTTGGTTCTTCTTTTTGCTGAGGCAGAGTAGGACACTAACTTGAAAAGAATCACATGTCTTACGCTGCTGTTGATAGCCTCTCTGTCCAAGAGCAAAATTTCTTTTCAGATGGTTCCTCTTCTTCCCCTTGATAGAGGGGTAAGTTTCTGATGCTGACTGGCACCTTACCGTTCACATTGGAGATATTCAGTATTGAGCAACTCTATCAGAAGATGGTGATTGGTGCAATCAGCAATGTCCTACCTGAAATCTCCTTTGGTAATTTACTGTGGTCTCTAAGTTTGGTAGCGAAGCTCAAGAACAACAAAATGGCCAGCTTCCAAGAGCACACAGCATCTTGGGTTACTTTGGGGACTTCTCCATTTTTTTTTTAAGAACCCAATATGAATCTTATCCAGGAAAATCTGTATCCCAATATGGCAGCAATAGCAACCCACAATATTCATTTGAGATATTTTGAGGTAACAGCACCAAGGGTTTTATAAGAACACGAGTGCTATTGAGATAACCAGTGGCTTCAAATACCAGTCTTATTGGTGTACAAACTGAAGATAACTGTGTTACAGTCAGGAAGCATTGCTGATATTGCTGTTGCTGTTGTTTTTCATTAGGATTTATTCAGACAATGCAAACTGAGAATGAGGCAATCCTGATCACCACTATCCATACTATCTCTGAAAGGCTGCCATTTTTACTTAAAGGTCTTCATGTTGAACTTTCTGACGAAAAAAGAATGTACAAGACAGGTGACAAAAATTACCTAAGAATTCACTAGCTCAAATTCTCTCTCAAAGAAGAATGAGCAAATGAAATGGAAAATTGAGAGGCACATGAACAGTGGAATAAGTAATCTGTGGAGCTCTTTTATGATTGCTCTTGTGTGAGAGCTTTATAATATCAGCCAAAACTATTCTGTCTTTCTCCCTCCCTTCATCTCCTCACTCATTCATATATGATCTTTCCAGAACAAAGTCTTTCAAAATTTAAGTGTCTAAAATAGACACTCACCCTTTCACAAGACATGCTTAAGTTTGTTTAAATATAAGTGGTCAACAAAGTGCCAAAGATAGAAATTGTATAATGGGCAAAGTTTTGTTTCAACAGGAAAAAAAATGCCCTTGAGGGAATCTAAGATCAATGTTCTAAAAAAGTGACAAAACCTCAGTGTTTCTTTCCTCAAATTTTTAGTCTGGATTTCCCTAGAGAATGCACAAAACCTGAGGGTTTTTTCCTGAAATTTTTAACCTGGATTTCCCTTTAGAAACTGAGTTTCACGCATTCCTTACCGGAGCCTGACCTGCACAGCCTGCTACAGAGGAAGCAATGAGAGACAAATGGCTAAACAAAGGTAGTAATGGGAAACAACTGAGTTCTTTTATGTTACAAAAACAGGTAATTAATTCTCTCCTTTTCTATCTCTTATTAACCATGACTTGTGCACTCACTTTGTTTTAGTTTCTCAGTACCACAGGGATAGGTTTTAGCCAAACTGGAAATATCTGTCTTAATAAAGGTCTACCATAGGCTTATTGAGAGCTGGTCTGTTTTTAATATTGAAAATACAAGCTGTATTTTCATAGAATGTCCACATGGACAAATTTCCTGTTCTTGATTACACCGTGTGGTTTGGGTTCTACACTAAGCCTAGATTAAGAGATTTAATCATTTTTGTTTTTAGAAGAAGAGAAGAAAGGAACCAAATTCCACTTCTTTTCCTACCTAGATTTAAGATCATGGTATACTTAAGACATTTACAATCCAGCCCTGTATTCCATAAACTTTAGTCAAAGGTCAATACTTTAATAATCCACACTATTGTCCAGAAAAAAATTTATCCTTGGAATTTTCTTACATTTATAAAAGATTATTGATTTTATCTTAGGTCTTGGGTTAAAAAAATGAGACGAAAAAAACTTTATGAGATACCTCTCTCTTGCACAGGTGTGTGCATTTTTAAATCTGCCAAAAAAACTTCCAATGTATTACCAACAATAACATCATTTGCTTATTATAATGACATTCCTTTCAAGAAAAGCCCTGAAATGACTTGACTAAAATTTTGAAAATGCTGGAGGGTAAAGAAGACCCTTTTACTTTTGTTTCAGACATTTTCAACTATAATAGGCTAAAACTTTGAAGATTTTAAAGTACAATTAGTCTCCAACTTGCAAACACTAGGTGAAGAGTGATCCACCTCCCACCCCTCTCCTTGCCACCCGTTTTGGAAATCTTGAAACTTTTAGAGAAACTCTGGGGTCATACAAAAAAGAAACCATGCAGTGCAGAAGGAGTTCTGCCTAGGGTTTCTCAGATGCTGCCTCTGCAGGATCCAGAAGAGCAGAGGCTGCAGACTGGTCCCCAGTGGAGTCTGCTGGCATAACCTGGAGTGACCCACAGCAAGCAGGAAATGTCATTGAACTCCAGTGGTCTATTAAACGAGTACACACTCTATAACTTATACTTCTGTAATTGTCTTAATATTTAAATATTTTAAATTGCCATAAAGAAAATTGACACTCCAGGAAGATAAACCACATCTTCTATCCAGGTTGATGAATAGGTGCCCTGTTTTAGAAGCAAGACCTCTATGCCTGCTCTGAAGAACAGGCTGCTATTTCTTACGAAGTACTTCTCCTTTCCAAACGGTACTAACTTCCTCCTCAGTTTCCCTTAAATATATCATTTCACTTCCTTAAACTGTCTAGAATTCTGCTAATTAAACATTTATTTGACCCCCTTTTCAATTCTACCACTGGAAAAATTAAGGACTACTAATCATTGATATGGTCATGTGTAGAAATTCCATCAAATTGTTTGCCTGCTAATATCTAGAGGGAAACAGCTGCTGGTAGGATACTCAATGCTAAACTTGCAGTTTCAGGGAAAGGAAAACTATATAATTGTTGTAGTCCAAAAGCCCCAAGGATAACAGAGCTGCGGAATAAGCAAGGGTGCACAAAAGGTGGTAGGGAAGTGACGGCTCCAGAAAGCACATCCATTTGGAAGTTCCAGTGGAGTTAATCTTGTACCCTGCAAAGGATGAAGAAATCTTCTATCTCCTTCACTTCCTCCTGCACCATACGTCCCCCATTTCCACAACCTAGAACACATGGTAGTATAATAGGCATTTTGAGTCTACTAATAGCTAGCATTAAGTATATTTGATTGGGTTTGTCTAAAAACTGCTATGGCATTTATAGCATTATATGGAGAAATTAGCAAAAGTTCCAGACAACTAATTTATACATGAACTTTTGGAACACAATTTATTTCACGAGGTAGATTCTGTCCAAGTAAATCAAACTGTTCTACAACCATTTATGAAAGCCTATAAACAGCTAACAAATGTCTGAGCTGACTGGATTCTGGAAAGAAAAAAGAATTAAATTGAGGAGCTATATACTTCCTTCAAATTCCAGTACTTTTCCTCCGTGGAAAATAACCAGTGAATGGCAAGGTTCACAAGAGAGGAGTGGGAGTATCAGGCAGATGTAGAAGTCATCAACTAAGTGAACTTCAAGAAAACCCAAAGGGTCTTATAAACCCCCACTCCCAACGCCAGTGTTAGGTCCAATAGGACCTTAAACTATCAAAGAATAATAGGAAGGCTAGCTCATTTATAAAGCTTGTCAGTGGAGATTTCATCATCTTCACCAATTCATGCAACTATCAAGATATGCATTTCCAAGCTCATCAACTTTAGCTGGAAAAAAATAATATCTAATAATTATGGAGTGTTGCCCATGTACCGGGCACTGTGCTAAAGTATCATCCATATACAACAGTGCTGTAGATGCTCATTCATCAGTTAGATTAATCCCAGAATCCTCTGGAATTCTGACAAAGCAGTAATTAAGAGTGAAAAATTAAGTAAAATAGTCACACAATTAGTAAACTGAGATAGAATTCCAGTCTCAAACAATCTGAGCCCAGATTTTGTGTTCTTAAGCACTCATTTGTGCTGCCCAGAACCAAAACGAGAAACCAGATTGCTGGCTCCCAGAGTGTTCCTCCCTTCCCACATGTCATGGGTGACCATCATCCTGTGAAACTCCACAGCCTGGTCCCAAGACTCTTAATGTTCCATGAGTTATGGCTACAGGTATATTGCCTCAGATTAGTGGTGCAGAGGGCTTATGGGGCTGACTGGATTCTACTCAGGGCAACAGGTCAGGATCAAATAGCCCAAGAGGACAGTTTTGGGCACATTACTGTCCCTTACCTCTCTACACATGCAGGTGCATCTCCAAATATGATGCCTTTGCAAATACACTTTATATTCCCAGTATACTGCAAAAGTTAAAAGATATAACTTGCCACAGTAACCAGCTACAATTAATATCAAGAATGTTTATATTTAACTTAAGCCCTCTTTCTTCATTACAAGTCCTAACTATAGACACCTCTACTCAGTAGAGATGAACCAGCGATGCATAATTTTCTATTACTTCTCAATACAGATCCTTTACATTCAAGGATTTTATTTTCAAATACATTTAAAAGTTGCCATACATTAAAAAGACTTAAAGAAAAGATACACTGAGAGTACCTTCAGCATATTGTGGGAACACGGTGATGAACCACTGTTTCCAAGTGATGAACTTCTCTAGTGCATGCCCAGTAACCCAACATAAGAATCACCAAGGAGCTTGAGGCCATTCAGATGGCCCCAGTAAACACTGCAACTCTGATGGTAACTTATTTTACAATATGTTTCCGGGTTGTCATTTTCTTTTCAGTGTCAATAATCATATTGCTAAAAGTCCTTTATTCTAGGAATCATCTATCTCAGTAAGTTTTTTAAAAAAAATGTAAAACTTTTTGCAGAAAAATTTTACACCATACTGAACAACTTTAAAAGGAAGCATAGAAAACTAGTTTATTTGAATCATAAGTTTACTTTCATGTGCTCAGATAAAGTTATTTTCCTTGGCATTTCAGACTCCAGCCTTTGAACTTCATTGCAAACACCATGGAATTTGGCCTTTCAGAAATTGCCAGTGTCCTGGTGAATAACAAGCCTTCTCCTATCACGGATTTGTACAGCTATATTAAAAATTAGTCAAATATCAAAAGGAACACCAAAGCTTGTAGGTAAAATGTCATCTTAGAATTGCATTTTGAACTTTGGGAGCAGTAAAAGGCTTGACAATTAAAATGTCAGAGCGGTCTTATCAAAAAATATCTTCAGATATTATTTCTTTCCTTTTTTTGTTTTTCATAGAATCAAATGGAGACCTAGCCACATACACAGACAGGCAGGCACACACCCACACATGTGTAGTTCATTAAATGAAATGCAATAATATGGAAATTGGGTGTAGTTTCATTTAGCTCATATCCATATTTAGATTTATAAATGTGAAATTTGGACTAGGACTTTCCCAGACTAGGAGGTTTTAACATGGTTTATTCTGCCAGTATTGGAAGGTTTACTACGAGTGGTATGTTTGGTGAATGTAAAGACATTCAGCAACATATATGATGAGGAAATTGTAATATTTAGAATCAGAAGATTTAGTTAGGAACTCAGCTCTACCATAGAAGTGACACATAAAAAAATTATTTCTTTTTTTGAGACTCAATTGCTCATCTGTTAAATGAGAATTAGAGTCAAAGTATAGTTGATTCTCATTATTCATCATCGTTTCTTATAAAGACTCCATGAGCACTGAATTAATAAATACTAAAATATTGTTCCTTGGGGAAATACAAGGTTAGGTTCCAACAAATCTCTGGTCACATTTTTATCAACTAATCAGTGCATAACCTTATTTGGTGTGTGTTTCTGCTTAAAAATACATTATCTAATATTCATTGTTGATTTGTTAACATTGAACTCATGACAACAGCACTATAACTCAGGCTTGAATGAAGCTATCTAGCACACATATTTTCTCCATGAGGCACATCACTGTTTTCTTGCCCTTAGGAACATCAGACAGCACTTCAGCACTACTCCTGGGGGCCATTTTTTTATTTTTAATTTTTGTGGCTACATAATAGATGTACATATTATAGCATACATGAGATATTTTGATACAGACATGCAATGTGAAATAAGCACACATGGAAAAGAGGGTATCCATCCCCTCAAGCATTTATCCTTTGGAGTTACAAACAAATCAATTACATTCTTTAAGTTATTTTAAAATGTACAATTAAAGTATTATTGATTATAGTCACCCTACTGTACTATCAAATGGTAGGGTTTATTCATTCTTTCTGAACATTATTTTGTTTACCCGTTAATCATCCCCACCTTCCTGCCAGCCCCTCACTACCCTTGCCATTCTCTGGTAACCATCCTTTTACTCTATGTCTATGAGTTCAGTTGGTTTGCTTTTTAGATACAATGCGTGAGAAAATGTAAAGTTTGTCTTTCTGTGCCTGGCTTATTTCACTTAATGATCTCCAGTTCCACCCATGTTGCTGCAAGTGACTAGATCCTTCTTTTTTATGGCAGTGTGGTACTCCACTGTGTATATGTACCATATTTTCTTTATCCACTCATCTGTTGATGGACACTTAAGTTACTTCGAAATCTTAGCTATTGTAAACAATGCTGCAACACACATAGGAGTGCAGCATCTTCCAAATATTGATTTCCCTTCTTTTGGGTATATACCCAGCAGTGGGACTGCTGGATCATATGGTAGCTCAATTTTCAATTTTTTGAGGAACCTCCAAACTCTTCTCCATAGTGGTTGTACTAATACACATTTCCACCAATAGCACACAAGGGTTCCTTTTTCTCCACATCCTTGCCAGCATTTGTTATTGCCTGTCTTTTGGATATAAGCCATTTTAACTGGGGTGAGATGATATCTCATTGTACTTCTGATTTGCATTTCTCTTTTTTTTTTTTTTTTTTTTTTTGAGATGGAGCCTCACTCTGTCACCCAGGCTGGAATGCAGTGGCGCGATCTCGGCTCACCGCAACTTGCACCTCCCAGGTTTAAGCGATTCTCCTGCCTCAGCCTCCCGAGTAGCTGGGACTACAGGCACATGCCACCATGCTTGGATAATTTTTTGTATTTTTAGTAGAGACGGAGTTTCACCGTGTTAGCCAGGATGGCCTCAATTTCCTGACCTTGTGATCCACCCGCCTCAGCCTCCCAAAGTGCTGGGATTACAGGTGTGAGCCACCACGCCCAGTCTGATTTGCATTTCTCTAATGATCAATGATGTTGAGCATCTTTTCATATAGCTGTTTTCCATTTGCATGTCTTCCTTGGAGAAATGTCTATTCAAATCTTTTGCCCATTTTTTGATCAGATTAGATGTTTTTCCTATAGAGTTGTTTGAGCTCCTTATATATTCTGGTTATTAACCCTTTGTCAGATGGGTGGTTTGCAAATATTTTTTCCCATTCTGTGGGTTGTCTCTTCACTGTTGACTGTTTCCTTTGCTGTGCAGAAGCGTTTTAACTTGTTGTAATCCTATTTGCCCATTTTTGTTTGGGTTGCCTGTGCTTGTGCAATATTGCTCAAGAAAGTTTTGCCCAGACCAATATCTTGGAGATTTTCCCCGATGTTTTCTTGTAATACTTTCGTAGCTTGAGGTCTTAGATTTAAGTCTTTAATTGATTTTTATTTGATTTGTATATATGGTGAGAGATAGGAATCTAGTTTCATTCTTTTGCACATGAACATCCAGTTTTCCCAGCATTGTTTATTAAAGAGATTGTCCTTTCTCCAATATATATTTTTGGCACCTTGGTCAAAAATAAGTTCCCTCTGGATGTATGGATTTATCTCTGGGTTCGCTATTCTGTTCCACTGATTATGTGTCTGTTTTTATTCCAGTACCATGCTGTTTTGGTTACTGTAGCTCTATAGTATAGTTTGAAGTCAGATAATGTGATTCCTCCATTTTTGTTTTTTGGCTTAGGATAGCTTTAGCCATTCTGGGTCTTTTGTGGTTCCATGTAAATTTTAGGATTCTTTTTCTATTTCTGTGAAGGATGTCATTGGTATTTTGATAGGGATTGCATTAAATCTAATAGCTTTTTGGTGAAGTCTTTAGATTTTTCCAAATATAAGATTATATTACCTGCAAACAAGGATAATTTGACTTCTTCCTTTCCAATTTGGATGTCCTTTATATCTTTCTCTTGTCTGATTGCTCTAGCTAGGACTTCCAGTATTACGTTGAATAACAGTGGCAAAAGTGGGCATCCTTGTCTTCCAGATCTTAGAGGAAAGGCTTTCAGTTTTTCCCCATTCAGTATGATACTAGCTGTGAGTCTGTCATATATGGCTTTTTTTATGTTGAGGTATGTTCCTTCTATCTCCAGTTTTTTTTTTTGAAGGTTTTTATCATGAAGGGATGTTGAATGTTATCAAATGCATGCTTAGCATCAATTGAAATGGTCATATGGTTTTTATCCTTCATTCTGTTGATATTATGTATCACACTGATTGATTTGCATTTGTTGAATCATCCTTAGATCCCAAGGATAAATCCCAATTGGTCATAATAAATGATCTTTCTAAAGTATTGTTGAATTCAGTTTGCTAGTATTTTGTTAAGGATTTTTGCATCAATACATATCAGATATATTGTCCTTTAGTTTTCTCTCTTTTTTTTTTGATGTGTCTTTGTCTGGTTTTGGTATCAGGGTACTAGTGGCCTCATAGAATGCATTTGGAAGCATTCCTTCCTCCTCTGTTTTTTGAAATAGTTTGAGTCACATTGGTATTCATTATTGTTTAAATGTTTGATACAATTCAGCAGTGAAGCCGTCAGGTCCTGGGCCTTTCTTTACTGGGAGACTTTTTATTACAGCTTCAATCTCACTAGTTGTTTTAGTCTGTTCAGATTTTGGATTTCTTCCTGGTTCAATCTTGATGGGTTGTATCTATGAATTTGTCTATTTCTTCTATATTTTCCATAGTTGCCCATAATGATCCTTTAAATTATCATGATCCTTTGAATTTGTGCAGTATCAGTTGCAATATCTTCTTTTTCATTTCTGATTTGATTTGGATCTTCCCTCTTTTTTTCTTAATTAGTCTGGCTAAAGGTTTGTCAATTTTGTTTAACTTTTTTAAAAAACCAAACTTTTCATTTCATTGGTCTTTTGTATTTTTTTCATTTCAATTTCATTTATTTCTCCTCTGATGTTTATTCTTTTCTTCTACTAGTTTTGGGTTTGGTTTGCTCTTGCTTTTCTAACTCTTTAAGATACATTGTTAGATTGTTCATTTGAAATTTTTCCTCTTTTTTATTGTGGCCACTTACAGCTACAAACTTCCCTCTTAATACTGCTTTTGCTGTATCCCATAGGTTTTGGTATGTTGTTTTTCCATTACCATTTGTTTCAAGGAATTTTTTTAATTTTCTCTTAATTTCTTCATTGACCCACTGGTCATTCAGGAGCATATTGTTTAAGTTCCATGTGTTAGTATAGTTTCCAAAATTCCTCTTGTTATTAATTTCTCGTTTTATTCCCTTGTGGTCAGAGAAGATGCTTGATATTATTTCAATTTTTTGAATGTTTTAAGATTTGTTTGTGACCTAACATATGGTCCATCCTTGAGAATGATCCATGTGCTGGGGAAAAGAATGTGTATTCTGCAGCTTTTGGATGAAATGTTCTGTAAATAGCTATTAGATCCATCTGGTCTATAGTGCAGATTAGATCTTATGTTTCTTTGTTGATTTTCTGTCTAGAAGATTCGTCCAGTGCTGAAAGTGGGGTGTTAAAGTCTGTAGCTATTATTGCATTGGGGCCCATCTCTCTCTTTAGCTCTAATAATATTTCCTTTATATATCTGGGTGCCTCAGTGTTGGGTGCATATATATTTATAATTGTTATATCCTCATGTTGAATTGACCCCTTTATCATTATATAGTGACTTTCATTGTCTCTTCTTGTAGTTTTGGTTTTGAAATCAATTTTGTTTGATATAAGTGTATCGATTCCTGCTCTTTTTTTGACTCCATTGGCCTGGAATTATCTTTTTCCATTCCTTTATTTTCAGTCTATGTGTGTCTTTATAGGTGAAGTGTGTTACTTGTAAGAAACAGATCAAAGGGTCTTTTTTTGCATTCATTCAGCCACTCTATGTCTTTTGATTGGGGAGATTAATCCATTTACATTCAATATTATTATTGATAAGTAAGGATTTACTCCTGCCCTGCCATTTTGTCATTTGTTTTCTGATTGTTTTATGATATTCTCTTTCTTCTTTCTTTCCTTCTTGTCTTCTTCTAGTGAAGGTGATTTTCTCTGATAATAAAATTTAGTTTCCTGCTTTTTATTTTTTGTGGATCCATTGTATGTTTTTTGTTTTGAGGTCACCATGAGGCTTGCAAATACTATTATCTTATAACCCATTATTTTAACCTGATAACAACTTAACACTATTTGCATAAACAAACAAGCAGAAAGAAAACTAATAAAAACTTATGCTTTAACTATGTCCCCCTGCTTATTAACTTTTTGTTGTTTCTATTTATATCTTATTGCACTATGTCTTGAAAAGTTATTGTAGTTGTTACCTTTGATTGGTTCTTCATTTAGTCTTTCTACTTAGGATGAGTAGTTTATACACTGCAGTTAGAGTGTTATAATATTCTGTTTTTCGGTGTACTTACTATTACCAGTGAGTTTTGTACCATTGGGTGATTCTTTATTGTTCATTAAATCATTTTCTTTCTGATTGAAGTACCTCCTTTATCATTCTTGTAGAGCAGGTCTTACTGAAGTCCTTCAGCTTTTGTTTGTCTGGGAAAGTCTTTATTTCCCCCTCATGTTTGAAGGATATTTTTGCCAGATTTACCATTTTAGGGTAAAGTTTTTTCCTTCAGCACTTTAAAAATGCCTTGCCACTCTCTCCTGCCCTATAAGGTTTCCATTGAAAGTCTGCTGCCAGTTGTATTGGAGTTCCATTATGATGTTATTTGTTTTTTTTTTTTTTTTCTCTTGCTGCTTTTAGGATCCTTTCTTTATCCTTGACCTTTGGGAGTTTTATTCTTAAATGCCTGGAGGTAGGCTTTTTTGGCTTAAATCTCCTTGGTGGTTTATAACCTTCTCATACTAGGATATTGATATAATTCTCTAGGTTTGTTATTTAGTTCTTTTGGTGAGGTCATGTTTTCCTGGATGGTGTTGTTGCTAGTAGATATTCTTCAATGTCTGGTCATTGAAGAGTTAGGTATTTATTGTAGGTTTCACTGTCTTGACTTATTTGTAGCCATACTTCTTGGAAAGGCTTTCCAGATATGTGAAAGGACTTGAGTGTTGTGATCTAAGCTGTACCTGATTTAGGGGGCACCCCAAGCCCAGTAACTCTGGTTCCTGCAGACATAGAGGTACCACCTTGATGGTCTTGGACAAGATCCAGGAGAATTCTCTGGATTACCAGGCAGAATATTCTCTTCCCTTACTTTCTCCCAAACATACAGAGTCAGTCTCTCTCTCTCTCTCTCTCTCTCTCCCTCCCTCCATCCCTCCCCCACCCCTCTCTTTTCTGAGCTACCTAAAGCTGGGGGTGGAGTGAAACAAGCACCCCTGTGGCCACCACCACATCAGTGTGTGGGTCAGAACTGAAGCTAGCACAGGACTGGGTCTCTCTCAAGGCCTGCTGTAACTACTTCCTGGCTATTGTCTCTCTTTGCTCAAGAACCTGGGGTTTTACAATAAGCAGGTGGCAAGGCTAGCCAGGCCTGTGTCATTCCCTTCAGGGCAGTGAGGTCCCTTAATCCCTGGGTGGTTCCAGAAGTGTTGTCCAGGACTCGGGGACTAGAGTCAAAATCCTGAGAAGTCTACCTGATGTTCTACTGTATTGCAGCTGAGCTGGCACTTAAACCACATGACACAATCCTTCCCACTTTTTCTTACCCATTCCAAAGGCTGAGGAACCTCACTCTATAGCCACCACCACTCCAGGCCATGAAGAGTACTTCCAGACTACTGTTGATGTTCCCTAAAGGTACTGTTCCATCTTTATGTCCATGTGTACCTTATGCTTAGCTCCCACCTATAAGTGACACTCAAAATTTTCACTGCTCTGTGCATTCGCATGTCCATGAATGACCATGAAAGCACCACAAGCATTGATTTGAGTGTTACAAATAAATTTTAGCAAACGGGAAAATTTTCTAATATGGGATCCACAAATAATAAGCACCAATTGTATATCAATTAGTTCATTACTGGTTAAGTTAGCTAATGGTTAATGTATAAGAAAATTCCTTGATAAACAATAAAACATTAGAAAATTGTCTAAGCTCCTTGACTGTGCTAGTCATCTTTGATTCTTTCAACATTAGCAAAATGACCACAATATCATAGACTCTCAATAAGCAATTGTTGAGTGAATAATGCATGTGACTTATGCCTCAAGTTTCTGACAATCTCCATAGGGAAGCATCGCAAAAACACACGGGAAGTCACACAGAGTTAGGGGATAATACAAGGCAGCGGTTGAAGATATTCTGAGCCCAATTTCTCATTTCAGATACTAAATTCTGAATTACTTGATTCTTTCCATTCTTGGATCATGGTTGTACAGTCTGTGGTACCTAAAAGGAAGTATTGGCACCTGATTTGCCTAGGTGGCATGGATACTTGAGTAAGCTAAAAGCGAAGGCCACATCTTCACCTCTGGCAGGAACCAGAGAAAAGCATATTCACAAGAAAGACCCCAAGCCCCTTTAGCACCATACTCACTTTGTAGCCCTCCCCACACATCACTTCCTCTGTCTCAAAAATTTTCCCAATTCTTTTACCAGCTGTAAACTGCCAAAAACTGAAATGTCAGGGTTCTTTTCTATAGCCTCTTAGGTTAAAATAACTTTCCCTTCCTGACTCCCTCTTTGCTTAGCAAATCTTCTTATTGGTTTTCAATCTTTTCTTTCAAAACCATCATAACTGGAGCTTCTCTACAGCTTGATAGTTAAAATCAGGCAGGCAGCAAATTGCCAGACAAAGAAAGGGTTTTATAACATCCAAGGCACATATGCAACAAGAACTTCTCAAATTGGGAAAGAACAGAAACTAAAATTTGGCCCACAGCTGATTTGTTCCCTAGAGAATTTTCTTATTCTTTTATCCAGAACTGCTTTTCCAACTATAGAATTTACTCTCCTTCCACCCTAACCTCGCCCCTAAATTGAAATTCTGCAGGTTTTATTTCTTTGACTCTTGGGACACTCCTTTAAAATTTGAAAACTGAAAAATTGATACCATTCTTTGTACTAAATGTCTAAGGTAGAATCTTTGTCTCATTTGTTTAATGTGTCCTTGTTAAAAATTACATTGTGCAGAACAGTAACTTTTAATTTTACTTATTTATAAGATTCAGATTAATTATAGCTTTATTTATTCCTCCTCCTCTTTTTTGCCTTTTCTGGTCAGTATCATCAAAAGTAAAGGAACAAAATCACCAGCTACCATGTTAACTATCATCATTTGATCCTTTAAATTCAGAACTCCAGAGCAATAAGAGACTATGTGTTCTTAAGTTTAGCATGGACAAATTCCAATGCTCACCTATTCCTCTCCATGAAACCTCCTCTATAAGAATTATTTTGTCATTACTTAAGAAAGAAGGAGGAGAAGGAGGAGGAAAAGTAGAAGAAAGAAGAAGAGTTCGAGAAGCAGCAGGAGGAAGAGGTGGAATAAGACAAACAAAAATATGGAAGGCCAGGTATAGTGACTCATACCTGTAAGCACAACACTTTGGGAGGCCAAGGCAGGAGGTTGTCTTGAGGCCAGGAGTTCAAGATCAGCCTTGGCAACATAAAAAGACTCCATGTCTACAAAAAATAAAAAATATATATAAATTAGCCATTCATGGTGGCACATGCCTATAATCCTAGCTACTCAGGAGACTGAGACAGGAAGATCACTTAAACCTAGAGGTTTGAGGCTACAGTGAACTATGATTGAGCCACTGCACTCCAGCCTGGGTGACAGAGTGAGGCCTGAATCTCTATTCAGAACATGATTAACACCCTTCTCCTTCCTCAGCAATAGACTGGAGCTTTATTTTCTGAAGAAGGTAAAACAGAAGTTTCTGCACCAGGAACACCAGATACAATTAAGAGCAGGAAATGCTGAAAGCAAACAGGGAGATTAAGAAAAACCTTATATACTGATGGCTGAAACTCCCAACTCTCTGTCCCTATTTGGCTCTCATGATACTGGCAGCCAGGTATATAAACTCTAGACTGAAGACTGATACACACTTCCTTGGGAAATGAAACCATCTCAAGAGAAATGACTTCAAGATACTAATATCAGGGTTTCCCAAGCAAACAATCCAGATAGTCACTCTGCAGTAGAACCTTCGACAAGATCCCTCAAAACTTGAAGTTTCCATTGAGCCTTTCAGGGCCCCACTCTTATATATGACTAGGTAGACCGATCAGCCAACAACTGGAGAACGCCTCTAGCTTTAGAGCTCAAAACAAACATACAGGATAAAAGCAACTAGGAGGAAATAAACACTTGGTACAGGTAAGGAAAAATACCATAACCATTATCATCAAAAAGATAAGAAATTGCAACTGTAAAACAAAAACAAGGACTTATTATTTTTAATTTAAAAAGAAACATTCAGAGAATAAGAAAAGAGCTCTTGGAAATTAACAGTATAGTGGTATAAATGAAAAACTCAATAAAAGGCTTGGTAGGAAAATTTGATAAAAATATCTCAGAAAGTATATCAAAAAAATCAAAAGATGGAAAATAGCAACTAAAAGATAAAACAATTTGAAGGCTTTCCTAGGAAATCCTACATCCAAGTAATAGCAGTTTCAGGAGAAAACAGGAGTGAAATCATTGAAGAAAGTTTTCCAGAACAGAAAGACAGGAGTTTCCACATTCCAAGTGCCCATCACAATGGATGAAAAAGTCTACCAAGACACATCATAAAATGTCAGAACCCTGTGATAAATGGGAATAGCTGATAAACTTCCAGTTAATACAGGTTTCCTACAAAAGATAAAGAAAGGAATTGTATCAGAATTCTATGTTACATCACCAGCAACTTGAAGGCATTTGAGCAATGCCTTCAAAATCTGAGAAAAAAGTATTTCCAACCTAAAATTCTATACCCAGTCAAATAGAATCAGGTATGAGAGTAAATAACAGCTTTGGACATGCAAAGTGTCAGCATACTTACCTACCATGTACCCTTTCTCAGGAAAACTTCTTAAAGAGAGAAATTATAAATAAATTATGGTATATTTCTATAGAGAAATATTATATGTGAATGAAAGTGAATAAATTTTAGCTATAAGCAACAGCATGGAAAAATCAAAGGAACATGATATGGCTAGAAAATACAAGTCACAGTACAAAATTGCAGTTACGTTTGCTTCACTGTGGTAATCATTTCACTGTCTATACGTATCTCAAAACGTCATGTTGTACATCTTAAATGTATAACATTTTATAAAAATAAAGAAAATAAAATTAAAACCAAGAAACAGAAGAATATATACAATATGATTCCTTTATATAACATTCTAGAATAAGAAAAAATAAATATATTGTTCAGGAACACAGAATGTGGCAAAACTATAAAGAAAAGCAAAGACTGAAAAACTCACAATTTAAATCATGTTCACCATGGACGTGGAAGGGAAAGCAATAAGATGAGAAAGCAATAAGATGAGAAAGCAGCATACAGAAAACTTCAAAGGCAAGAGCAATGTGCTTATATATAAACTGGGTAGACAAGTGCTCCTATTTCAGCTCAGATAAACACATACAACTCTCCTGAATTCTTATAGTGCAACCTGCCAATGCTCTCTTCTTTTTATAGAACAAGAGTAGAGGGCTTGGGTGGACAAAGAATTATGGCAAAGTTAAGTATATGTAGGAGGTTTTCTTCTGTTAGGGCAAACGTAATCTTCATGACACCTGGCACAAGCGGTTCAGTGTTGAAGCTGTAATGAATTCAAGAAACAGTTCAAAAGCCAAAAATAATTTAAAAGGAATTCCACATTTCATTGTATTCCTAGAAAACCATAAGAAGGATCCCAATTCATAGTCCTCAATAACACTCACTAAATCTCCATGTCTCTCAGGTCTTCTTCCTGTAGCCACTCCCACACAAACTGTTGGGTAACAATGAGACTTCTTTTGTCAGATTGGGGCTAGTCTGCTCAAAAAATACAATGTTATCATTTTTTTCCCATCATAAATTAATACAGAGATTGTATGCAATGTGACAACAACATTTAAGGTGTTAAGAAACATAGGTATGAAATTAGTCATGGGTGTCCTTACTTAATCTCATCTTCTCATTTCTAATTTAACAACTTGAGAGAATTAGAGAAAGACAAAGGTTAAGACATCGAGGCCCACTCTTAACTAACGGTATGAAATAATACATTTAGGGAGAATTTATGGTAAGAAGAAGGTACATAAGAGTAACAGATATGTTTTTGTTTTTTTGGTTTTGTTTTGAGACGGAGACTCACTTTGTCTCTCAGGCCGGAGTGCAGTGGCGCGATCTTGGCTCACTGCAACCTCCGCCTCCCGGGTTCAAGCAATTCTCCTTCCTCAGACTCCCAAGTATCTGGGACTACAGGCGCCCATCACCACGCCCGGCTAATTTTTTATTTTTTTATTTATTTAATTATTTGTTTTTATTATTTTTTGTATGTTTTAGTAGAGACGGGTTTTCACCGTGTTAGCCAGGATCGTCTAGATCTCCCGACCTCGTGATCCGCCCCCGTCGGCCTCCCAAAGTGCTGGGATTACAGGCGTGAGCCACTGCGCCCGGCCGAGTAACAGATATGTTTTAAGTGAGAATAAAAAATTTAGACCCACAACTCAGTAAGAGATGTGCACTTTTAATGCCAAATTATAACCAATAAACTGTTTTATTCCAAATGAGTGCACTGCAATTTCTTCAGCCAACACATTAGTATTCTTGTCTTCTCCATAGTGAAAAAAGAAGTGCCTGATTACAATTCACTCTCCAAAATTTTACAGCTAGAACTTGAAGAAAACAGAGTTTCTGCCAAAATAGCTTCCTGCCCAGGTGCTGAACCAATTAACTTTTAAGCAATCTGGCAGTAAAACCAGTAATGGTGAGTTTTCTGAAGTGCTATATGTAAGGAGACAGCTTGGGAAAATAAATATGAAAATTTGTTTTCATAAAAAGAAGTGCTTAAAATCCTGAGAGACTGTTTGAATTCCTTGCTGAAATATATGTGACACTGCAAATTCCCAAACGATCAGATAAAGTTCTATGCAGTCAACATTGATGCTTTTTCTTAAATGTAGAAAAAACTATTTTATTATAATGTGCAATTTGTCCATCAAAAGTCCAGTGAATAGATTCATTTTTGAGAGAAAAGTTATTTAAATGTAATGTTGGCTGTTAAAATATATCATCCAGAGCAAATAGACTTTTTGGAGAAAATGTTACAATCAATTTTCTTAGATTAGAGGTCTTTTGTAAATGTAAAAGTTCTACAAAATGTGAAAATATGAATTTTCTAATCATATCATATAATGATAATTTCTTTAAAGAAATTCATTTTGCAAGAATATTATTCAGTTGAAGAAAATTAAATAAGGAGTTGTTATGGACAAGTTTTGTTTGTTTGAAGATGGGGAGCAAAGAAATTCACAGCTTGGAAGGAAATACTAATGTGTAAGTGGTTTTCTCTCAGTGGTAGGGTTATGGGAGATATTTTATCTTCTTGTTTTGTACTTTTCAAACATTATAGAATCAAGAAATGATGGGCATAATTGCATTCAAAAATAACAGACATAAGGAAATTTTCACAATATACTTTAAGGGGAAAAAAGCAGGGCACAAAATTGAATCTATAGCATAATCTCAACTTGGTAAAAAAAGAAAAATTAGATGCAAGCACATAAAGCTGGAAGACAATAGTCAGCTAAGATAGTGTTATCTCTGCATGATGGGATTCACAGGGCTATTTTCTTCTTTGAACATTTCTGCAATCTCCAAATTGTTTTATGGGCATTTTGTTTTGTTTTGTTTTGTTTTGTTTTGAGAAAGTGTCTCACTCTGTCACCCAGGCTGGAGTGCAGTGACATAATCATAGCTCACTGTAGCTTCAAACTGGCATATTGTATTTTTATAAAGAAAAAACAGGCCAGGTGTGGTGGCTCATGCCTGTAATCCCAGCACTTTGGGAGGCTGAGGCAGGCGGATCACAAGGTCAAGAGATCAAGACCATCCTGGCCAACATGGTGAAACCCCATCTCTACTAAAAATACAAAAAATTAGCTGGGCATGGTGGTGTGTGCCTATAGTCCCAGCTACTCGGGAGGCTGAGGCAGGAGAACCGCTGGGAGGCGGAGGCTGCAGTGAGCCAAGATCGCGCCACTGCGCTCCAGCCTGGCAACAGAGCGAGACTCCATCTCAAAAAAAAAAAAAGAAAGAAAAAGCATGTTTACATTTATTGTCATTGCCAACTGGAGGTCAAGTGGAAGTTAAAAAAAATCACCTCAAATTATAAATCAATAGAAAATATTAATATATCCAAATTCAAATTTATAAAATGTTCAGCCTTATGTCCATTAAGTTAGGTAAAGGTAACTCTCATATAACATTGAAAAAGACTTCAATAAATATTGCTGATAATCAAATCTTAGTATAAGAAATCATGTATTATTACATTTCCAATATCAAACTTAGGATTTCAGTTTCTAAATGTAAACAAAATATCTCTAAGATTACAAATACACACAAATGTAGAAAACAGGCCTGTGCATATGCATATATACACACACATGAGGATATGTGAAATTCAGTGGTGGTGGGATTTCCAGTAAACTATACTTTTTTATTTATAATTTTCTAGACTGTTTAATTTTCTATATTCAATACTGCTCTAGTCCCCATGAGATTGGGAATGCCTCACCTCTCCTTAATTAGTTTGTTTACAATAAAATAGAAATTGCAGGATACCAAGAGAAAAAAAATATATATATATCATCCAACTATTTGTATCAAAATAAGCATTGCAGTTACAGCTTTCATTTACAGAATGACAAAGTAAGAAACTTGCAGTCAACTCATAGCATTTTTGTAAGTCAGCTACAAAATATAACATGTAACACTGTATTATTTTAATAACTTCACAATGACATCACATTTACAGGAAAAAAAGTCATTGTGAAACATGATGGTATGAAGCATATGATTCTAGAATCAAGTTTCAAGTCTGCAAAAATGAAGCATCCAGATCTGCCAGTCTTAGGAAACATTGCAAAAACATCTTTCCCTCTGGACAAAGCCCGGGTTTGGTAGACAGGAAGATAAAATTGCTATTACTTTGGAAAACTCAGGTACTGAATAAGAGTCTAGATTGGTTGTTTCTTCCTTAGTAGGTGTTTAATGATAAATAGGGGATATTTAAGGCCCCAGGTAACACACTAACCTGGGAATTGGAAAGTCAACTGGTTTTGTGGGCTTTGCTGGTAATTGGCTTCATAGCCTAAAGTAGCTACTTGCTCTGTTTAGGCATTGTGGCATCTATAATAAGGTGTTAAAAATCCATGTCTTTTTTCCCAGGGGACTCTAAAGATAGGTTTTGTCATTTACTGTGCTTGGTTCTTATTGGACAGAAAGTACAATGAAAATGTTGTTCCAATAAACATTTAAAGCCCAAAAGAAAAAAGTCTGATGAATGATTAAGCAAAAAGAAAAATATCTGGAAACTTATGAGTCATCTCCCACTCTAATGTTGACATCTTCAAGGGAATAAAAGCAGTAGCATAAAAATCAGTAAGGGAAGCAATGTTTGCAAATAGTTGCTTTAATGGAAGAATTAAAATGACAGGCTTGTGGGATAGCAGGCAGCAAGGCAGCAGAAGGCTTGAAGAAGAGAAAACCAGAAAAGACACAAGGGAAGAGGATTTCTTTATGTGTGAGTGGACACTAACCAACTCCATTCACAAAACATGTATGCAGCACTTCCTCAGGCTTGGGCTCTGTATTAGGGCTGGCTAAGACCCAGTTCCTGCTTTGAGAAGCTAAAAATGAGAGAGAGAACAACACTCAGGAAAACAAGTTGCCCTAAAGTTTTTGATAAGTGATATTACAGAGATGGTTTTAAAAAAAAAAAGCCACAGGATTTTTTTAGAGGGGATCATGGTGGACAGGAGGCAGGACTAGATTGCGGCTCTGGACAGAGCAGCATATGGAGGCTTGCACTGTGAATTTTAGCTCCAGATTGACTGCAAGAATCCACAGACCCTCTGAAGGAAGCAGACTGCTCCTGCAGGACCTGGGAGACATTCCAAATACTGTGAGTGCCCCATCTGCAGAAGTGGGAAAGGGAGACCCTCCTCTCCTGACCACACACCCACACTGGAGAAGCTGAAGGTCTTTTTGTGGGAGAAGTTCCCGACTTTACCTGGACCTGAGTCAAGTTAGAGAGCCGAGCAAAATACAGGAGTAGAGAAAGCAGCAGAAAGGCCCTAGGAGCTTGCTGGGTCCCCAAGGAGCCCGTTCCTGCCTGGTACCACATGGATCTACTGGGAGGGTGGCCAGAGGAGCAGGGAGTAAAACTTCACAGGGAGAAGGAATTCTCTAGCTGAACTTTGTAACAATTTTAACCAGGTGAGAAGGCTCCTGGCCAGAACTCTGAGAGGGCATGAATCAGGCATGCAGACTTTACAGGCAGGGGAAGAACTAAAGCACTTTTCTCTTGCATCTGGGAGGTGGACAGCCTTGGACAAGTTTTCAAGCCCATCTCACCCTCCACCTGGAAACAGACTTGGGGCTGTTGGGGAAAGCATGGTGGGAGTGAGACCAGCCCTTCAGTTTGTGAGGGAGCTGGGTGAGGCCTGTGACTGTCGGCTTTCCACCACTTTCCTGACAACCTACATGAATCAGCAGAGGCAGCCATAATCCTCCTAAATACACAACTCCAGTGACCTGGGAATCTCACCACCATCCCCCACAGCAGCCACAGCAAGACCCATCCAAGGAGAGTCTGAGCTCAAACATGCCTAGCCCTGCCCCCACTTGATGGTCCTTCCCTATTCACCCCTATAGTGGAAGACAAAAGGCATATAATCTTGACAGTTCTAGGGTCCCACCCACTGCCGGTCCCCCTCCACATTGCTACAGCTGATGCCTTCTGGAAATCACCACCTCCTGGCAGGAGTCCAACCAGCACAAAAATAGAGCATTAAACCACCAAAGCTAAGAACCCTCACAGAGTCCATTGCACCTTCCACCACCTCCACTGGAACAGGGACTGGTATCCATGGCTGAGAGACCCATGGATGGTTCATATCACAGGACTCTGTGCAGACGACCCCCAGTGCCAGCCCAGAGCTGGGTAGAGTCACTGGGGGCTAAACCCGGAAGAGAGACAACAATCATTGCAGTTGGGCTTACAGGAAGCTACGTCCATAGGAAAAGGGGGAGGGAACACAGCATGGGACAAAAGAATCTGAACAATAGCCTTGAGCCTGCCCAAATGAGAAGGAACCAGAAAACTAACCCTGGTAATATGATAAAACAAGGCATTTCAACATACCCCCCTCAAATCACACTAGTTCACTAAGAAGAAATCACTTATTTACCTGAAAAAGAATTTAGCAGGGTAGGTATTCAGCTAATTAGGGAGTAACCAGAGAAAGGAGAAGCCCAATGCAAGGAAATCCAAAAAACTATACACATTGTGAAGGGAGAATTATTCATGGAAATAGCTTAAAGAAAAAAAAACAATAAAAAATTCAGGAAACTTTGGACACACCTTTAGAAATGCAAAATGCTCTGGAAAGTCTCAGCAATATAATTGAACAAGTTGAAGAAAGAAATTCAGAGCTCGAACACAAAGTCTTTGAATTAACCCAATTCAACAAAGATAAAGAAAAAATAATAAAAAAAAATATGAACAAAGCCTCCAAGAAGTCTGGGATTATGTTAAATGACCAAACCTAAGAATAATCAGTGTATCTTAGAAAGAAGAGAATTCTAAAAGCCTGGAAATCATATTTGGGGGAATAATCAATGAAAACTTCCTCAGCCAGCTTTGTGAGAGACCTAAACACCCAAATACAAGAAGCACAAAGAACACCTGGGAAATTTATCACAAAAAAATCTTCACCTAGGCACATTGTCATCAGGTTATCAAAAGTTAAGACAAAGGAAAGAATCTTATGAGCTGTGAGACAGAAGTATCAGGCAACCTATAAAGGAAAACCTATCAGATTAACAGCAGATTTCTCAGCAGAATCCCTACAAGCTAGAAGGGATTGGGGATCTATCTTCAGACTCCTCAAACAAAACAATTATCAGCCAAGAATTTTGTATCCAGTGAAACTAAGCATCATATATGAAGGAAAGATACACTCATTTTCAGACAGACAAATGCTGAGAGAATTCGCCATTACCAAGCCACCACTATGAGAACTGCTAAAACGAGCTCTAAATCTTGAAACAAATCCTGGAAACACATCAAAATAGAACCTCCTTAAAACATAAATCACACAGGACCTATAAAACAAAACACAAGGTAAAAAGCAAAAACAAAAAACAAAACCAAAAAAGTATATAGGCAACAAAGAGCACGATGAAAGCAACAGTACCTCACATTTCAATACTAACAATAAATGTAAATGGACTAAATGCTCCACTTAAAATATACAGAACTGCAGAGTGGATCTGAACGCACCAACCAACTATCTGCTGCCTTCAGAAGACTCACCTAACACACAAGAACTCACATAAACTTAAAGTAAAGGGTATATATGTATGATGGAATACTATGCAGCCATAAAAAGGGATGAATTAACAGCATTTGCAGTCCTGCCTGAGATTGGAGACTATTATTCTAAGTGAAGTAACTCAGGAATGGAAAACCAAACATCATATGTTGTCACTGATAGTTAGGAGCTAAGCTATGAGGATGCAAAGGCGTAAGAATGATACAATGGACTTTGGGGACTTGAGAACAAGAGTGGGAGGGGAGCAAGGGACAAAAGACTACAAATATGGTGCAATGTATACTGCTCGGGTGATGGGTGCACCAAAATCTCACAAATTACCACTAAAGAACTTACTCATGTAACTAAATACCATCTGCACCCCAATAACTTATGGAAAATTTTTAAAATGCCAAGGGAGCAAAGAGAAAAAATTAATAATCTATTTTCAGTGGTTAGTAGAGGTCATGAGACTAAATTATGAATAGTCAAACCTACAATTTTGTTAGAACCAGAAGATTAAGTTTCAAACTCATCATTATTTTCATATTTCTCACATTTTCTACATAATGCAGAAAGCTTCCCTAGACTCTAAGCTTGAGCTTCAGGTGATGCAAATTAATTCCTTCAGTCTACCTGGCTAGCTATCAAAGAAGATTCTGCCTTTTCATTAGTTCATTACTCCTACTTTAGAAGCTGCTAATGAATTGATTTTTTTAATGAACCTGAAGATATTGAACACATACAAGAAAACCTTCAATATTAATGCCAGCCCATTTGGTTTTTCATTCATAAGAAGGAGAAAATGGGGGCTGAACTCCCCCTTTTATAACAGCATCAATCCCACTCATGAGCACTCAACCACCTCTAATGTCCCACGTCTTAATATTGTCACAATGGTAATTAGATTTCGACATGAGTTTTGGAGGGAACAAACATTCAAACCATAGCAGACAGAAAGCAGAATCAGGAACGTGATCTAGAAGTGACTTTTCTTTGTACTTTCTCCAAGGTTCCCTTGCAAGGCTAAGATACATACACATAGTAAAGACTGTCACACACTCTTGGAATATTTGGGAAAATAAATAATCTTAGAATTCTCTGCTTTTTCTGCCTCACTTGGGCATCAGTCTGCCTCAACATGCTGTAGCCCAAACTCTCTTCAATTTCCCACTTACCTCCTTTCCAGTAGTGTCTACTCTCAGTGTGAAGTGTAACTCCAACATGCTAGGGTAAGGTGGGGGTGGGAGCAAAATCAAAGGGGTGAGAAAGAGGAATGAAAGGTGGCATGTGATGCACAATAGAAATTGTTTCTTCTGGGTAACTACATGGGCTTAAATTTGTAGATATAATTTCGATTATTATGAATAACAAAGAAAAATAAAAATACTTGCTTCATCTTTGCTGCATTTTGGACATATTTTAGGCATTGATGCCTCAGCTTATAATGTAAAATGAATTTATAGACAATTTTTATACAACAATGATACAAATTTTATTTTTTGTCTACAAAGATGAAATTTTTTCAAGGGAATAACCTTGGCATGTCCCAGGCTCAGATTGAATTTCCAAGTGGACTATCAGTAAGTCAACAACTTCCTGAGCATGTGCTGTGTATAGAGATGGGCCTGTATCAGCAATATTTATGAAATTAAAAGAATAGATAAAGAGCTTGGGACCAAATAAAAAAGCAGATCAAAAGCAAATTTGCAACATCTACAAAAGTAAAAACGAGCAAAACTTAAATGTATATATGATCAACGTATTTGTTCATCTTTTATTATTTTCCACACATATACACATAACAGTCTCAGTTACACATAGAAATAAGTAAGAATTATAGTGGGGTGGGGGAGTAGTAATTCAAGTGGCCTCTAAGCATCTTCTTACCTAGTAATTCTCCCTTACCTCTGATATAAGAATCTAATAGAATAATTCACTATTTAAATACTATGCATTGGCTAAGATCATACTTTTCTAATGAAATGGCATATACTAAATGCTCAATAAATGTGAGATTCTCTACCACCAGTATTTGTTGTAGATTCTTTCTGTTTTACTTGATATTACTGGATAGTATCCAGTATGCTTGGAATGTTGACACCACTCCTACATTCTAGACATGAAAAACAAAGGATCTCTGTTTCCAAGGATAGACATTACGGATAGAATTTTTTTCTTCCATGGAACAATAATCATTTTAGTACAGAAAAATAGTCTTCGGCCAGAGTTACAAATGAATCCTGACCTAAATTTATTGGATTGAGAAATGAGCCTTCCTGGTTATTTTGCCCATGAAGAGAAAAACAATCAAAACAAAATAAGATGAAACTACTTGGTGGAGGCAAGACTTCTGGAATAGCAGAGTCAGGACCTCCAGAAATCCATTCTTCTATGCAAGTCATGAAAATACTGGCAAAACTATCAAAACCAACTTTTTTGATCTCTGGAAAGTGATCAAAGGCTTACAACATCTGAAGAACTGAAAAACTGCTGAAGTTGATAAGAAGACCAGGGACAATAAAGTTTTTACTTAGGTTACTCCCATCTACCCCCTCCTCAGTTCCATGGCAGGCCTTGAAATCCACAAGCCTAACAGTCACCAGAGAGGCAGACAGGGTTTGGAGCTCCTGAAAAAATCCTACTGCCAAACCACGGTTACTTTTTGACCTGACTCACAGTTCCCTAGAGTAGCCTTATCCACAGGGTGTTGTCTATTTGACCAGACTCAGAGCTCAGCTAAACAGGAAAAGCTTTGACCCTAGGGCATTGAGGAAACTAATCAGCTTCAATTTTTTAAACTTCCATTTGGCAAAGGATGTTTTACCAGCTGGAGCAAATAAAAGCCTGGAAAAATATATATATGGAAGATCTAGAGAAAAAGGTTTCTATAGATGGCTTTGAAAAATTCTGACATATTCCTAGGGATCTAGAAGATCATGCACACGTGCAGACCATGCTTATGTCCAAAGAAATAACAGAGGCAGGAAACAGAGACATTCTAGGCAGAAAAGGTTGGGGTCCCTGGCAAGGGGCCCACCGTCAAGCCTGGAACCACAGCCTGAAGTGAGAACTTTACATCTCCACTTTTCCTGCCAGAATGTTGCCTTTTCCAAAACCACCTCTAGCCTGACCCACCCCCATCCTGTACTCATAAAAACAGCAGGCTCCACTGATAGACAGCAGAGAAGGGGAGAAGAGAATAACAGCTGAATGTCAGAGAGAAGCAGTTTGGCTTCAGAGGGATGGCTTGACGGCAGGAATTTGGAGAAAAGTCCAGCGGGAGACAGCCAGACTTCAGGGGAAGAATACCTTCCCGCTCTATCCCCTTTCCAGCTCCCCTTCCTGCTGAAAGTTACTTCTGTTGGCAATAAAATCCCCTGCATTCACTATCCTTCAATTAGTTCGTGTGACCTGATTTTCCTGAACACTGAACAAGAGCTTGGGTGCCACAGGTGCAGATGCTAAAGAATGTCACACAGACCCTCTGCCCTCACTGGTAGAGAGCAACCACCTCATATAAAAAGTCAGAGGGCTCACTGAGCTGTTTAACATTAACGCCATCCACAGATGGCAAAGCTAAAAGAGCACTGTAACATATGCCCTCTGGGGCTTCAGGAGTCGTGGGTACTCCCCCCTAGACGCTGCCATGGGGCCTGCACAGAGTTTTGCTTCTGCCAGCATCCAGAAGCATTCATCCCAGCTTCTGTACCTGCTCACCTGTGTGCTCCCCATCCCACGAGGGATTGAGAGCTGTGGGCTGAGTGAGCAAAGCACCCCTGTCATGAGGCCCGTGAAGGGATCAGGGAAAATTTCCTGTTTCAGAAAGACCAGAAAGGGCTCCCATCACTCACTCTAACAGGAAGTAAAGGCTAACACAGACTCATAAACTACTTGAGAGTTGAAGGTCTGCCCCCAACAGACATACACACACACACACACACCAGCTCTTCATCAAAAGTAGGAATACTTACTGGTTCAAGGCATTTAAGGAAATATTTCACCAATCAGTTGCTGACCACTAAGTTGTGGTGATAAGCTGTGGTGACCCAGATTCAACCCCTAGGAAGCAAGGCTTAAAAATAAAATAAGAATTTTAAAAAATAAGTTAATAGAAAAACAAAACAAAACAAAATAAGCAGAGATTTTAGTGGCTATATACTGCAAGAAATACAAATGCTAAAAAATTTGTCCAGAAAAGTCACTAAACAAACAGACAACAACAAAACAGCAACAAGGGCAAACCCAGAAAGCAGGGGTGTTAGATATCTTATTCCAGAGTCGCCACATTATAGCATCTAAAATCTCCAGTTTTCACATCTAGTCTTTCTAGACGTTTAGAAGCATACAAAGTAGGTTAAAAGTACAGGTAGTAAATAACACATTTTGTAGATTTCCTTTGGTTAAGATTCATAGAAAAAATGTTTTCTGGAAATTGATCACACCACTTCTCTGAGCAGTGCACGGTATTCTAATTGTGGTGGGTCATGGAGGAAGAAGAAAGTACAAACGGCTTTATACCAACGGTGAGGCACAATTGACCATTGTCCCTTACATCTGTACATTTACTTTGCTAGTATATAGTGTATATAAAAGACAAACAAGTCCTAATTTGCAACATCTAGTCTTTCTACATGTTAAAGAGGTTGCCAGTGTATGACAAAAGTAGAGTTAGTAAACTAATATATTGAGTACACTTTGTGTTAAAATTCATAGGAAAGACTGTTCTTAAAAACACCATCTTTCTTGTGGAAATGAAATTGTTAAAATCTCTAAGCATTACAGATGCTTACACCTGTTCACTGAGTTGATAGAGGTAGGAAGGGGAAGGGTTCTAGGTCAGACTGTTTCTTGTTTAGAAGACACTTTCAAATTATAGCTTTTGTCATATATGTGTAACATTTATTCAATGCTACTGTGTATATAGTGGAAAACTTGTGTCCTATTTGAAACATCTATTCTTTCTAGATGTTTAAAAGCATACAACATATGTTAAAAGTAAATGGCTAAAGCATTTTTTGTTATTTCATACAATCAGTTAGATTTGGGAATAACATTGTTAAACTTGATGTCTTAGAGAGTATGCTGACTGTTTACTAAGCAGTGGCAGGTAGGGGAAAGAGAAGGGTTCTGTGCCTATGAGTTAGATTTGTTCAGATGGTCTAACCACTGTTCTGTGTGTGCATTTTAATTAATATTGTGTTTTAAAGGGTAAACAAGTCCTAAAGCTCAAAGTATATTAAAAGTAGAGATAGTAAAATAATTCCTTTATAAATATTCTTTTGTTAGTTTTTAGGAAGGGCTGTACTGTGGGAGTAGACCTTTGTTAATCCACCTCTTGTAGCTAGATGTAACTCTGTATTTAGTCACTGGAATGTTGGAAGAGGAAGAAGAAGAAGGGTAAAGGGAGGGCTGTTTGCTTGTATCTCCATATCTAGAAGATGGTTTTAGATTACAACTGTAGGTCTATATGTGCATTTCTACTAAAATTCCTGTGTTTATTATGGACAAAGTTCATTATTTTGCAACATTTAACCTTTATAGATGTCCTGAGGTGACAATGTATGATAAAAAAATAGAGCTAGTGAATTGACCAATTTATAACTATTTTTTGCTATACTTTATAGAAAAGATGAATCTTGGACATGGAATTGTTAAACCACCTCTAACCAGTGTATGTCAGAACTTGTTAATTAGGTTAGCAGCAGAGGGGCAGGAGGAAGTATAAAGGCAGAGACATATGTAGATGTGTTTATATTTACATTTTGACAATAGCCATCCATGCATGCACATCTCTTTTGGCTGTACTGCAGGAATACATTAAGTAATTCAATGGAAACATACCTTCTTGTTAATATTTTAATGTTATAGATCTGATCATGAATTCTCTTAGAAACAATATACTTAGTGTACTCTGTTGCTTTCTGTTTAATTTTAAATTGAGCATTAAGGGAAGGCTGGTTTGAGGTAACTCTGCCAATACTTTTATCTAGAGACCCGTTGTGATTTTTGTCTTCTGTGAAATTTTTGTCCCAGGAAAGGTGAGATTACATTTTTTTCTAACAAATTGAGTTGGTATAGTATATTTTTGATTATCAAAACACAGTAAACATTCACAATGTTTGAAAAAGTATGATACATACTGTACAATCTCAATCTCATAAAATTTGGATGTTGTATCTATAAACACACACGACCTAGATGGATACATCAAACTGTAAACCGCTTGTGACTGTGAATAATTTTGTTCTTTGATTCTGATGTCTTTCAGTTTCTTATACTGCACATATTAACTTTTAAAAAGTTAAGGATTTTTTAAATAAATAAATACATACAAGAAAATTCCAATTTTCAGGGAAGAAAAAGAAAGATACATACAAAGAAACAGGGAAGTATAGTCCATACATGAAGGGAGATGGTAACAGAAATTAGCTTTGAGGGGTCCCAGATGTTGACTAACTAGACAAAAACTTTAAAGCAGTTATTATAAATATGTTTAAAGCATTAAAGAAAAAAACATGTTTTAGGAATTAGAGGAAAGTATCACAACTATGTCTTATCAAATAGATAATATCAATAAAGAGGTAGAAATTATAAAAATGTTAAACTCAAATGAAAATTTTGGAGTGAATAAATAAATAACTGAAATGAAAATAGAAATCATTGCAGGGTGTCAACAACAGACTTGAGCTATTAGAGCAAATAATTTGTAAACTTGAAGATAGGTTAATAAAGATTACCTAGACTAAGAAACAGAAGAAAAATGAATGAATAAAAGCAAACAGGCCGGGCGCGGTGGCTCATGCCTATAACCCCAGCACTTTGGGAGGCCGACGCGGGTAGATCACGAGGTCAGGAGATCAAGACCATCCTTGCTAACATGGTGAAACCCCGCCTCTACTAAAAGTACAAAAAATTAGCCGGGCATGGTGGCGGGCGCGTAGTCCCAGCAACTCGGGAGGCTGAGGCAGGAGAATGGTGTGAACCCGGGAGGCGGAGCTTGCAGTGAGCTGAGATTGTGCCACTGCGCTCCAGCCTGGGTGACAGAGCAAGACTCCATCTCAAGAAAAAAAAAAAAAAAAAAAAAAGCGAACAGAGCCTCAGAGACCTGTGAGATACCATTAATGTAACAACATATGCATAATAGATTTCTGAAAGAGAGGGGGAAATGGGCAAGCATAAACAAGTATTTGATGAAATAGTGATTTAAAATTTCCCAATTTTGATGAAAAACATTAATTCATACATGCAAGAAGCCCAAGAAAATTTCAGTAGAATAAGTTCAAAGAGATTCTCACCTAGATAAATTATGGTTGAACTTTCAAAAGTCAAAAACAAAGAGAAAAACTTTCTCAGAATTCATTCAAACAATTTCTCCTCATTGGCCAGAACTAGACACATTCTAATAAGAGTAGCACCAAAATTGGCTTGGGCCACTTTTAGTTTACCTCTTGGGTTTGCCAATAAGCTTGACCTCCTCAGAAACTTATGCAAGAAGGAATGATACCTGAATAAGCCCAAGATTCTGCTAGGAAGGAAGAAAGTTGGGTGGCTCTGAGGTAGGTAGCCAATAGTGTCTGCCATTGAGAAGTTTATTGAATTTGATTTGGATTCTCATTAGATGGTTTTTATCTTCAAAGTCTTTATCTTTTCTCTTACTCTTTTCCCACATTCTGCTGTATCTCCTCATCCACCCACCACTACAGCCAAATAAACTATTTTTAGTTACAAATATCAGGCTGATGTCTCTTTGTGCAAAGGCCTGCTGCAGCTCTGAATTAATTTGTGTCACAACCATCACAAAACTGTGGACTTCAAAACTCTATTGGCTGCTTCTTAATGCTTTCCACCTACTTATTCTCTTTCTCAGTAACACAAGGTTTCAGACTGTATATTTAAGCCAAACTAAACTTACTGACCACTCTCTTTACACACAAATTTCTGGCTACCATTTCTGAGATTTTATATAGCCAAGTCATTCTCCTCATGGCACCTTTCAAATCACAGATGCCTAATAAATGCATATGTGCAGAAAGAATGGAAACTGAGGGAACTGGACTTACCAACTGCTCAAATTCAGTACTTCATGCATTTGAGTATGACAGGTCCTGGAGATAAAATAGTGAGAAAGCAGACCTGGCTCTTAGATTCCTGTGTCCTTCAGGCAGAGAGAGGAGGGGAGGGAGAGGCGTCAAAGCTGAATAACTTTTGGGACAACATGGATCAATCTGGAGGATGTTATGCTAAGAGAAATAAGCCAGATACAGAAAGACAGGTACTGCATGACCTCACTCATATGTAAAAATCTTAAAAAGCTGGGCTCAAAGCAAAGAGTAAAACGGTGGTTACCAGAGGCAAGTGGGGAGTCGGGGGTGAGGAAAGGGGAGAGGATGGTCAAATGGACACAAAGTTTCAGTTAGACAGAGGAAAAATTTTAGAGATCTATTGCATAGCATGGTAACCATAGTTAATAGTAATGTACTGAATATTTTAAAATTGCTAGAAGAATATATTTCAAATATTCTCATTATAAAAATTTATAAGTAGGTGAGGTGATGTATATGTTAATTAGCTTGATTTACTCTTTATGAAGTGTACAGATATATCAAAATATCACATTGTATCCCACAATTATATATAATTGTTTCTCAAGTAAAAATTTTTTAAAAAAGGTCTGATATCCAGAATCTGCAAGAAACTTAAACAAATTTACAAGAAAAAAAAACAAACCCATCAAAAGGTGGGTGAAGGATATGAACAGTAACTTCTCAAAATAAGACATTTCTGTAGCCAACAAACATATGAAAAAAAGCTCATCATCACCAGTCATTAGAGAAATGCAAATCAAAACTACAATGAGGTACCATCTCACACCAGTTAGAATAGCAATCATTAAAAAGTCAGGAAACAACAGATGCTGGAGAGGATGTAGAGAAATAGGAACGCTTTTACACTGTTGGTGGGAGTGTAAATTAGTTCAACCATTGTAGAAGACAGTGTGGCGATTCTTCAAGAATCTAGAACTAGAAATACCATTTGACCCAGTGATCCCATTACTGGGTATATACCCAAAGGATTATAAATCATTCTACTATAAAGACACATGCACACGTATGCTTATTGCAGCACTATGCACAGTAGCAAAGACTTGGAACCAACCCAAATGCCCATCAATGATAGACTGGATAAAGAAAATGTGGCACATATACACCATGGAATACTATGCATTCATAAAAAAGAATGAGTTCATGTCCTTTGCAGGGACATGGACAAAGCTGGAAACCATCAGTCTCAGCAAACTAACACAGGAACAGAAAACCAAACACCACATGTTCTCACTCATAAGTGGGAGTTGAACGATGAGAACACATGGACACAGGGAAGGGAAATTCATATACTGGGGCCTGTCGGGATGTGGGAGGCTAGGGGAGAGAAAGAATCAGAACAAATGCCTAATATATGTGGGGCTTAAAACTTAGATGATGGGTTGATAGGTGCAGCAAACTACCATGGCTCATGTATACCTATATAACAAACCTGCACATTCTGCACATATATCCTAGAACTTAAAGTGAAATAATAAAAAAAAAAAAACTGAATGACTAACAGAACACTTATCCTGTATAAATAGGAAAGTGAAGAGCATATTATAAACTTAGTTTTGCCTTTGTTGCATCTGAAATGACAGGACACATATAGTTGGAACAATCCCTCCAGAAGGTTTCATTGTGTATATGTGTACATGCATAAATATGTTACTCTGGACATCATTACAACCACCACCAGCATTCTTGTTATTATCATCATTAATAACATTTCTCCCAAGACTTCTAAGAGCCAGATTCTGGGCTAAAAGCTACATATGGATATATGCAATTGTTCATAGGTATCATCAATTCATTTTTTCGTAGATGATTATCCTGTGAGATTGTAACATCTCATTCTATGATTATATTAATTAAAGTTCCTTTAAGGTAAACACCATATCTAAGCTTTCTTTTATGTGCAACAGCATATGTGTAAGAGAGTCCTGTTGAATAAAAAATTGTCACTGGCATGGAGTATGCACAGCCTCATTGCAGAGTGATGGTGAAATTAAAGGGGAAAGTAAGAAAGGTGAATGGAGTCTTCATCAAACAGCAGAGAAGTCATTACAATATCACTAACATAAAATGAGAACTCTAAGGCAGAGTTCCCCAACCCTTTTGATACAAATGACCAGTTTCATGGAAAACAATTTTTTCATGGGCCAGGGGGTGGGGGATGATTTCTGGATGATGCAAGCAAATTACGTTTACCATGTACTTTATTTCTATTATTATTACATTGGAATATATAATGAAATAATTATACAACTCATCATAATCTAGAATCAGTTGGAGTCCTGAGCTTGTTTTCCTGCAACTAGAAGGTCCCATTTGGGAGTGATGGAACACAGTGACAGATCATCTGGAAAGCCCATCGGGATGGAAAACCCATCAGACTAACAGCAGATTTCTCTCCAGAAACCCTACAAGCCAGAAGAGAGTGGGGACCAATATTCAACATTAGAAGAAAAAAAAACACCTAAAATTAACAAAAAACTTTCCTTTAAAAATGATATCACAAAAATAATTACTATTTTAATTCTTTTGTCATCTTTTTGAATAGCTGTTATTGCATATTCTGTATTAAAAATTATGTAATTATCATTTGTCTTTCCCCATACTTAATGTTAATTTTTTTATTATACTTAAAGTTGTGGGATACATGCGCAGAACATGCAGGTTTGTTACACGGGTATACACGTGCCATGGTGGTTTGCTGCACCCATCAATCTGTCATCTACATTAGGTATTTCTCCTAATGCTATCTCTCCTCTAGCTCCCCACCCCCCAATAGGCCCCAGTGTGGGATGTTCCTTTCCCTGTGTCCATGTGTTCACATTGTTCAACTCCCATTTATGAGTGACAACATGCAGTGTTTGGTTTTCTGTTCTTGTGTTAGTTTGCTGAGAATGATGGTTCCAGTTTCATCCATGTCCTTGTAAAGCACATGAACTCATCCTTTTTTATGGCTGCATAGTATTCCCTGGTAGATACCTGCCACATTTTGTTTATCCTGTCTATCATTGATGGGCATTTGGGTTAGTTCCAAGTCTTTGCTATTGTGAATAGTGCCACAATCAACATACATGTGCATGTGTCTTTATGGTAGCATGATTTATAATCCTTTGGGTATACACCCAGTAATGGGATTGCTGGGTCAAATGATATTTCTGGTTCTAGATTTTTGAGGAATCGCCACACTGTCTTCCACAATGGTTAAAGTAATTTACATTCCTACCAACAGTGTAAAAGCGTTCGTTTCTCTATGTCCTCACCAGCATCTGTTGTTTCCTGACTTTTTAGTGACTGCCATTCTAACTGGCGTGACATGGTGTTTCATTGTGGTTTTGAATTACATTTTTCTAATGATGAGTGCTGACAGGCTTTTTTTCATATGGTTTTTGGCCACATAAATGTCGTGTTTTGAGAAGTGTCTTTACATAACCTTTGCCCACTTTTTAATGGGGTTGTTTGTTCTTTTTCTTGTAAATTTAAGTTTCTTGTAGATTCTGGATATTAGCCTTTTGGCAGATGGATAGACTGCAAAATTTTTCTCTTATTCTGTAGGTTGCCTGTTCACTCTGATGATAGTGTTTTGGTTTTTTGTTTCTTTGTATTTTGTTTTGTTTTTGCTGTGCAGAAGCTCTTTAGTTTAATTAGATTCCATTTGTCAATTTTGGCTTTTGTTGCCATTGCTTTTGGTGTTTTAGTCATGAAGTCTTTGCCCATGCCTATGTTCTAAATGTATTGCCTAGGTTTTCTTCTACAGATTTTATGGTTTTATGTTTTACATTTAAGTCTGTAATCCATCTTGAGTTTATTTTTGCATAAGGTGTAAGGAAGAAGTCCAGTTTCAGTTTTCTACGTATGGCTAGCCAGTTTTCCCAACACCATTTATTAAATAGGGAATCCTTTTTCCCATTGCTTGTTTTTGTCAGGTTTGCCAAAGATCAGATGATTGTAGATGTGTGGCATATTTCTGAGCCTCTGTTCTGTTCCATTGGTATATATATCTGTTTTGGTACCAGTACCATGCTGTTTTGGTTACTGTAGCCTTGTTGTATAGTTTGAAGTCAGGTAGCATAATGCCTCCAGCTTTGTTCTTTTTGCTAAAGATTGTATTGGCTGTACAGGCTCTTTCTTGGTTCCATATGAAATTTAAAGTAGTTTTTTTATAATTCTGTGAAGAAAGTCAATGGTAGTCACTTCCAAGATGGCCAAATAGGGATAGCTCTGGTCTATGGCTCCCAGTGAGATTGATGCAGAAGACTGGTGATTTCTGCATTTCCACATGAGGTACCTGGTTCATCTAATTGAGACTGGTTGGCCAGTGGGTGCAACCCATGGAGGGTGAGCTGAAGCAGGGCAGGGTGTTGCCTCACCCAAGAAGCGCAAGGGGTTGTGGGATTTTCCTTTCCTAGCCAAGGGAAGCCATGAGTGACTGTACCTGGAATAACAGTACACTTCTGCCCAAATACTGCACTTTTCCCATGGTCTTTGCAACTGGCAGACCAGGAGATTCCCTCTCGTGCCTGGCTTGGCAGGTCCCATGCCCACAGAGCCTTGCTCACTGCTAGGGCAGCAGTCTGAGATCAACCTGGGATGCTGCAGATTGGCAGAGGAGGGGCATCCACCACTGTTGAGGCTTGAGTAGGTGGTTCTATGCTCACAGTGTAAACAAAGCATCAAGGAAGCTCGAACTGGGCAGAGCCCACCACAGCTCAGCAAGGCCTACTGCCGCTCTAGATTCTGGGGGCAGGGCATATTTGAATAAAAGGCAGCAGACAGCTTCTGTGACCTAAACGTCCCTGCCTGACAGCTCTGAAGAGAGCAGTGGTTCTTCCAGCATGATGCTTGAGCTCCAATAACAGACAGACTGCCTCCTCAAGTGGGTCTCTGACCCCCGTGTAGCCTGACTGGGAGACACCTCTGAGTAGGGTCCGACAGACACCTCATACAGGTGGGTGCCCTTCTGGGATGAGCCTTCCAGAGGATGGATCAGGCAGCAATATTTGCTGTTCTGCAGGCTCTGCAGGTGATACTCCGGCAAACAGGGTCTGGAGTGGACCTCCAGCAAACTCCAACAGACCTACAGCTGAGGGGCCTGTCTGGTAGAAGGAAAACTAACAAACAGAAAGGAATAGCATCAACATCAACAAAAAGGACATTCACATCAAAACCCCATCCATAGGTCACCAACATCAAAAACCAAAGGTTGTTAAAACCACAAACATGGGAAAAAACAGAGCAGAAAGTCTGAAAATTCCAAAAACCAAAATGCCTCTTCCCCTCCAAAGGGACACAACTCCTTGTCAGCAAGGGAACAAAACTGGACAGAGAATGATTTTGATGAGTTGACAGAAGTAGACTTCTGAAGGTCGGCAATAATAAACTTCTCCAAGCTAAAGGAGCATGTTCTAACCCATCACAAGGAAGCTAAAAGCCTTAAAAAAAGGTTAGATGAATGGTTAACTAGAATAACCAGTGTAGAGAAGAGCTTAAATGACCATATGGAGCTGAAAACCACAGCACAAGAACTTCGCGAAGCATGCACAAGCTTTAATAGCCAATTCAATCAAGTGGAAGAAAGGATACCAGAAATTGAAGTTCAAATGAATAAAATAAGTGAGAAGACAAGATTAGAGAAAAAAGAGTGAAAAAAAAATGAACAAAGCCTCCAAGAAATATGGGACTATGTGAAAAGACCAAATCTACATTTGATTGGTGTACCTGAAAGTGACAGGGAGAGTGGAACCAAGTTAGAAAACACTCTTCAGGATATTATCCGGGAGAACTTCCCCAATATAGCAAGACAGGCCAACATTCAAATTCAGGAAATACAGAGAACACCACAAAGATACTCCTAGAGAACTGCAACCCCAAGACACATAATTGTCAGATTCACCAAGGTCAAAATGAAGGAAAAAGTGTTAAGGGCAGCCAGAGAGAAAGGTCAGGTTACCCACAAAGGGAAGCCCATCAGACTAAGAGGGGATCTCTCTGCAGAAACCCAATAAGCCAGAAGAGAGTGGGGGCCAATAGTCAACATTCTTATAGAGAAGAATTTTCAAACCAGAATTTCATACCCAGCCAAACTAAGCTTCATAAGTGAAGGAGAAATAAAACCCTTTACAGACAAGCAAAATATGAGGGATTTTGTCACCACCAGGCCTGTCTTCCAGGAGCTCCTGAAGGAAGAAGTAAACATGGAAAGCAAAAACTGGTACCAGCCACTGCAAAAACATGCCAAATTGTAAAGATCATCAACACCATGAAGAAACTTCATCAACTAATGGGCAAAATAACCAACTAGCATTATAATGACAGAATCAAATTCACACATAACAATATTAAACTTAAATGTAAATGGGCTACATGTCCCAATTAAAAGACACAGACTGGCAGATTAGATAAAGAGTCAAGATGGATCAGTGTGTGGTATTCAGGAGACCCATCTCATGTGGAAAGACACACATAGGCTCAAACTAAAGGGATCTATCAAGCAAATGGAAAGCAAAAAAAAAAGCAGGGGTTGCAATCCTGGTCTCTGAAAAAACAGATTTTAAACCAACACAGATCAAAAGAGACAAAGAAGGGCATTACATAATGGTAAAGGGATCAATTCAACAAGAAGAGCTAACTATCCTAAATATATATGCACCCAATCCAAGAGCACCCAGATTCATAAAGAAAGTTCTTGGACACCTACAAAGAGACTTAGACTCCCACACAATAATAATGGGAAATTTTAACACCCCACTGTCAATATTAGACAGATCAAGAAAGCAAATTAACAAGGTTATCCAGGACTTGAGCTCAGCTCTGGACCAAGCGGACCTAATAGACACCTACAGAACTCTCCATCCCAAATCAACAGAATATACATTCTTCTCAGCAACACACTGCATTTATTCTAAAATTGACCACATAATTGGAAGTAAAACACTCCTCAGCAAATGTAAAAGGACAGAAATCACAACAAACTGTCTCTCAGACCACAGTGCAATCAAATTAGAACTCAGGATTAAGAAACTCACTCATAACCACACAACTACATGGAAACTGAATAACCTGCTCCTGAATGACTACTGGGTAGATAGCGAAATGAAGGCAGAAATAAAGATGTTCTTTGAAACCAGTGAGAACAAAGACACAATGTACCAGAATCTCTAGGACACAGCTAAAGCAGTGTTTAGAGGGAAATTTATAGCACTAAATGCTCACAAGAGAAAACAGGAAATATCAAAAACTGACATGCTAACATCACAATTAAAAGAACTGGAGAAGCAAGAGCAAACACATTCAAAAGCTAGCAGAAGACACGAAATAACTAAGATCAGAGCAGAACTGAAGGAAATAGAGACACACAAAAAAACCCTTCAAAAATCAATGAATCCAGGAGCTGGTTTCTGAAAAGATCAACAAAATAGATAGACCACTATCAAGACTAATAAATAAGAGAGAGAGAAGAATCAAACAGATGCAATAAAAAAAAGACAAAGGGGATATCACCACTAATCCCACAGAAATACAAAATACCATGAGAGAATGCAAAAAACACCTCTATGCAAATAAACTAGAAAATCTAGAAGAAATGAAAAAATTCTGGGACACATACACCCTCCCAAGACTAAACCAGGAAGAAGTTGAATCTCTGAATAGAGCAATAACAGTTTCTGAAATTGAGGCAATAATTAATAGCCTACCAAACAAAAAAAAGTCCAGGACCAGACAGATTCACAGCCAAATTCTACCAGAGATACAAAGAGGAGCTGGTACCATTCCTTCTGAAACTATTTCAATCAATAGAAAAAGAAGGAATCTTCCCTAACTCATTTTATGAGGCCAGCATCATCCTGATATCAAAGCCTGGCAGAGACACACACACACACACACACACAAAAGAGAATTTTAGGCCAATATTCCTGATGAAATCAGTGTGAAAGTCCTCAATAAAATACTGGCAAACCAAACAAGCAGCACATCCAAAATCTTATCAATGATGATCAAATCGGCTTCATCCCTGGGATGCAAGCCTTGTTCAACATATGCAAATCAATAACATAATCCATCACATAAAGAGAACCAAATACAAAAATCACATGATTATCTCAACAGATGCAGAAAAGGCCTTAGACAAAATTCAATAGTCTTTCATGCTAAAAACTCTCAATAAACTAGATATTGGTGGAACATATCTCAAAATAATAAAAGTTATTTATGACAAACCCGCAGCCAATATCATACTGAATAGGCAAAACCTGGAAGCATTCCCTTTGAAAACTGGCATGAGAAAAGGTTGCCCTCTCTCACCATTCCTATTCAACATAGTATTGGAAGTTCTGGACAGGGCAATCAGGCAGGAGAAAGAAATAAAAGGTATTCAATTAGGAAAAGAGGAAGTCAAATTGTCTCTGCAGATGACATGATTGTATATTTAGAAAACCCCATTGTCTCAGCCCAAAATCTCCTTAAGCTGATAAGCAACTTCAGCAAAGTCTCAGGACACAAAATCAATGTGCAAAAATTACAGGCATTCCTATACACCAACAAGAGACAAACAGAGACCCAAATCATGAGTGAACTCCAATTCACAATTACTACAAAGAGAATAAAGTACCTAGGAATACAACTTACAAGGGATGTGAAGGACCTCTTCAAGGAGAATGACAAACCACTGCTCAACGAAATAAGAGAGGACACAAACAAATGGAAGAATATTCCATGCTCATGGATAGGAAGAGTCAATATCATGAAAACGACCATACTGACAAAGGCAATTTATAGATTCAATGCTATCCCCATGAAGCTACCAATGACTTTCTTCACAGAATTGGAAAAAACTACTTTAAAGCTCATATGGAACCAAAAAGAGCCCACTTAGCCAAGACAATCCTAAACAAAAAGAACAAAGCAGGAGGCATCGAACTACCTGACTTCAAATTATACTACAATGCTACAGTAATCAAAACAGCTTGGTAGGTACCAAAACAGATATATAGACCAATGGAACAGAACAGAGAGCTCAGAAATAACACCACACATCTACAATCATCTGATCTTTTAAAACCTGGCTAAAACAACCAATGAGGAAAGGATTCTCTATTTAATAAATGGTGCTGGGAAAACTGGCTAGCCATATGTAGAAAGCTGAAACTGAATCCCTTCCTTATACTTTATACAAAAATTAACTTAAGATGGATTAAAGACTTAAATGTAAGACCTAAAACTATAAAAACCCTAGAAGAAAACCTAGGCAATACCATTCAGGACATAGGCATAGGGAAAGACTTCATGATTAAAACACCAAAGCAATTGCAACAAAAGCCAAAATTGACAAATGGAATCTAATTAAACTAAAGAGCTTCTGCAAAGCAAAAGACACTATCATCAGAGTCAACAGGTAACCTACAGAATGGGAGAAAAAGTTTGCAATCTACCATCTGACAAAGGGCTAATAACCAGAATCTACAAAGAACTTAAACAAATTTACAAGAAAAAAAAAAACCCCATCAAAAAGTGGGCAAAGGATGTGCACAGACACTTCTCAGAAGAAGACATTTATGTAGCCAAAGACATATGAAAAAATGCTCATCATCACTGGGCATCAGAGAACTGCAAATCAAAACCACAATGAGATACCATCTCATGCCAGTTAGAATGGCGATCATTAAAAAGTCAGGAAACGACAGATGCTGGAGAGGATGTGCAGAAATAGGAACGCTTTTACACTGTCGGTGGGAGTTTAAATTAGTTCAACCATTGTGGAAGACAGTGTGGTGATTCCTCAAGGATCTAAAACTAGAAATATCATTTGACCCAGCAATCCCATTACTGGGTATATATCCAAAAAATTATAAATCATGCTACTATAAAGACACATGCACACATGTTTATTGCGGCACTATTCACAATAGCAAAGACTTGGAGCCAACCCAAATGTCCATCAATAACAAACTGGATAAAGATAATATGGCACGTATACATCATGTAATACCATGCATCCATAAAGAAGGATGAGTTCATGTCCTTTATAGGAACACGGATGAAGCTGGAAACCATCATTCTCAGCAAAATAACACAGGACAGAAAACCAAACACAGCATGTTCTCATTCATAAGTGGAAGTTGAACAATGAGAATACATGGACACAGGGAGGGAAATATCACACACTGGGGCCTGTTGCGGGGTGTGGGTTGGGTGAGGGGTAGCATTAGGAGAAATACCTAATGTAAATGATGAGTTGATGGGTGCAGCAAACCAACATTGCACATGTGCACCTATGTAACAAACCTGCACGTTGTACACATGTACCCTAGAACGGACTGTAAACTAGTTCAACCATTGTGGAAGTCAGTGTGGCGATTCCTCAGGGATCTAGAACTAGAAATACCATTTGACCCAGCCATCCCATTACTGGGTATATACCCAAAGGACTATAAATCATGCTGCTATAAAGACACATGCACACGTATGTTTATTGTGGCACTATTCACAATAGCAAAGACTTGGAACCAAACCAAATGTCCAACAATGATAGACTGGATTAAGAAAATGTGGCACATATACACCATGGAATACTATGCAGCCATACAAAATGATGAGTTCATGTCCTTTGTAGGGACATGGATGAAATTGGAAATCATCATTCTCAGTAAACTATCGCAAGGACAAAAAACCAAACACCGCATGTTCTCACTCACAGGTGGGAATTGAACAATGAGAACACATGGACACAGGAAAGGGAACATCACACTCTGGGGACTGTTGTGGGGTGGGGGGAGGGGGGAGGGATAGCTTTAGGAGATATACCTAATGCTAAATGACGAGTTAATGGGTGCAGCACACCAGCATGGCATATGTATACATATGTAACTAACCTCCACATTGTGCACATGTACCCTAAAACTTAAAGTATAATAATAATAAAATTAAGTTTAAAAAAAAGTCAATGGTATATTGATGGGAATAGCATTGAATCTATAAATTACTTTGGGCAGTATGGCCATTTTCACGATATTGATTCTTCCTATTCATGGGCATGGAATGTTTTTCCATTTGTTTGTGTCCTCTCTTATTTCCTTGAGCAGTGGTTTGTAGTTCTCCTTGAAGAGGTCCTTCACATCCCTTGTAAGTTGAATTCCTAGGTATTTTATTCTCTTTGTAGCAATTATGAATGAGAGTTCAGTCATGATTTGGCTCTCTGTTTGTCTATTATTTCTGTATAGGAATGCTTGTGATTTTTGCACATTGATTTTGTATCCTGAGACATTGCTGAAGTTGCTTATCAGCTTAAGGAGTTTTGGGTTGAGACGATGGGGTTTTCTAAATATACAATCATGTCATCTGGAAATAGACAATTTGACTTCCTCTCGTGCTATTTGAATACGCTTTATTTCTTTCTCTTGCCTGATTACCCTGGCCAGAAATTTCCATAGTATGTTGAATAGGAGTGATGAGAGATGGCATCCTTGTCTTGTGCTGGTTTTCAAAGGAAATGCTTCTATTATTTTGAGACACATTTCATCAATACCTACTTTATTGAGAAATTTTAGCATGAAGTGGTGTTGAATTTTATCAAAGGTTTTTTCTGCATCTATTGAGATAATCATGTGGTTTTTGTCATTGGTTCTGTTTATGTGATGTATTATGTTTATTGATATGCATATGTTGAACCAGCTTTGCATCCCACAGATGAAGACGACTTGATCGTGGTGAATAAGCTGTTTGATGCTCTGCTGGATTCAGTTTTCCAGTATTCCATTGAGAATTTTTGCATCAATGTTCACCAGGGATATTGGCCTGAAATTTTCTTTTTTTGTTGTGTCTCTGCCAGGTTTTAGTATCAGGATGAGACTGGACTCATAAAATGAGTTAGCGATGAGTTTCTCTCTTTCTATTGATTGGAATAGTTTCAGAAGGAATGGTACCAGCTCCTGTTTGTACCTCTGGTAGAATTTGGCTGTGAATCCATCTGCTCCTAAACTTTTTTTGTTGGTAGATTATTAATTACTGCCTCAATTTCAGAACTTATTATTCGTCTATTCAGAGATTGAACTTCTTCCTGGTTTAGTCTTGGGAGGGTGTATGTGTCCAGGAATTTATCCATTTCTTCTAGATTTTCTAGTTTATTTGCATAGAGGTGTTTATAATATTCTCTGATGGTAGTTTGTATTTCTGTGTGATCAGTGGTGATATCTCCTTTATCACTTTTTATTGTGTCTATTTGATTCTTCTCTCTTTTCTTCTTTATTAGCCTGGCCAGTGGTCTATTTCATTAATCTTTTTTTTAAAAAAAACAGCTCTTTGATTCATTGACTTTTTGAAGGGTTTTTCGTGTCTTTAACTCCTTCAGTTCTGCTCTGATTTTAGTTATTTCATGTCATCTGCTAGCTTTTGAATGTGTTTGCTCTTGCCTTTCTAGTTCTTTTAATTGTGATGTTAGGGTGTCAATTTTAGATCTTTCCCACTTTCTTCTGTGGGCATTTAGTGCTATAAATTTCCCTCTAAACACTGCTTTAGCTGTGTCCCAGAGATTCTGGTATATTGTGTCTTTGTTCTCATTGGTTTCAGAGAACTTATTTATTTCTGCCTTCATTTTGTTATTTACCCAGTAGTCATTCAGAAGAAGGTTGTTCAGTTTCCATGTAGTTCTGCGGTTTTGAGTGAGTTTCTTAATTCTGAGTTCTAATTCTATTGCACTGTCGTCTGAGAGACTGTTTGTTATTATTTCGTTTCCTTTCCATTTGCTGAGGAGTGTTTTACTTCCAATTATGTGCTCAATTTTAGAATAAGTGCAATGTGGTTCTAAGAAGAATGTATATTCTGTTGATTTGGGGTGGAGAGTTCTTTAGATGACCATTAGTTTTGCTTGGTCCAGAGCTGCGTTCAAGTCCTGGATATCCTTGTTAATTTTCTGTCTCATTGATCTGTCTAATATTGACAGTAGGGTGTTAAAGTTTCCTACTATTATTGTTTGAGAGTCTAAGCCTCTTTTTAGGTCTCTAAGAACTTGCTTTATGAATTTTAGTGCTCCTATATTGGGTGCATATATATTTAAGATACTTAGCTCTCCTTGTTGCATTGATCTTTTTACCATTATGTAATGCTCTTCTTTGTCTCTTTTGATCTTTGTTGATTTAAAGTCTGTTTTATCAGAGACCAGGATTTCAACCCCTGCCTTTTTTTTTTTCTTTCCTTTTGCTTGGTAAATAGTCCTCCATTTCTTTATTTATAGCCTATGTGTGTCTTTGCACGTGAGATGGATCTCCTGAATACAGCACACTGATGGGTGTTGGCTCCTTATCCAATTTGCCAGTCTTTGTGTTTTAATTGGGGCATTTAGCCCATTTACATTTAAAGTTAATATTATTATGTGTGAATTTGATCCTGTCACTATGATGCTAGCTGGTTATTTTGCCCACTAGTTGATGCAGTTTCTTTATAGTGCCGAATGTCTTTACTATTTGGTATGTTTTTGCAGTGGCTGGTACAACTTTTTCCTTTCCATATTTAGTGCTTCCTTCAGGAGCTCTTGTAAGGCAGGCCTAGTGGTGACAAAATCCCTCAGCATTTGCTTGTCTGGATTTTATTTCTCCTTCTCTTATGAAGCTTAGTTTGGCTGGATATGAAATTGTGGGTTGAAATTCTTTTCCTTAACAATGTTGAATATGGGCTGCCCCTCTCTTCTGGCTTGTAGGGTTTCTGGAGAGAGATCCGCTGTTAGTCTGATGGGCTTTCCTTTGTGTGTAACCTGACCTTTCTCTCTGGCTGCCCTTAACATTTTTTCCTTCATTTCTACCTTGGTGAATCTGACAATTATGTATCTTGGCATTGCTCTTCTTAAGGAGTATCTTTGTGGTGTTCTCTGTATTTCTTGAATTTGAATGTGAGCTTTTCTTGCTAGACTGGGGAAGTTCTCCTGGATAATATCCTGAAAACTGTTTTCCAACTTGATTCTATTCTCCCCATCACTTTCAGGTACACCTATCAAACGTAGGTTTGGTCTTTTCACATAGTCCTACATTTCTTGGAGGCTGTTTTTTCCTTTTCATTTTTTTTCTCTAATCTTGTCTTCACACTTTATTTCATTAAGTTGATCTTCAATCCCTGATATCCTTTCTTCTCCTTGATCAATTCAGCTACAGATACTTGTGTATGCTTCATGAAGTTCTCGTGCTGTGTTTTTCAGCTCCATCAGGTCATTTATTTCTCTAAACTGATTATTCTAGTTTGCAATTCCTCTAACCTTTTGTCAGCGATCTTAGCTTCCTTGCATTGGGTTACAACATGCTCCTTTATCTTGGAGGAGATTGTTATTCCCACCTACTGAAGCCTGCTTCTGCCAATTCATTAAATTCATTCTCCCATCAGTTTTGTTCCCTTGCTGGTGAGGAGTTGTGATCCTTTAGAGGAGAAAAGGCATTCTGCTTTTTGGAATTTTCAGACTTTTTGTGCTTGCTTTTCCTCATCTTCATGGATTTATCTACCTTTAGTCTTTGTTGTTGGTGACCTTCAAATGGGGTTTTTGTGTGGATGTCCTATTTGTTGATGTTGATGCTATTCCTTTCTGTTTGTTAGTTTTTGTTTTTGCTTTTGTTTTTTTCTAGCAGTCAGGCCCTTCTTCTGCAGGTCTGCTGGAGTTTGATGCAGGTCCACTCCAGATTCTGCTTGCCTGGGTATCACTAGTGGAGGCTGCAGAACAGCAAAGAATGCTGCCTGTTCATTCCTCTGAAAAGTTCATCCCAGAGGGTCACCCGCCAGATGTCAGCCGGAGCTCTTCTGTATGAGGTGTCTGTCAACCCCTTCTGGAAGGTGTTTCCCAGTCAGGAGGCATGGGGGTCAGGGACCCACCTGAGGAGGCAGTCTGTCCTTTAGCAGAGCTCAAGTGCCGCACTGGGAGATCTGCTGCTCTTTTCAGAGTTGGCAGGCAGGAACGTTTAAGTCTGCTGAAGCTGTGCCCACAGCCACCCCCTCTCCCAGGTGCTCTGCCCCAGGGAGACGGGAGTTTTACCTATAAGCCCCTGACTGGGGCTGCTGCCTTTCTTTCAGAGATGCCCTACCCAGAGAGGAGGAATCTAGAGAGTCAGTCTGGCTACAGTGGCTTTGCTGAGCTGTAGGCTTTGCCCAGTTCAAATTCCTGGCATCTTTGTTTACACTGTGAGTAAAAAAACGCCTACTGAAGCCTCAGTAATGGAGGACGTCCCTCCCCCCACCAAGCTCGAGCATCCCAGGTGGACTTCAGACTGCTGTGCTGGCAGTGAGAATTTCAAGCCAGTGGATCTTAGCTTGCTGGGCTCTGTGGGTGTGGGATCCACTGAGCTAGACTGCTTGGCGCCCTGGCTTCAGCCTCCTTTCCAGGGGAGTTAACAGTTCTGTCTCACTGGCTTTTCAGGCACCACTGGGATATGAAAAAACTTCTGCAGCTAGCATGGTGTCTGCCCAAATGGTCACCCAGTTTTGTGCTTAAAACCCAGGGCCATGGTGGTGTAGGCACCCCAGGGAATCCTCTGGTCTGTGGGTTGTGAAGACCATTGGAAAAGTGTAGTATCTGGGCCGGAATGCACCATTCCTCATGGCACAGTCCCTCAGGGCTTCCCTTGGCTAGGGGAGAAAGTTCCTTCATCCATTGTGCTTCACACATAAGGCAACACCCCACCCTGCTTCTGCTCACCCTCCATGAGCCACACCCACTGCCAATTCGTTGGCACTTCCTAACCAGTCTCAATGAGATGAGATGTGTATCTCAGTTGGAAATGCAGAAATCACCCAACTTCCACATTGACCTTGCTGGGAGCGGCAGACCAAAGCTATCCCTATTAAGACATCTTGCCAGCCACCTCTCAACATTCGTAATGAAAAGAATTTCCAACCCAAAATTTCATATCCAGGCACGCTAAGCTTCATAAGCAAAGGAGAAATAAAATCCTTTACAGACAAGCAAATGCTGAGGGATTTTGTCACCACCAGGCCTTCTTTACAAGAGCTCCTGGAGGAAGCACTAAATATGGAAAGGAAAAACTGGTACCAGCCACTACAAAAACATATCAAATTGTAAAGACCATCAAGGCTATGAAGAAACTGCATCAACTAATGGGCAAAATAACCAGCTAGCATCATAATGACAGAAGCAAATTCACACATAACAATATTAACCTTAAATGTAATGGGCTAAATGCCCCAATTAAAAAACAAAGACTAGCAAATTGGATAAGGAGCCAATACCCATCAGTGTACTGTATTCAGGAGCTCCATCTCATGTGCAAAGACACACATAGGTTATAAATAAAGAAATGGGGGACTATTTACCAAGCAAAAAAAAAAAAAAATAATAAGCAGGGATTGCATTCCTAGTATCTGATAAAACAGACTTCAAACCAACAAAGATCAAAAGAGACAAAGAAGGGCATTACATAATGGTAAAAAGATCAATGCAACAAGGAGCGCTAACTATCCTAAGTATATATGCACCCAATACAGGAGAACCCAGATTCATAAAGCAAGTTCTTAGAGACCTACAAAGAGACTTAGACTCCCACACAATAATAATAGAAGACTTTAACACCCCACTGTCAATATTAGACAGATCAATGAGACAGAAAATTAACAAGGATATTTAGGACTTGAACTCAGCTCTGGACCAAGCGGAACTAATAGACATCTACAGAACTCTCCACCCCAAATCAACAGAATATATATTCTTCTCAGAACCACTTTGCACTCATTCTAAAACTGACCACATAATTGGAAGTAAAACACTCCTCAGCAAATGGAAAGAAAGCAAAATCATATCAAAATCTCTCAGACCACAGTGCAATAGAATTAGAACTCAGAATTAAGAAACTCACTCAAAACCACAGAACTACATGGAAACTGAACAATCTTCTTCTGAATGACTACTGGGTAAATAACAAAATGAAGGCAGAAATAAATAAGTTCTCTGAAACCAATGAGAACAAAGACACAATATACCAGAATCTCTGGGACACAGCTAAAGCAGTGTTTAGAGGGAAATTTATAGCACTAAATGCCCACAGAAGAAAGTGGGAAAGATCTAAAATCGACATCCTAACATCACAATTAAAAGAACTAGAGAAGCAAGAGCAAACACATTCAAAAGCTAGCAGAAGACAGAAAATAACTAAAATCAGAGCAGAACTGAAGGAGATAGAGACACAAAAAACCCTTCAAAAAATCAATGAACTAAGAAGCTGTTTTTTAAAAAAAATAGATTAACGAAATAGATAGACCACTGGCCAGACTAATAAAGAAGAAAAGAGAGAAGAATCAAATAGACACAATAAAAAGTGATAAAGGAGATATCACCACTGATCACACAGAAATATAAACTACCATCAGAAAATATTATAAACACCTCCATGCAAGTAAACTAGAAAATCTAGAAGAAATGGGTAAATTCCTGGACACATATACCCCCCAAAACTAAACCAGGAAGAAGTTGAATCCCTGAATAGACCAATAATAAGTTCTGAAATTGAGGCAGTAATTAATAGTCTACCAACCAAAAAAAAGTCCACGTCCAGACGGATTCACAGCCAAATTCTACCAGAGGTACAAAGAGGAACTGGTGTCATTCCTTTTGAAACTATTTCAAACAATATAAAAAGGGGGACTCCTCCGTAATTCATTTTATGAGGCCAGCCTCATCCTGATACCAAAACCTGGGAGAGACACAAGAAAAAAAAATTTTCAGGCCAATAACCCTGATGAACATTGATGCAAAAATCCTCGATAAAGTGCTGGAAAACCGAATGCACTAGCACATCAAAAAGCTTATCCACCATGATCAAGTCTGCTTTGTCCCTGGGATGCAAAGCTGCTTCAGCTATGCAAATCAATAAACATAATCCATCACATAAACAGAACCAATGACAAAAACAACATGATTATTTCAATAGATGCAGAAAAGGCCTTTGATAAAATTCAACAATGCTTTATACTAAAAACTCTAAATAAACTAGGTATTAATGAAAGGCATCTCAAAATAATAAGAGCTATTTATGACAAACCCATAGTCAACATCATACTGAATTGGCAAATACTGGAAGCATTCCCTTTGAAAACCAGCACAAGACAAGGATGCCCTCTCTCATCACTCCTGTTCTACACAGTATTGGAATTTCTGGCCAAAGCAATCAGGCAAGAGAAAGAAATAAAGGGTATTCAAATAGAAAGAGAGGAAGTCAAATTGTCTCTGTTTGCAGATAATATGATTGTATATTTAGAAAACCCCATTGTCTCAGCCCAAAAACTCCTTAAGCTGATAAGCAACTTCAGCAAAGTCTCAGGATACAAAATCAATGTGCAAAAGTCACAAGCATTCCTATACGCAAATAATAGACAAGCAGAGAGACAAATTATGTGTGAACTCCCATTAGCAATTGCTACAAAGAGAATAAAATACCTAGGAATACAACATACAAGGGATGTGAAAGACGTCTTCAAGGAGAATGACAAACTACTGCTCAAGGATATAAGAGAGGACACAAACAAATGAAAAAACATTTCATGCTCATGGATAGGAAGAATCAATATCGTGAAAATGGCCACACTGCCCAAAGTAATTTATAGATTCAATGCTATTCACATCAAGCTACCACTGATGTTCTTCACAGAACAAGAAAAAACTATTTTAAATTACATATGGAAACAAAAAAGAGCCCATATAGCCAAGACAACCTAAAAAAAAAGAACAAAGCTGTAGACATCACACTACCTGACTTTAAACTATACTACAAGGCTACAGTAACCAAAACAGCATGGCACTAATACCAAAACACATATATAGACCAATGGAACAGAACAGAGAGCTCAAAAATAATGCCACACATCTACAACTATCTGATCTTCAATAAATGTGACAAAAACAAACAATGGGAAGAGTATTTCCTATTTAATAAATGGTGTTTGGAAAACTGGTTAGCCATACACAGAAAACTGAAACCGGACTCCTTCCTTACACCTTACACAAAAATTAACTCAAGTTATATTAAAGACTTAAATATAAGACCTAAAACCATAAAATCCCTAGAAGAAAACCTAGGCCATACCATTCAGGACATAGACATGGGCAAAGACTTCATGACTAAAACATCAAAAACAATTTTGACAAAAGCTAAAATTGACAAATGGGATCTAATTTTACTAAAGAGCTTCTGCAAGGCAAAAGTAACTATCATCAGAGTGAACAGGCAACCTACAGAATGGGAGAAAATTTTTGCAATCTATCCATCTGACAAAGGGGTAGTATCCAGAATCTACAAAGAACTTAAAGAAATTTACAAGAAAGAAACAAAGAGCTCCATCAAAAAGTGGGCAAAAGTTATGAACAGACACTTCACAAAAGAAGACATTTATGCAGCCAACAAACATAAGAAAAAAAGCTCATCATCACTGGTCATTAGAGAAATGCAAATCAAAACCATAATGAGATATCATCTCAAGCCATTTAGAATGCTGATCATTAAAAACTCAGGAAACAACAGATGCTGGAGAGGATGTGGAGAAATAGAAACACTTTTACACTATTGGTGGGAGTGTAAATTAGTTCAACCATTGTGGAAGACAGTGTGGCAATTCCTCAAGGATCTAGAACCAGAAATACTATTTGATCCAGCAATGCCATTACTGGGTATAAACCCAAAGGATTATATATCATTCTACTATAAAGACACATGCACACATATGTTTATTGCAGCACTATTCACAATAGCAAAGACTTGGAACCAACCCAAATGTCTATTAATGATAGACTGGATAAAGAAAATGTGGCAAGTATCTACCATGGAATACTATGCAGCCATAAAAAAGGATGAGTTCATGTCCTTTGCCGGGACTTGGATGAAGCTGGAAACCATCATTCTTAGCAAATTAACACAGTAACAGAAAACCAAACACTGCATGTTCTCACTCATAAGTGGGAGTTGAACAATGAGAATATATGGGCACAGGGAGGGGAACATCACACACTGGGGCCTGTCTGAGGGTGGAGAGCAAGGGGAGGGATAGCATTAGGAGAAATACTTAATGTAGATGATGGGTTGATGGGTGCAGCAAACCACCACGGCACATGTATGCTTATGTAACAAACCTGCACGTTCTGCACATGTATCCCAGAACTTAAAGTTTAAAAAAAGAAAGAAAAGAAATATTTATGCTAAAAAACCAATGCTTCTTACTTAGGTTCCCTATATTTACAATCACATTTATTTCAAAAAACATTCTAGATCTAATGATATATTTATAATTCTTCAATAAAATCAATGATGGCTTAAAAAACAATGGCACTATAATTTATGTGTGAAATTAAGACTCTAATAATCATCCTGTTAATTAGTCTTTGTTTAAGAAAACAGGGTAATGTATGGTAAATTTTTTAAGTCTAAAAATATATATGGTTAAAATAAAAAAGAGAAGAAAAGAAAAGGAGAAGGAAGAGTAAATGGGACTTTGTCTTGCATCTTAGGTACCAGCTAGGCCACAGTAAGGTAGAGCCCTAAGTAGGTTCTTCCAGGCCTTCGCTCTTAGACGGGATGTCTTGAACTGCCCTGGGTCAGATGAGAGCCAACTTTCCTGAATGCAGAATCCCAGGACTAGCAGCATTCACCACAGGCTGACTGAAGAGACTTTGAGCCTTGAGTGAACATCAGCAGTAGCTAGGCAGTTCTCACTATGGGCCTGGGATGTCAGTGGCTATGGGAACACTCCTCTGTTTGTGGAAAGGAGAGGGAAGAGTAGAATTCTTTCTTGTGGTTTTGGTGCCAACCCAGCTGCAGTAGAATAGAGCACCAAGTAGATCCCTAAGATTTCTGACTCCAGGCATTGGCTCCCAGATGGCATCTCTGGACCCATTATGGGCCAGGATTAATTTGCTACCCTGAAGGGAAGAACACAAGCTTGACTGGCCGCACCAACCACTGATTGTAGAGCCCTAGGACCTTAAGCAGACAAAGAGGGTAGCCAAGCAGTGGTTACCATGAGCATTGGGCAAGACCCACTGCCCTGCTAGCTTCAAGTCTGAGCTGGCACACTCCCAGTTGTGGTGGTCACAGGGGTTCTTGTGTCAGCCCTATCCAAGCTCCAGGCAGCCCAGCACTGATAGAGACTCCATTTGTTTGGGAGTAAGCAAGGGAAGAGAACAAGAGCAACTGCCTGGTAAACCAGGGAATTCTTCTCTGTCTTATCCAAGACTACCAAGCTGGTACCTCTACACATCCGCAAGAGCCAAAGGGTTGCTGGGCTTAATGTGCCCCATAATGCAGATATGGCTGCAGTTACCAAAGATTTAAATCACAGCACCGAAGTCCCTTCAAACACCTGGAAAGCCTTCCCAAGATAGACGGGTACAAATAAACCCAGACTGAAAAGACTACAATAAACGCCTAATGCTTCAATGCCCAGACACCAGTGAACATCTACAAGTATGGTGACTATTGAGGAAACATGACCTCACCAAACAAACTAAATAAGGCACAAGGGAACAGTCCTGGAGAAATTGAGATATGTAACCTTTCAGACAGAACATTCAAAATAGCTGTTTTGAGAAAACCCAACAAAATTTAAGATAACACAGAGAAGAAATTCAGAATCCTATCAGATAAATTAAACAGACATTTAAATAATTAAAATGAATCAAGCAGAAATTCTGGAGCTGAAAACTGCAGCTGACAAGCTGAAGACTGCAGCTGACAAGCTGAAGACTGCATTAGCGTTGCTTGTCAGCAGAATTTATCAAGCAGAGGAAGGAATTAGTGAGCTTGAAGACAGGCTGGTTGAAAATACACAGTCAGAGGAGACAAGAAAATAAAACAGAAAAGAATGAAGCATACTTAGACGACCTAGAAAATAGCCTAAAAGTGGGCAAATCTAAGAGTTATTGGCCATAAAGAGGAGGTAGGGAGAGATCAAGATAGAAAGTTTATTTGAAGCAATAATAACAGAACTTCCCAAACCTAGAGAATGGCATCAATATTCAAGTACAAGAAGGTTGCAGACAGGCAAGCAGATTTAGCCCAAAGAAGACTACCTAAAAGCATTTAATAATCAAACTTCCAAAGATCAAAGACAAGGGAAGAATCTTAAAAGCAGCAAGAGAAACAAAATAGCATACAATGGAGCTCCAGTATGTCTGGCAGCAGACTTCTCAGTGGAAACCTTAAAGGTCAAGAAGGACTGGCATGACATATTTAAAGGTTGAAGGAAAAAACTTTAATCCTAAGATAGTATATCCAATGAAAATATCCTTCAAACATGAAGAAGAAATAAAGAGCAAAAAGAAATCATCTGAAGGTACACAACTCATGGGTAATAGTAAGTACACAGAAAAACATAGAATATTATAACACTGTAATTGTGATGTGTAAACTACTCATATCTTGAGTAAAAAGACTAAAAGGTGAACTGATCAAAAATAGTAACTACAACAACTTTTTAAGACATATTCACTACAGTACAGTATAAATAGAAATAACAAACAGTTAAAATATGGGGGGGTGAAGTTAAAGTGTAAACATTTTGTTAGCTTTCTTTTTGTTTGTTAGATTGTTCATGCAATCAGTGCTAAGTTGCCATCAGTTTAAAATAATGGGTTATAAAATAGTATTTGCAAGCCTCATGGTAATCTCAAATCAAAACACATACAACAAATACATAAAAAATAAAAAGCAAGAAATTGAAATATACCCCCAGAGAAAATCATCCTCATTAAAAAGAAGACAAGAAGGAAGGAAAAAAGAAAGAGAAGACTATACAGCAACCAGAAAACAAATACAAAAATACAGGAGTAAGTCCTTACTTATCAACAATAACATTGAATGTAAACGGATTAACCTCTCCAATGAAAAGACACAGAGTGGCTGAATGGATTAAAAAAAAATCATCTGTTGCCTATGGAAAAACCACTTCACCTATAAAGACACACAGAGACTAAAAATAAAGGGAAGGAGAAAGATATCCCATGAAAATGGTAACTAAAAATAAGCAGGAATAGCTAAACTCATATCAAACAAAATAGATTTCAAGACATAAACTATAAAAAGACACAAAGAAGGTCATTACATAATAACCAGTGTCAATTCACAAGAGTATATAACAATTGTAAATATGTATGCACCCAACACTGGAGCACTCAGATATATAAAGCAAATATTATTAGACCTAAAGAAGGAAGAAGAAAATAGACCCTGTTAAATTTATGACTGGAGATTTTAAGACCCCACTTTGGGCATTGAACAGATCATTTAGACAGAAAATCAATAAGGAAACATCAAATTTAATCTGCACTATAGACCAAAAGTACCTACTAGATATTTGCATAAATTTCATGTAACAGCTGCAGAAAACACATTTGTCTCTTTAGCACATGGATTATTCTCAAGGACAGACTACAAGTTAGGTCACAAAACAAGTCTCATAACATTCAGAAAATTAAAATAATATCAAGCATCTTCTCTGAACATATGTAATAAAACTAGAAATCAATAACAAGAGGAATTTTTAAAACTATACAAACACATGTATATTAAACAATATGCTTTCAAATGACCAGTGGGTCAATAAAGAAATTAAGAAGAAATTTTAAAAATTTATTGAAGAAAATAAAAATGGAAACACAACATATCAGAACCTATAGGATACAGTGAAAACAGTACTAAGAGAGAAGTATATAGCAATAAGCACCTACATCCAAAAAGTGGAAAAGGTTTAAATAAACAACATAACAATGCATCTTAACTAGAACAGCAAGAGCAAACCAAACCCAAAACTAGTAAAATAAATAAATAATAAACATGAGAGCAGAAATAAATAAAATTTAAACAAAAAATACAAGAAATCAATAAAATGAAAAGTTGTATTTTAAAAAGATAAACAAAATTGACAAATTTTTAGCCAGACTAACTAAGAAAAAAGAAAGGAGTCCCAAATAAATAAAAACAGAGGTGAAAAAGGAGACATTAAAACAGATATTACAGAATTCAAAGGATCATTAGAGGCTACTATGAGTAACTATATGCCAATAACCAGAAAACCTAGGAGAAATGGATGAATTTCTGGACATTTACAACCTGCCATGATTGAACCAGGAAGAAACTCAAAACCTGAACAGATCAATAACTAGCAATGAGATTAAAGCCATAATAAAAACATCCCAGCAAGAAAGAGCCTGGGACCTGATGGCTTCACTGCTGAATTTTACCAAACATTTAAAAAAAACTAATACTAATCCTATTCAAATTACTTCAAAAAATAGAGGAGGGAATACTTCCAAACTCATTCTATGAGGCCATTATTACCCTGATACCAAAACTAAAGATACATCAAAAAAGAAAACCACAGGTCAATACCTCTGATAAATATTGATGCAAAAATTCTCAACAAAATACTAGCAAATCAAATCCAACAACAAATTAGAAAGATCATTCATTATGACCAAGTGAGATTTATCCCAGGGATGCAAAAATGGTTCAACATACACTAATCAATGTGACAATTGCATCAACAAAATGAAGGATAAAAATCATATGATTATTTTGACTGATGCTGGTAAACATTTGATAAAATTCAACAACTCTTTGTGACTTAAAAAATGGGTGTAGAAAGAACATACCCCAACATAATAAAAGCCATATATAACAGACCCACAGCTAGTATCATATTGAATGGGGAAAATTGAAAGCCTTTCCTCTAACATCTGGAACATGATAAGGATGCCCACGTTCACCACTCTTATTCAACAAAGTACTGGAGATCCTAGCTAGAGTAATCAGACAAGATAAAGAAATAAAGGGCATCTAAATTGGAAAGTGTATTCTTGGGAAAACTGCATATCGATATGCTGAAGAATGAAATTAGAACTCTATCTCTCACCATATACAAAAATCAAATAAAAGTGGATTAAAGCCCTAAGTCTAAGACCTCAAACTATGAAACTACTAAAAGAAAACATTGGGGAAACTCCCCCAGACACTGGGATAGGCAAAGATTTCTTGAGTAATACCCCACAAGCATAGGCAACCAAAGCAAAAATGAACAATTGGGATCAGATCAAGTTTACAACTTCTGCACAGTAAAGAAAACAATCCACAAAATGAAGAGACAATTCACAGAATGTGAGAAAATTTTTGCAAACTATCCATCTGACAAGAGATTAATAATCAGCATATATAAGCAGCTCAAACAATTCTACAGGAAAAAATCCAATAATCCAATTTTAAAATGGGCAAAAGTTCTGAATAGACATTTCTTAAAAAAAGACATGCAATGACAAACAGATACATGAAAAGGGGCTCAATATCATTGATCATCAAAGAAAGGCACAACAAAGCTACAAGGAGATATTATCTCACCACAGTTAAAATGTCTTTTATTCAAAAGACAGGCAATAATAAATGCTGGCAAAGATGTGGAGAAAAAGGAACCCTCGTACAATATTGGTGGGGGAATGTCAATTAGTACAACTGCTATGGAGCACATTATGGAGGTTCCTCAAAAAACTAGAAATAAAACTACCATATGATCCAGCAATCCCACCGCTAGGTATCTATCCAAAAGAAAGGACATCAGCATATTGAAGAGATAACTTTACCCCCATGTTTATCGCAGCTCTGTTCACAATAGCCAAGACTTGGAGACAAACTAAGTGTTCATCAACAGACAAATGGATAAAGAAAATATGGTACATATACACAATGGATACTATTCAGCCATAAAAACAAATGAGATCCTGTCATTTGCAATAACATGGATGGAACTGGAGGTCACTATGTTAAGTGAAGTAAGCCAAGCACAGAAAGATAAACTTCACATGTTCTCACTTATCTGTGAGAGCTAAAAATTAAAACAATTAAATTCGTGGAGATAGAGACTAAAGTGATGGTTATGAGAGGCCTCAGAGGTTAGTGGCAGGGGTGGGGGGTTGAGTAGTGGGAATGGTTAAAGAGTAAAAAAATAGATAACATAAATAAGATCAAGTATTTAGTAGCATAACACCTTGACTACAGTCAAGAATAATGTATTTTACATTTTAGAATAACTAAAAGAATATAATTGGAATGCTTGTAACACAAAGAAATGATTAATGCCTTGAGGTGATGGATGTCCATTTACCCTTATGAGATTATTACACACTATATGCCAGTACCAAAATATCTCATGTACCATATAAACATATGTAACTCCTGTGTACCTGTGAAAAATAAAAATTAAGAAGAGAAAAGTTAGAGGACCTGAGACAGCCTCAGAAATGCTTAGTGCTTGCTGGGACTGCTGGTATAAGCTTTTCTGATTCTCATAAAAATCCTCTGAGAGCTAAACTTTCCATTCTTCCATAGTAGCAGGAAGAGAGACCCTAAAATAATAAAACAGGATGGCATCTCAGTCATCAATGTCATATTTGGAAACATACCTTTCAGAGAAGCCAGACATCCTGGTCCCTGGAAAAGGATGGTTACATAGCCAAGAAGAGAAATGAAATATTTCTGAATTCCTTTGCTCAGAGTTTCCCTCTGGATATAAGACAGCTTGCTTCTGGACCCTTGATAATTAGACATATTACATCTTAGATTCCCTTTGAGTCCTTTTTTGAGACTCTTTCTCATCAATGCTCCCAGCCTCTATTCCCCATCCCTCAACTTTGGGTTGGACCAAGACAAGTGGCTAACAATCTCCTCCCCAGTACTTATCTCCTCTATTGAACCTTTATCCCGTAAGGATATGGTATCAAAGGTGATCACTTGCTATTCTATCAACCCAGCCAACATTGATAGTATAATGGAAGATCACTTCTCTCCCAGCTAGGGCCCTCAACCCCTGAAGAGTTAGCATTTGTGTATTTTCCTGTAGTCCTTGTATTGTGTCAACAAAGAGAGCACTGTACTGAAGGGACCCTCAATCCAAAGGCAAAAGTCTAGATCATTTAAATAAGCCTATAGGGCATTTTTCTAAAAGTTAAACCTAAAATCAAAACAATGAACTTTATTGTCCTCTATAGCCTACCTCAAATCCAATTCAAATCAATAAAAGATTGTTGCCCACTGTGCCTATGATTAGGGTCAGCCCTGATAGGGATTGTTGTGCTCACAGTACCACAGGCTTCTAAAGAGTAGGATGATTGTCAAAACAATCTACAGATTCAATGCAATCTCCATCAAAATTGCAAAGGCATTTTTTCACCAAAATAGAAAAAACAGTCCTGAAATTCATATGGAACCATGATAGACATTAAATAGCCAAGGCAATCTTGAGAAAGAAGAACAAAGGTGGAGACATCATACATTCTGATTTTAAATTATATTACAAAGATTTAGTAATCAAAACAGTACGGCACTGGAATAAAAAAAAAACATATAGACCAATGGAGCAGAATAGAGAGCCCAGAAATAAACCTACACATATACTGTCAAATAATTTTTGACAAGGGCAGCAAGAACACGCAACAGAGAAAGGATAGTCTCTTCAATAAATGGTGTTGGAAAAACTGGATATCCACATACAAAATAATGAAATTGGAGCCTTGTCTTACACCACTCACAAATAAAACAGTTCAAAATAGATTAGAGATTTAAACATAAGACCTGAAACATAAGACTCCTAGAAGGAAACATAGAGAAAAAGCTTCTCGATATTGGTCTTGGCAATTTTTTGGGGGTATTTGACATCAAAAGCACAGACATAAAAAGCAAAAATAAATAAGTGGAACTACATCAAATGAAAAAACTTCTGTGCAACAAAAGAAACAACAAAATAAAAAAGCAACCATGGAATAGGAGAAAATATTTGCAAACCATATATCTGATAAAGGGTTAATATCCAAATTACATAAGAATCTCCTATGACTCAATTTTTAAAAAAAGCCAATTCATTTAAAAATGAGAAAAGAAACTGAATAGACACTTTTCCAAAGAAGATTTACAAATGGGCAAAAAATATATAAAAAGGAACTTGACATCATTAATTATCAGGAAAATGCATATTAAAACTACAATAAGATATCACTTTATAGCTGTTAGAATGGCTATTACCAAAAGACAAGAGAGAAAGCATTGGTGAGGGTGTGAAGAAAAGGGAACTCTGGTACACAGTTGGTGGGAATGTAAATTGGTATAGCTATTATGGAAAACAGTCTGCAGGTTGCTCAAGAGAATTAAAAATAGAACAACCAAATGATCCAGCAATCCCACTTCTGAGGACATAAACAAAGGAAATGAAATCTGTATGTGAAAGAGTATCTGCACTCCCTTGTTCATTGCAGTATTATTCACAATAACCAAGATATGAAAACAATCTTAGTGTCCATCAATTGGTGAATAGATTAAAAAAAAATGCGGTACACATATACAATTGAATATTATTCAGCTTTTAAAAAGAAGAAAGTCTTGTCATTTCTGACAACCTAGATGAACCTGGAGGACACTAAGCTAAGTAAAATAAACTAGACACAAAGGGACAAATAATACATTATACTACTGATATCAGGAATCTAAAACAGTCCAACTCATAGAAACAGAGGGTAGAATGGTGGTTGCTGGGAGGAAGAGAACAGGGAGGTATTAGTTGAAAGGTATAAAGTTTCAATTATACAGGGTGAATAAGTTCAAGAGATCTAATGTATAGCATAGGGACTGTATTTGTTTTCACACTGCTGTGAAGAAATACCTGAAACTGGGTAATTTATAAAGGAAAGAGGTTTAACTGACTCACAACTCCACATGGCTGGGGAGGCCTCAGGATGCTTAACAATCATGGCAGAAGGGGAAGCAAACATGTCCTTCTTCACATGGTGGCAGGAGAGAGAGAAGTGCAGAGTGAAGAGGGGGAAAAATCCCTTATAAAACCATCAGATCTTGTGAGAATTCATTCACTATCATGAGAACAGCATGGCAGAAACCACCTCCATGATTCAATTACATCCCACTTGGTCCCTCCCATGGCACATGGGGATTGTGGCAACTATAATTCAAAATGAGATTTGGGTGGGGACACAAAGCCTAACTGTATCAGGGACTGTAATTAATAATACGGTATTGTATACTTCAAATTTGCTAAAGGAGTAGATTTTAACTGGTCTCACCACACATAAAAAAAAATGAGCTATGTGAAGAAATGGATATATTTATTAGCTAACTATAGTAATGTTTACTGTATATATGCATATCAAAACATCCCATTGTACATCCTAAATACATGTAATTTTTATAAAATTTAAATAAAAGTGGGGTGGCCATGAGGCTGGTTTCTCTGAGAAGTTCCAGCTGTCCCTGGGTAATTACTGATAGTGCCCTCTTCCCACACTCTTATTCTTCTAGCTCAGGCAATTGTCTGTATGGGCACACTACTAAAAAACTAATGGTTCTGGAGGGTCCTTATGACCTGCCTTTCTCTACTGCTCTTTCACTCCTATCAAAAGCCATCTTGAGAGAACCCACCCTACCACGGCCATCTGTCCTCATTAATATCTCCCCTGTCTCCTAGCACCCTTAAGGCTGTCAACTCTCCAAGTGTCAAACAGTGCTGTATTTCTGGGGTCTTCCATGTGCCAAAGTCACACTGTATTCCTTGAAAAAGTAAAGAAAGCCTCCCTTCCTTTCCCTAACTGTAGTAGTCCATTTTCATGATGCTGAACATACCCAAGACTGGGCAATTTACAAAAGAAAGATGTTTAATGGACTTACAGTTCCACATGGCTGGAGAGGCCTCACAATCATGGTGGAAGGCAAGAAGGAGCAAGTCACGTCTTACATGGATGGCAGTAGGCAAAGAGAGAGAGCTCATGCAGGAGAACTCCTCTGTGTAAAACCATCAGATCTCATGAGACTTGTTCACTATCATGAGAACAGCATGGGAAAGACCTGTCCCCAGGATTCAATTAACTCCTACTGGGTCTCTCTTAAAACACTTGGGAATTCAAGATGAGACCTGGGTGGGAACACAGCCAAACCATATTATTCTGCTCCTGGCTCCTCCCAAATCTTATTTCCTCACAGTTTAAAACCAATCATGCCTTCCCAACAGTACCCCAATGTCTTAACTCATTTCGACATTAACTCAAAAGTCCACAGTCCAACCTCACATCTGAGACAAGGCAAGTCCCTTCCACCTATGAGCCTGTAAAATAAAAAACAAGTTAGCTACTTCCTAGATACAATGGGGGTATAGGCATTCGGTAAATACACCCATTCCAAATGGAGAAATTGGCCAAAATGATTCCATGTCTCCAATATGTGTCATGCTGATGCAAGAGGTAGGTTCCTATGGTCTCAGACAGCTCTGCTCCTGTGGCTTTGCAGGGTACAGCCTCCCTCCTGGCTTCTTTCATGGGCTGGTGTTGAATGTGGCTTTTCCAGGTGCACAGTGCAAGCTGTTGATGGATCTACCATTCTGGGGTCTGGAGGATGGTAGCCCTCTTTTCACAGGGAGCACCCCAGTGGGGACTCTGGGTAGGGGCTCCCACTCCACATTTCCCTTCCACACTCCCCTAGCAGAGGTTCTCCATGAGTTCCTGCTCCTGCAGCAAACTTCTGCCTGGACATCCATGCATCTCCATACATCTTCTAAAACCTAAGTGGAGGTTCCCAAACCTTAATTCTTGACTCCTGTGCATCCGCAAGCTCAGTACCACAGGGAAGCTGCCAAGGCTTAAGGCTTGCACTCTCTGAACCACAGCCTGAGCTGTACCTTGGCCCCCTTTTAGTCATGGCTTGGGATGCAGGGCACCAAGTCCCTAGACTGCATACAGCATGCCTTGGCCCAGCCAATGAAACAATTTTTTTCCTTTTATGTCTCTGGGCCTGTGATGGGAGGAGCTGCCACAAAGTTCTCTGACATGCCCTGGAGACATTTTCCCCACTGTCTTGGTGATTAACATTTGGACCGTCATTACTTATGCAAATATCTGTAGCTGGCTTGAATTTCTCCTCAGAAAATGGTATTTTCTTTCCTGTTGCATTTTCAGGCAGCAAATTTTCTGAACCTTTATGCTCTGTTTCCCTTTTAAAACTGAATGCCTTTAACAGCACCCAAGTCACCTCTTGAATGCTTTACCACTTAGAAATTCCTTCTGCCAGATACCCTAAATCATCTCTCTCAAGTTTAAAGTTCCACACATCTCTAGGGTAAGGGCAAAATACCACCAGTCTGTTTGCTAAAACATAACAAGGGTCACCTTTGATCCAGTTCCCAACAAGTTCCTCATCTCCATCTGAGACTACCTTAGCCTGGATTTCATTGTCTATATCATTATCAGCACTTTGGTCAAAGCCATTCAACAAGTCTCTAGGAAGTTTCAAACTTTCCCACATTTTCCTGTCTTCTTCTGAGCCCTCTGAACTGTTCCAACATCTGCCTGTTACCCAGTTCCAAAGTTGCTTCCACAGTTTCAGGTATCTTTTCAGCAGCATCCCACTCTACTGGTACCAATTTACTGTATTAGTCTGTTTTCATCCTGCTGTTAAAAATATACTCAAGACTGGACAATTTACAAAAGAAAGAGGTTTAATGGATTTACAGTTCAACATGACTGGAGAGGCATCAAAATCATGGCAGAAGGCAAGGAGGAGCAAGTCATGTCTTACACAGATGGCAGTACATGAAGAGAGAGAGCTTGTGCAGGGTAACTCCTCTTTTTAAAACCTTCAGATCTCATAAGACTTGTTCACTATCATGAGAACAGCAACGGAAAGACTTACCCCCATGATTCAATTACTTCCCACCAGGTCCCTCCCAGAGCAAGTGGCAATTAAATATGAGATTTGGGTGGGGATACAGCCAAACTGTATCACTATCTGAATCACGTGGGCACCAAAGCAGCTCTTGTCCCTAGTTTCCAACTCCCAGAGTTCCCTGACAACACAGCTTTCCACCCTCTGCAGGCCTCAGGCCTGTTTCCTTTGAGTAAACCAGAGAATATACTAGACCTCATACTGACCCTGTCCTTCTGGCTTCCCTTCCCCTCCTTCCCAGGCTCCTGCCCCTACCCCCATGGAATCAGCTAGTATAATTAGATCTCATTGTAGCCTCTGCTCCACCAGCATTTCAGACCCAAATACTTGTTGCTATGTGTTGAATTGTGTCATCCAAATAGATGCACTGAAATCCTAATCCATGGTACCTGTGAACATGACCTTATTTGGAAATAGGGTCTTTGCAGGTGGAATCAAATTAAAATAAGATCATTAAGGTGGGCCCTAGTCCGTTATGGCTGGTGTCCTTATAAGAAAAGGAGAAAAAAAAATGCATGAAGACAGACACATAGGGCGAATGTCAGGTGATGACAAAGGCAGAGATTGGAGTGATGCAGCTGCCATCCAAGAAATACTAAGGATTCTTGGCCACCACTAGAAGCTGGGAATAGATGAGGAAGGATTCTACCCAGAGTCTCAGAGACAGCGTGTCCCTGCTGCCACTATGATTCTGAAATTCTTGCCTTCAGAATTGGAAAGGATTGATTTGTTGTTTTAAGCCAACACGTTTTTGGTAATTTGTTACAACCACCCTTAGAAACTAATATACCTACCTGGACTAGAGCCGGGACCCTCCACCACACCTGTTCTGAGATGGTGAAAATCCACTCCATCTCATTAGGCTTCCTTTCTGTGACCTTGTATTTTCTAATCACAGAAAATTAGATGGCAAAGCAGAAAATCCTGCTCACTCTAAGGGTAAAGATGTGGGCCAAAAGACAGACTTATTTTCTGTTATTTTTTCAAAATCAGCCAACATCTCAGATGATGTTACCATTGATGCTCAGCAGCCTCATTATTCTAGGAGATAAAAAGAATTGAGTTTGGGTGGAGGCATGGGGCAGAACCAGACATGAAGAGGGAATTGCCCACTCTGACACCTTTGGAGTGATGCGTTCCAATATTGTTTTAATATCAAATCCAGATAAGCTGGGAGGTCTCATCCTCCTTGCCATGTGTGCACAGAGAAGCACACATTTTTCATTAAGTGCCAAGGTCACCCACAAGTGCTTTGGCAGGGCTGTGTGGAGAAGTTGTATAGCACCTGCCTACATATGTTTGGCACAGTGCCCTCTCCTTGCTTCCTCTCTGATCAGAAGCATATTTATCTGCAACTTTTTTAAAGTCAGGAAAACAAAGAATCTCTCCTAGACTGTTTAAAATTTTAAAACCAATTCCAGACCATACACAATATTTTGGTTGAATTTCAATGATGACATCCTATTGAATTTATTTTGTTCAAATGAACACAAAGGAAAATTTTCCATAGATAGGCATGGATATCTGTTGCTCCAAAGCTGAACTCTTTTCTTCTTTCACTCCACTTAACTCATGTTTTCTAAGGGAACAGAAAAATCCCCCTGTGTAAATTCTTTGTTCTCCTTTTCTTCTTCTTCCAAGTTCTTTTCTTTGCTACTTTATGCTTTCTCTTCTTTCAGATTTAACCCTTCCCCACGATCTGCTTTTTCTCCTTCCCTGACTCACTTAATCCCTCCCTTCTCCAACTCCTTCCACCGCAATGACCAACCATCATAGCCAGCCTAAGGTCAACCATGAAAGGAAAATTTGCTCTTCAGCATATCGTGTTCTTTGACACACCTTTTATCCCCTCACTTCACCACAGTTGGTACACAATAAGGTGTGATAGGGCCTGATAAATATCTAATTCCTCGTATGCCAATAGCCACACAACCTTGAACAAGCTATTTAATCTTTCTGTGCCTTGGTTTATACAAAAAGACTTGTTCTTTAATACAAGTGCTCATCTTTGCATTCAATCTCGTGGTTTCCTGAAATTACAGCTGCCTTCTGGTTGAAATTGACCTTAGATGTAGCCTCACTCCTGAGATCCTGGGCAGCCATTATATCCCCAGAGTCAAGGAAGTGCATGAAGTAATTCATTTAACAAAAAAAGAGAAAATAATGCTGTTTTCATGGGAGTTGCTGCGTAAATTCAAATGAACAAGGAATGCCTAAAACTGAGGACACTCTGTAACCATTACGTCTTTTCTGCACCTCACCCCTCCTGGTGCTCTGCTTCCTCCGCACTCTCCATCCCAGGTCTGATAGTGGCCATTGAACTATATTGAGATTTTAAATCAAGGTGGAACTTCTTTCAACAGTGGTTGTTTTAGGGCTTATTTCTAATAGAAAAACAGAAGTCCTTAACAACCTGATCAAGGCATTTCAACCTTGATGGGTGAGAATTTGGGGAAGGGGTGAATCAAAGAAAGAGAGGCACCTCATCTGCCCAGGGAAAATGCCAGCCAAACTAGCACTGACTTCACAACCCACCCTGCTTCCTCCATGTTGAGTTTCCATCTTGTGAAAGAGAAACAGAGACAGAGATAGAGAAGCAAAGACAGGCACACAGAGGGCCACAGTCCAGTTATTTCAGTGCCCACTATCTACTCTGACTTGTCCCCTGCACCCTACTATCCCCAGGATTCAGTGGTCAAAGATGTTCCTATTTGGTAACTTTACTCAAGTGTATCCTAACTTGAGCTCCAAAAAATAAACAATTGAAAACTTCAGTCCCTCTCCTAGCCAAGTTTAAGCCTATTGGAGGAGTGAAGGGCTTCACATGTGACTGTTGCAATAGTTAATGAAGCATCATATTGCTTTAGTCAGATTGACCTGTGTGCTCCAGATAACATCATCTCAGGCTTTCTCAACCCTCAAAAACCTCATACACTTGACCTGAGCTCTTAATGCCATGGATTGTGACAGTCCAAACCCTCCCATGGTTTCTAAAGTCCCTTGACACTTGCTCCCACAAGGCCATTTCCCATTCTGCCTTCAGTGTTGAACAAACTCTGTTTTACTCCTTACTAATCCAGTCAGAAATTCAAACTCTTCTCTAGTTTATACAAAGAAGTCTATTCTTACAAAATGACTTATAAGTTTAGCAATTCACTAAAGATGTGCCCAGTCAAGATGGTGTGTCTCATCATCCCTGTAAAGCAACTCATTAGTGCATGGCCCTTTGCTGTCCTTCCTCCACAACTTGTCAGCTGCCACAAATTTCTCTTTCTGCTTCCCATAGAGTAACTTCAGTCCCTTCTTTGAAACCTTGATGCCAGCCAGCACCAGAGCCCCAAAAGAGTGAGTCTCTGCCCAAGAGAAATGATAGTTGACAACTGCTAAGAGAGCAAATGTTCTCCTAAGACACAAATACAGGATAAAGCAACACAGATTTTTTTATGTAAGAGAAGAGGGAAAAAACAGGTATTTAGTAGCTAGAGCTGAAGTCCATGGGTCTGTCATAGACACTGGCCTAGAGCATGACAGTGATCAATGCAGAAAGTGCAGTCAAGCGGGGAGGAAGAAAGTCAGTGAAGGAGAGAAAGGTGGAAAGGACTGTGGTGATCTACAGTTTGCTAAAGGCTCATAGAACTCAGGCAAGACATATGTCATCCTTCTACCCTCATTTTCTTACCTGCAAACTATTATGCTCAGGACATACTGAATCTTCATTCTCACATCCTTGAAAGATACCAAGGGTTAAGAATGGATCCAGCTCCTTTGAGGCAGAGGTACTTTGTATAATGCATTTCATATTTGAAAGGGGCATTGGAGAGGGCCAAGATTGCTGAGTAGAAAAGGGCATCCAATTTTTACTATACTAAGGCACTAATTAGTCAATCTCAACTGGACTAATGTGCCAAATAGTATCCCAGAGAGTGAATTTCAGAGTAATATGCATATAGCATTGGCCACCCCATTGATGGTTCAAATTGATCCAGCCAGTCAGGCTGGCTTCATATGTGAGGGAAAGATGGCAATTCCTCCAGGTAGAGGGGGCAGTGTGCTGATTGTGAGCTTAGGAATAGCTGTGTTTGCTGATCAGAACCTCCCAGTTGCTCTTGTAGTCTGTAGGGAGAAAAAAATACACATTTATCTTGGAGTCAAGGTGTTTTCCAAAATCCGTAGGCCCAAGTTGTTAATTCCTGCATGCCTCTCTTCTGCCACTTCCCTTTTCTAATAAAGCCACTCCACTCTTTCCACTATGGTTACCAGAAGCTGGGAGCCATGTTAGGGTAAAGGGCAAAGGTGGAGAAGGAGATCTACCTCACACACACACACGCATTTCATTATCACTTCTCTAATTCCGACTTCTGCTAAACATTTACAGAACGCTAAGAATCAAGTCAGTGAATGTTTCTGCTGTGTTGGATTAACAGCCTGTTTCAGATTAGCACAAATCAAAGGAATAAAATCGAAAAACACATTGGAATTGGCAAAAAAAAAAAAAAGAGAACACATAATTTCATGTTGATATGGAGTCTAAAGAAGGCTGAAAGCATCATTCCTGGAGGCCCTCAAGTCCATGGCTTTCTTGGGAAGTGAAATATTTAGAGGTTTCTTTTTAGCTCTTCCAAATGAATTACGAGGTGATAAAGCACAGGTTGAGCAAAGATCCTTCTCCGTGTTTCTTTCGATAAAATGTTAACCAAGGGACCCATGTTGTAAATGGGAACACAGCACATGTAATCTAAAACATCATTCTCAGGAGTCCAAGTCATTGGCATGACCATAAACCCTCTCTGATGTTACAGAAGGAGCAGATGGGAGGGAGAGATGGAGAGAAAAAGATGGAGAGAAAGATGGAGGGGAAAGGACGAGGTTTGAAAAGAAACCATTAGGTTTCCTACAGTGAGGCTTTAAAAAAAACACTTTATTGAAGTATGATTGACATACAAAAAGCTGTACATATTTGTTGTATACAACTTGATGAATTTGGAGATACGTATACACCTATACAGAAAAAAGTAGAAAAGAAAAAAAAAGAATAAAGTACACCTATGAGATCTAGAAAACAGCCTTAAAAAGGAAAATCTAAAAATTATAGGCCCTAAAGCAGAATTAGAGAGAGAGATTTGGGTAGAAAGTTTAATCAAAGAACTAATAACAGAGAACATTTCAAAACAAGAGAAAGATATGAATGTCCTTTTATATCTATGAAGCCAACACCTCCATCATGCCACATACGTATTCATTATCTCCAAAAGTTTCCTCCCACCTTCATTTATTATTTTTGTGTGATAAAAACACTTAACATAAGATCTACTCTCTTAGCAAATTTTAAGTATACAATACAATATTGTTAACTACAGGCACCATGCTATACAGTAGATCTCTAGGATTTATTCATCTTGCATAACTGAAACATTGTACCCTTTGATGAATACCTCCCCAGTGAGGCTTTTTTTAAGTGAATTTTCAATGTGGATTATTTTTGAACACTTACTTGACTAAAATACCGCTTCAGAGAGGAAGAAAATAAGGGACAAGGAGAAAGACAGAAAATTCCAAATGTCAATTCCAAATGAGTGATTATTTATTTTTAACTTATCCCTACAATATGTACACATGCCACTAATACAGATAATCTAGTGCTGACTTAAAAGCAAAAACAGACATAAGACCAGTGCTTGGAACTTTGCTCTAAAAGAAAGGGTGTCGAGTGAGAAATCTTTCTCCAGCCAAAAAATGCAAGCAATGTCTGAGAAGAGCCACAAAAAGCCTAGAACCACTCAGCTCCAGAAGACTCCTTCAGGAGCACCATCCAAAGTATCTAGGTTTAAAAACATACCTGTGGTCCTACCGACTGCACCCATGATTGCAGAAATGGAGTTGGAGGATGAGAGGAAGAAGATGGAATGAAACATATAGATTGTTGCCAGTTTCCAGGCAGGGATTGTCAAGAGCAAACACACTCAAATAACCAGAACATTTTATTCTGCTGGAGAGCTGGGTAATTTCAAGGCACAATGCACTCACTTTTCAGGGGCTCTGTTAATAAAGACAGAGCAATTCATGACCATCAGTAATGTGTGTGCCCTCATGTCAATCACAATAGCAGGTCTGACTTTTGCAAGTCTATTTGCACTTGGTCCTAATGATGAGAGATTTTTTTAGTCTCTTTATAGCAAGAGTCAAAAAACTTTTTCAGTAAAAGATTAGAGAGTATGCTTTACAGGCCATACTCTCTACAACAATTATTCAACTCTGCTGTTGTAGTGTAAAAAGAGCACATACCATATACATGACTGACCATTGCTGTGTTTCAATAAACCTGTATTTACAAGAACAGACAGCTGTCCAGATTTAGCTCACAGGCTGTAGTTTGCCAACCCCTGCATTAAACAATCAGTTTGTAACTCCAACATGCTCCTAGGATGGCTGACCCATAGTTCACAGCGGGGCATGAATAGAGATGAGGACTTCTGAATTAGTGTCATGCTCATGCACTCACTCATATTTACTCTCAACATAACACCCTGTGTTGGTTTCAAGTTGGCTTCAAATTCTCTGAAACACTTCCCATGAAAAGGTGAAATATAGCCTCTTCTCTTGAATGGAGACAGTCTCTGTAACTGCTTGAACAATAAAATACAGCAAAAGTGACGCTGTGCTTGTTTCCAGGCCTAGGCTCTAAAATACTGGCAGTTTCTACTTCCTATTTTTTGAACACTTGCTCATGGAATCCAGCTGCCATGCCATGAAGAGGACCAAACAGCCCTACAGAGAGTCTCACATGGAAAGGAATCGAGGTTCCTGGCCAACATCCCATTTGAGCTCCCAGCCTGGACCCTAAAACACTTCCTGCAGGATCCTCCACATACTCTATTGTCTGCCAGTCAGACGCAGAGGATCCAGTGGAATGCTCTTGGGTGTTGAGGAATGGCAAAGCCACTACATGAAAGAGCCTGAGTCCCTGAGGAACTGAATAAAGCAGATATACCTCTCCAACCTGCACCCCCACTCACACCACCAACCTCCAAGGACATCAGCCTGCATTGGACTTGATGTAAGTGAGAACCTTGATTAAGCCATTGGGATTTTAGGCATTGTTACATATCCCCCAAAGTTGGCATACCTTAAAAAAGAGGGAAAAAGGAAAGTGGGCCACTCTTGACAAATGTTACCACAGGACAGCAAGATTTGAGGAAAAAAAAAGAATGCGCAGAATTTTCAAGGACAAATCAGCAGAGCTTCATGATTGACTCGCATTATGAATCAGAGCCTTCTGCGTTCTAAAACATAAATGACACATATGGACTGTTTACATAGCAGTGCCTACTCAACAGTTGAGCTTTTATAGAGCTGGGCAAATGTATTTGAAAAATGGAGCTCTTTGCATAGCTGATCTTAAAGAAGGAAGATGGACAGGCAGTCAACTCTGAGCTATGATTGGAAGCTTCCCCCATGTCTCTACACACAATACCTGAAATTGCTGATTACTTCTGTTGAAGCAATCTAATATACTGGTAAATATAGAAAAATTATCTGAGAGGACTCACACTTTAGACCTGGAGTCAGAAAATTATGGGCCCTGGCCAAATCCAACCTGCAAGCTATTTTTGTTTGGTCAGTGAGCTAAGAATGGTTTTAACATTTGTAAACAGCTGAAAACTTCAAGAGAAGAATAATATTCTGTGGCAAGTGAAAACTGTACAAAATTTATATTTCAATATCCATGGTTTATTGGAATACAGCAATGTACATTTCTTTTTTATTATTATACTTTAAGTTTTAGGGTATATGTGCACAACATGCAGGTTTGTTACATAGGCGATATACCTAATGTTAAATGAAGAGTTAATGGGTGCAGCACATCAACATGGCACATGTATACATTTCTTTAATTTTGTCTATGGCTACTTATTCAGTACTACAACAGAATTCAGTAGTTGCAATAGAGACTGTATGGCCCACAAAGCCTAAAATACCTACTATCAAGCCCTTTACAGAAAATGTTTTTAGACCATTATGGTCCATTAGACCTCGCTTTAGACCATTATGGTCCATTAACCCTTTATCCTGAATTCACAGACTGCCCCCTTCTCCTAACAAGCTCCGAGGACACAGTCCATTGTTCTGGCAGTGTCATAATGGGGTGAGAGGTGAGGTGGGGCCGAGAATCCAAGAGCTCAGGAGCATGACACACTGCCCAGGGAGCAAGTGACAATGGAGGGTCTCAGAGTGTCAGGATGAGCACAGGCACTTGAGAGAGGATGTCTGACCCACAGAAGCAGTAAGGGAGGGAAAAGGGAAGGAAAAAAAAATAGAAAACAAAAATTTAAATATTCTCCCAGTTCCCCCAATCTATAAACATATCCAGTGGTTTTAATGTTTTGTTAAAGAAAAACAAACTGATTAAAAGAGTCATGTGTAAGGAAGTTTCAAAAACAAAGTTTGAAAAAGAAACACAAAGGGCAAACATCTTATTTAACACAGGACAATGTTTTCCAGTTTTGTGGAAATCAGTAATTCAGCTCAATGCTAATACAACTTCAGATGACTCTGTTCCCAAACCTGCCCTCCCAGTGATGGGTTTAGCTGGTTATGCCTGTGTTTCTACCGGGTCTGTCTTCTAAACTGCTGCTTCCTGTGGAACCAGAGTCTCATCTTAAACCTTCACGGAGTGAAAACAACAGAAAAAAAAAAAAAAACAGAAAACTTCAAAGGATTCCTCACTCAGGCCAGCCCTAGAGGCATATCCCCTAAGACCTCCTTGAATTTGGCTTTAGCAGGGCCCAGAAGGGCCCATAAGGGATTGGAGAAAACAGAACTCTTTTTTCATATTCCCATCTTCAGCTTGACATCAGCCCAGAGCTACAGCCTGTTCAGTTGGCACAAGCTGGCACTTGGACCCAGGTAGACTAACTTCTAGGAGATTTTTTCTCAGTAATCTTTCTTTCAAAAGGTTGAGAAAAGCTTCAAAGTAACAAATATAATTCACAAACTTTTTCTAAGTAAAATAATAATACAGATTTGACATCTGTGCAGATTTCAACTCCAAGCAGAGACAAGGAAAGAAACTTCAAATGAAACTCTCCCACTCCTACCTCCTTTCATACACATCTTGTTCTTTCAGGAAACCTCCACTCCTTGCTAATTCCCTCACTCCTTTAATGTTCCCCTGGCCCCCAACTGCTTCCTCTAGATCACTCAGTAACCAGTCCCTCCTAAGGTGTCCTGACAAGACTGAAGAAGCATGACTTTTTTTCAAAAATTAATAATCTTTTAAATATCACCAGTGAGTTTACTGTGGAAAATGAGAAGTGCTGCCCTAAATGCCATGGACATTTAAGACGATGTAAATGCTGGTCCTGAGCTCCATGAGGGCAATCATCTAACACAAAAACAAAGTTGTAAAATATGGTAATGAACAAAAACATAGGCTCTTAGGACTGCAGAGAGCCTGAGGCATAATCTAGCTCAACCAGGTCATTTTCCAGATACAGTAAGTAGTAGAGCCATCTCCAAGTTTTTTCCCCAATTCTCAGCCCAGCGCCATCTGGAATACTCCCTGTTGCCCCTAGGTATTCTTTCTGCCATCCTTAGCCTCCCTAGATCAGCTGTCTTCAGAAGAATACTAACTAACCAAGCATTCACCTACTAATCATGGTAAATACCCTTGTGACTCTTTTGTTACTTTAAGTAAAAATGCATGAAAGTTTCTTGTGGATTGCCACATCATGTTTCTCGTGGAATACAATCAATAAGCTACCATATCCTTCTGAGTCAGTGTGACCCACCTTAAAAACCTAAGTAAATTGTATCTGTAAAGAAAACCTATGATAATTAAAGAAGTGCCTCTACCTTATAGGGAACCAAGTAATCACCTGAGACTATAACCTAATACAAAGATACAGGATTAATCACACAGCCAACTTAACACTGCACAGAAACCCATTCCAATTTCATCTACAAAACAGGGTTTGCATTAACTATAACATGTAAGTGGGCATATACATTTGGCTTAAAAGAAATGGTGTGGCATGGGAAAGGATTAGGTATAGATATGGTTTGGATATTTCAGATTGTACAATTATACACTATGAAAAATATACACCAAATTTTAATTTGCATATCACTGACTGACAGGAACCGAGTAAACCATAAAATAATTCAAAGCATCAGAGAGAAGTTAACTAGGCCCTAATCAGTAGCCAGTGTGGTCTAGTCCAACTAATTTTGATAGTTGAAGTAACAATTTACAAACAATGTAGATAGACTGAAAAATGTGAACCATTACTGGTTAGTATCCAATATTACAAGAATAATGCCAGACCTATTCCATAAATGTCTTCTAGTGGGAAAGTCTGTGACAAGGGAAGAAAAACTGAATTGGGCTTTGAGCAAGTCCAGCGTGTAACCGTTTCCTAGTCCTTGGAAAATATCAAGCTCCCTCTGTCTCCATGGTTTTCAACCCTGACTGCACAACTAATGCCCAAATAAATTTTTTTTAAATACACAAAAGCAGGCCCCAACCCAGATCAATTAAATCAAATATCTGTGAGTGGGTCTTGGTATCTTCATTTTTTTAAAGAGCTGTTTGGGAGGTTCTAACATGTAGCCAGGGCTTAGAACCACTGTATCTCCTCCAGAGACACTCCAATGTCCAAAATCCCCAGACAGAAGAAAATACCAAGATAGTTTACATGGTAATTGGAGGCAGCAGCCCCAGCAGTTATGAAATCAACTTCTGGACTCTTCTTTTCTGCAGCAACCAGCATTTCCAGGGAAGACATGCTAAGTTGCCACCCTCTCCAACTACGAATCTATAGACAAGATTCTTCCCAGCTCCAGCCACCTGTAGGTTCTGCTAAGAAGACCAATACCCTACATAAGAAGAGATACTATGTGATATGGAATTAAGAGCCATCAGAACTCAACAATTCTGACTGCACAATTATTAATGCACACTCTTCTGCCTACCTAGTGCATAGGCTAGGGGATATTCAAAGAGGTCCTTAAGTTGTTGTCCTTAGCGGTCCTCCAGGCACTATAAAGATTGATGACATTTTTTTTCTTAGAATATTTCTGTAAAAGTTCTCATAAGTAAAGTCTGGGAGCCTCATTTCTAATGTTTTCCTTTCTACAGCTGAATTCATGAAAAAGCAGAATCCAAAATTATATTCCTTAAATATACAATATTTTCAGTCTTTTACACATATTGAAGATCTGTTAACCACCAACAGATGTATTATACAGTGGTTTCCTTTGGACAAAATTAAAGCTTTCATCCCCAGAATCCCTCTAGCTGCTTCAAGGTGTGCTGAGCCCAAAGCATAATTTAGTGTTTGCTCCACTGTGGCTAATTAAAATATGCTTTAGGTGGTTCAGCTATTTTCCCAAGCAACTTGTCCCCCTGAGTTGATCTAGTTCTTTCCTTCCTTCCTTTTGTTTCTGTGATTCATCCAACAATCATGTTATTTCAGAAACCACGGTGCAGAGAATAATCATTAGCCAACTTTAGTTGAAATGCAACATTAATCCTTAATTTATTCTTCTGAGGAAAGTCATGCTTAAGCATTCTTTCATTCATTTTCCATGAAGAGCTAAGCTTTCAGCCCAAATTGTGTCAATGGTAGCTTCCCAAATGAAATTCCAGCATGCTTTCAGACTCAGGCACCACAGGGATGCAGGTGGATGAGAAAAAGCTCAATTTAAATTGAGTTAGAAACTTCTGGACATTACTTTCACTGAATAACCTTGTAGTAAACCCATCTAATGAAAATCAGATCTCATTCAGAGCAGGGAAATTTGCTTTCCTGGATGAAACTAAATTGGTCCCATAAGATCTATTACCCCAAGAGCTAAAGGTCCTGTCTACACAGCACTAAATAAAGTGGTCAATGAATTTAGCCAAAATCCCTAAAAAATAACAAAATATTCTCTTAAAATTTAAATCCTTTTAGGGAACATATTGGATAGGTTGATTCATATTTGTTAATGGGTTTCAGGCACACTTGTTCCTTGATCAAATAAATATACTGCTAATGAACAGATATGTTTGAGTGTTTTCTGTGTGTTCAGTCAGAACTGTATTGAGTCAGAAAGAGATATGCTAGGTGTATAATTCTGATGCAGTAAAAAAACAACAAGTTTACATGACTTCTGCTATTCATTATATGTTATGATGCAATATAACACTTGCATGTTTGGAAATTTGGGTTTTTTTCTCTTTTGATGGAAAAAACAAATCTAAGTCATTTCCATTTTAATTACCAGAACTAGCATAATGAATAATGCATAGTAAGTTCTTAAAGAGTGTGTGTGGCATGAATAAACAAGTGAATAAATGAACGAATATTTTTCAGGCATATGGGGCCCATTAAGCTGAGAGTTCATAGTAACAAAAACACTCTGTCAAGTACTATTACACCTAGAGATTGCTCCATTTTCACCAAAATCCATGTTTTCTTCTCCTTGAGTATATAGGTAATCCCCCTTTTTGCAGCCTCCCTTGCATTGGATCTGGCCCTATGATGAGATCTAGCCAATGGAATATGAGTGAAAGAGGTATGAGCCACTTCCAGGTCTCACTCATAAAACTGTCCATGCTCCTCCCCTTCGAGCTAATTGGAATTGAGACAAGCACAGTGAACTTGAAGTTCACACGTATGTGATAGCAGAGCCTCATCAACCTGAGACCCTGAATGGCAGTGGAGACTTCTCACAATCCCAGAAGATATGTTTATTATTATCCCAACTTTACCAATGAGAAAACTGAGTCAGAGAAGTTAATCATAGATAATAAGGGGCAGTAAGGGACCTGAACTGGAGCCACTTCTGCCTCAGTCATCATATTCTTCTTCAAAAATACTCAGAAGCTTTAAAGGAGCATCTGAATCATTGGCCTATAACCTCTCCCAGATGACCGTTCCCATAACCTGAAATTAAAGTAATGATTTTTTTCAATATGCCATTTTCCATCTGTCCCCATTCACTTGCTCCCTCCCTTCTAACAGATCATTTGCCCCTGCAAGTGCATATCATGATGGCACACCCACTTAGTGAGACTCCCCCAGAACTGCCATAACTTCTGTCTTATCCTAGTTATTGTGTCTACCTCTCAAACAATGCCATCCTGCCTGTTCATTAACTGATTTTTGACAGTGACATAGAATAGAGCTTACGCATTCTGTAAGGTTTTCTCCATTTAAAACAAAACAAAACAAAAGCACAATTAATATTGCACAAGGTTGGCCAAAAAACCCTAAAGGTTTTTATATTTTGCTACAAAAACATTCACATTAAAATATTCAGAAACAGGTAGGTGAACTCATTTAAAGGTTATGTAATGTTCAAATATGTCTATAACATACAATAACACCTAATATAAAAGCAAAATTAAGAAATCAGAATATTCTCTTTAACTGAAATGGCCAATTAGCTGAGAATTAATGCATTTATCCAATAAAACTCCCCAAGGCAGAGATGCATTTAAGATGGGGACATGGAACTAAGCTCCGGGGGTGCCCACACAAATAGGCAGAACTTTAAAATGGCCTCGTACAAAAGGAATGTTATCTCCAATGGCCTTAATAACACACAATCCACCTAGGAGAGAAATAAATATTTTGCCCCTGAAATTTCTTACATGCAGAGCAGAGAAACTCACATACATGAAGCAGTTCATGAAGAGTGTTGTATATTTCACAAGTCAAATGGAATTTAGAACCTGAGACTCGGCTGAGCATGGTGGCTCATGCCTGTAATCTCCGCATTTTGAGAGACTGAGGTGGAAGGATCACTTGAGCCCAGGAGTTAGAGGCTTCAGTGAGCCGTAACCATGCCACTGCACTCCAGCCTAGATGACAGAGTGACACCCTGTTTTTAAAAAAATAAAATAAAATATGTGACTGTAGCTGACTCAGAAGCAAAAGGGAAAGACAACGAACCACAGATTCCAATTCCTACTTGTGTGTCTTGATGACCAAAATCAATATACAAAATCTTTTCAGTAACTTCATAAGCATTATATTTGCTCTAAATATCAGAGCTGATACCCAGCCATTTGGACAAGTATTATATTCCCATATTCTACCCTCGGCTTCCATCTTCCCCAGGATATCTGCTGCTCTAGAGTCACAATACTAATGGCACAGAAACATTTTTGAGTCAAGAAAATCTAAATGAAATTGGGTGTGCTTAGGTTTCATAAATGGTGTTTTTAAAAGTTTATTTAGAGATAGAGTCTCGCTATGTTGCCCAGGCTGGACTCAAACTCTTGGGTTCAAGTGATCTTCCTGCCTCAACCTCCCAAGTAGCTAGGATTATAGGCATTCAAACAAAATGTTAACTGCTGAAAATATTGATATTTCTTATATCATTGTTTTACAAAAGTCTTTAGATAAAAAAGTCCCCCAAAAATATGGATGGTTATGGCACACGTATCCCAAAAGTAAATTTGATTCAGCCCTGGAACATACTCTCTACTTGAACCTCAACTATATGTAAAAATACAGATAAAGATATGGTCAGTGGACAGACTTTTAATTTTAAAATTATTTTATTTGCCATTGTAGTGTATTGTTGCATACTATCTGGGGCCATTTCCAGAATAGGTAATAAAGAGATATCACAAAGGACCAATCAAGAGAAGGATGGATGGAGCTCATCAGTTCACCCTTAGAAAACTGCTAGTGCATATCAGTTTTCATTCACAGATGGAAAAATTAGAAACAATAAGGAAAACGCAGTCTTTCATAAAGTTAAATGTATTCAATTCAAAGAACTATAATTTTAAGATTATATCATTTCTGTTCTTCAGTATTCAACTGTGCTTTCTTTAATGAAATGATATAACTATATGGGATAGTTGCTAGTATTTGCCTATAATTGGCAAAATAAAAAAGTTATCAATTCTATTCTATACCCAAAGGTATGTTCCTGAGATTCTATTGCTCCATAGAATGCAACATCTAGAAGTCACTAAACTAGTTCACTGTCTTTCTCATAAATTGTAGTTTAAATATGGCAATAGATGATGAATACAGGATTTCTTTGATAAGTCTCCAGATGATTTACCCATAGACTGGAGTGTTGAAGACTAGAAGTGTTTTTCTGGTATTTTCTGTGTACTCAGTAGAGATCTAAGAATTCCCAGTGGAGAGGGAAATCCCTGGTCGGTCCTTTTCAACAAAGAGTTTACAGAATAGTTAAAACCAACAAGCACCTACATGAACTAGAAAGAAAACACACACACACACACACACACACACACACACACACACACACACACAGAGCTTTCTGAATAGACAGAAAAGCATTAAAAAGAAATCATGGAGAGAGTGCATATTGATGTGGAGGAAAGCAAAGTGACCGGCTCGGCTACCATAAATAGGGTCCAGAGAAGTGAAAGGAACTGGGCACAGAGGAACCTCTTGACAGAAGGCTTTAAAAAACGTGCCCAGAATTTAGTCAGAAGCTCATGGAAGACTAATGCCCATCATACTCAAACTAAGAATCAGGTTCAACCAGGAGTGAAGAGGCAAGGAAATGTCTGAGGACCCCAAAATTCACTCTCTCCTTTCAGTCACAAGCTACAAATAAGCCTCCATTAACAGTTATTTTAGATCAACTTAAAAGTTTTAAAGACATCAAGCCCAGTTATGAGTCTAGCAGCATAATTTATGTGAGACATGAGTCAACTGTGGTCTAGTTTACGCATTCTCAACAGAGAGAAAATTGGTTGATGGTGGGGCACGAAAAAATTCTTAGATATTACAATGGTTTGTGTTCTTCCAAAGCTTCGTCCTATCTGAAAAAATATTATTTCTCAATGTTTAATTTCTCTCACTAGGGAAAAAATAATTTTAATTAAATTAACTAATTCACAGACATAAATTTTAATTTTATTCCATTTTTCTTCTCAGAGAGGCAACAATGAATGGAGTTTGAGAAACATTGGTCTGGATCTAGAAAGAAAACGAGATGTAGCTTTACTAATGACATTTCTTTTTTGCATTTTGTAATGAAGATTGTCTTTAGTGTCTCAGTTGCCATTTCAGCATTCTTTTCTCTTCCTGTGGAGTCCCTGGTCCCAAGTTCTGACACACAATTTTTTTTTGCACTCAGGAAAATATTTGCCATATCAATCATGTATACATTAGGGAAAATTTAAGACAAGTTTTGTCCTTTTGGCATATTGGAATTATAAGGCTTTTATCACACTATGGAATAAAAGGATTACTCCATTGTTAACCTTAATAATTATCACATCACATCACATCACATCACCTCACAGGGGCACACACTTGCTGGGTTTAAAACTGTTTTTGTACTGATTAGCAGACATTCTTCCAGATGTGCCAGGTAGTCATTGCCCTTACTATAATACTTAGACTTCATTGCCCAAATGTGTCAAGACCCAGGACCCAAAAGGCATTATGACCAACAAGGAGTGGGCATATGGTAGTAGCTAAAGCTTATTAAGCTCTTACTATGTGCTAGGCCCTGTTCACATCACTGTATGTGCCCAACTCTATGAAGCTCCAAACAACTAAAGCAGCTACTAATAATAGTATCTAATCTATTTTAGAGATGAAGAAACTAAAAAGAGAAAAGTTAAGCTCTATGCCAGGTTACACACCCAGCAAAAACCAGAGCAAAGGTTTATACCCTGCTAATTTTACACCAGAGCTTGCTTCCTGAAGCACTTCACAATACTGCCTTGGAAACTGGTTCAGAGAAGGAACTCTTGGGCCTGGTAGATCAGCATTCAAATCCTGTCTCTACCATTTCCTACTTGTGTGACTTTGAACTAATTACCTACTTTATCTGAGCCTGTGTTTGCAGTTTGCTCACCTCATAGGGATATTATAAGGCATAAATGAGATTGTGCCTCGCTGAACAAAGCAGGACTTAAATAATAATCAAGATCAATATTGTTAAGGTGTCAGTTCTTCCCAAATTGGTCTATAGATTCAATGCAGTACAGCCAAAATATCAGCAAGTTATTTTGTGGATACCAACAAACTGATTCTAAAGTGTATACGGAGAGGCAAAAGACAGAATAGCCAACACAATATTGAAGGAGAAGAGCCAAGACAGAAGAATAACACTACCCAACTTTGTTTATTTTTATTTTTTTACATTTTTTTCTTTAACTTTTAGTTTAGATTTAGGGTGTACATGTGCAGGTTTGTTACACGAGTATATTGCATGATGCTGAGGCTTCAGGTATGGATCCCCTCATCCAGGTAGTGAGCATAGTAACCAATAGGTAGTTTTTCAACCAATCCCCCTTCCCTCCCTTCCCCCTCCAGTACTCCCCAGTGTCTATTGTTCCCATCTTTGTGTCCATATGTACTTAGCGTTTAGCTCCCACTTATAAGTGAGAACATGTGGTATTTGGTTTTCTGTTTGTACATTAATTTGCTTATGATAATGGCCTCCAGCTGTATCCATGTTGCTGCAAAAGACATGATTTCATTCTTTTTTATGGCTGCATAGTATTCCATGGTATATGTGTACCACTTTTTTTTTAATCCAATCCATTATTGATGGGCACCTAGGTTGATTCCATGTCTTTGCTGTTCTGACTAGTGCTGCAATGAATATATGCATGCATGTGTCTTTATGGTAGAATGATTTGATTTCTTTTGGGTATATAGCCAGTAATGGGATTGGTGGATCAAATGATAGCTCTGTTTTAAGTTCTTTGAGAAACCTCCAAACTGCTTTCCACAGTGGCTGAACTAATTTGCATTCCCACCAACACTGTATAAACATTCCCTTTTCTCCGCAGCCTCACCAGCATCTGTTAGTTTTTACTTTTTAATTATAGCCATTCTGATTGGTGTACAATGATATCTCATTGTGGCTTTGATTTGCATTTCTCTGATGATTAGTGAAAAACTTTTTTTAATTATTTGTTGGCCACTTGTATGTCTTCCTTTGGGAAGTATCTGCTCATGTCCTCTGCCCATTTTTTGATGGGCTTATTTGGTTTTTGCTTGTTGATTTAAGTTCCTTATAGATTATGGATATTAGACCTTTGTCAGATGCATAGTTTGCAAATATTTTATCCCATTCTGTAGGTTGTCTGTTTACTCTGTTAATAGTTCTTTTCCTTGCAGAAGCTCTTTAATCTAATTAGGTTCCACTTGTCAATTTTTTGTTACAATTGCTTTTGGAAAATTAACCAAGAATTCCTTGCCAAGGCCAATAACAAGAAGGGTATTTCCTAGGTTTTCTTCTAGAATTTTTATAGTTTCAGGTCTTACATTTAGAATTTTAATGAATCTTGAGTTAATTTTGTATATGGTGAAAGGTAGGAAGGTAGGGGTCCAGTTTCGTTCTTCTGCCTATGACTAACCAGTTATCCCTGCACCACTTATTGAATAGGGAGTCCTTTCCCATTTGCTTGTTTCTGTTGGCCTTGTCAAAGACCAGATGGCTGTAAAGGTGTGAATTTATTTCTGGGTTCTCGATTCTGTTCCACTGGTCTATGTGTCTGTTTTTATACTGGTTTCTGTTGGCCTTGTCAAAGACCAGATGGCTGTAGAGGTATGGATTTATTTCTGGGTTCTCTATTCTGTTCCACTGGTCTATGTGTCTGTTTTTATTCCAGTACCATGTTGTTTTGGTTACTATATCCTTGTAGTATAGTTTGAAGTTGGGTAGTGTGATGCCTCTGACTTTGTTCTTTTTGCTTAGGATTGCTTTGCCTATTCAGGCTCATTTTGGGTTGCATATATTTAGGATACTTTTTCTAATTCTGTGAAAAACTATGTTGGTAGTTTGAAAGAAATAGTATTGAATCTGTACATTGCTTTGGGCAATATGGCCATTTTAATGATATTGACTATTCCAATCCATGACCATGGAATGCTTTTTTCATTTATTTCTATCATCTCTGATTTCTTTGAGGAGTGTTTTGTAGTTCTCTTTATAGCGATCTTTCCCTTCCTTGGTTAGCTGTATTCCCAGACATTTCACTTTTTTGTTTGTGGTAAATGAAAGTACATTCTTAACTTGACTCTCAGCATGAACATTATAGGTGTATAGAAATGCCACTGATTTTTTTACATTGATTTTTGTATCCTGAAACTTTGCAAAAGTCATTGATCTGTTCTAGAAGCCTTTTGGCAGAGTCTTTAGGGTTTTGTAGATACAGAATCATATTGTCAGCAAAGAGAGATAGTTTGACATCTTTTCCTATTTGGATGCCTTCCATTTCTTTCTCTTGCCTGATTACTCTGGCTAGGACTTCCATTACTATGCTGAATAGTAGTGAAAGAGTGGACATCCTTATCTTGTTCCAGTTCTCAAGAGGAATCATTCCAGCTTTTGTCTGTTCAGTATAATGTTGGCTGTGGGTTTGTCTTAGATGACTGTTATTATCTTTAGGTATGTTTTTTCAATGCCTACTCTGTTGAAGGTTTTTATCATAAAGGGATGCTAGATTTTATCAAAAGCTTTTTCTGCAAATATTGAGATGATCATATGATTTTTGCTTTTAATTCCATTTATGTGATGAATCACATTTACTGATTTGCATATGTTGAACCACCCTTGCATTCTAGAAATAAAGCCTACCTGATCATGGTGTCTTAACTTTTTTTTTTTTTTTTTTTGAGATGGAGTCTCACTCTGTCACCCAGGAGGGAGTGCAGTGACACAGTCTTGGCTCACTGCAGTCTCTGCCTCCCAGGATCAAGCAATTCTCCTGCCTCAGCCTCTTGAGTAGCTGGGATTACAGGTGCACACCACCACACCCAGCTAATTTTTGTATTTTTAGTAGAGACGGGGTTTCACCATGTTGGCCAGACTGGTCTCAAACTCCTGACCTCATGTGATCCACCCTCCTTGTCTTCCCGAAGTGCTGGGATTATAGGCGTGACCCACCACACCAGGCTGGTGTGTTAACTTTTTGATGTGCTGCTGTACTTGGTTTGCTAGTACTTTATTGAGGATTTTTGTGTCTGTATTCCTCAGGGATATTGGCCTGAAGTTTTCTTTTTTCATTGTGTCTCTTCCAGATTTTGGTATCAGGCTGATACTGTCTTCATTGAATGAGTTAGAGAGGATCCTCTCCTTCTCAATTTTTCGGAATCGTTTCAGTAGATTGGTACCATTTCTTCTTTGTACATCTGATAGAATTTAGCTGTAGACCCATCTGGCCCAGGGCTTTTTTTGGTCAGTAAGTTTTTTATTACTGACTCCATTTTGGAACTTGTTATTGGTCTGTTCAAGTTTTCACTTTCTTTATGGTTCAATCTCGGGAGGTTGTGTGTTTCCAGGAATTTTTTTTTCATTTCCTCTATATTTTCTAATTTATTTGCATAGAGTTGTTCATTATAGTCCCCGAGGATCTTTTGTATTTTTGTGGGATTAGTTGTAATGTCAACTTTGTCATTTCTGGTTATACTTAGTTGGATCTTCTTTGTTTTTCTTTGTTAATCTAGCTAGCAACTACCCAATTTTAACACTTACTATAAAGCTACAGTAATCAAGACAGTGTCTTACTAGCAAAAGAATAAACACATAGATCAATGGAACAGATAGACAGCCCAGAAATAGATCCACACAGATATAGTCAACTGATCTTTGACAAAGAAGCAAAGGCAATACAAAGAAAAAATGAGTTATACAGGGAATCTGCACCTCCCATTCAATGTTGCTATAAACCTAAAACTCCTCTAAAGAATAGTCTATTTAAAAAAGGAAAAATCATCAGGACAGGCTACAAAATCAAGACTAGGAAGACAGAGGAAGAAGAGTCTTCTCAGTTTACAATCTTCTGAGCCCAAGTATCTAGGGTAGCACTTAAGGAGGTAACAATGAAAAGATAAGTGCAGAATCTTCAGATAACAAGAGAATACAGTCAGGCACATGGTCAGCCAGATTGCTAGGGGCCACTCAGACAACAGTAGAGAAAAGAACTGAATATCTGTGTTGACAAGTTGTGCTGGTGACCAAAATACTCCTGAGATGTCTCCTTCCTAGCTCCAGATCCCATCCCAGAACAAGCCCTTCTCCAGAGGCAAAGCTTCCACCTCTCCCACTCGTCTATAGCTTTTTGAACATATCGAACAAAGATGTAAAGGGTGTACTAGTTAAGCTCTTGTTGAATTCCTATAACAATATTGGAAAGAATATACAACACTTCAACGCAGACAAATGATGACAAACCACCGAGAGGGCTATGGGAATGAATGTTCTAAAAGAGCCAGGAACCAGGAAGCTCTGCTTCCTGGAATCAAATACAGGCCAAAAAACATTCTCACCTGGTAGCCTCAAACATATCACATGGTTAGAAGATGCTGCCAAAAACTGAGATCAAAAGAATGGAGAGAAGGAGGGGAAGAGAGACCCAATATTTTCCCCTAGGACCAAGGTAATGGCACTTAGTAGCGTGACCCACTCTATGGCACCTTAGAAACAAAAGGTCACCATCCAAGTGCAAACAAACTTCTTTCCCTGCTGTGACTGCATTTCATAACTTTTGTTGCACTTCCTAATATGGAGCCACTCCATCTATGAGGTCATTTGTTTTCCTGGAAATTCAGTTACAGGGCTTGCCAATCATTCAGATCATAGCTCTGGCTAGGAAAGCTGTGTGAGGAAAGAAATGCATTAAGCTCTTTACTGCTCTCTGTTAGGTCAGTCAAAGCATTTGAATCCCATACGATTGTCTTTAAAAAAAAAAGAAAAACCTATGCATACAAAGATAACAAGTTCCAAATGTCTTTTTCTAAAGGTATGTTTATTTCGAATCATATGTTTTTAATCTATGACAAAACAGCCTCAGTTATAATTATTCCAATGCTACATATTATCCAAAAGCCAAGAGATAACATGCAGAAGTGATGAATGTGTTATTGGTGCTACAGAATCAATCTGTTGATTCAAAACAACAGAGTCACACAGAAAAAGGAGAAATATTAAGCAACAGATCCAATTTGCATTATGCCTGCTCGCAGAACAGAACAGTTTCAGGCCTTCCAGGTCAGTAGCAAAGGATCCTCACTTTGAGGAAGGACTCTGGTGTTAGTCACTTGCACTTTAATGTGAATTTGAATTACTCAAACCCCACACTTCATTTGCATTTGAACCTTTACCTATAATTGGAAAACAAAAAGGTTTTCTCTGGTTATTAAGGGAATTTGGAACCTTGATGAATATATAAAATAGATACAGAAAGAGGGACTGGGAAATACACAATGTGTTTAAGAAAAAAGACTTTACCAAGAGTGTTTTTAATTGCACGCTGCTGAAACGTTAGCTTTAGTGCCTCCTTAGCCTTATAACCACAGGATCTAGTGCAAGATTTTTTTTTTTTGTCACATCCCATCAAGCATCAGGCTCCAAAAACGGTTTTTTGTTTATTTGTTTTGCTCTTGGTAAATATTGCCCATTTTTCAATGCATATCTCAAAATGGAGAAACTAAAAAATGATTGAGAAGACCTATCTTTTTCTGTCTTCACCACTGAAGTTTATGTCATTTCACTAATTGTTAGATGTAAAGCTTTAGACACGTATAAACTATAGGATTTAGTGAAGTGATGTAAACAATGTAGACTATCTTGTAAGTATGATACAATCCACTGAAATTCATATTTTAGAGATTTCAAAAAAGAAAGGCCCAAAACAATGTCTAGATGGAATTTTGGAATCTTAGAGATCTCCTCCTTCCCAAGCAATGATGCTGTTATTGAACCAGGCCTGTTTTGCCCATGATGCAGTATGCCAATCACCAAGACAACGAGTTTTGCAGCAAAGAAAGCATTTATTTATGTAGCAGCCAAACCAAGAGATGGGAAAGCAGGTCCCAAACCCACCTCCCCAAAGATGGGGATTGGGAATCCTTATGGAATAGCGGAGCAGAGTGGTGTGAGGCAGAGAAAAGTGAGTGGGGATAAGGAAAAGTGTGGTAATCTGTGTTCTGTGCAAGAATTAGTCAAGATTCATGGCCCTTCATAGGATGTATGTTTGCAAAATGGCAATATTAGCGTGATCTGAGGGTGGAGCTCATGGCCCTCTGATGTCAAAAGGTCACCCACTGGACATTTGCACAGGCCCAGCTGAAGAGTCAGTGGTCTCAACTGGCTCGAACTGGATGAGAGGAGACTGTAAGTTTTTGAAAATCAATTTAGGCAACCGTTACCATTGTGAAACTGAAGCCTCCCTAAATTGAAGACTCCCTTCAGTTTCACAATGGTAATTTGAAAACCTTTTAGTCAACCATTACCACAGAGAAACTGAAGGGAGTCTTGTGATACATTGCTTAGCTAAGTGATATTCAGGGTAAGTAATTTTTTTAAATAGCTAAACCAGCTAAAAGCAAGTGAAGCAGGTTAAAGTTTGGTAAACCTAGTCAGGTTTGCCCTTAGCTTCCATGCTTTCCCTTAATCATGTACCTCTACTTCCAGCCAAATTAGACCACATTGACCACGCTGAAATCACTTCAGATTCATTTCTGAAAACGTATCTTTTTTCTCCAAAGAAAGGAAACAGAGCTGGTCAAATTAGGAAAAAACAGACAAAAACAACAAAACCCCTTGATCAAGACCAATGGGCAATATCACACTGAATGGAAGTGAGAAATTCGTTTAACTCAAGCTTAAGTCTGAATTTTGCTCTGTGCAATGAATAATCTGGCATTTCCCTATTTACAAGTGAGCTTCTGACAGGCACCCTAGCACAAAAAGCCCAAACCTGTCCCCTTTTTTTCATTTTATAATGAAAGCCAACACCACAGCTGTGGAAAGGGAAAGTAATTGTTAGTTAAAAACCCTTTTTAAGAATTAATTTTATTTAAAGATTGTTACAAATCTGTGTATTTCAGATTAAACTTAAAACATACCATATCTCACAGAATTTTGTGGAAGAAATGAAATAAATGAATATTCCTTGACATGAAACCCAGATCCTCCATGAGAAAAGAAACCTGACTTGTGTTGCTCCTGGGTATAGTAATCTCAGCCTGATGGAAATCAAATTTCCTAGGAACTCAATCCATAATGAATTATTCTATTACCTGGGAAAGAAAGGGAAATAATCTATAGATATACATTTCAGAAGAAAAGCATACCATTAACTGACATATCTTCCCATCCTGATATGAGGTGATTAAAATAAACACAAAATCTAATATCTGCATCAAATAATGAACTAATTTTAGAAATTATTACAAAAATTTTATTTTGTTCTTGTAGGCATACTAGAAATATTTGTTGAGTATCTACAATATCCAAAATACCATTCCAGAGAAAGTCACATTTAAAAGGGATATAAGATGAAGTCCTTCCTAGTCTCAGCACATGCACACACACACACACACACACACACACACACACACACACTCACACAAATAAAAAGTATCAAAACCCCCAAGTAACTTTGACATATTGGAGAGAGATGTTTTCTGAATTCAGTATAATTTTTTCTTCTATAGAATATACATAAACAAATACAATTTGAAGGCTAAGTTCTGTGGTGGATACATTGGGTTAAATGTTATTTAATAGACATCCTGCATTTGCAAACAGATTTAAATAATTTGTAAAGTGCCCAAAGTGTCTACCTGTTAGCTTTAGTTTACATGGAATTCAATCATGTGCATGTAAAAGAGTTCCTAAAATGGTGGGAAAAAAAAAACAAACAAACAGCTCTCTTAAGTAGGTACCTATTTTCTTCTAAGAATTTCTGTAATTTTATTTAGGTAAGAATATCTCATTCTTGTAGCTCAGAAGTAAGTATAAGCTTATGTATAATTATCATAAGTTTTAAATGACTGAAACCCTGTTCAATAAACTGCAATTTGCATAAAAATTGCATGCAGGAGTGACTATCAAAATAAAAATAACAGATAACCTTCTTTCAGTGCTTATTATGGGCTGACCCCTATGCTTATATGTATGTTGATCTCATGTAGTCATCAAAACAACCTCTTCAAGAAGGTATTCTATTTATTCCCACTTTTAACAAGTGGGAACTAGTAGCCTGAGTGTTTAAACATTATGAGATACTGCCTGCCTTCCAACCAAGATATGCAAACTAATATAATATGTCATTTTTAGGCACAACCTCAGCACATTTAAATAAAAAGTAGGTGTTCATTAAAAAAAAATTCTAGCTTTTTTTCTAGTACATATAAGTAAAATCTTAGTTTAAATAGTAACTCCACCACATCCTATTCTATTTTACAATTCCCATTCCATGATCAACCAAGAAACACATATCCCTGGAAACAGTGTGACCACAGACCACCTTTTTCCTGACAATGGCAGCACCACCTGTCTAGTCTCCCAGCCTTGGGGAGCCCTCCTGCCTAGTTCCCCGGTATTTTTTCTTACCTCCTATTGCTTGTCATCAACCTGGTTCATGCAGTCACAACCTTGTGGCCGGATCATCCCAGTAGTACACAACTTTCTGTGCATTTTCTTCTAATTATTGTTTCTCTCCCCAGATCTTAACTACCAAGCTTTATAAACGTAATCCACACGGGTTTTCTCCCATTTACTTCCTGCTCCCTGCACTCTGGTTCCTGCCCTCATCTTTATTCTTTTGCAGACTCCTTTATGGTTGCTCTTCCTCCTCCTACCTTTATGTGCTTTCCAGGACCCATCTTGAACCTGCTCTCTGCCTACTCCACACCCTCCTTGACCCAGTTCATCCACATATGCCAGTAATGCCACAATCTCTCTCTCAACCCTGATCTCTCCCTTGAGCTCCCGACTTACATCCAACCTCTACAAGACGCTCCGTCTGTATGTTTCACAGGCTCCTCACACTCATGATTTTCACCCAAGCTGACCCTGCTTCTTCTCCTGTGCTTCCTTCTCATGAATCCAAATCACCCATACCACCCTTGATCTCCAGTCAGTAAATTCACCAGATTTTTCTCCCAAATAGTTCATGAAACCATCCCATCCTCTCTAAATGTACTAAGCTACAGGTCCCAACAACCACCCTCATCTGGACTATTATGATAGCCTCCTAATGATTTCCCTGACTCAGTCCTGCCCCTAGGGACTCCATCCTCCACAATGCCATTGGATTTTCCCTAACACATAAAGTCTGCTTATACCAACCCCTTGCCCAATTGCTACTGATGGCTCCCATCACCTGCCTGTCTCAGCAACATCCCCACTATTTCCCATGATACATTTTATATTTTCACAGAACCCAATTCACATAGGCCCTCCATGCTCTCTAGTTCTTTCATTGTTTTTTTTTTTTTTTTGTGTGTGTGTGTGTGTGTGATATTCTTCCTGCATGGAATTCCCTCCCCATTCTTTGCCAGTAATCACAGAGGTTAGAAATGGGTCCAGGGAAATTTTCCTGGAGAGGAAACACACCTTTCTAACAAAAGAAGCATGAAATGGAATACCAGACACAAAGTCCTGGGCTCCCAGCCTATGTCAGCCTGAGCTAATAGCCCCTGAAGAATTATGGCTTCAACTGACCCTTTGCACTAACTATCTTGCTCTGAAAACCACCTTTTTATGTCCCCATTTTATTGCCACATTTCTAAATTCCCTGGGGGCAGACCATGTTTTAGGCCATTTCACATTCCTGCTGTCCACCACAGTACAGCACTTTATACATGGTAAATATCTAATAATTTCCCAGTGATGTAACTGGACAACATCTATTAGACATCATCGTTATGAGAAAAAATGTGCTTTTGGATTTGCATAGAAGGCAAGATTTGATGGTTAAGATTTCACATCCTGGCCTGACTTCACATACTTTAACTCATTGTGTCCCCACAGCAACCCTCTGAGATAGGTTTATCATTACCACCTCATGGACCAGGATGCTGATGCACAGAGTGGGCCTGAGGAAGCTCATCAAGAGAAAAGGTAGGCTGTGGAATCAAGTCACCTGACTCCAGAACCTCTGCACTACCCAGTGCTCAAGGGCCTGCCATGCAGGAACCAGGGTAACAGCTGCCACCTGCTAGACACTTGCAATATTACTTGACAGTTTTAGCCTAAATTCCACTAGTTATAAAGCCCTCTAACTCTACCCCCCTCCAAAATATACCTTCATCTCAAAAGAACAACATATATCACAAATGTGCACAATTAAAATTGTTTTATTTAAGTGTAGTTTCTGATGAAGGACTTAAGAATGTATTTATCCTCTTTCACATCTGACTGTCATAGTTACCAACTCTATCATGCAGGGAAGGATATAGAAACATTAAAAGAAAAACATTGATTGAACCCTTCAGTAGATTGTAGGAATAAGCTTTCATTACAGTGAGATTTAGAAGCAACAAAATATTTAATGTCCCATCAGGCTTATAAAAATGAATAGTTTCATATATATGGAAGGATAGTGATTTGAAGAATTTACAATACACAGCCTCCATCTCCTGCACACCCGTGTTCCCCAGGGTGCCTGCTACCAGCCCAGGCAGCTGGGATACTCCAGCTTCATGCCCTCAGAGTCAAGCTGTTACTGCAGAAATGCAAAATGTCACTACTCAGGTTGGTTTTCTTAAATATTTCACACATGGAATATTATACATATAAAATGTCTGTATGAGCCATAAAAGGGTTATAATAAAATAAAGTACAATATGCCCAACTCAAAACTGGTCCAAACTCAGTTTTGAGGTTCAAAATACAATTTTGAATCTTTGGAAGAAACAATGGCCTTGTGAGGAAGGCTTTCAAGCTGTGATTGCATTGTTTGGGTCCTAGCTTAAATAATAACAGAAGCAAGCAATATGGTTATAATAAGTTTGTTGGGAATCCTTCTCGCTCTTCCTTTCCAACTTAGGCCTGGCACCATGGCTCCCACAAAAAAAGGGTGGTGAGAAGAAGGGCTGTTCTGCCATCAAAAGATGGTGACCCAAGACTACACCATCAATGACATTCACAAGCGCATCAGTGAAGTGGGCTTCAAGAAGCATGCCCCTCGGGCACTCCAAGAGAACCAGAAATTTGCCATGAAGGAGATGGACACTCCAGATGTGTCCATTGATGCCAGGCTCAACAAAGCTGTCTGGGCCAAAGAAATAAGGAATATCTGATACCATATCTGTGTTATTGTCTGGAAAACATAATGAGAATGAAGATTCACTAAACAAGCTCTATACGTTGGTTATCTATGTACCTGTTACCACTTTCAAAAATCTACAGCCAATATGAATAAGAACCAGCTGCTGATCATCAAATACATCAAATAAAGTTTTAAAACTACCAAAAAAAAAAGGTTTTTGTCCAGACTCAATAAAAATTCCATAAGACAAAGGAATCCTTGGAGCAGAATTATCAGGGCAGCAAGAATAAGACATAATGACACCTTCTTAGACAGCAACTTTGTTGCTCTGTCCCCATGCCCTTTGCTCCAGTGAGTGCAGTTATAGAATGCCCCAATAAGTTTGCAGGCCCATGAGTTCCTGTGTGGAACCCTGGAAGATGGCACCATTGACTGGGACAAGAAAAAGAGATAGAAGGAAAGCCTCAAGTGTACTGGGTTGTAACCTAAAATTACCATGTTTGCCTGACATTTTCTAAGATTTTATTTTCTATGGTAATGTGGATGGCAAATGGAGATAAGATGAAGTCAGAAAAATAAAGACAGTTTTGAATGTGACTAAGACATTTGCACTTATAACATTTTGAGTAGAAAAAAGACACACTGTTTTTCCTCTGCTCTCACACCACAACAATCATCACAGACAACTTCTGTGACCAAATGTGTGTAGGTTTTTCCACACACACCAAGCAAGCAATCAGTTCTGCAATGGCCACAGCTGGGTATCCTCTAACTGTTCAATTCTGACACTATCTACCTAGAGATAGTGTCAGATCCCACAGGCTGAGGGCTCAGTCCCCAAGACTGCCGCCCGCTTTTTAGATGCCAATCACAAGAGGTTGTTTTATCTGTAATTCTGACCAATTGTCTATAAATTAGAGGTGGCACAACCCTCTCTTTGGATTTATTAATTTGCTAGAGCAGTTGACAGAACCCAGAGAGATACACTTACATTTACCAGTTTATTATAAAGGCTGTTACCAACAATGCTAATGAAGAAATGCATAGGATAAGGTATGGAGCAAGGGGCCTGGAGTTTCCATGTCCTCCTTCGGTGCACTGCCTTCCAGGAACCCCTACATGTTCAGCTGTCCTGGAAGCTCTCCAAAACCTGTCCTTTTGGGTTTTTATGGAGGCTTCATTGCATAGACATAATTGATTACATCACTGGCCATTGGTGATCACGTTAAATTTGAGCCCTTCTCCCCTCCCTGGAGGTTGGGTAGAGGGGCTGAAAGTCCCAAACCTCCATTCCTGCCTTCCTTTCTGTGACTAGAAGCCATCCTGAAGTTACCTAGAGACTGCCAACCATCAGTCAACTTACTAGTATACAAAAATACATCACTTTGGAGATTCTAAGGCTTTTTTAAGACTTGTATATCAGGAAATGGGGACTAAGACCAAATATACATTTTATATTACAAATATAGGTTGGAACATTTTTTTTGAATTTCACTATAGTGGCATATACAAACCACTAGGGAACAGTATATCAAGTAGTATATGTAATGGATCCAGCTAATGGAGCAAATCAATCTAAGTATCTCCACTTTTGTTAATGCAAAGCATTTTTCTGGAAAAGGAGTTAAGAGTTGGTTTGTTAATCGACTTGTGAGCACTATGAATATGGAAAGTTGGGATTATCTACTCTTCAACTTTTGCAAAAACAACTTCTGCAAATAAACTTTTGCAAATAAAAAAATTAGGATAATCTTTGAAGTGTTGCTATCCTCTGCTCAGGAGAGGAATTAAGCATATTGGGTAGATTCTCTGAGGCCAGTCAGTGGTATTTACCCCTGACAGCTATCAGAAGAAAGATGTGAAACCTTCCTCCGTTCCAAACATTGTGGGATCTTTGTTGCCCCTTTTGAACCAATATTATTCTTTCCACTTTGAAGACCATTTAAGATTCCCAACTTCTTACAAAACCATGAAAAACACAAAAGGGGAAGCACAGATGCTAAGCTTTCTAGCCAATCCTCCTCTACACAAAGATCATGCACACAATGTGAAGCTTCAGATACTGAATGGTCAACTATTACATGATTTTGCCCTCCAATAGATGGTTTCTAGAGCCCTCAGATACCAACCAGTTTCTCTTTAAAAAAAGGATGTTATTATGTGCAATTGTGTAGATACTATGTGCCTGTTTAAATGCATTGTCATTACAGATTTCTGAATCTCAGGCCCTCGTGGCTTCACTTTGTAATGCAAGTGTGGCAAAGTACAAAGAGTTTGTGGGTTTTGGAATCAGAGAAATTGGAGCTGAAATCTGAGGAAGCCACTAAATTTCTGTGTTGTCTGGCAGGGAGGTAGGGCTGAGAGTGTCTGTTAATGATTGCTTGTTTTAAGGATGAGAGGCAATGTTTGTAAAGCTCCTATAATGTATTACTATTTAAATTCTATGATTATTCAGTTATTACAGCCCTTGCTTTGAACAAAACACTCTTAATTTTGCTGGTACTTCTCAGTCTTTTCCACACAAAGACTGATAATGGGCGAGGAAAGTAAATATCATCCTCAAGAAACAGGAGAAAGTTTCCATAACAGATTTCTTTGTAATCTTATGGTTGACCTTATATATTTGCATTAATGTGATGATTAACTCCATTCCCTTCTGCTACTGAAGAACACTGAGGTCTACAGAGGCTTGTTAACTTGCTCAAGGTTACATACTACATGATAATCTGATAGGGAAGCCACCCTCACGTATCATCTTACATCTTTTTATTAATATCTGACTCATTTTAATTGAAATAAATTAAAATTTAACAGGAAATTATATATCACAACAATAAAGAAAAACCAGTATCACTTGCCATAAATAGAAGGTAGCCAAAAAATAAATAAACTCTATGAAAAACAAACAATATTATGACATTCTGGGTGGATACAGTTGTCTGTTAAAGACTCTAAGCCCCAAGATCAATTAAAATAAAGCCTTAGCAAAGTTAGGGACACATTAATAACATGTTAGAACCAAGTAAGAATTTCCTCTTGTCATTATCAGAAGAATTGGAAAAAAATTATAAAGAGGAATAACATTCTCATATGCAATTGAATGTAACTGAGTGCTGGGTCCATGTAATACTTAAAATCAATCCCTGCACCAGCTAAAGTTGTCTGCAAACTCTACAGTTTGAGAAAGATACTTCTTTGCTCTCCAATGCTTCAGGACAGGATATACATAGATGACTAAGACCTGGTCATTGCCCTAGAGAAGCTTACGCTTTAGAAAGGATGACAGATGTACAGCACAAATTTCAATACAGTGTTGTGAGTGCTTTGACAGACATAAACACATGATATTATGAGAGCAGAAGCAAAGTTGTTGGGGGTAGGGGGGAGGTGTCAAGAAATAACCCTTGCAGAGATGTCTGAGCCAAGTTTTAAAAGAGAAATAGAAGCCTGCCAGGCAAAGAAAAGCACTCATTAACTGCTCAAAAAGGAAGATCAGTTACTCCATCCACATGGCTACACAAGAAAAATACACATCATCAATCCCTGTGAAACCAGCATGAGAATCAATCCTGAAGGAGCGTGTCTCTGGCGCTTTTGATGAAAAGTGGAGTAGGGATCTCAGGGGGAAAGATGAAAGATCAGAGAGACCTCTAGGTATAAGAACCTTGTCTCTCCACACCATTCATCCACTCAAACTATTTTTATTGGACACAACTGAAAGAAACATTGTTGGCAAATAAAATATCTACCACAACGTTCTGGACTTCGTGCTGCATACATGCTCGATCTTTGACCTGTACAGCACAAATCCATATTTGAGTGGTTAAGGGGCTTTATAAGACGAGCGCTTGTTGTGAATGAAACTTTGGTGATTACATCAGCTGCACTAACCCAGAACAGCTGACAACCACTGCCAATATCATGTGTTCAGCAATCAGCAACATCTTTGGTACAGATGTCAGGGAAACCATAGTGCCAATTATGTTGTAATGAAGAGAGTAGAGAATCTGGCTAGGGAATACTCATTTCATGTCTTCTTTGAAAAAGCAAACCTTAAAAGAGGGCAATATACAATATATACTGTGCATCCTGTCACACTTTTTGGCTTCAGCTGTGCTCCTTTTGACTCCGTGGATTGTTGAACTTTCTGATCTTAGAGTTGGGATGGTATAAGCTAAAGGGTTTTGGCACACACAAAACTCACTACATTCTTGAATGCTCAAGACAGCTTTACAATGTCTTAAGCTACATCTGAGCAAACCTGTTTCTTACTAATACTGTCAGTGTTTTTCAACATTCTCTCTACAAAAGACAAAATTTTTAAAAATCTTTTGTTAAGGCTCAGTTAATCAGAACCCATCTAAACTTAACAGTTGAATGATCTTGTGTTCCACTTTTTACAAAATAATTTAGAAAATAAAGAGTAAAAGACAATCTTTTATAGAAAAATAGGCAATGTATCCCTGGGGTCAATGAAGACTTAAGTCCTTCTCTCTCATTTCTGGAATGGTAGTACTGTGCAATGCATTCATTGTTTTTCCAGTAAATATTTACTGAGCATCTATTGTATGCAAGGAACTATTCCCAATGACAGTCAATGTCCAAAACTGTAAGCCTCGGGCACAATAGCATTCTCAGTCATTAGAGAAAAGTTATATTATGCTTCCTATATTGAAATTAATAAGGTTAAAAAAAAAGTTCCAAAATTTTCATCAACAAGGTAGGAAATAAAATAGATTTATTATCAAGTCTTTATTATTCAGATAATTCCATTACAATCACCTCTCTCCTCCCCCAACTATACCATTTAGTAACCCTTTTGGTAGTTTCAAGGCTTTTTAAAATTTGAATAACTCTATGGATCAAAGGGCATTAGAGTAAGCAAAAAATTTGAGTTTCTGGCCAAAATATATAAGTGCAAAACTATAGAAGAATGAAGAAGAAAGGAATTGCTACCAGGGAGATCTTTGGATCATGAAGGTGATGCACCTTCAAGGGGCTGTGTAAATTTAGACGCCAAGTACACTATTGCTTCCAGAAACTGCTTCCAATAGAAAATTTTATAGGCATTTGAAAGCCTCATGGGTGAGTACCTGAAAATATCACAGTTGGTCAAAAAACATATGTGTTTCAACTTTTTCTAACTTGCTTTGGTGTTAGCTTATAAAAACTCATAGGTGTATATTGGACTCATTAAATTGAGGGACTTGTAAGCACCAGCTCGATCAAGGCAGGGTGCTGACAGGCATTATACATTATGCAAGCTTCCCCACATCACTCTGCCAATATGCTTCCATTTTAATCCGAAACATTCCCAGCTTGTCAAATACTAGGCATCCCTGGAACACATAAAACCAATCATGCCACCTCATGCAGAGGTTCTCTGATGTGGACAGATTTCCACTAGAGACTGTAAGGAACCTCAACCACATTTTCACATGTTACTTCAAATCGATCCAAACTTCTCTCTTCACAGTTAGTATAATCACCATAGTGACTGCAGGAAAAGTAGGTAGAAGAAGAGTCCAAAGCATGCTGGCTTAACAGTTGTCAAATACCAGATTTATCATTGAATAAAATTGTGAATATTCATGAATCGGCTAAAGACATTTCTTTTAAGAATGCATTGGGGGTGAATATATACACATATATACATATATATATACATACATATATACATATATACATATATATATACACATATACATATATACATATATATATATACACATATACACATATATATATACACATATACACTTTTCAAAATTAGAATCTTCTAGGACTGTTAAGATCAGATTTAAGATGAATACAAAAAGATACTTTCAAATATCCAAATTTTCTAAAGGGGCCACAGAGAGGGCTCATATAATATATTTTACAATTTCATATTGACAAATTGGTAAGTCAAGAAACTCGGCATCTTTGTAGCAAGATAGTGGACAGATGCATAGAAGAATCATGACTCTAATTGTTTTACAAAGTCAATAAGACTAAGCCTTTCTAACAGAGCTAATATGTCAAGGAAGAGAGAGATAAGAATTGGAAATCTTATGGAAAATAGCCAGGCAGGAAATACAAAGGGAAGCATGTTAAATTATAATTGAAAATCATATGAGTAAACTTTGTTCTAAAACATATGTGGTGCTGGAAGCAAGACACCCAGGAAGAGTGATTGTGAGCTATAAATAAAAGATTTATGACAACCTGAACTATAAAAGCCTCGTAGGGTGGTGAATTCCTCATGATGGAATGGGAGCTGTATCCAAACCTGGTGAGAAGAAGTCAGGGGAAGAGCTCTGAATTCAGCAGAGGACCCAAAAGAGTGATAAAGCAGAAAAAGTAATCATGTGCTTCCTTCAATAAAAATAAAAGAGAAAAATGCTACAAAAAATAAAATCAATTTGACTAATATCTAGAAGAAGTTCAGGGGGTATTTAATAGTCAAGCTATATCTGAAAATGTACTCATTTATGCCACTTTTTATAGGTGTTTAGTGTAGATGAGTCTTTGGGTTAGGGAGCCTAAGAGATAGATACATTAATGGAAAGTTAAGTAAAATGCTTGGGTTGTCCAGGGGAAGAATTATACAGGTCAGAATTAGTGATATAAGAATCTGAAATCCAAAATGCTCCAAAATCTGAAAGTTTTTAAGCACCAACATGATGCCACAGTGGAAAATTTTACACCTGATGTATAAGTCTGTTCTCACACTGCTAATAAAGACATACTGGAGACTGGGTAATTATAAAGGAAAGAGATTTAATGGACTCACTGTTCCCCATGGCTGGGGAGGCCTCACAATCATGGCAAAAGGCAAAGAAGAAGCAAAGGCACATCTTACATGGCAGCAGTTTACAAATGAAACAGCAACATTCAGAAGTTACCCAATATGCTCTAAAAAGGGGAGAAACCCTCAATTGCCCACCCCTTTCCCAGAAAATTCATAAATAACTCACCCCTTGTTTAACTTATAATCAAGAAATAACTACAAGTATAATCAGCTGAGCAGCCCACGCCACTGCTCTGCCTATAGAGTAACCATTGTTTCATTCCTTCACTTTCTGAATAAACTTGCTTTCAATTTACCCTAAGGACATGCCCAAAATTATTTCTTATGTGAGGTTTAAGAACTTTCTCTTGGGGTCTAGATTGGGACCCCTTTCCAGTAACAATATGATCCATCCATTCTACTTCTTACAGATTTACCCAAGAAAAAGAAAAGCATATGTTCATACAAAGATTTGTAAACAAATGTCTATAGCAACTTTATTCATAACAGCCAAAAACTGTAAACAACCCAACTATCCATTAACAGGTGAATGAATAAAGAAATTGTGGTATATACATACAATGGAACACTATTTAGCAATATAAAAGAGTGAACCATTGATACACAGTACAACTCTGATGAATTGCAAATAATTCTGCTAAGTGAAAGGAGACAGAAAAAAAGGAATTCATATTGAATAATTCCATTTACATAAAATTCTAGGAAATGTAAACTAATCCAAAAAATGACAGCGAGCATATCAGAAGTTGCCTGAGGATTTCACAGTTGGGGGAGTGGGGGCATGAGGAGGATAGGAAGAGGCAGCAGGAGAAAGAGATAAAAAAGGACATGAGGTCCCAGGCATGGTGGTGTCTCATGCCTATAATCCCAACAACTTGGGATGCCAAGGCTAGAGGATTACTTGAACTCAGGGGTTTAAGAAAAGCCTAGGCAACACAGTAAGACCTCATCTCTACAAAATATTAGCTGGGTATGCTAATTTTTGCATACCTGCAGTCTCAGCTACTCAGGAGAATGGCTTGAGCTCAAGGAGGTCGAGGCTGCAGTGAGCCATGATCATGCCACTGCCCTTCAGCCTGAGCAACAGAGCAAGACCCTGTCTCAAAAAAATAAAATAAAATAAAATAAGTAAATAAAAATAAAAGAACATGAGGACACTTTTGGGAGTGGTGGATATGTTCATTATCTTAATTGTGTTTATGGTTTCATTGTTTCATACATATGTTGAAACTTATAAAACACTACATATTAAATATATATAATCCATTATATGTTGATTATACCTCAATAAAACCATAAAAGCACTTGCACAAAATAGAACTTAGGGAGAAAATTACAAATAATGTAAAAAATGGGCATGATAATGGATAGCTTAGTGCATCTATACATCATCTTTATAAAGGCACTGTTAGAAAGGCAACATGATATTGTTGTGCAGGAGCTGGCAAGTATTCTTTCCATTATAACAGTCCTGGTCTTACCTTTATTCAAGTACAGAGGTTAGTCTAGGGTTCATATTTGAAAAATGATATAATGAAATTGAATAGAGAATCTATTCATTACATATGTTGGTATAAGAAGTATAAGCATGGAATCATTTTAATTTTCTAAATAATGGCTACTAATCTCCCCTTTCAAAATCCCTTTCTGCTGGGTAGCCACCTCCCTTAACAAAATCTCAATTTGAGTCCCATTATTTTTTTCATCTTTTTTGGTGATTAAAGCTATCTTATGCCCTGTGCAAAGCTTTCTTTTTCTTTTTTCTTCACCTTTAGCTGAGCTGTTGGTTCAAACTGCCTGGGTTGCAAAGGTGGGGCAAGGTCTGCTGTCCCACTCCGCCCTCTTACTCCCTCCTTTCATTCTTCTTTACCACCCCCGGACAAACACATGCTCCTCACAAATGTATCAGTGGTGAAGCAGTGGGTGCTTCAGTGGCCATAAGTCATGGGTGGCAAGTCCACTATCCCTTTGTCTGTTCTTTGTTGCTGTTCCTCTCCCTGTGGCAGGAACCCAAATACTGCCTGTCTCAAGGGGATACATTTGCTATCTTCCAGAGGATGCTCAGTGTATTAGTCCATTTTCACACTGCTGATAAAGACTTACCTGAGACTGGGCAATTTACAAAACAAAGAGGTTTAATGGACTTACAGTTCTATGTGGCTGGAGAGGCCTCACAATCACAGTGGAAGGTGAAAGGCATGTCTCACATGGCAGAGGACAAGAGAAGAGAGCTTGTGCAAGGAAACTCCCCTTTTTTTTTTTTCTTTTTACCTTTTTATTTTTATTTATTTGTTTATTTATTTATTTTTATTATACTTTAAGTTATAGGGTACATGTGCACAATGTGCAGATTTGTTACATATGTATACATGTGCCATGTTGGTTTCCTGTACCCATTAACTCATCATTTACATTAGATATATCTCCTAATGCTATCTCTCCCCCCTCCCCCAACCTCATGACAGGCCCCGGTGTGTGATGTTCCCCACCCTGTGTCCAAGTGTTCTCATTGTTCAATTCCCACCTATGAGTGAGAACATATGGTGTTTGGTTTTCTGTCCTTGCGATAGTTTGCTGAGAATGGTGGTTTCCAGCTTCATCCATATCCCTACAAAGGACATGAACTCATTCTCATCCTTTGTTATGGCTGCATAGTATTCCATGGTGTATATGTGCCACATTTTCTTAATCCAGTCTATTATTGATGGACATTTGGGTTGGTTCCAAGTCTTTGCTATTGTGAATAGTGCTGCAATAAACATACGTGTGCATGTGTCTTTAGAGCAGCATGATTTATAATCCTTTGGGTATATACCCAGTAATGGGATGGCTGGGTCAAATGGTATCTCTAGTTCTAGATCCTTGAGGAATCGCCACACTGTCTTCCACAATGGTTGAACTAGTTTACAGTCCCACCAGCAGTGTGAAAGTGTTCCTATTTCTCCACATCCTCTCCAGCACCTGTTGTTTCCGGATCCTTTTTAATGATTGCCATTCTAACTGGTGTGAGATGGTATCTCATTGTGGAAACTCCCCTTTTTAAAACCATCAGATCTTATGAGACTTAATATCATGAGAACAGCACGGGAAAGACCTGCCCCCCATGATTCAATTACCTCCCACCCAGTCCCTCCCACAACACGTGGGAATTCAAGATAAGATTTGGGTAGGGACACAGCCAAACCATATCACTCAGGGACCTCTTCCTGCATAGTACCTACCACATGGAAAGCCACTGAGGTTCAGAGGCTCTGCCTCTTCCTCCCCACCCTTATCCACTAAAAACCCTTATCCACTAAAACGATGGCCCATCCACACCTTTTTATGGCTTAGGTCCCCTCACCCAAATAGACATCACACTTGGAGGCTCCTAGCAAGATAACTTAAGCCCTGCCCCCATTGGCAGTCTTCCCTTGACCACAGGGAACACCCTATCCCTTGGTCAAGTCAGACAATGGGAAAGCAGACTGCCTCCTGCCCCACACCAGCACCCTCTTTCTTCCGCCATCTCTCTCTAGCTCCTTCCCCTCATGGGCAGTGCTGCACATTCTGATGGTTTCAGGTTTAGGAGCATAGTAACTTTCAGAGAATAAACTGTGTTTCTAACTATGGAGAGAAAAGACTAAACCCCTCAATCTTGTAGAAAGTAGAAGGAACAAAACAAATACCTTCTCTTCCCCAAGGCAAAAAGAGGAAGAAGATACCATTGCCACTTGACAAACTGCATTTCCCCCAAAGTCAGCTTCTTCCCCCACTCACCCTGGTAGACCTTTTCTTAATAAAGGCCTTAAATTGTTGTGCCACTCTCAATGGGGTAGGGTGGGGGACACACATTGAGAGATAAGTCCTCTTTGGATTTGGCTCTAGAGAATTCCACAGTTGTTCTCAACAGGGTGGGTTCTCCTATAACCCCTGAGCTACAGCAAGACGGCCTCCAGGGTAGATCACCAAAAGGCCCTACACACATCCTGCATGAACCTATTCCTTCCATAGCCCCCTGTGGCATGCTCCAAAGAATTCCTGTGTGGATGGGTGTGCAGTCTGACAGGGAATACCAGACAAGTCACTGAATAACCATAATAGAAAAAAATAGAACAAATTCCATAAGGAAGCCAGAGACAAAGGTCAAAGTTAGATTGCCCTGTACCAAGTGCTGCTCAGTCACCACTTTCTCAAACTCAAAATAGAGGATGAGATTTCCCCAGCTGTGGGATCATGAAAACACTGGCATTTGTTCTGAGCCTTGGAAAGAATGAAGTTTAAACTTGTAGACATAGGTGGGGAGGCAATTAGAAGTGACACATTTTTTTGGAGACAGTAAATCACAAGGGGTAACTTGTTAACTATTGTTAAATACAGTCTTTCTCAACTTCCCTGATTATATAAATCGCTAGGGGTGCTTGTTAAAAATACGGATTCCCAGCTCCACCCTAGATCTCTGGATCAGATCCAGAGTAGACAGGGAATCTGAATTTTTAACACACACCTCCTATCGGATTCTTATAATGAGGTAAGTTCATTAGTAAGAAATACTAATAAAAGATCTAAAGTCTTAGAGTAAGAAATAAAATTGTTACCTATCTCACTGGACAAAAAAAAAAGAAAGAAAAATGGACTATCATTTCTGTAAAAGTTTGGTGTGGAATAAGAAAGACTCTAATTAAAGGTTTCTAAACACTGGAATAGGGTTTTATGAGAGTTGGAATCCCCATCCCTGAAAAGCTTTTAAAATGGAGATCACCATTTGCCCTGGAGGGGCTGGCACTAGGTGGTGAGCAGAGAACTGAACTATTTGGGGATCACTTTGGGAGTGTGAGAAACTGAAACCCACTCAAGCCAGCATGAATAAAACGAGTTCATCATGAAGACACGCACAAGGGAATCTCAAAGAGGCCAAACAGAGGAACCAGAGCTGGCCTTAGGGAACCCAGAAAGTCACCAGGCACCTTTGCCCTTCCTTTCCCCCTCTCTCTGGGACCAAGTGTTCTCTTATGACTGCTTCTCTCTGCACATATATTTCATTCTCTTCTCTCCATAGACCAGCTTCTCAACTTAGTCATTCATATAGTAAGGGCAGCATGATGCCTTAGATACTCAGAGTGAACTGATACAGTCTCCATGCCCTGGTTCTATATTCCTCCAGGTGACAAGATCTGATTGGTCCATCTTGAGTCTCTTGCCCACCCCAATCTAATCACCTGTGGATAGGAGGACTCCTTCCTGGCTGTGTGTGTCTCAGGCACTAAGAAGAGGGTATCACTGGGAGAAAATGAAGAACATCTCATATAAGAATAGATCAAATGATTCTTCTGTTGTCTTAATTTTATATTTTACTTCAAAAACAATGTTTTTTGTTCCAAAATTTATTCTCTTAAGAATTGCCCATCTTGGCTTTGTTTTGAAACTCTTATGAAAGGACCACTTTTTTAATGCCACTGAGAAGGGCTTGTAAACAATGAATGATCAGATGCAGAGTCTTCTGAGTCATCTGAACTCTTACCTAAAGAATTTCTATGCCTACAAACTCAACCCCAGGAGCATTTGCTGAACTTCCTCAAACTTATGATAACTAATCTCTGTCATCTTAAAACCCATGAACTTCAAGATAAATTCAATGTGTGTTTTTGATTAACTATCACTTAGCTTATCTGAATATTGACTAGTTATCTGAAGTCCAGAGAGCTGTTAAAAAGCTATTGCAGTCCTTTATCCTTGAACAAGAAGATTGATTTTTACCCTTGGTACATGGAACTTGATTCTGGTAGCTCCTCCACTTAAGCTTGTCTTGTCAATCTGGGTCCCCCAAGGATTCAACACTAAGTTTATTCATAAAGTCAGTTCTTCTTGGTTTAAGTAGGAAAACTGCTGTCCTTGTTTCCTGAGGATAAGAGACACGAACAAAGAACCAGATTACCAAACTAAAGTACAATCATATCTAGAGATTCTTGTAGCATCATCGATGGAAGCAGGGGAGCAGTGATCCTAAGTATGTCTTGCCTCACCATGCATGCAAATCTCCAGGCTCTAAACACCCATCATCATTCCTTTTCCTCTGCTTCTAATGGGCCTACTTGACTCCCTTCCTGATCATTCTCTCCAACCTCATCTGCTGCCTCCTCTCAGTCATGGGTCTCTTCCTAGTCAGGGGCTCCCACTCCCAGAATATGAATTACAATTGCCCAATGACTACTGGATTTATAGGGTTATCTACTTTTACCAATAGGATCATTTTAGCATCTTCCAATACTTTGAGGCTTTAATTAAACAGAAATAGGCAGGAAGAAAATACTTTCCTTTATTAGAACATTCCACAGAGAAAAATCAGCCAAGGAAATCGCATAAAAGACCAGAAGCAAAGGAGGTATTTAGTTTGTTTGTTTTGGTTTATGTTTTGTTTTGTTTTTGTTTTTGAGACAGAGTCTCACTCTGTTGCCCAGAGTGGAGTGCAGTGGCGCGATCTCGGCTCACTGCAAGCTCCGCCTCCCGGGTTCACGCCATTCTCCCGCCTCAGCCTCCTGAGTAGCTGGGACTACAGGCGTGAGCCACCGCGCCCGGCCAGTTTGTTTGTTTTTTAAAGCTCCACTTGTTGCACTCTGACCTCCAAAGCTTTGAAAAGCTAACAAATTATTCATCTGGAGCTGCCAGTTCCAGAGATTATATCAGTTTTCCAGAGTTCTTCTCACCTGCAATCAGGGTTAGTCTTGAGCATAGATGTACAGATTCTGAAAAGGGTATATTTGTCACTAAGAAAAAAAGGCAAATTGAGAGATGCTGTGGATGTATAAATTTCTGGGGGAGAATATACGAAGATAGGCTAAGTATCAACTGTACCCAGTTCAAGGGCCTGAAACGGATCATTTAGATAGAATGTGAAGAATAAGCCTCTCTGGGCTGGCTTCTAACAGAAGGAAAGGCACGAACCCAAACAAAAATAGGACACCTCTAAAAATCAAACAACATACCTCTTTAAAAAAAAAAAGTTTTTAGATTAAAGTCATGTAACATACAATTAACCATTTTAAAGTACACAATTCAGTGGTATTTAGTGCACTTGTAATGTTATACAACCACTCCCCCTCTCTAGTTTGAGAACTTTTTCATCACCCCAGAAAAACACACCATATCATTCTCCCTTTCCCCCATCCCCCAGGAGCCACTAATCTGCTCTCTGACTCCATAGATTTGCCTATTCCAGATTTATCATATAAAATGAATTACACAGTATGTGACCTTTTGTGTCTGGCTTATTTCATATCTTTTTTAATAATATTTTAATGTGTTACCATCATGTTTTCAAGAGTCATCCAAATTGTAAGATGTATCCCTACTTCACTCCTTTTTTTTTTTTTTCAGTCGGAGTTTTGCTCTTGTTGCCCAGGCTGGAGCGCAATGGTGCGATCTCGGCTCACTGCCACCTCTGCCTCCCAGGTTCAAGCGATTCGCCTACCTCAGCCTCCCGAGTAGCTGGGATTACAGGCATGCGACACCACGCCTGGCTAATTTTGTATTTTAGTAGAAACGGGGTTTCTCCAGTTGGTCAGGCTGGTCTCAAACTCCCGACCTCAGGTGATCCACCTGCCTCGGTCTCTCAAAGTGCTGGGATTACAGGCGTGAGCCACCGTGCCCGGCCCTTCACCCCTTTTTATAACTAGATCATTATTCCATTGTATGTATGTACTAACATTTTATTTATCTATCTATTGATGGACACAAGTTGTTAAATAATGCTGCTATAAACACTGTATACTAGTTTCTGAGAAGAACACCATTTATTGTGATCCTTAAAAGAAAGGAAAACACATTTTTAAGATAGCAACTCAACACCCATTCTTCTACAAGTTGCAGCATGTGCAAAAATACAAACTTAAAAGATGGCCCAAACCAGGAGAGGAGAAAACCTGAATGGTTTCTTAGCCATATACAAAATTAGAAAACTCTAGGAGCTGATATTCACACCTCAACACACTTAAAGGGGAGCCCATTTGCCCAGATAAAATCAATGGGGATGAAACTGACCACACTTCTACCAAGAAGCAGAAAAATGTTGTGACCAGCTTCAGACATGATTGAACAGGGGTATTTCCAATGATTGATGAATTAACACCACTGAGAAGTGAGCTTTTCTGATGATGTGCCCAGAGGCAGGCATAGAGTGTGGGTGGGAAGAGGAATTTAGAACCATTGTCTGTTTTTCTAAGACTTTTTTGTTGTTGTTTTGGGTTGTTTTTTTTTTTCACTGCATAGCTGCAGAAATTGTGTGAGCATTTTGGGACTGTCAAACTCCCATCTAACTTTGTGAAGAATTCTTCTGAGTGGATTTTATTGGTTTCAGCTGGAGAATCCACCCCACACCCCGCCCCCCACCACTAGCAGAAAGCCACATGCCCACCAAGCACTGCCTCTCTCCTCCTGCCCTGAAGTGATCAGAAAGCAAGAGTTCACCACGGGGGAAAACACGTGGAGTCAATTTGTGCCTCAAGTTAGTCCACAGCTTTCCACAATCTACAAGAGATGAGGTGGGGATAGCAACATCCCAATAGGCACAGCAGCCCAGAGCACTTCTCCTTTGCAAAGGGTATTTGTCCCTCTTTTTCTTTGTGGCAGGCAGTGGGTTTGATTTTTCTAAATGTTCAGTAGAAGATTGTTCAGATTTTTCTTTCTAAAACTTTCTGGAGCTTCAGCAGCACTAACGTATTCTATATCAACATGCACAATGGAAAAATATTACTGGCACCAAATAAATAAATAAGGACTATTTAAGGAAAGGGGTGGGGTGGGAGGTTGCTGGGAACATCTGCTCCTGTTCACAACATTCAAGCCGGCCCACCTCGAAGCGCCCCCCAGCCCTGCTAGATCTTGATGCTCTGATGTTCACAAAGCAGCTCAGCTCTCCTCCGAGTCACCATGTCAACACTGGGGATCCAACCCAGTGTTGAAAAGCTATGTGGGGACCTCCTTCAGGCATAGGCTGTGAACAGAGGGAGCAATCACTTCAGCTCTCTTTGCTCAGACACCAAATGTGAGTCTTTGCCAACTCCTTGGCTTTGAGGACAAGCTTTAAGGAAGACAGTTGCTGGATAATATTTCCCTTGTTGGAGATAAACTCTAAATTCTTCCAGGCCATGAAGAAGGAAAAAATCCTGACGATAAATGAATCTAGCCAAACAATCTTCACGTTAGGAACACTGTGACAACTTCCTCGCCATTAAAATGCACTTAAAAGGGGGCATTTCTACAGTGATTCCCCAGAAAACGTGTGTGTGTGTGTGTGTGTGTGTGTGTGTGTGTGTGTTTCTGGAGTAGGGAGTAAGAGTTCATGTAGACCTCAAGATACATATGACTTAAAATTTCAGTGTACCTCTTTGTATTAAGAGTATTTTCACTGAAATGCCAAAAAAAGGAAGTCCACTGGAGTCTGTGACTTTTTAATTGTGGTAAAAATACATAACATAAAATTTACCATCTTAACCATTTTTAAGTAAACAGTGCAATAGTGATAACTATATGCACATTGTTGCTCAACAGATTGCTAGAACTTTTTCATCTTGCAAAACTAAAACTCTACACCCACTGATAACTTTCCTTTCCCACCCCCCCTTCCCAGTCCTGGGGAACCACCATTCTACTTTCTGCTTCTCATGGTTTGGAGTCCCTGACTTTTAAAACTGGAAAGAACTTAAAAGCCATCTAATAAACCTTCCACTCTCAGCTAAGTAACCTGAGCTGTGGAACATTTAAGTGACTGATTCAAGGTTGGCCAGTGAGTCATGGAGCCAGGATTCAGGCCTCTGTTGTCCAAACCCAGCTCTGTCCTCTGTGTAGCATCATATCAGTAATAATATTATGGTTTTAGTTGTCTCCTATCATCCAAATCAATGCTCATTTATATGCAAAGAAATCATTTTGCAGTAATTAATATTATAAACATCAAATTGCAATTCCAGAAATATTCTGTAAATTCAGTAAGACAGTCAAAGAAAATTTATGTCTATCACATAATCCTCCCCACTCTGCTTAGGTTTGAGATAACAGTATAAAATTCTGATAGAGAGTCTGGAATAAGCTCTGTGTTAGAATTTAGATCTAATTTAAATGTTAGGCATTTAGCCTAGATAACTGAAAATTCTGGGGAGAGTTCAAGTACATAAAAGGTGGGAAAGGGTTTTTTCACTTGCAATGGAGTTACAGTAAGTACAAGAGGAAAACAATGTGCTGATCACAGGGTGGTTAAATATAAGAATGGATGACCCAATAATGCCATGAACTCACCTTTTCTGAAGGCCATTAAAATCTGTTTCCAGATTCTTATCAATGTGACATCACTGAAGGAAACCCTGGTATTTCCTTGCCAGGCTTCAATTCTATGATACTAAACCACCAGGGTTTTCATAAGCTATCCTAGAGGTCCAGGGATGGACTGAAAAATAAATCAGAGGGACCATCTGCAGCCTGGTGGGAGCTTTATCTCTTGGGCAAAACAGAGATTCTGAAAATATCCTGTATTGAATTCCACTTTGTCTCAAGATCCTCAAAGTCTACCTGGGTGACATCCCTAGAAGGCAACAGAAGGTTGAGTCCAAAGCTTTGACACCAGGGAGGCTTAACTTGCTTTTGTAAAATCACAAGCTTGAGCTGACACTGGAACTCCAAAAATGAGTCTCCCAGTTCTGCGGGCACAGTAAACGAACACAGGACAGAGGAGCCACTGAGGCATACCAAAGCCATTGAGGGCAGCCATGAGATTCATGATGAGGAGTTTAGACTACAGAGTCTAAACTCTGGTTTTGAGTCTCGCCTTTGGCTTTATGCCTCTGGACAATTCATCAAACCTGTCTCTGACTCAGTTTTCTTTTTTTTTTTTTTAGATTCAGGGGTACATGTGCAGGTTTACAGTATACCTAAATTGCATGTCATGGAGGTCTCAGGTACAGATTGTTTCATCACCCACGTAATAAGTATGGTACCCAATAGGTAGTTTTTCAGTCTTCGCCCTCCTCCCAACCTCCACCCTCATGTAGGCCGTGGTGTCTGTTCTTTGCTCTTTGTGTCCATATGTACACAATGATTAACTGCCACTTATAAGTGAGAATATGTGGTATTTGGTTTTCTCTTCCTGCATTATTTCACTTAGGATAACGGCTCCATCATGTTGCTGCAAAGGACATGATCTTGTTCTTTGTTTATGGCTGCATAGTATTCCATGGTATATATGTACCACAATATTTTTGTCCATTCTACCACTGATGGGTATTTAGGTTGACTCTATGTCTTTGCTATTGTGAATAGTACTGTGATAAACATATGTGTTCATATGTTTTTATGATAAAATGATTTATATCCCTTTGGGTATATAGCCAATAATGAAATTGATGAGTCAAATAGTAATTGTGCTTTGAGTTCTTTGAGAAACCCTCAAACTGCTTTGCATGATGGTTGAACTAATTTACATTCCCGCCAGCAGTATATAAGCATTCTCTTTTCTCTGTAACCTCGCCAATATCTGTCATTTTTTTACTTTTTAATAGTAGCCATTCTGACTGTTGTGAGATGGTATCTCATTGTGGTTTCGATTTGCATTTCTCTGATTAGTAATGTTGAGCATTTTTTCATATGTTTGTTGGCCACGTGTGTGTCTTTTGAGAACTGATCATGTCCTTTGCCCTCTTTTTAATGGGATTGTGTTTTGTTTGTAAATTTGTTTATTTCTTATAGATTCTGGATATTAGATCTTTGTCAGATGCATAGTTTGCAAATATTTTCTCCCATTCTGTATGTTGTCTGTTTACTCTGTTGATAGTTTCTTTCGCTGGGTAGAAGCTCTTTAGTTAGGTCCCACTGGTCCATTTTTGTTTTTGTTGCAATTGTTTCTGGAGTCCTTGTCATGAAATCTTTGCCAGGTCCTGTGTCCAAAATGGTGTTGCCTAGGCTGTCTTCCAGGGTTTTTATAGTTCTATATTTTACATTTAAGTTTTTAATCCATCTTGAGTTGATTTTTGTATATGGTGTAATGAAGGGGTCCAATTTCAATTTTTTGCATAGTCCATCTCAGTTTTCTTACCCATAAAATGAAGATGATAATAGTAACTACCTCACAGGGTTGTGCTGAAAATAAAGTGAATTAATAGATCTAATTCACTTAGCACAGTGCCTGGCCAATCATGAGCACTCAAAAAAAACCACCAGCAGTTATTATTAATAATCTACTCCACAATATGCACTGTGATCTTTTTACTCACTCTTTCTACCACTCTCTCCCTCTTCTTCCTTTCCTTGACACCTTCTTTCCTCTTATCACCTGCCTATGCCCCCACTCATTCCCATGGGCAAGATCAATCTTACTTTTGGCAATTTGAGGGACAGCCAAAAGGACTCTTCTGCCATAACATAAAAGTTCCTCTAAAATATAATTAGACATTCAATCCTCCAAATAAATAATCATTTTTAATGTAAAAGTCATGGCTTTTAATAATATTTAATAGCCATTAAATTATTAGCTTTATTCCTAATCACTCTGGCATATCCACTTATAATTCTATCTGTCTGAAATTATCTTGTTTACTTATTTTTAGTTTAGTACAGTTCTCCCCAAGCTCTCTAAAAACAGGAGCTTTACTATCTTGTTCACCATTATATCTCCAATCCCTACAGAAGAGTCTAGCATATACTAGATGCTCAATAAATATTTGTCAAATGTTGAATGGCTGAACTACTTACTCTCTTCCAAAATTTGCCGTGCTGTTCACCCTCTGGTTCTCTCAATATGCTGTTTCCTCTGCATGGATTTCAAAATTCATTCCAGATATTCAGTGACTGCCTACTGTGTATTTCCCTGGCCCACTCCTGCCAGGTCTCCAGGACTCAACATGAGCATTTTGTCTTCCACAGGGCCTTCTCTGACCTACCCAGGCTGGATCACTGATCTTCCTGCCAGCTGCTGCAGTGCCCTTACCTGTTCTACTCCCAGCTTTGCATTCCTGAAATCTTCATATACCAGCAAAGCCCTGAATATAATAGATTGTCTACTATAAAATTTGTACTGGATTAGATAATAACAAAACTGAGCTCTAACAGGGTTGGTGTGTATGTATAGGGATGGAGGAGGAGTCCGCAGAGCATAGTCACTTCTGTGACCGCCCCCCCACCTCCACCCACCATGCTCTGTCCCTCTGCAAAATTCTAAATGGCTTCGTGTCAGGCCTTGAGGATAACACGAGACGAGTCAAAACCATGAACACCAAAGGTGCGGCTGTATCACTGTCAGGTTTCCGATGGTGATAACTCTTTGAAGAGAGAAACTGTCTTCCTCACTGTTTCCCTACAATTGGCCCAATGTTGAAAAGTGTCAGAGCCTACACTCTGTACATGAATAAATGAATGTGCTAATTTCTATCAATTTAATTACTTTTGACTACAAAATTGTTGTTTTTAGTTTTTTAATCAAATTTTTGAATCATTTTGATGATATGTTTGTCCCATCTCGATAACACAATGTTTAAAAATAAATGAAGATTTATTTCTACATATTCCTTCTCCAAGATAAAATGATGCATTTAAGACACAAAATCCAGAAATTACATGGGCTCAGAATGGAATTCCAGACACTTCATCAGGGCTCAACTCTGACCCCAAATCAAGACACTAGGTGTTGCCACATCACCACTCACACACTTGGGTCAGGCCATTGTCCTGCATTTGACATTAATTGCACCTTCTGGACATATTTGCTGAGGGTTAAAAAGCTCTGAATGTGTGAAAGAGCAACTGGCAAGCACAGGCCAACATCAACATATTTAACCAGGGCAAGAATGGAAAAGATCTGGATGCTGGTTCTGAACTAGCTCCCTGGCCCCAACCCCAATGATAATCCAATAGCTTTGAGCCTTATTTCTCAAGTTAAGTCAGGTCCAGAGGACATTTTGAGAACCTCTATTTGTGGGAATATGCCCTCAGATACCCATGGGAATAGGTAATAAAATGGGGTAAGACAAACATACCCAGTTTTATTTCTAGACTATATCATCAAAACAGAAATAGTCTAAAGTTGACAAATTTTCTCAACTGTACCATAGCAATGATTTATACATCCTGTAGTCTTAATATGGCCTCCAAATGTGTGAAAGAAGAGACTGTACCATTTCAAGACATTCAATTTTTGATGTCAAAATAAGTTACTCTTTGTATCAGTTCCAGACAGTTAGGGACCTCACCCTGATATTTATCTGTACAACACATCCTCTTCCAAAATACTCTATTCCGTTGCTCTAAAAGAAAATACATTGGAATCATTTTGTGACAAATTTAGACATGTTGGGCAACAAAATATGTAGACAGTTGCTTGGTATGCAATTAAAATACCATTGGTGGGAACAACTGGCTCTAGCAATAGTAAAAGGAAATACACTTTTCTCGTCAGGAAAACAATTCCAGTTGACAGTCTCACTGAGCAAAATGAGATGGAGGTCTCAGCATGGCTCCTGATAAGAGATCCACTTGACCCCCATTCTGCACCTAGGGAGTCATAAATACTTCTGGAAAGGAATGAGAGAGAGCTGCACACCCTTCACACTCTGAGTTAACAGACAACGCACAGCAGAACCCCTCAACTCTGCACACTCTGTTGGTGCAGCCCTCTGGGAAACAGTTGCAAGAGCTGACCTCAGATCTGAAATCACAAGCACTCCTCTCAGTGTCCTAGAGGGAACACATTTTAGCAAAAATGAACTAGAAGTCATCAAGAACATGTGACACCTCCAAGAAGACCTATGCTGTAGTTTCTAGGGATACACCTGCCCTCTTCATTGTACTTTGAAAATTCCAAAATATTAGTTAAGCTTCCCATTTAATAATTTTTTAAAAGGTCAGTTTATTCCATGGTTTAACTAGAGTGAAAGAAAATCTTATCTCTCAGTATTCCCCTTTTTTAATAGAAAATGCCAAACATGAGCAAAAATAGGGAGACTAATACAATGAACTTTTCATTTATTACCTAGCTTCAACAATTATCAAATAATGGCCAAACACATTTCATCTCTAACCTTGCACGCTCCCCTCTGCCAATACTGGATTCCTTAAGGCAAATCTCAGACATCACATAATCTTATCTGTAAATATTTCAATCTGTAAATATTTCCATCTGTATCTTTGAAGGATAAGGGCTCTTTTTTAATATGGCCATTAACATATATAAAAACTGAAAAATAATTCTGTAACACCAACAAATATCCAGTCAGTAATCAGACTTCCCTGATTGTCTCATAATAGTTTTCATTGTTTGTTCAAATCAAGATCCATGTATTGCAATTGACATATCTCATATCTCAATCTATAGTGTTCTTTCTTCCCCTGTCTCCACCCACCCACCCCCCACACATACAATTTGTCATTGAAGAAACCAGGCTTTTTTCCTGAATAATTGTTCACACACTGCATTTTGCTGGCTGTATCCTCATGGTGTCATTTAACATGTCCCTCCTCCCCTGTTTTTTCCTGAAAACTATTTGTTATGTATAGAGGCTTGATTACATTCAGGTCTGACTTTCTGACAAGATACTTCATGAGTGGTTAAACATAGGGATCAGGTGGCACTTTATATCTAGTTGTCTCTCTTTTTGTGATGTTAGTAGCCATTGCAGATCATCCTGGATTGTCTCATTAATGGTTGCAAAATGGTGATATTCTCCATCTATCCTTTCTTTGTCTGTTATGAATACTTATTTAAAGAGATATGTTTCATCAGCAGCTATTGGATTATCCTGAGGTATGCCTTGTAAAGAAAAGACGATAAAATTCTCAATTATTTCCCTTTATCACTTTTCAAAATAATGAGTTAGTTCCCTAGCATCCTCAAAAGGATTTTTTGTTTTTATTTCTAAGTATCATTATGAACTCGTGAATTTTAAAGCATTTTGTATAATTTGATTTATTTCAGTTATTAGTTTACTGTTTATTGGTGCTCAAATTGTCCCATTTTTAACCAATGACAATCTCTTCAAGTTGGTTCTTGAGTTCTTTTCTCAGGATCCCATATTCTTTAATTAATCCCTGCTTTATGCTATAATATGTTTCAGGCTCATCTTGTACATTTTCTATTACAGACCTGGAGTTAGATAGTTCTTTAAAGAAACCTAGTTCTTTTCACTGGGAAATGGTATTCAGAACCCACAATGTGGGGGCTAGGGTGCTCCGTGCTACTGGATTGGTCATTTTTTCTTGAGATTCTCGATAGACAAATATAGAAAATATGCTTTTTGAGATAAAGTCTTGCTGTGTCACCCAAGCTGGGATGCAGTGGCATGAATGAGGCTCACTGCAGCCTCCATCTCCTGGCCTCAAGAAATCCTTCTGCCTCAGCCTCCCAAGTAGCTAGAGCTACAGATACATACCACCACATCCCACTATTTTTTTTTTTTTTTTGTAGAGGTGAGATTTCTCCAGTTTTCCCAGGCTGGCCTTGAACCCCACTGGGCTCAAGCAGTCCTCCTGCCTCAGCTTCCCAAAGTGCTAGGATTACAGTCATGAGCCACTGTGCCCAGCCCCTAGAAAATGTTTTTTAAAAAACATATACCATACATTTTTACTGATATTTTTTCTTTTTCCTTTTTTTTTTTTTTTTGAGATAGGGTCTCACCCTGTCACCCAAGTTGGAGTGCAGTGGTGCTATCATGGCTTGCTGCAGCCTCAACATCTCAGGCTCAAGTGATCCTCCTGCCTCAGCCTCCACAGCAGCACCACCCTACTTGGCTAATTTTTTTTTTCTAAATAAAGGTGGGCGGTCACACAATGTTTTCTAGGCTAAATACTGATATTTTCTATTTAAATCTATAATAATAGGGTTTTTACTTAACTTCTTTGATTTTATATCTCTTTTCTCTTATGCTAAAAAATACTAGTTAACCATAAACATTTACATAATTATTCTCTTTGTTCTATAATATACGTGCATAAGAGTTTCAGAATAACAATACTATTATTAAGAACACGATAACAATATATAGCCTAGATTTTGTATAGACCTTTATAGTCTTTAAGTGTATATACCACTAGGGATATGTTGTAAAGTATTGGGTTTTAAAGTCTCTTGGAATAGACCTTCATGTGGTGATATCATCAACTTGATAATTGGATTCATTGGTTTTACTTTTTATTTGCTATTTTATAGATTTATTTTTAAATTTTACTTCATTTCATAACTATATAAAATATGTACATAGTTTCAAAGTCAAATCTACAGATTCAAACATAATTTAAGTGACTTTTTTCATTTTTGAGTATCCTATTCAATATCAGAATTTATATTTATATATATATATTCCTTTCTTTGATCACTTTTCTAATTTTGCTTCTTTCACTTAAAAATATATTAACAATATATCCTAGTGATCATGAAAGTATATAAACATATTCACTTACTTTACCTTTTTATAGTTGTATAGCACTCCTCTTTTATTTGTATAACTACATAGTACTCCACTGAGTGACTGTACCAAAATTTATTCAACCAGTCCTCTGTTATGGACACAGGTTGTTTCTAACCTTTTGGTTACAAACATTACATTAATAAATTGTTTTGTGCCTAACTTGGGAGCTTATTTTTGTCTTCAGGATAGATTTCTAGAGGTGAAATTGCTTGGCCAAAAAATAAGTACATACATAATTTTGCTAGCTATTGTCAAAAGTCTGCAATAGTTTGCATTCCTACTCAAAATGCCTGAGTACTTATTTCTCCACAAACTGACAGAATTTAAAGTAAAATTTTTGAATTATTGCCAATGTGATAGCTGAGAAGTTATATCTTAGTATAGTTTTAATTTACATTTCTTTTATTATAAATAAGACTACCTATCTTTTCACATTTCTAAAGGCTATTTAAACTGCTGTGAGTTATCAATATGTCATTTATTTTTCTGTAGAATTGTTGGTCTTTTTTTGTATTTAGAAGCCATTGAAATAATAGAATATTAATCCTTTATCTGTGCTAGAAGTTGCAAATATTTTGCCAGCTTGCTGTTTTACTTTATTTGGGGGACAGGGGCACAAAAACAATTTTTTGTTCCATGTTTATCAACTCATATTGCTTATGTATTTTGAATCATAAAATTTTTTTTCTCATTCCCAAGTTATAGAGAAATTCATCCATGTTTTTTATCTGATAATTGTATAGCTTCATTTTTATGGTAAATCTCAAATATATTTAGAATTTATCCTGATGTGTACTTTTTCCACATGGCTACCCTGTTATCCTAACACTTGTCTATTTTGGATTTCATCTCCCACCAAAATAAAGTAAAAACTAAATCTAATCATGAGGAAACATCATAGAAACCAAAACTTGAGGGTCAATCTCTAAAATTACTGTCATGGATTTTTTATATTAAAAAAACTTTATTTTTAAGAGCTATTTTATGTTCACAGCAAAATTGAGAGGGAGGTATAGAGATTTTCTTTATACCCTGTGCCCCAACACACGCCTAGCCTCCCCTATTATCAACAGACCCTCTTCCCTCAGAGTGGTACATTGGTTAGAATAGATGAACCAACATTGACACATCATTACCACCCAAAGTCCATATTTTTAGATTAGAGTTCACTCTTGGCATTTGCATTAGTCCATTCTTACACTGCTATAAATAGCTACCTAAGACTAGGTAATTTGTAAAGAAAAGAGGTTTAATTCACTCATAGTTCTGCAGGCTTAACAGGAACCATGACTGGGAGGCCTCAGAAAACTTACAATCATGGCGGAAGGCAAAAGGGAAGCACATACATATTTACAAAGGTGGAGCAGGAGAGAAAGAGAGAGAGTGAGGGGGGATGTGCCACACTTTGAAACCATGAGATCTTAAGAGAACTTTATCACTATCACCAGAACAGCATGGGGGAAGTCTGCCCCACCATGATCCAATCACTTCCCACTAGGTCCCTCCCCTGACACGTGGGGAATTACAAGTCAACATGAGATTTGGGTGTGGACACAGAGCCAAATCTTATCAGTGTTTTATATCCCATAAGCTTGAGCAAATGAACAATGACATGTATTCATCATTGCAGTATCATTCAAAGTAGTACCACTGCTCTAAAAATCCTTTGTGCTCTATTTATCCCTCCCCCATCCCAATCCATGGCAACAACTGATCTTTTTATTGTCTCCATAGTTTTGATTTTCTAGAATGTCATATACTTGGAATCATACAGTATGTACCCTATTCAAATTGGCTTCTTTCACTTAGTAATATGCATTTCAGTTTCCCCCATGTCTTTTCACAGCTTGATAGCTCATTTTTTAGTGTTGAATAACATTCCACCGTCTGGATGTGCCATCTGGCCTGTATTTTCCAAAATATAGCAATACAGCAATGGAAAAAGACAAAGAAAGGCAACTAAAGAGATATGACAACTGAAAGCAATATATGGTTCCAGTTTCCATATTGTACTTGCGGGAGCGGGGGGAAATGCTGTAAAGGACATTATTGGGAGAATTGGCAGAACTGGAATATGGGTTGTATATTAAAGTGCTTTGTTGATATTGAATGTCCCAAAACTGATAATTCACTCTACTGTGAATATATATGAGAATATTCTTGCTCTTAGGAAATATACACTGACATATTAGCAGGTAAAGGAGCATGATGTATACAACTATTCTCAAATGATTCCAAAAATACATAAAATATGTGTGGGGGTGTGTGTGTGTGTGTGTGTGTGTGTAAAGAAAGAGACAGCGAGATAAAATAAATATGACAAAATGTTTAAAATTGGCAAATGTTGCCAAAGATTATTTGAGGGTTCTTTATACTACTCTTGCAAGTTTTTTTTTGGTAAGTTTGAAATTATTTCAAATTAACAAAATAAACAAAATTCTATCTTTTCCCCTACTGAACTCAGATGCTGCTTGTATCATATTCTCCATACCCATTTGCAGTGAGCTTTATTCTGTCTCATTCTCTGTGAGCAAACACTACACTACTTTAATTATGGCAACTTTATAATATGTTTTGTATATTTTAACTAAGTTTTAAATAATATCTGAAAGAATTTATCCTTCTCATTGTTCTTCTTTTTCAGAGTTTTCCTGTATATTCTTCCTTCTTTGTTCCTTTTTACACAACCTTATGATACTTTTATTGGAATAATATTACATTTATAGATTAACTTATAATTGACAACTTTGTGATGTTTAGTCTTTCTATCCAAAAGCTTGATATGCATTCCCATTTGATGAAGTCCACTTTTGTGTTTTTCTGGATGTTTTATAGTTTTTCTTAACTGTGTTTTGACACTTTGCATATTTTGCCATTATAAGTGCAATATTGTTTCCATTATATCTTTTAACAGGTTTCAATATCCCATTTGAGTTCCTGAATAAAAAGTTTTTAAATCATTTTACAATTATTCTAAGGCAGATATTTTCTGGCCTGTTTTTTGTATCTTATTGTTGCTGGTTGTGATGTGAAATTTTCAAAACAAAATATACTATCATTCACTGTAATTACTATTGCAAAGACAGGCTATGGTTAATACATGGGGAGATAGAAAACCCTGAATTCCAAAAGTTAAACGGGTTGAAAGCAACACATGGCAAACGACCTCAGCAATCTGCAGAAGGCTTGTATCTCCACCCCAAAAACCAAAGGAAGAGCACTGGAAAAAATTATTTAGTCTTGATGAAACGTTAACAAAATCTTTAAACTTGTTAGTGGCATCAGCATACCTGAAGAAAACATATGTGAACTAACTCTTTAATTAAATGTTAAGAATTTGTCGAGGTTTGTTCAGTTCTGTCAAGGAGGAAAATAACTGAAATATTTAAATTTTAAAAAAAAAGGAAGTCTGAGGACTGAAGAAAAACCCTCCAAACAAAACAAAATTCTTTATGATTCTGTATCTCGAGTATGTGCTTCCATACCTGCCAAGCAACTTTAAGGGAGTGAAAGCACTTGCCAACTTTCAAGTGTCCAGCCTCTCCCAGGCATATTTCTCACTGAAAACCAACCAATTCACCTGTGATGTACACATCAGTCTGTAGCGAGCCTGAGGGGAATACAGTCATCAGGCCCGGATGATCTGAGTGCAAACCCAGCACTGCAAGCCCAGAGGCCTCCTCAGGTGCTGACTTCTGCGTCTCAAACTGAAGGCAAGCCGTACTGGACACCGGAGGGAGATTAAAAACTATAGAATCAAGTGGGTGAAGGATATGAACAGACGCTTCTGAAAAGAAGGCATTTATGTGGCCAATAAACATATGAAAAAAAGCTAATCATCACTTGTCATTAGAGAAATGCAAATCAAAATCACAATGAGATACCATCTCATGCCAGTTAGAATGGCGATCATTAAAAAGTCAGGAAACAACAGATGCTGGAGAGGATGTGGAGAAATAGGAATGCTTTTACACTGTTGGTGGGAGTGTAAATTAATTCAGCCATTGTGGAAGACAGTGTGGCAATTCCTTAAGGATCTAGAACCAGAAATACCATTTGACCCAGCAATCCCATTACTGGGTATATACCCAAAGGATTATAAATCATTCTACTATAAAGACACATGCACACGTATGTTTATTGCAGCACTATTCACAATAGCAAAGACTTGGAACCACACAAATGCCCATCGATGATAGACTGGATAAAGAAAATGTGGCAAGATCGACGCTGCCTCCCCAACTCAGCTGTTGAGGTTTGGGGGTGGGGCGGGGAGAGGAGAAGGCCGCGACAGAGGAAGAAGGAAGCGGGGGAGGAGGAAGAAGGATGCGGCGGAGGAAGAAGGATGCGGCGGAGGAAGAAGGAAGCAGCGGTGGAAGAAGGAAGCGGTGGTGGAGCGGACACAGCGGACACAGCAGACACAGCAGCTCAGGCGGCGCCAGGTTCCTGGGAATGTCAGTGCGGCACGGTAGTTGGTGCGGATCCCGCGGAGCTTGGAGTTAAATTAAGGAAGAATAAAAGAGATGAACATCTCTTAAAGAGAAGGAATGTACCACATGAAGATATCTGTGAAGAGTCTGATATTGATGGTGATTATAGAGTGCAAAGTAACTCTCTAGAAGCTATTGTTCAAAATGTTTCAAGTGATAATCAACGAATTTAATTAAGTGCAGTTCAAGCTGCCAGGAAGCTTTTATCCAGTGATCGAAATCCACCAATTGATGACTTAATAAAATCTGGAATATTGGCCATTTTAGTCCATTGTCTTGAAAGAGATGACAATCCTTGTTTACAGTTTGAAGCTGCATGGGCTTTGACAAATATTGCATTTGGAACTTCTGAACAAACTCAAGCAGTAGCTCAGTCCAGTCCAATGCTGTGCCACTTTTCCTGAGGCTTCTCCATTCACCCCATCAGAATGTCTGTGAGCAAGCAGTGTGGGCATTGGGAAATAGCATAGGTGATGGGCCCCAGTGTAGAGATTATGTCATAAGTCTGGGAGTTGTGAAACCTTTACTTTCCTTCATAAGTCCAACTATTCCTATAACATTCTTTTATATATATACTTTAAGTTCTAGGCTACATGTGCACAACATGCAGGTTTGTTACATATGTATACATGTGCCATGTTGGTGTGCTGCACCCATTAACTCATCATTTACATTAGGTATATCTCCTAATGCTATCCCTCCCCCCACCCCCACCCCACGACAGGCCCCAGTGTGTGATGTTCCCCTTCCTGTGTCCAAGTGTTCTCATTGTTCAATTCCCACCTATGAGTGAGAACATGCAACATTCTTAAGAAATGTTACTTGGGTTATGGTCAACTTATGTCGCCACAAAGACCCACCACCACCAATGGAAACCATTCAGGAGATTCTTCCAGCCCTTTGTGTTTTAATTCATCACATAGACGTAAATATATTGGTAGATACAGTCTTGATCCTCTCTTACCTTACTGATGCTGGCAATTATCAAATACAGATGGTAACAGACTCTGGAATATTTCCTCATTTGGCTTCCTCAGCCACCACGAAGTTAAAGTTCAGACTGCTGCACTTCGAGCTGTGGGCAACATTATTATGGGAACTGATGAGCAAACACAAGTAGTGTTGAACTGTGATGCCCTTTTACACTTCCCAGCACTCCTGACACATCCCAAAGAGAAAATCAATAAAGAAGCAGTGTGGTTCCTCTCTAATATCACTGCAGGAAGTCAGCAGCAGGTACAGGCAGTAATTGATGCCAATCTTGTACCAGTGACAATACATCTTTTGGATAAGGGGATTTTGGCACTCAGAAAGAAGCTGCTTGGGCCATAAGTAACTTAAAAGTTAGTGGAAGGAAAGATCAAGTGGCTTACCTTATCCAGCAGAATGTTATCCCACCTTTTTGCAACTTGCTGACTGTAAAAGATGCACAAGTGGTCGTCCGCAAAGCCTGAGTCCTGTCCTCTCACTCTCCTCCCCAGACAGCATGAGCTTCAACACTTGCTCCACCTTCTCCACCTGCTCCACCTTCTCCACCAACTACCAGTCCCTGGGGCGCCTGGACAGTCAGCGCGTGGCCAGCATCTATGCAGGTGCTGGGGGCTCTGGTTCCCAGATCTCCCTGTCCCACTCCACCAGCTTACAGGGTGGCATGGGGTCCAGAGGCCTGTCCACAGGGATGGCCGGGGGTCTGGCAGGAATGGGAGGCATCCAGAATGAGAAGGAGACCATGCAAAGCCTGAACGACCTCCTGGCCTCCTACCTGGACAGAGTGAGGAACCTGGAGACCGAGAATTGGTAGCCGGAGAGCAATATCTGGGAGCACCTGGAGAAGAGAGACCCCAGGTCAGAGACTGGAGCCATTACTTCAAGACCATTGAGGAAGATCTGAGGGCTCATCTTCACAAATACTGTGGACAATGCCCACATCGTTCTACAGATCGACAATGCCCGTCTTGCTGCTGATGACTTGAGAGTCAAGTATGAGACAGAGCTGGCCATGTGCCAGTCTGTGGAGAGCGACATCCGTGAGCTCCGCAAGGTCATTGATTACACCAATGTCACTCAGCTGCAGCTGGAGATAGAGATTGAGGCCTCAAGGAGGAGCTGCTCTTCATGAAGAAGAACCATGAAGAGGAAGTAAAAGGCGTACAAGCCCAGATTGCCAGCTCTGGGTTGACTGTGGAGGTAGATGCCCCCAAATCTCAGGACCTCGCCAAGATCATGGCAGAAAACTGGGCCCAATATGGCAAGCTGGCTCGGAAGAACCGAGAGGAGCTGGACAAGTACTGGTCTCAGCAGATTCAGAAGAGCACCACAGTGGTCACCACGCAGCTTGCCGAGGTTGGAGCTGCTGAGATATGCTTATGGAGCTGAGACATACAGTACAGTCCTTGGAGATTGACTGGACTCCATGAGAAATCTGAAGGCCATCTTGGAGAACAGCCTGAGGGAGATGGAGGCCCGCTACACCCTGCAGATGGAGCAGCTCAACAGGATCCGGCCGCACCTGGAGTCAGAGCTGGCACAGACCCAGGCAGAAGGACAGGGCCAGGCCCAGGAGTATGAGGCCCTGCAGAACATCAAGGTCAAGCTGGAGGCTGAGATCACCACCTACCACCGCCTGCTGGAAGATGGTGAGGACTTCAATCTTGGTGATGCCCTGGACAGCAGTAACTCCATGCAAACCATCCAAAAGACCACCACCTGCCAGATAGTGGATGGCAAAGTGGTGTCTGAAAACGAGCAATGACACCAAAGTTCTGAGACATTAAGCCAGCAGAAGCAGGGTACCCTTTGGGGAACAGAAGGCCAATAAAAAGTTCAGAGGTCACACCTTATACAAAAATTAATTCAAGATGGATTAAAGACTTAAATGTTAGACCTAAAACCATAAAAACCCTAGAAGAAAACTTAGGCTCAGGACATAGGCATGGGCAAGGACTTCATGACTAAAATACCAAAAGCTATGGCAACAAAAGCCAAAATTGACAAATGGGATCTAATTAAACTAAAGAGCTCCTGCACAGCAAAAGAAACTATCATCAGAGTGAACAGGCAACCTACAGAATGGGGGAAAATTTTTGCCATCTACCTATCTGACAAAGGGCTAACATTCCAGAATCTGCAAAGAACTCAAACAAATTTACAAGAAAAAAACAAACAACCCCATCAAAAAGTGGGCAAAGGATATGAACAGACACTCCTCAAAAGAAGACATTTATGCAGCCAAAAGACACATGAAAAAATGATCATGATCACTGGTCATCAGAGAAATGCAAATCAGAACCACAATGAGATACCATCTCACACCAATTAGAATGGCGATCATTAAAAAGTCAGGAAACAACAGGTGCTGGAGAGGATGTGGAGAAATAGGAACACTTTTACACTGTTGGTGGGACTGTAAATTAGTTCAACCATTGTGGAAAACAGTGTGGTGATTCCTCAAGGATCTAGAACTAGAAATACCATTTGACCCAGCAATCCCATTACTGGGTATATACCCAAAGTATTATAAATCATGCTACTATAAAGACACATGCACATGTGTGTTTATTGCAGCACTATTCACAATAGCAAAGACTTGGAACCAACCCAAATGTCCATCAATGATAGACTGGATTAAGAAAATGTGGCACATATACACCATGGAATACTATGCAGCCATAAAAAAGGATGAGTTCATGAAGGTGGAAACCATAATTCTCAGCAAACTATCACAAAGACAGAAAACCAAACACCACATGTTCTCACTCATAGGTGGGAATTGAACAACGAGAACACTTGGACACAGGGTGGGGAACATCATACACCGGGGCCTGTTGAGGGGTCGGTGGCTGGGGGAAGGATAGCATTAGGAGAAATACCTAATGTAAATGACAAGTTGATGGGTGCAGCAAACCAACATGGCACATGTATACCTATGTATCAAACCTGCACATTGTGCACTTGTACCCTAGAACTTAAAGTATAATTTTAAAAAAAAATGCAGAGGCAAAAAAAAAAAAAGATGCACAAGTTGTGCAGGCAGTACTCAATGGACTAAGTAATATACTAAAAATGGCCAAAGATAAGGCATAAACCATGGACAATCTTTTTTTTTTTTTTTTTTCAGACGGAATCTCACTCTGTCTCCAAGCTGGAGTGCCATTATGCGATCTTGGCTCACTGCAATCTCTGACTCCCTGGTTCAAGCAATTCTCCTGTCTCAGCCTCCTAAGTAGCTGGGATTACAGGCACATGCCACCATGCCCAGCTAATTTTTGTATTTTTAGAAGAGACGGGGTTTCACCACATTGGCCAGGATGGTCTCGATCTCCTGACCTCGTGATCCGCCTGGCTCGGCCTCCCAAAGTGCTAGGATTACAGGCTTGAGCCGCCGTGCCCCAGCCAGGCAATCTTATAGAAGAAGATGGAGGGCTGGAGAAAATTAAACAACTTCAAAATCATGAAAATGAAGACATCTACAAATTGGCCTATGAGATCATTGATCAGTTCGTCTGTTCAGATGATAATTGATGAAGACCCTAGCCTTGTTCCAGAGGCAATTCAAGGCGGAACATTTGGTTTCAATTCATCTGCCAATGTACCAACAGAAGAGTTCTAGTTTTAGAAAGACGTCATGGAAGTTAGGTACAATGCAGCACTGAGATATATATACACACATGTATACACATATATATACATATATGCATCTATATATATACACACATATACATATATATATATACACACACACACACACACACACCATGGAATACTATGCAGCCATAAAAAAGGATGAGTTCATGAAGCTGGAAACCATAATTCTCAGCAAACTATCACAAAGACAGAAAACCAAACACTGCGTGTTCTCCCTCATAGGTGGGGATTGAACAATGAGAACACTTGGACACAGGGTGGGGAACATCATACACTGGGGCCTGTATGATATATACATGTATGTATATGTGTATACATGTGTGTATATATACAAAGTTTTGATCCATCAAGCTTGGCTCGTGGGATCTGCTGCTGCATTAAATATAAATAGGGAAATAAAATGTGAAGATTTCATTTGAAATCACAGAAAATGCCCAAATGAGGTCAAGATGGAGAATGGGTGCAAGTGAGAATGAGTGGCAAAATGTAATGGAAACTTCACATGAATGCTTATTTACGTTGTTCAAAGTAAAAAGGGCTACAGGTCACAGATCATCAGTGCCTGAGAAAGAACACTGACTTGCTTTATATCAATTGAGGGGAAAGTGCAGTACTGTGATCTTCAACCTTGTAAGCATAAAAGAGAATAGGCTGCCTGTATAAGTCAAAGGAAAATAGGCCAAGGCCTTGTTATGAAGCAATGTGTGAATGGACAATGTTGAATGAATGTCTGGGTCAGTGATGGAGAGCCAGGTTCGTCTTTAAAATCTAGGGCTCGTCACTTATGAAGCAGACTCCTAGTACTGGAGTGACTCTATATGAGAGTGTGGTTGTGGTGCTGTATGTGAACTCATGTAAGCTTGATTCACCTTCAGGGGCTGATAACAAACCTAGTAAATCATCAAAATGAGATAATAAGTGCTAATGTACACTGGACATGAAAACAAAGACTGGTTTAGCAGCAGACATTGGTTTACTCTACAGCTTGTGTTTTCTATTTCCCCCTTTCCCACCTCCTTCCCCCTACCCAACTCCTTTTTTTTTTTTTAGTTTTTATTTACCTAGTGTGCCTTTTTTTAGTTGCTTCTCAAGTCAGGAAACTTTACAGGAAGGATTCCCTGTGCATTTGCACCAGATGAATGTTTGATGCTATGAAAAACTTTCCATAGCATCAAAACTAATTTGTGTAGATTTTTGCATAAAAAAATCATAAATTTCCCTCAAAGTAGACTGTGTTGCAGTACACAAGTTGCCATAATAGTAAAAAACAGTAAAATGTGCTTAAAAGGCCATCTTTTTCATTTTCAGAGATATCATAAAGATGTTTGCATGAGGTAAATCTATAGCATAGTTCATTTTTAGGTTTTGTTGAGTCCTGTAAAGAAGAAGAAAAAAAAGTTTCAGCTGTGGTAGAATACCATGCTGTGTTTAAATGTTACTTGTTTTCAAACTTTCTTTTCTATGAAAATGACATGGAAACTTCTAAAATGGAATTTGGTGTATATGTACTGCTGAATAAAGACCAATGAAGAGGTTTGAGTAGATGTACAAATCAAGTAATGGTTTGAACACCTTTAATAATATGCCTAATCTGTTCCATTGTTTCAGAATCTTTTTATCTTAGATGTAGGCAACCATGAACAATCTATTTTGAGCCCCTTTAGGGAGAAAACTTTGTATTTTTAAAACTTGCATAAAAGTTATGCAAGTGGTTTTTATAAATCAGAATAATACCTCAGTTTTGATGTTATGCACACTAAATTAAATGTGACATAAATTAATTTGTACAAAAAGAACTAGGTGGCTCATTGTAAGAAATCCTGTGCCTTCCCCTTTGAGCACAAGTGTTGCATGAACAACAGTTTGCTATAAGAAACATACCAGATTAGCCACCATTAGCATCTATATCTACTTTGTGTTTAAAAATCAACTGGTAATTCTGAAACACTGTAGAATAGATAAAAATTATTTTGTGATCATAACTCTTTGTTGAACTAGAGTATTTTTGCAACATTCCTTGTCATCAGAATAATGGTTAAAGTTTAAAACTAGAAGCAGCAGAAAACTAGCTTGTAAAATGTATCCAAGTAAAGTGCAGGCTAGGCTGTCTTGGGGAAATAAACATTAAAACTTAAAGCAATGTTAAAAAAAAGAAAAAGAAAGAAAAGAAAATGTGGCACATATACACCATGTAATACTATGCAGCCATGAAAAAGGATGAGTTCATGTCCTTTGCAGGGACATGGATGAAGCTGGAAACCATCATTCTCAGCAAATTAACACAGGAACAGAAAACCAAACACCACATGTTCTCACTCATAAGTGAGAGTTGAACAATGAGAATACACAGACACAGGGAGGGGAACATCACACAATGGGGCCTATCAGAGGGTTGGGGGCTAGAGGAGGGATGGCATTAAGAGAAATACTTAATGTAGATGATGGGTCGACAGGTGCAGCAAACAACCATGGCACGTGTAAGCTATGTAACAAACCTGCACATTCTGTACATGTATCCCAGAACTCAAAGAATAATTTTTAAAAAAATCCTTCAACAAAAAAACACTATAGAATCAATTTAATGTGGTTTCATGTCTGCAATATAGAGTTCAAAAACCCTATATTGCTTCAGCACAGAGATGAGGAAATAGTTGGCTTTTCTAGACCTATAAATGGATTGCTGAGAGAGAAGCTAGGTGGACCTGAGATTCCTTTGACAAGCAAGATTCTCCATCTGGATGGAGTAAACGGAACCTCTACAACAGGGCAGGTTAGAGCCCTGATGCAAGGGATCTAAGTATTGAGCTGCCAAAAAAGAGCATTGATGGCAAGAGCAGATTTTTCTCAAGTCATTCTAACAAATGGTGTTTTTGCTGTGTAACACTGTAAACCTCAGCAATTAGGTAGTGGCTATTCTCCTCTAGTAGAGATTTAGTGGGATCAACAGGAGCTCTACTTCAAAGTCACACTAATTTAAAATTATTCTCCAGAGCAGCCTACCAAGTCCCCTGGCTTATTCTTTTCTATTTAAGGGAGGAAACCCAACAGGATTAGGGAGTTTGACTGCCTGCCTAGAGTTTGACATTTTACACAGCCAAGAAAATAGGTTTGTTACTCTAAAAAGTCTCTCAGACTAAAATTAATTTGAGAACAAAGTTGAAATCTGCCTCCAACTTACTCTTTATTGTTACATTTCCACTGAAAATTTCATCTCCACTTTTTATATGTCCAATATATTTTCTACTTTATTTCTTCTCAAGATTCTTAAGGTCAAAAACCTTAAGAGCTAGATTATAATAAATGATGCTGAAATTATGTTAAACCTATAAAACCAAAGTCTGGCTAAACCTATGGTTTTACTAAAATAAATAAGTGGTTTTGTTAGCAAATTGCACTACATACTTAGAAAGAGTCAAGCCTTCTATTCTATTTAACACGGCTTTCATCTCTATCCCAACTGCCTTTCACTCTATCAACTAGAAAAAAACACCAAGTATACTTCTAGGGCTTTCTTGAGGTTCAGCAGTCATTCTCACAGTCATGAAACAGACTTTTTCCCAGGAGCCCGCGTGTCCTCAGACTTGAAGATGTATCTGTTTTCTTTTCATGCCACTTTTTCGTTCATCTTCACGAAGAGAAATAACAAGGAATAGCTTTAAGATAATAAACTTGCCCTTTTACCTGTAGATTCACTTTGCCAAAATAAGAGACACAGAACAGACTAGCCAGGAAGATCCAACTTCTACTCGTTGCCTTGCTACCATAGGTATTTGATACCCGATGGCTAGGTGGCACTGCACTCAACCAATATTCTAAGATGTTGAATGAGGAAATCAACAGCAGACCCAAGGCCTTCTATTTTTAATTTACTCTTCTTTGGGGCCTGTCTCACAGCTTTATGCATAGCACTCTCCCAGCTATCAGCCCACTCCCACCCTGGAATCATTGAGCTACGAAAGCCTGATGTCAGGCAATTGCTCGACCATCAGTTTTTACTGTGGACCTCCTAGTGAAAGCATTCCTAACCAAAGTGTTAGGACTCTTGTGTTGCTGTTCCTGATAATTCAAGGGTGATATACACATAACCAAAGACACTAAAAAGTATTATAATGTGTACATTTCCCTCCCCAACCCTTAAATTCGTTGGGTGATTTATGTCCTGGGTGTATATGAGTGAATGATATCAATCTCACACATACAGACGTCCATGTATACCTCCATCTGAGAAATGCTTGGTCCTTGCACCAAATACTAAGGAGGGCCCAATTCTTTACATGGTAAAGAGAAACCAGCTTTTCAGATGAAGGAAAACACAGGTGCAGAACATGGAGGTGTAAAATGATATGAGGAACTACAGCATATGTTGGGACATTTTTAAAAAAAAGGTAAAACCAGAGAAGTGGGCAAGGTCCAGATATGAAGCACCTTAAAAGCCATCTAAAGAGCCTGGAATTTATTCTTAGCTGTGAAGACTCAGGGAAGAGGTTAAAGTAATAGAGACATGACTGGATTTCTATCTAGGAAAGAACACTCTAACAGCAGCAAGGAGAATGGATTGGAGACCTGCAAGATTAAAGGAAGAGGTCTCAGAAGCTGCTGCAATAATCCAGGTATGAAATTAGGAAAGCCTAAAGTAAATCAGCAGCAGAAGAGATGAATAGGAGGGGTATAAAGGAGAGATTTTGACTTGTTCTTAAATTAGGTTTTGGGGAAAAAAAGAGAAAGGCAGAGTCACAGAAGACTGTCAGTTTTCCAGTTGCATAAGGCAGTGTTTTATACCAAGGGAGACAATACAATAGGAAGAACATGTTTGGTTTGTGGGGGGAAAAATGAGCTCCATTTTGGACATAACAAATTTGAAGCAACTGTACAAAATACAAGTCAGGATAAACTGAAGGCAGTTAAATAAATCATTTTGGAGACTAGGAATGAAGCCTGGACTGGAGCTATGGATTTGGGTGCCAGATGCTTATCAGTGGCAGTCTGAACCAGAAGAATAAGTAAGATCTCTCGGGAAGCATGGAGAAAATAAGGCAGAGGATACAGCCTGGTCATCTCCCAACATTTTAGGGGCAAGTGTGGGAAGAGAAGCCAAGAAAAGTGACTGAGAAGAACAGAATATTCACCAGCTGAAGGAGGACCAAGGATCTGTGTCATCACAAAAAGACACTCCAAGGCTGGAATAAAACATGGCCAACAGAGCCAAATTCCACCAAGGACATAAGCAAAAGAGAGGATTTCTTTAGATTCAACAGTTTGAACACAGTCCTGAAAAGGGCCAAGAGGATTGGATCAAGTGCATAGGTGGGAAAATCAGTCTGGGGAGAAGAGATGCCTTGTCTTCCAGGATTAGTGATAAGATCAGAGGAGGCTGAGGGCAGAGAAAGGAAGTTTGCAGAGTGGACATAGGAAATTGAGGAAGTTTGTGCCAATGGACTCAGTTTGACTGAAGAGGCAGCTCTGGATACCTGCTGAGGGAAAATTAGGCAATAGTGAGGGAGGACTCTGAAGACAGCCAGTGATATTTGCAGAGGATGCTGTAGGAAATTCTTCCCTCCCCTGACACCACTTCCTTGGCACCCACCTGACCCCATGCCTAACCCCATGAAACAGAAAACTATTTCAATTAATAAATTAAGTTAAATTTTAGATTTATTTATTCTCATTATTGAGTGCCTATGTAGTGCAAGGCAATGTGGTGAACTCAGGAGATGTAAAGATTTCACAATGTTTGAAGAGCTGTAAATCCTCCCCACTGAAATTTTATCAGTTTGATGTCTACTCATCTTCAGGTCTCATCTTAAAATGACACTTCCTCACAGGTACCAGTCCTCACTCCCTATACTAGGTTAGGGCCTCCTCTCCAACATTCTCAGCACGCCATATGCTTTTCCTTGGTAGCTCCTCCAGTAATAACTAAATAATTAGTTATAATCAAATAGGTAATATAAATATTAATTACATTACATATATAGTTTTTAATATCTATCTTCTTTGCCCACTAAATTGTAACCCCCACGAGATCAGTAAGCTAGTTATTGCTGGATGCTCAGCACCAACAAACAACATGATATTTATTAATTCATTCATCCAATAAGTATTCAACCCCCCTATATAAGAGACATAGTGTAAATAACAGACGCCCAGGAAATACTTGTTGAATGAATCAATGAATAAATAAATGAAGTTCTATAGGAAGATTCATTTCTTAAAAATAAAGTCTACTGAGTAATCTATAATCACAATTTGATATGGTACAAACTTAAGGGATTCCAAGTACGGGGCACTCACTTGGTTGAATTTAAATGGGGAAAGCTAACTTTTGACAGAAATGATGATTTGGGGGGGAAAGTATGAATGTAGATTGGATGCTAAGAGGGTAGATGGCCCACAAAAGAAAATCTTATTACTTGAACCATTCTTCATAGGCTGGGCCTCACTGTGTACTACAGCAAAAGGAATAGAATGTCTCTTACCTTAATTGGACCATAAATAATACTTCTGTTCTATTTCTAACCAAAAGTTTATATATGCTAGGTTATGGGATTGCTGGGGACTAGGACTCACAGTACAATTCTGTAAAAAGAAATATCATTATACTTTTGAATCTCTCAGATTTAATTGAAGTTTACAAATGAAAAATAGCTTTGTGTTACTACTCTAAAAAAAAGTATGATAGGAGCCCACCATGAGGAGCAGCAACATAAAAACAGCAAAATGATAAACATTACAGGTCCAGCCAGCTCAAATCTGTCTGTCTTGTAAGATACAGACTCGTGAACATTTTCTTGGCATATCTGGTCTGTTTGAAGTAAATAGAGTGTAAAAAGGCCTTACCCATATTTTTTTTAATTCCATTGACCCTCTTAAAAAGACCAGTGAGTCTTTTAATAACTAAACAGTAAGTCTGGAAATCATACCTAATCCTAGGAAATTTTACACTGTTAGGGTGGCCTACAACAGCAAAGACTTTTTAAAAACCTTTCCTGAAGTACCTTTTTGCAAATAAATCACCCTTGCAAACAACTTTTAAAATCAGGATACCTCCAATAGCAATGCCATTTGCCTTGCAAAAGTTTCCTTGGCTCTGGCATATTCACCCAGTCCAGGGTCTCTCTAAATTTCCATCCTTACCCATATTTCTAGTGTAGAGAAAAAACAAAACCTGTCATCATTTTCATCTCCTGCCCCCAGCTCCTTCCAAAATCAAAATAAACAAACCAAAGCTAATTAAAGGAAAAGTCAGAGCTAGTGCTAACCTAGTATTCACTAAAATGGTTGTACCAGTTGTTAAAAAGTTGAAATATTTCTTCAACTTTCCTTTAAGAGTCCTCTTCCTTTCCAGCAACCCCATAATCTAGCAAATAAAAGGTTAATGATTTGTACCTACAGAGATATCTGTTCTGACAAGTCAATGCCTTTACTGTTTATGATTATAGATAGAGATTGAAACGACAGAGAGCTATACATAGGTATATAATATCATTCTTGGAAATAGGCAAACTACATTCACTCTTTCCAGCACCTACTTCCTTATTCCCTTTAGTTTCATCACAGTTCTCTCCTGTTCTTAAGCAAACAGGTGAATTTCATAATTAAAGAAAGTAAGAAGCCAATGTATAAATAACCCTGTACTTCCACAGAGATGTATTAGAGCAGAGCTGGTACAAAAGATGACTATTGTAAAGAAAACCCAACTTTTAATTTTCACTACGAAATTGAAGAAAATCTTCTAATAAACTTTGCTGTAGAGTTAAAAATCATGAGACAAAAGATTTTTAGACCCATGTGTGCTCAACACCTGAGGTGCGTGGACCTGTTTTCGACTTGCAGTGTTAATTCTCCTGATACTGTGAGGTTGCCTGACAGCTCACCTTCCTTTGTCAGTCCTTCCCAGGGTGTGTCTTCCACCCAGACTCCACCCTGTCACTCCTTAAACATGTCTCTCATGCTCTGTTAAAAGTTCCCAGATATTTATTTTCCTCTTCCTTTTATCTAGGTGTTTACAGTTTCTAAATGTGCCAGGGTATTTATCAAGAACAACCTATGAAAATGCTGGGAATTTGAGGCTGAATGTTAATAAATGAATGAGTTCCCTTCAAGCAAAGAGCATGCCACTGTTCATGAACCACTGCTCACTTTTACACTACTCATCAACTGATAATTATTATGCAGTTGTAGCTGGATGGTCCTTGTGGAGCCTAAACTGACATGGGGCTGGATGTGGAGCCAGAGGTATTCCCTCACCCAGTGTCATATGGATGAGCTCATTGACATAGGGACACAGGGATCCCATGAGAAGACAGTCATCTTACGTTAAGAATATGGAAGAGAGACAGAGAAGACGAGGATAATGTAAGGAAGGACATAGCATCCACTCCAGCCCCACCTGAGAGGCTCCACTGGACCCTGAGGAGGGAAGGACCTTCCTTCTCTAAGGGAGCTCTGGAGCTGCAGTGAATGGCAGGGGGACCCTGTGATCCTTTGGGGTGGACACATCAGCAGAAGGGCAAGGGCAAGATCCCTCCCTTAACTACCCTGTGAGCAGTGGACACCAACAGAGTCTCTGGAGAAGAAAAATATGAGACACTTGGGTCCCACAAGCATAGAGAGAAACACATTAGGGCCTCCCAGAAATAACTAAAAAGGGATAAGAGAGGCCCTGTGGTCCCTCATGAGTAGGTGCAAGTAGGAACCAGAAGACACAGATTCTGGCTGTTCCTGTGACCTCTGTACACCAGGAGCTAGTGAGGCCTGGCAACATCATTCTGGGTTTCACTCAGTCACCTGCTAAAAGGAAAACCTTAGACAAATTACATTTAACATGGTTTAATTGAGCAAAAAAAACATTCAGGAATTGGGCAGTCCCCAAACCAGAATACATTCAGAGAGATTCCAGCACTGCCACATGGTTGAAGAAAATTTATGGACAGAAAAAGGAAAGTGACATACAGAAAATGGAAGTGAGGTACAGAAACAGCCAGACTGGTTACAGCTTGGTGTGTGCTTTAGTTAGTGTGTGCTTATTTGGACACGGTTTAAACAGTTGGCCGTCTTTGATTGGTCGAAACTCATTGACTGGCGCAAGAGTAGGTTATAGCCTGTTTACACATCCAGTTAGATTACAGTTCATTTTATACAGAGAAAACTTTAGGCTGAATTTAAAATATATAAGAAGGCAGCTGTAGGCTAAACTTAATTTAACAACCTCCAGGTTAAGAAGCACCGTCATCATTTCTAACAATCTTCTGGGATGCAGGGAGGTGGAAAGGCATAGCACATACTTTTTATTTTTTACAAAAAGGCCCTAAGTGAAGACCCCATTCCAAGTCATTGGTCCACACATACACAGAACATCACTGGGGCTGCCAGGAAGGAAACAGCAGTGCTGTTCAGGAGAGTCTGATGATGTCCCTGCCATGGGCCTCTGCTATTCTGGATATGAACTCGGAAAGAACATTCCACACAATGGAAATGTCTGGACTTGTTCAGATGGTGTTGTCAGGGATAATTTTCCCCTTTATTTAAAGTAATGTATCTAAACTTTTTCTTCTCATTATTCCTCCCTCACCAGCTTTTCTTAAGCTTTTTTTTCTTATGCCCTCCCCAATGAAATGAAATTTTAATACCACAGATTTGCAGTACGTTTATGTACTGTATGTATAGTCGTACTTCATATACTAAAAGCAAAAGTAAAAATTTTTTTGCCCACCAACAACAAATATTTACCACCTTGGGGGTGAGAATTCAAGATTTAGATTTATTTTACTTTCACAGCATCTTGGGACCTAGGCCTGCAATCTTGTCCCATCTGAGACCCAGCTCATCCCCCACTGAAGCCAGCAGCACATACACCCCCGGGAGCCTGAAACTTTCCATCATGCACGCAGCATTGTTACCCACGTGTGCCCAAACACCATGTGGCTTGTGGTTATTACATCCCCAAACCAGCCAGCTGCTGGTTGGCAGGTATTTCCAAGCAATATCCACTTTTGTTTTACTGCTAAATCACATGTGCCTCTCAAATGCAATCTACTACTACTTATTAATATAGTTAGATACATCCTGAGCTTTTCCAGGACACCACAGTCTAATTACTTTACCCCCATGATTTGGAAAATCTAATTCCCCTTTTCACACCAAGGATACTTTTAAACTACATAGGCTCTCTGAAGTATCCCTTTATATAAAATTATTTAAAACTTACCAAATTCCAAACTCTCCGTTTTTCATAATCTACATGAACTGTCAAATCATTGGTGAAGGCGGCAAAAATGGCAAAAATAGTTTTGCTTATCTCCCCACTCACCACTCAAAGAAAGTAAACTTCTACCTTTTCACCATAGGCTCTAACAGTTCTCAAAAAGTAAATTTTTAAATGGAAAAGGTGTTTTCCCATTATATTAAGCAGGGGGAATCATTAAACAGGTACCTACTACTCTAGGGGAAAGTCCACACATTCAATTCCAGTCATCATAAAACAGAAATATCCTAAACAGAAACTTTATGCTACACCATGGCACCTTCAGCCTTCATTTAGTGGTCTCACCTTCTCAGTAAGTCCACTCCAAGGCTGCTGATGGCATCCAATTAATCAAGCAAGTATTAGACTTTGCGATGGAGAGCAATGAAGTGCTAATGAGGACCACGTGCAGTTGTGAATGGCCTCCATCCATGTGACCAGCCACGCCACCAAATGGAGAGGAATTGCTCAGGATGGAGCTATTAGGAATCTTAGAGAGCAACCCCAAGTAGTTACACTGTGTGTGTTTGATGGTGCCGTGGGCCTCCGAGAGATTCCAAATGAGCCACTGGTGGTTTCTGTCAATTCAATTTCAACACATGTTATTTTCAAAATCTTTTAAGGGGGTTTATAATTCACTTATGGTGATTGTGGGCCCATTACACTTTGACACATAACAATCTAATAGTTCAATATATTAGGAAGAATGCATACATTAGAAAAGTAAACATATCCAAATTAGTCACACTTGGGCCTTCCCACTTCAACTAATCATGGTCATTTGTGAACATGTCTGAAATATGCTTTGAAAGACTTGAATTCAAGGCCAACGTCAGCTTTTAATCAGTCCTTAAGATTCACACCTTTTCATTTTCATCAATAATTTATCAGCCTGACATCAATGGCATGTTGATATTCATGGCTTTTGTAGAATTTCTAACTCAATGTTTCTCAGTCAGGGGCATGCCTTTGAGTGGCCTTAGAGATTCTGAACATTGACACACTGATACCTACACCAGGACAAACTGAGTGAGCATGGTCTGAGAGTGGGCTCTGGAATCCTTATATATATATATGAGTGTGTATATATATATGTGTATATATTTTTTTATACATTAAGTTGTAGGGTACATGTGCACAACGTGCAGGTTTGTTACACAGGTATACATGTGCCATGTTGGTTTGCTGCACCCATCAACTTGTCATTTACATTAGGTATTTCTCCTAATGCTATCCCTCCACCAGGCCCCAACCCCGTGATAAGCCCCAGTGTGTGATGTTCCCCGCCCTGTGTCCAAGTGTTCTCATTGTTCAATTCCCACCTATGAGTGAGAATATGTGCTATTTGGTTTTCTGACCTTGTGATAGTTTGCTCAGAATGATGGTTTACAGCTTCATCCATGTCCCTGCAAAGGACATGAACTCATCCTTTTTTATGGACGCATAGTGTTTCATGGTGTATATGTGCCACATTTTCTTAATCCAGGCTATCACTGATGGACATGTGGGTTGGTTCCAAGTCTTTGCTATTGTGAATAGTGCCGCAATAAACATATATGTGCAAGTGTCTTTATAGTAGCATGATTTATAATACTTTGGGTATATACCCAGTAATGGGATTGCTGAGTCAAATACTATCTCTAGTTCTAGATCCTTAAGGAATTGCCACCCTGTCTTCCACAATGGTTGAACTAATTTACCACCAACAGTGTAAAAGTGTTCCTATTTCTCCACATCCTCTCCAGCATCTGTTGTTTCCTGACTTTTTAATGATCGCCATTCAAACTGGCATGACATGGTATCTCATTGTGGTTTTGATTTGCATTTCTCTGATAACGAGTGATGATGATCATTTTTTCATATATCTGTTGGCTGCATAAATGTCTTCTTTTCAGAAGTGTCTGTTCATATCCTTTGCCCACTTTTTGATGGGATTGTTTGTTTTTTTTTTGTAAATTTGTTTAAGTTCTTTGTAGATTCTGGATATTAGTCCTTTGTCAGATGGGTAGGTTGCAAAACTTTTCTCCCATTCTGTAGGTTGCCTGTTCACTCTGATGATAGTTTCTTTTGCTGTGCAGGAGCTCTTTAGTTTAATTAGATCCTATTTGCCTATTTTGGCTTTTGTTGTCATTGCTTTTGGTGTTTTGGTCATGAAGTCCTTCCCCATGCCTATGTCCTGAATGGTATTGCCTAGGTTTTCTTCTAGGGTTTGTATGATTATATCTCTAACATTTAAGTCTTTAATCCATCTTGAATTAATTTTTGTATAAGGTGTAAGAAAGGGATCCAGTTTCAGCTTTCTACATATGGCTAGCCAGTTTTCCCAGCACCATTTATTAAATAGGGAATCTTTTCCCCATTTCTTGTTTTTATCAAGTTTGTCAAAAATCAGATGGTTGCAGATGTGTGGTGTTATTTCTGAGGCCTCTGTTCTGTTCCATTGGTCTATATATCTGTTTTGGTACCAGTACCATGCTGTTTTGGTTACGTAGCTTTGTAGTACAGTTGGAAGTCAGGGAGCGTGATGTCTCCAGCTTTGTTCTTTTTGCTTAGGATTCTCTTGGCAATGTGCGCCCTTTTTTGGTTCCATAGGAACTTTAAAGTAGTTTTTTTCCAATTCTGTGAAGAAAGTCATTGGTAGCTTGATGGGGATGGCATTGAATCTATAAATTACCTTGGGCAATATGTCCATTTTCACAATATTGATTCTTCCTATCCATGAGCATGGAATGTTCTTCCACTTGTTTCTGTCCTCTTTTATTTCATTGAGCAGTTGTTTGTAGTTCTCCTAGAAGAGGTTCTTCACATCCCTTGTAAGTCGGATTCCTAGGTATTTTATTCCTTTAAAGCAATTGTAAATGGGAGTTCACTCATGATTTGGCTCTCTGTCTGTTATTGGTGTATAGGAATGCTTGTAATTTTTGCAGTTTGATTTTGTATCCTGAGACTTTGCTGAAGTTGCTTATCAGCTTAAGGAGATTTGGGGCTGAGACAATGGGTTTTTCTAAATATACAATCATGTCATCTGCAAACAGGGACAATTCGACTTCCTCTTTTCCTAACTGAATACGCTTTATTTCTTTCTCTTGCCTGATTGCCCTGGCCAGAACTTCCAACACTATGTTGAATAGGAGTGATGAGAGAGGGCACACTTGTGTTGTGCTGGTTTTCAAAGGGAATGCTTCCAGTTTTTGCCCATTCAGTATGATATTGGCTGTGGGTTTGTCATAAACAGCTCTTATTATTTTGAGATATGTTCCATTGGTACCTAGTTTATTGAGAGTTTTTAGTGTGAAGGCATGTTGAATTTTGTCAAAAGCTTTTTCTGCATCTATTGAGATAATCATGTGTTTTTTGTCATTGGTACTGTTTATGTGATGGATTACATTTATTGTTTTGTGTATGTTGAACAAGCCTTGCATCCCAGGAATGAAGCTGACTTCATCTTGGTGGATAAGCTTTTGGATGTGCTGCTGGATTTGGTTTGCCAGTATTTTATTGAGGATTTTTGCATGGATGTTCATCAAGGATATTGGTCTAAAATTCTCTTTTGTGTGTGTGTGTGTCTCTGCCAGGCTTTGGTATCAGGATGATGCTGGCCTCATAAAATGAGTTAGCGAGGATTCCCTCTTTTTCTATTGATTGGAATAGTTTCAGAAGGAATGGTACCAGCTCCTATTTGTACCTCTGGTAGAATTCGGCGGTGAATCCATCTGGTCCTGGACTTTTTTTGGTTGGTAGGCTACTAATTATTGCCTCAATATCAGACCCTGCTATTGGTCTATTCAGAGATTCAACTTCTTCCTGGTTTAGTCCTGGGAGGGTCTATGTGTCCAGAAATTTATCTATTTCTTCTACATTTTCTAGTTTATTTGCATAGAGGTGTTTATAGTATTCTCTGATGGTAGTTTGCATTACTGTGGAATCAGTGGTGATATCCCCTTTATCATTTTTTATTGCATCTATTTGATTCTTCTCTTTTCTTCTTTATTAATCTTGCTAGCGGTCTATCAATTTTGTTGATCTTTTCAAAAACCAGCTCCTGGATATGTTGATTTTTTGAAGGGTTTTTTGTGTCTCTATCTCCTTCAGTTCTGCTCTGATCTTAGTTATTTCTTGCCTTCTGCTAACTTTTGAATTTGTTTGCTCTTGCTTTTCTAGTTCTTTTAATTGTGATGTCAAGGTGTCAATTTTAGATCTTTTCTGCTTTCTCTTGTGGGCATTTAGTGCTATAAATTTCCCTTTACACACTGCTTTCAATGCTTCCCAGAGATTCTGGTATGTTGTGTCTTTGTTCTCATTGGTTTCAAAGAACATCTTTATTTCTGCCTTCATTTCGTTATTTATCCAATAGTCATTCAGGAGCAGGTTGTTCAGATTCCATGTAGTTGTGCAGTTTTCAGTGAGTTTCTTAATCCTGAGTTCTAATTTGATTGCACTGTGATCTGAGAGACAGTTTGTTATTATTTCTCTTCTTTTACATTTTCTGAGGAGTGCTTTACTTCCAATTATGTGGTCAATTTTAGAGTAAGTGCAATGTGGTGCTGAGAAGAATGGATATTCTGTTGATTTGGGGTGCAGAATTCTGTAGATATCTATTAGGCCCTCTGGGTGCAGAGCTGAGTTCAAGTCCTGGATATCCTTGTTAACCTTCTGTCTCGTTGATCTGTCTAATATTGACAGTGGGGTATTAAAGTCTCCCATTATTATTGTGTGAGAGTCTAAGTCTCTTTGTAGGTCTCTAAGGACTGCTTTATGAATCTGAGTGCTCCTTTATTAGGTGCATATATATTTAGGATAGTTAGCTCTTCTTATTGAATTGATCGCTTTACCATTATGTAATGGCCTTCTTTGTCTCTTTTGATCTTTGTTGGTTTAAAGTCTGTTTTATCAGAGACTCAGAGACTAGGACCTCTGCTTATTTTTTTATTTTTTTGCTTTATATTTGCTTGTTAGTTCTTTCTCCATCCCTTTATTTTGAGTCTATGTGTGTCTCTGCACAAGAGATGGGTCTCCTGAATACAGCACACTGATGGGTCTTGACTCTATCCAATTTGCCAGTCTGTGTCTTTTAATTGGGGCATTTAGCCCATTTACATTTAAGGTTAATATTGTTATGTGTGAATTTGATCCTGTCATTATAATGTTAGCTGGTTATTTTGCCCATTAATTCATGCATTTTCTTCATAGCATCAGTGGTCTTTATAATTTTGTATGTTTTTGCAGTGGTTGGTACCAGTTGTTCCTTTCCATGCTTAGTGCTTCCTTCAGGAGCTCTTTTAGGGCAGGCCTAGTGGTGACAAAGTCTCTCAGCATTTGCTTGTCTGCAAAGTATTTTATTTCTCCTTCACTTATGAAGCTTAGTTTGGCTGGCTATGAAATTCTGGGTTGAAAATTCTTTTCTTTAAGAATGTTGAATATCGGCCCCCACTCTCTTCTGGCTTGTAGAGTTTCTGCCGAGAGATCTGCTGTTAGTCTGATGGGCTTCCCTTTGTGAGTAAGCCAACCTTTCTCTCTGGCTGTGCTTAACATTTTTTCCTTCATTTCAACCTTGGTAAATCTGACAATTATGTGTCTTGTGGTTGCTGTTCTCTAGGAGTATCTTTGTGGTGTTCTCTGTATTTCCTGAATTTGAATGTTGGCCTGCCTTGCTAGGTTGGGGAAGTTCTTCAGGATAATATCCTGAAAAGTGTTTTTGAACTTGGTTCCATTCTCCCTGTCACTTTCAGGTACACCAAACAAATGTAGATTTGGTCTTTTCACATAGTCCCATATTTCTTGGAGGCTTTGTTCATTTCTTTTTACTCTTTTTTCTCTAAACTTGTCTTCTCATTTTATTTCATTAATTTCATCTTCAGTCACTGATGCCCTTTCTTCCACTTGATCAAATTGGCTATTGAAGCTTGTGCATGCGGTGGCAGCCAAGATAGCCGAATAGGAACAGCTCCTGTCTACAGCTCCCAGTGTGAGCGACACAGAAGGTGGGTGATTTCTGCATTTCCATCTGAGGTACCAGTTTCATCTCACTAGGGAGTGCCAGAGAGTGGGCACAGGACAGTGGGTGCAGCACACCGTGCGTGAGCCAAAGCCGAGTGAGGCATTGCCTCCCTCGGGAAGTGAAAGGGGTCAGGGAGTTCCCTTTCCTAGCCAAAGAAAGGGGTGACAGACGGCACCTGGAAAATTGGGTCACTCCCACCTGAATACTGAGCTTTTCTGACGGGCTTAAAAAACAGCGCACCAGGAGATTATATCCTGCACCTGGCTCAGAGGGTCCTATGCCTACGGAGTCTCACTGATTGCTAGCACAGCAGTCTGAGATCAAACTGCAAGGCGGCGGCGAGGCTGGGGGAGGGGCGCCCACCATCGCCCAGGCTTGCTTAGGTAAACAAAGAAGCCTGGAAGCTCAAACTGGGTGGAGCCCACCACAGCTCAAGGAGGCCTGCCTGCCTCTGTAGGCTCCACCTCTGGGGCAGGGCACAGACAAACAAAAAGACAGCAGTAACCTCTGCAGAAATAAATGTCCCTGTCTGACAGCTTGGAAGAGAGCAGTGGTTCTCCCAGCATGCAGCTGGAGATCTGAGAACGGGCAGACTGCCTCCTCAAGTGGGTCCCTGACCCCTGACCCCTGAGCAGCCTAACTGGGAGGCACCGCCCAGTAGGGGCAGACTGACACCTCACACAGCTGGGTACTCCTCTGAGACAAAACTTCCAGAGGAATGATCAGACGGCAGCATTCGCGGTTCACGAAAATCCACTGTTCTGCAGCCACCACTGCTGATACTCAGGCAAAGAGGGTCTGGAGTGGACCTCTAGCAAACTCCAACAGACCTGCAGCTGAGGGTCCTGTCTGTTAGAAGGAAAACTAACAAACAGAAAGGACATCCACACCAAAAACCATCTGTACATCACCATCATCAAAGACCAAAAGTAGATAAAACCACAAAGATGGGGAAAAAACAGAGCAGAAAAACTGGAAACTCTAAAAAGCAGAGGACCTCACCTCCTCTGAAGGAATGCAGTTCCTCACCAGCAATGGAACAAAGCTGGACAGAGAATGACTTTGACGAGTTCAGAGAAGAAGGCTTCAGACAATCCAACTACTCCGAGCTACAGGAGGAAATTCAAACCAAAGGCAAAGAAGTTAAAAACTTTGAAAAAAATTTAGACGAATGTATAACTAGAATAACCAATACAGAGAAGTGCTTAAAGGAGCTGATGGAGCTGAAAGCCAAGGCTCGAGAACTACGTGAAGAATGCAGAAGCCTCAGGAGCTGATGCGATCAACTGGAAGAAAGGGTATCAGTGATGGAAGATGAAATGAATGAAATGAAGCAAGAAGGGAAGTTAAGAGAAAAAAGAATAAAAAGAAATGAACAAAGCCTCCAAGAAATATGAGACTATGTGAAAAGACCAAATCTATGTCTGATTGGTGTACCTGAAAGTGACGGGAAGAATGGAACCAAGTTGGAAAACACTCTGCAGGATATTATCCAGGAGAACTTCACCAATCTAGCAAGGCAGGCCAACATTCAGATTCAGGAAATACAGAGAACGCCATAAAGATACTCCTCGAGAAGAGCAACTCCAAGACACATAATTGTCAGATTCACCAAAGTTGAAATGAAGGAAAAAATGTTAAGGGCAGCCAGAGAGAAAGGTCGGGTTACCCACAAAGGGAAGCCCGTTAGACTAACAGCAGATCTCTCGGCAGAAACTCTACAAGCCAGAAGAGAGTGGGGGCCAATATTCAACATTCTTAAAGAAAAGAATTTTCAACCCAGAATTTCATATCCAACCAAATTAAGCTTCATAAGTGAAGGAGAAATAAAATCCTTTACAGACAAGCAAATGCCGAGAGATTTTGTCACCACCAGGCCTCCCCTAAAAGAGCTCCTGAAGGAAGCACTAAACATGGAAAGGAACAACTGGTACCAGCAACTGCAAAATCATACCAAATTGTAAAGACCATCGAGGCTAGGAAGAAACTGCATCAACTAACAAGCAAAATAACCAGCTAACATCATAATGACAGGATCAAATTCACACATTACAATATTAACTTTAAATGTAAATGGGCTAAATGCTTCAATTAAAAGACACAGACTGGCAAATTGGATAAAGAGTCAAGACCCATCATTGTGCTGTATTCAGGAAACCCATCTCACGTGCAGAGACACACATAGGCTCAAAATAAAAGGATGGAGGAAGATCTACCAAGCAAATGGAAAACAAAACAAGGCAGGGGTTGCAATCCTAGTCTCTGATAAAACAGACTTTAAACCAACAAAGATACAAAGATCAAAAGAGACAAAGAAGGCCATTATATAATGGTAAAGGGATCAATTTAACAAGAAGAGCTAACTATCGTAAATACAAATGCACCCAATACAGGAGCACCCAGATTCATAAAGAAAGTCCTGAGTGACCTACAAAGAGACTTAGACTCCCACACAATTATAATGGCAGACTGTAACACCCCACTGTCAAAATTAGACAGATCAATGAGACAGAAAGTTAACAAGGATACCCAGGAATTGAACTCAGCTCTGCACCAAGCAGACCTAATAGACATCTACAGAACTCTCCACCCCAAATCAACAGAATATACATTTTTTCCAGCATGACACCACACCTATTCCAAAATTGACCACATAGTTGGAAGTAAAGCTCTTCTTAACAAACGTAAAAGAACAGAAATTACAACAAACTGTCTCTCAGACCACAGTGCAATCAAATTACAGCTCAGGATTAAGAAACTCACACAAAACCGCACAACTACATGGAATCTGAACAACCTGCTCCTGAATGACTACTGGGTACATAACGAAATGAAGGCAGAAATAAAGATGTTCTTTGAGACCAATGAGAACAAAGACACAACATACCAGAATCTCTGGGATGCATTCAAAGCAGTGTGTAGAGGGAAATTTATAGCACTAAATGCCCACAAGAGAAAGCAGGAAAGATCTAAAATTGACACCCTAACATCACAATTAAAAGAACTAGAAAAGCAAGAGCAAACACATTCAAAAGCTAGCAGAAGGCAAGAAATAACTAAAATCAGAGCAGAACTGAAGGAAATAGAGACATAAAAAACCCTTCAAAAAATTAATGAATCCAGGAGCTGGTTTTTTGAAATGATCAACAAAATTGATAGACCACTAGCAAGCCTAATAATGAGGAAAAGAGAGAAGAATCAAATAGATGCAATAAAAAATGATAAAGGGGATATCACCATCGATCCCACAGAAATACAAACTACCATCAGAGAATACTACAAACACCTCTATGCAAATAAACTAGAAAATCTAGAAGAAATGGATAAATTCCTGGACACATACACCATCCCAAGACTAAACCAGGAAGAAGTTGAATCTCTGAATAGACCAATAACAGGAGCTGAAATTGTGGCAATAATCAATAGCTTACCAACCAAAAAGAGTCCAGAACCAGATGGATTCACAGCCGAATTCTACCAGAGGTACAAGGAGGAACTGGTACCATTCCTTCTGAAACTATTCTAATCAATAGAAAAAGAGGGAATCCTCCCTAACTCATTTTATGAGGCCAGCATCATCCTGATACCAAAGCCGGGCAGAGACACAACCAAAAAAGAGAATTTTAGACCAATATCCTTGATGAACATAGATGCAAAGATCCTCAATAAAATACTGGCAAATCGAATCCAGCAGCACATCAAAAAGCTTATCCACCATGATCAAGTGGGCTTCATCCCTGGGATGCAAGGCTGGTTTAATATACACAAATCAATAAATGTAATCCAGCATATAAACAGAACCAAAGACAAAAACCACATGATTATCTCAATAGATGCAGAAAAGGCCTTTGACAAAATTTAACAACCCTTCGTGCTAAAAACTCTCAATAAATTAGGTATTGATGGGACGTATCTCAAAATAATAACAGCTATCTATGACAAACCCACAGCCAATATCATACTGAATGGGCAAAAACTGGAAGCATTCCCTTTGAAAATTGGCACAAGACAGGGATGCCCTCTCTCACCACTCCTATTCAACATAGTGTTGGAAGTTCTGGCCAGGGCAATTAGGCAGGAGAAGGGAATAAAGGGTATTCAGTTAGGAAAAGAGGAAGTCAAATTGTCCCTGTTTGAAGATGACATGATTGTATATCTAGAAAACCCCATTGTCTCAGCCCAAAATCTCCTTAAGCTGATAAGCAACTTCAGCAAGTCTCAGGATACAAAATAAATATACAAAAATCACAAGCATTCTTATACACCAATAACAGACAAACAGAGAGCCAAATCATGAGTGAAATCCCATTCACAATTGCTTCAAAGAGAATAAAATACCTAGGAATCCAACTTACAAGGGACGTGAAGGACCTCTTCAAGGAGAACTACAAGCCACTGATCAACGAAATAAAAGAGGATACAAACAAATGGAAGAACATTCCATGCTCATGGGTAGGAAGAATCAATATCGTGAAAATGGCCATACTGCCCAAGGTAATTTATAGATTCAATGCCATCCCCATCAAGCTACCAATGACTTTCTTCACAGAATTGGAAAAAACTATTTTAAAATTCATATGGAACCAAAAAAGAGCCCGCATCGCCAAGTCAATCCTAAGCCAAAAGAACAAAGCTGGAGGCATCATGCTACCTGACTTCAAACTATACTACAAGGCTACAGTAATTAAAATAGCATGGTACTGGTACCAAAACAGAGATATAGATCAATGGAACAGAACAGAGCCCTGAGAAATAATGCCGCATATCTACAACTATCTGATCTTTGACAAACCTGAGAAAAACAACCAATGGGGAAAGGATTCCCTATTTAATAAATGGTGCTGGGAAAACTGGCTAGCCATATGTAGAAAGCTGAAACTGGATCCCTTCCTTACACCTTATACAAAAATTAATTCAAGATGGATTAAAGACGTAAACATTAGACCTAAAACCATAAAAACCCTAGAAGAAAACCTAGGCATTACCATTCAGGACATAGGCATGGGCAAGGACTTCATGTTTAAAACACCAAAAGCAATGGCAACAAAAGCCAAAATTGACAAATGGGATCTAATTAAACTAAAGAGCTACTGCACAGCAAAAGAAACTACCAACAGAGTGAACAGGCAATCTACAAAATGGGAGAAAATTTTCGCAACCTACTCATCTTACAAAGGGCTAATATCCAGAATCTACAATGAACTCAAACAAATTCACAAGAAAAAAACAAAAAAACCCATCAAAAAGTGGACAAAGGACATGAACAGACACTTCTCAAAAGAGGACATTTATGCAGCCACAAAACACATGAAAAAATGCTCACCGTCACTGGCCATCAGAGAAATGCAAATCAAAACCACAGTGAGATACCATCTCATACCAGTTAGAATGGCAATCATTAAAAAGTCAGGAAACCACAGGTGCTGGAGAGGATGTGGAGAAATAGGAACACTTTTACACTGTTGGTGGGACTGTAAACTAGTTCAACCATTGTGGAAGTCAGTGTGGCGATTCCTCAGGGATCTAGAACTAGAAATACCATGTGACCCAGCCATCCCATTACTGGGTATATACCCAAAGGACTATAAATCATGCTGCTATAAAGACGTGCACACATATGTTTATTGCGGCACTATTCACAATAGCAAAGACTTGGAGCCAACCCAAATGTTCAACAATGATAGACTGGATTAAGAAAATGTGGCACATATACACCATGGAATACTATGCAGCCATAAAAAATGATGAGTTCATGTCCTTTGTAGGGACATGGATGAAATTGGAAATCATCATTCTCAGTAGACTATCACAAGGACAAAAAGCAAACACTGCATGTTCTCACTCATAGATGGGAATTGAACAATGAGAACGCATGGACATAGGAAGGGGAACATCACACTCTGGGGACTGTTGTGGGGTGGGGGGAGGGGGGAGGGATAGCATTAGGAGATATACCTAATGCTAAATGACGAGTTAATGGGTGCAGCACACCAGCATGGCACATGTATACATATGTAACTAACCTGCACATTGTGCACATGTACCCTAAAACTTAAAGTATAATAATAATAAAATAAAAAAAAAGAATAAGATCCAGTCATCTGCAACAACATAGATGGAACTGGAGATCATTATGTTAAATGAAATAAGTCAGGCACAGATAAGACAAATATTGCATGTTTTCACTTATATGTGGGATCTAAAAATCAAAACAACTCAACTCATGCACATAAAGAGTAGGATGGTTACCAAAGGCTGAGAAGGAGAGTGGGAGGGTGAGGGGTAGGTAGGGATGGTTAATGGGTACAAAAAAAGTGGTTAAAAAGAATGAATAAGACCTACTGTTTGATAGTACAAGAGGGTAGCTGTAACTTAATTGTATATTTTGAAATCACCTAAAAAGTGCATTGGATTGTTCATAACTCAAAGTGTAAATGCATAATCTCCATAATGTGCTTATTTAATGCCTGTATTAAAACACCTCATGTACCCCATAAATATATACACCTATTATGTATCCACAAAAATTAAAAATATAAAAAGATGGTTATACATAATTATACACATCCAGTAATGCTGTTTGTGTGAAATTATCTTAATAAAATAATCACAATAGCTCCAGGCACAAAGATAAAAAAAAAAAAAAAAAAAAGAAGCTTGTGCATGCATCTCAAAGTTCTCATGCCATGGTTTTCAGCTCCATCAGGTCATTTAAGGTCTTCTCTACACTGTTTATTCTAGTTAGCCATTCATCTAACCTTTTTTCAAGGTTTTTGCTTCCTTGCAATGGGTTAGTACATGCTCTTTAGCTCGGAGAAGTTTGTTATTACCGACCTCCTGAAGCCTACTTCTGTCAACTCATCAAAGTCATTCTCCGTCCAGCTTTGTTCTGTTGCTGGCGAGGAGCTGCAATCCTTTGGAAGAGAAGAGGTGCTCTGGTTTTTAGAATTTTCAGCTTTTCTGCTCTGGTTTCTCGCCATCTTTGTGGTTTTATCTACCTTTGGTCTTTGATATTGGTGACCTACAGATGGGGTTTGGTGTGGATGTCCTTTCTGTTGATGTTGATGCTATTCCTTTGTTTTCTTTCTAACACTCAGGTCTCTCAGCTGCAGGTCTGTTGGAGTTTGCTGGAGGTCCACTCCAGATGCTGTTTGCCTGGGTATCAACAGCAGAGGCTGCAGAACAGCAAATATTGCAGAACAGCAAACATTGCTGCCTGATCTTTCCTCTGGAAGCTTCATCCCAGAGGGGCACCCCCCTGTATGAGGTGTCTGTCCATCCCTACTGGGAGGTGTCTCCCAGTTAGGCTACACGGGGGTCAGGACCCCCCTTGAGGAGGCAGTCTGTCCATTCTCAGAGCTCAGTCGTCATGCTGGGAGAACCACTGCTCTCTTCAGAGCTGTCAGACAGGGACATTTAAGTCTGCAGAATTTTCTGCTGCCTTTTCTTCAGCTATGCCCTGCCCACAGAGGTAGAGTCTATAGAGGCAGTAGGCTTTGCTGAGCAGTCGTGGGCTCCGCCCAGTTTGAGCTTCCTGGCCACTTTGTTTACTGACTCAAGCCTCAGCAATGGTGGACACCCCTCCCCACACCAGGCTTCAGCCTTGCAGGTTGATCTCAGACTGCTGCACTAGCAGTGAGCAAGGCTCAGTGGGCGTGGGACCCGCCAAGCCAGGCATGGGAGTGTCCCATTTTTCCAAGTCTGTCACGGCTTCCCTTGGCTAGGAAAGGGAAATCCCTCGACCCCTTGTACTACTTGGGTGAGGCAATGCCCCGCCCTGCTTCTTCTCACCCTCCATGGGCTGCACCCACTGTCCAACCAGTCCCAGTGAGATGAACCAGGTACCTCAGTTGGAAATGCCGGAATCACCAGTCTTCTGCGTCAATCATGCTGGGAACTGCAGACCAGAGCTCTTCCTATTCGGTTATCTTGGAACAGACACCTCTGGAATCCTTATTTTTAAATAGCTTCCCAGAGTTTGGTTTGCATATAGGTTTAGGAATAAATGCACTAATCCCTTACAGCATGATTCAGTTAACATTTTCGTTCATACACAACTAAATATGTCGTGTGTATCTTTATTTACGTACAACTTTAAATTTGTCTGTGTGTGGAGTGAGGTAAAAATGCTCAGAAAATGGGGTGGTCTTTTTCTGAGGTGGACACTTGTGGTTGCCTTCTGTTCTGACTAATATTACTACATAACAAACCACCCAAAAATTAGGGGTGTAAAGCAACATTTGTTTCTGCTCACAGATTCTAGCAGCAGTTCACACAAGGGACAGCAGGGATGCTTATCTTTTCTCCATGTCTGTGGCCTCAGTTAGGGCAACTCACAAGCTAGGGATAACCTGACAGCAGGGGGAGGAATCATCTGGAAGCCCCCTTATTCACATGCCTGGCAGTTGTGCTGGGATGCAGCACTCAGCTGGGACTGTCAACCAGAGCACCTCACACAGCTTCTCTAATGGCTTGGGCTTCCTCACAGCATGGCAGACTCAGGATTGTCAAATTTCTTACTCACTCCAGTGTGAGTGCTCCACATGACAATGTAGAAACTTCACTGCCTTTATGATAAAAACCTTACATCACTTCTGCTTGATTGCCCAAATTTAAAAAGCAAAAACCAAACAAACCTCATGGAGGAATTTCAGACACTATCCATAGTCTTATAAGGACTAAATATGGAAATGGGGGGCACAACTTATAGTGTTTCACCATCTCTGCCTTGCTTTGGCTTAAAGCAGGCTCTAAGTAGAGATGTCCCCTTCACATTCCTGACACAAGTAAAAAGGAAAACACAAACAGACATAGAAATTTTGCACCATCTATCAACCTTTGGAGGGCATGTGGTCAGCTATCCCACCGAGCTGGAAATGAGACAGCAAGTCATGTGCCTGTGAGTATGAGAAAAATGCTTTTTTTATACCTGCAAACAATTTTCACCCTCCTACATAGTGATCTCTTAGGTAAGTGATTCTATTAAGAATAAAGATTCTATTAACATTCTGTATGTTTCCATGGTGCTTCATAGTTTTCAGAGAGCTTTCCCATTCACTTTCTTATTTAGAATTCACAGATAGAAATTCCTGTAGTGGGTTTTAAAATCTCCATTTTTCAGGGTTGAAGACATGGAGCAGTGTGCTTGCAGTTACACTGCTACTGTGTGGCAAAGCCAGGGCTCTTGTGCATCACCCCACACTTCATTCCACAGGAGTTCATCTAATTATCCTCACGAATTACACCATGGAAAGTCTTCCCTTGCACACCTCAGCCATTCTACTAAAAGCTTCTGAGTTATAAATCCAAAAGGGTTGTTCATTTATATATCATTAGCTTACATTAATTGAGCGCTTACTATATTATATGTCTGGTATGCTCGTATTTTTCATGTATTGTCTCTTCTCATTACAAGGTGATATTGTTTGAATATATGTCCCCACCAAATCTCACGTTGAATTGTAATCTCCAATGTTGGAGGTGGGACCTGGTGGGAGATGTTTGGATCATAAGGGTGGGTCCCGGCCGGGCGCGGTGGCTCACGCCTGTAATCCCAGCACTTTGGGAGGCCGAGGCGGGCGGATCACGAGGTCAGGAGATCGAGACCATCCCGGCTAAAACGGTGAAACCCCGTCTCTACTAAAAATACAAAAAAAAATTAGCCGGGCGTAGTGGCGGGCGCCTGTAGTCCCAGCTACTTGGGAGGCTGAGGCAGGAGAATGGCGTGAACCCGGGAGGCGGAGCTTGCAGTGAGCCGAGATTGCGCCACTGCACTCCAGCCTGGGCGACAGAGCGAGACTCCGTCTCAAAAAAAAAAAAAAAAAAAAGGGTGGGTCCCTCATGGATGGCTTGAGCCATCCCTTGGTGATAAGTGAGCTCTCTCTCAGAGTTCACACAAGATATGGTGGTTTAAAAGTGTGTGGCACCTTCCCCCACAACTATCTCTCCCTTGCTCCTGCTGTCATCATGTGATGTGCCTGCTTTCACAACACCTTCTACCATGACTGTAAGCTTCCTGGGGCCTCTCTAGAAGTTGAGTAGATGCCAGCATCATACTCCCTATACAGCCTACAGAACCATGGGCCAATTAAATATCATTTCTTATAAATTACTCCGTCTCAGGTTTCTATTTATAGCAGTGCAATAATGGCCTAATGCAGAAAATTGGTACCAAGGAATGGGACATTGCTATAAAAAAAAAACCTGAAAATGTGAAAGCAGCTTTGGAACTGGGTAACAGGAAGAGGCTGAAAGAGTTTGGAGGGCTCAGAAAACGACAGGAAGATGAGGGACAGTTCATAACTTCCTAGAAACTGGTTAAACAATTGTGACCAAAATGCTGATAGTGATATGGACAGTGAAGTCCAGGCTATTGAGGTCTCACATGGAGATGAGGAACTTGTTGGGAACTGGAACAAAGGTCATTTGTGTTATGCCTTAGCAAAGAGCTTGCCTGCACTCTGTTTATGTCCTAGGGATCAGTGGAAGTTTTAACTTCAGAGTGATGATGCAGGGCATCTAGCAGAAGAAATTTCTAAGCAGCAAAGCATTCAAGATGTGGCCTGGCTCCTTCTAACAGCCTATGTTCAGATGTGGGAGCCAAGAAATGACTTAAAGTTGAGATTTTTATATTTAAAAGGGAAGCAGAGCATAAAAGTTTGGAAAATTTGCAGCCTGTCCATGCAACAGAGAAAGGAAACACTTTTTTCAAGAGAGGAATTAAGGCAGGTTGTGGGGCAACAACTTGCTAGAGAAATATGCATAACTAAAAGGGAGCCAAGCACTAATAGCCAAGACCATGGAGAAAATGTCTCAAAAGCATTTGAGAAACCTTCCCAGCAGCCCCTCGTATCATAAACCCAGAGGCCTAGGAGAGAAGAATGGTTTTGTGGGCCAGGCCCAGGGCCCCTACTACCTTATACAGCCTCAGGACACTGCTTCCCACATCTCAGCTGCTCCAGCTCCAACTGTGGCTTAAAGGACCCCGAATATAGCTTAGGCCACAGCTCCAGAGGGTGTAAGCCATAAGCCTTGGTGGCTTCCATGTTGTGTTAAGCCTGAAGCCACATAGAACGCAAGCACAAAGGCCTGGCACCCTCTACCTAGATTTCAGAGAATGTATAAAAAAGCCCGTTTGTCCAGGCAGAAGCTTTCTGCAGGGGTGAAGCCCTCACAGAGAACCTCTATATGGAAGTGCAGGGGGGCAGGAAATGTAGGATTGAGGGCCCCACACAAAGTCCCCACTGGAGCACTGACTAGTAGAGCTGTTAGAAGGGGGCCACCCTCCACCAGACCCCAGAATGGTACATCCACCAGTGGCTTGTGCCCTGTGCCTGAAAAAGCCAGAGGCACACAATTCTAATTTGTGATAGCAGCCCTGGGGGCTGAACCTTGCAAAGTCACAGCAGTGAAGCTGCCCAATACCTTGGAACCCTTGCCTTGCACCAATGTGCCCTGGATGTGAGACATGAAGTCAAAGGAGACTATTTTGAAGCTTTAAGATTTAATGACTGCCCTGCTGGGTTTTGAACTTGCATCAGGCCTCTAGCCCCTTTCTTTTGGAAAGTTTCTCCCTTTTGGAATGAAAATGTTTACCCAATGCCTACACCCTCATTGTATCTTAGAAGTAAATAACTTGTTTTGATTTTATGGCTTCAAAGGTGGAAGTAACTCATCTCCAGATAAAAATTAGGACTTTGGACTTTTGAATTAATGCTGGAATTAGTTAAGACTTTGGGAAACTGTTGGGAAGGAATTATTGTATTTTGCAATATGAGAAGGATATGAAATTTGGGGGACAAGAGGGGACCAGACAAGAGGTATTTAGATCATGGGGATGTATGTCTTCATGTATGTCTTGGGCCCCATGGTGATAAGTGAGCTTTCACTCAGTTCACACACGATCTGTTGGTTTAAAAGTATATGTTACCTCCCCCTGGCCAGCCATTCTTTCTCCCTTGCTCCTGCTTTCACCATGTGAAGTGCTGCTTCCACTTTGTCTTTTGCCATGATTTCAAACTTCATGAGGCTTCCTTAGAAACCAAGCAGATGCCAGCACCATGCTTCCTGTATAGCCTGCAAAACTGTGAGCCAATTAAATCTCTTTTCTTATAAATTACCCAGTCTCAGGTATCTATTTATAGCGGTGCAAGAATGGCCTAATACAAAAGATAGGCCATTACATTCTCTGTACTGTGCATATTCATTCATATGATGTAGATAAATCAGGGATACAGTCCCCAAGACACAAAATCATGATAGCTCATATGCAATGTTTTACAAGGTGACTATGATTTACACCACCTAGCAGCACCAAGTAAATGAAGAAATGCCGACCCCTTGAATGCAATGACCATGGGAGAAACACAAACACACCTCCTCATCTTTTCTCCCTTACCCCACTTGACCTGCAGGCTTTGCCCTATGAGTGTGTATACAGTGCTGTCCTCTCAAACTTTCTTGCTAAAAATATTTACTCCAACATCCCAAACAGGAATAAGCATCCTGAGCAGATGAATCCAAGTAGCAAATGAGAAGGGAATGCCTTAAGTCTTGAGAAGAAGCTTAAAACAACAAAACATTTTTTGGAACACTGAAACATTTACAAATACACAAGAGAACTTGTGATAGCACAAGAACAAGAGATCTAACAGAATCCATATTGTGTGCCATCAGTGACAATACATCTCAAATAAAAGAAAGCTATTCAGCAGGAACAACTATGAGAGCTGCAACATCTCTTGATTAAGCCTGAGGAAGGTATAAATAATGTTGATGATGATGTAGACCATGATAACAAAAGTCCAGTAACTGTCACCAGAGGGAAATATGCCACTATAATTGGGCTGATGTGCACCCACAGGTATTGAAAACAATTACCCCACTGAGCAAAGCACCCACTGCCTAGCAGTCTCCCATATCACTTGAGGCCATATATGCAGCTTCTTAAAGAAAGGAGAAAATGGCCTAACAACAACTTCTGCATTTCTATTTTAAATTAATGTAAAAGGTAAACAGGACAAACCATAGCACCTTTAGTGCAATAGCATTTTGTCCTACTATTTTCCTCCTTCTCCATAACTCAGAAGCCCCCACTGTGCACTTACGACTCACCAAGCAAACCTTGTGCTTTCTGTAAGGTGAAGCACTTATGTACCATGGTATTTTTTAAATTTTATAAGGGACTTGAGATTTTTAAAGCTTTTATTAGGGTTTTAGAAGAGTATTCCTTACTAGACTATACAGGTGTTGTGTTTCACCCAATTAAATTTTTCCCAGAAGGCTCATCATTTTTATTGCATGAAATTCTACATTACATTTATTTTTTAGAAAGATGTATATGGCACTGTAGGAGAAACAACTATATTATCTCATTTAATCCTCATCTTACCCCACTTTACAAGAGAAAACATTGGGTATGGTTTTCATTGAACATCAAAATCTCATATCTTGTACATATTCTCCCAAACTGTGTTCCCCGTCTTTCTTCTAATGTAATGTTAGCTGAGTTTCTCCACCATTCAAAAGCCTTTTCCTAGAACATCGTGATGAGAGAAATCACAAAGCGGTAGCTCCCAGCCCTGCTAAAAGGAGGAAACGTGCTTGGCATCCAAATGGAAACTGGTTTCTAGTACTTAGGTCAAAAGTTCATGTACACACACACACACACACACACACACACACACAGAGCGTTCTCAAGAGAAGTTCTTAAGGCCAAAAGAAAAAACAGAGAGACTACCAACACATAGATCCTAGAGTGAAAAAATCCAACTGGCAATCTGAACTAATGTAGGCAGTTTCCCCAAAGCGACTGATAACTATTGAGTTACTTTCCCCAGGGTCAGCTGCAGAGAAGGAATTAGAAAGACCAAGTTGGGGCCCTTCTCTACTCCTTTTAAATACCGCGTTTCTGTTGCTTGGAACTTTCATATTTCTGCATCAGACTGTTCTCCTTGCTATATTTCACACTCCCTCTGGCTTCACATCAGAAGAACAAGGTCAGTATTTGTTTGTAATGGAATAGGGGTGTGATGGTGAATAATACAGATGTATATTTTACTTGGAACAAATGCAGTTCACCTTTCTTCTCTGAGTAAACTGAGATCTTGAGAGAGGCTGCACTGCATAAGCCTTCAAAAGGAGGCCCTCCTTGGGTATTCCAAACATTTTATCAAGCCACAAGATCCTCTTGTTTCAAGCAAGAAGCACCTACAAAGAAAAAGACAGTTTCTGTAAGACACTTGGATTTTGGGTTTGTTAGTTCTTTTGGGGTGAATTTTTAATGTTAACAGAAAAACCAAACTACCTTGGTGGAATTGGGTGCCAGGAGGCATTAAATAAATGGATTCAAGTAAGTACATTTGCAATACCCTAGAATGGTACATTCTCTCAGGTCCTTTGCTTTGGGTTTTTCAGAGAGATTCAGAATACGTTTCTACGTTTATTTAAAGTAGAATGTTAAGGCCAAGATGAAGAGAATCAATTCTAATCAGCTTTTGAAGTAGAAACAGGACAGGATCAATCTTGCAGCACTCAACAGACTATCTCCCATTTGGAACTAAAGATGCAGAACATAAAACATTCCATTAGATCCCTATTTTATTTCATTTGTGGCCACATGAGTCTGTCTAATCCTGACCACAGAATCAGAATGTTGAAAAGACTTTGAAGGTTCATCGAATCCACACCCACGCCTATGGGAAGATCTCCCACTAACCCTCCAGACACATGGGGACTTACCCTGTTTCTAAAGACCTCCACGAAGTCCTACAAAAAGTGTTAAAACACCAGCTCTCCTGCCAGTGGTCTGCTGGGATTGTTGAATTTGCGTCGGCCCCACCTCCATTAATCAATCCCACTCCAGCTCCTCAGAATCATCCCCTTTTCTCTACTCTTTAATACTCAACATCTGCCCACAGCTCACATGTGTTGCATTGCCAAGTTCTGGCCCCTAAGCCAGCTGAGGCCTGTTCTAGTCTATTGAAGCCAAGGCACAGGTGTGGCTGTCAGGCAGCCCAAGCCCCTCCTGTTGTTCCCCATGCAACCATTGGCAGTGCTTCAGCTGCTGAGCAGCTAGTGAGAGGAAAGGCAAATTCCTAAACACTCAGGAGTTTTGGAGTGTTTCATTCTTTGCAAGGAAAAAAGATTCATAGATCTTTTATTAGGGAGGCTGCAAGTGATGCTTGATATAAAATATTTGCCTTTTGTTTAACATAGTAAATTGATCATTATTTGGCTACCCCAACTCAAACTTCTGATCAAGCCTCAAAATTTGCAGCACCAACCTCTACCAGAATTCCTACTCTGTTGGCTTAAAATAGCAGAGGAGTAAACTTTTTTCCTTCATTAATATGAAAGAATTTGAAGCATTAGAAATAGCCCTGCACTAAAGAAACAGGTACTAAGAATGATGTTTCCCAGGAAATGCGTGTGGCCAGAAACCTAAGTCAGGAATGAAGAATCCTCAATGAGCATTGGAGAGGACTGTCTACTTTCCTTGACTCTCATATCATTCCTGGCTCCAGACTGGCTCCTGGAAAACGCTTTTTCTCCATTTCCCAGACAATGTCTTGTGCACTCCCCCATTGCCTGAGAGAGACTTAGGGAGGGTTATCTGTAGTACCAATCAAGGCAGCTTGGATGCTCCCCTCCAGCCTTCAGCAGACAGACCCTCCTGGAGATGTGGGAAGGGCCATCACCCCACTGTAAGGAGCTGAGGCCCTGTTGATCAGCTTTTTCAGTTTCAGCAACAGAAGCAGACAGGCCTTGAGCTGTATGGAGTGGAGCCTGCAGTTACTGGTGTGACCATCCACTGCAGTCAGAGGCAAAACCCTGAGAGAAGCCCAAAATCCAGCTGAAGAATGGGAATGCACAGGGTCATACTCCTCAGGTGGTGCCAATTTTCAAAACCCCAGACCCCTCAAATCAAGGACTGTATCCCAGAGAACTGGATAAACCAGCTATGTCCCTACAGATAAAGACACATGCTACCCTTTAACTTCCTGCTGGCTAAATGCTTTCTCTGAAGGCCTCGCCTGAGCTAAAATCAGATTTTCACATTTAGTATAATAATTCTCAAAAGCCCCACCCCCCGATCATAATCATCTTTTGACCTCCCTTCTCAGTGTTTCTACATTCACTGAGAAGTCTTAGCCAAGCTCCTACGACTCCTAATAGCTCAGATGACCCTAAACAGATGCATGCATTTGGATCATGTTAAGTTCATGTTCCAGCACTCCTGTCAGCCTTTCTTTCAGAAAGGTGATTTTTTCTCAGACTCAGGACAATTTTATATGGTAAACAGATTGCTTAAACAAACAAGCTTTGTTAACTTTTAAAGAAAGCACATAAATTATACCATCATAAAGCTTTCCCTTTTCAGGTTTGTAACTGGAGTGTCATAAACATCAGACTTGATGATCTTTGGTCCACATTTCAGATGTCTCTATCTTCAGGTGAGCCCCAAATGATTCTTACAAAGGGTAGCAGCGCCCTCTACTGGTTGGCTTTGCAGGCTAAGCTTTTACAAGGTGGAAGTCTGAGTATGAATCCCTTTGATGCTGAAATCCCTTGTAGTTAAGAAGGGAAATGAGGTTTTGAATGCGACGTTCTTCATTTCCTCAGCAACGCACATTGCAGCAAGGAGAGTCTCACATTTCTTCCATTATTATTTCTAGCATTTAATATAGCCAGCCACATTAGAACTGATGACACCTCGACAGCATTTTTCCCCATTACTAACGGTGTGAGGCAAATCGATGAGGGGTGGGGGGTTCCATTCTTCCCACCCTTTTTAGTACTCCGCCCCGCCCAAATAATAGAGCAGCACCACTGGCCATCTCTGAGATGTTCCCTTAAGAGCCACAGGAGGACAAACACAACCCACATGAGATGATAAGCCTGATTCTGTGCCACCTGGACTGGAAATCGACTAAGAGCTTGAGTGTACAATAAGACTCTCACAACCATCCACACACAGCATAGAATTTCAATCTTGATCTGAAAGCAGCTGTCAAGCTCAACCACCTCAACCACTTACTTCCAAAGGAATCTCTATGAATTCAGGAAACCAGGAGACCCTTTAGGTGGCTGGGGTACATTCAACAAAAAATATTTCACTATATTCAACAAATATTTAGTAAGCACTTACACTGTTCTGGTGCTGTGTAGGCACCAAGGAAACAGTGTTAAGAAAAAGCAACACCTGCTCTTAGTGGAACTTGTTGTCTAAGTGAGAAGACAAATAATCCCCAAAATTAATTACAAACAAGGACAAAAGACATGAAGGAAAGGTACACGATGTCATGTGGATATATAGTCTAGGGGAGTGGAGGGAGTTTCCCTGAGGAACTAACATTATCACTGAGAGCAAAAGGGCAAATAGTAGTTACTGAGGGTGGGAGTGGGCATGGGTTCCAGGCAGAGAGATAAGCATGTGAAAGACAGCTGCCAGGCAGGGAGGGGCAAGATCCTGGATGTGACCCTTGCCATAGGCATCCATGTCTTTATGACATTATTTCTATAAAATTGACTAAATAAATAAATACAAATAAATCCTTCCCAGCAATTGACCAAATTCCTCCAGTAAACCGAGTTGTCAATTTCTGTGCTGGGAAATGAGAGGAGTGGCCAAGTCTTCTACAAAGTGGGCATTTTTCTGGTTTTCGTCCACCTGCTGGAAGTTATGGATTCCAGTGAGCTCTTTGCTTCATCTTTGCATCATTTTAGCATGTTGCACCATGTACCCAATGCCAGAGCCTTCTTTTATATGGGCAGTATCTACTTACCTATATCTCTTCTGGTACTTAACAGACACCAGGCATTTTTCTTGTGCTTGATAGTGACTCTACATTAAACATTCCTAGAATTTTATCCCAGAATTCTTGGACAATGCCTCAGCAAGGTGATCTGCAACATTATTTTACTTATTTATTTCTGCTATTTTAACAAATGGTTATTTAGAGCTCACTACATGCCAGGCAAATTCTAACTGCTTAACAAATAGTAACTCATTTCATCTTAATGATAATCTTATGAGGTGGTTACTAATATTATCCCCATGTTGCAAATGAAGAAATTGAGGCACTAAGAGGATACGAAACTTTCCTGAGGTCACTCAGCTACAAGTGACCAAGCCACAGTTTGAGCCCAGTCAGTCCCCAGAAATAAAGCTGGAAAGCATTGCTCCACGCAGCTTCCTCTTAGCAAAATTAAAGAGGTACTCAACCAATAACGCTTTTTTATCTAGTTTAACATATGTCCCAGATGGGTAGAATCCTGTCAATTCTACCATTTGACAGCATTCTCCAATCCTACTTCTCATCCGGCTCTCTTTGGCTTCTGTACAAGCGCTGCCCCTTCATCCCCTCTCTCGGTATGGCAGCACCCACCACATGGAGCTGCTCTCGAGGCTCCAGATCTCCTCCCCTTTTTACCTCCATCCCACACCACGTCACAGCACTCTAGAAAAAAATGGTCTCTTCTATTTTTAAACTTCACTATCCCACCACTGCCTAAATATTGCAATTAACCCTCATACCGGGTCCTCCATGACCTTGTCCCAGTTCACCTTTGTAATCTCATTTCCAAAAGCTCCTTACCCCCAGCCCAAACTTGCCCCTCCAGCAAACCTGGCCCACTTGCCTTCTTGGCATGGCTCCATACCCTTTCATGGTGAGAGGTGACAGCGTGCTGGCAGTCCTCAGAGCCCTCGCTTGCTCTCGGCGCCTCCTCTGCCTGGGTTCCCACTTTGGCGGCACTTGAGGAGCCCTTCGGCCCGCTGCTGCACTGTGAGAGCCCCTTTCTGGGCTGGCCAAGGCCAGAGCCGGCTCCCTCAGCTTGCAGGGAGGTGTGGAGGGAGAGGCGCCAGCGGGAACCGGGGCTGCGCGCAGCGCTTGCGGGCTAGCTGGAGTTCCGGGTGGGCGTGGGCTTGGCGGGCCCTGCACTCGGAGCGGCCGGCCGGCCCAGGCAGTGAGGGGCCTAGCACCCGGGCCAGCGGCTGCGGAGGGTGTACTGGGTCCCCCAGCAGTGCTAGGCCACCGGCGCTGTGCTCGATTTATCGCCCGGCCTTAGCTGCCTTCCCACGGGGCAGGCCTCAGGACTGCAGCCCGCCATGCCTGAGCCTTCCCCCAGCTCCGTGGGTTCCTGTGCAGCCGGAGCCTCCCTGACGAATGCCGCCCCCTGCTCCAGGGCACCCAGTCCCATCGACAGCCCAAGGGCTGAGGAGTGCGAGCGCATGGCACAGGACTGGCAGGCAGCTCCACCTGCAGCCCTGGTGCGGGATCCACTGGGTGAAGCCAGCTGGGCTCCTGAGTCTGGTGGGGACTGGAGAGTCTTTATCTCTAGCTCAGGGATTGTAAACACACCAATCAGCACCCTGTGTCTAGCTCAGGGTTTGTGAGTGCACCAATGGACACTCTGTATCTAGCTGCTCTAGTGGGGCCTTGAAGAACCTTAATGTCTAGCTCAGGGACTGTAAACACACCAATCAGCACCCTGTGTCTAGCACAGGGTTTGTGAATGCACCAATCGACACTGTATCTAGCTGCTCTGGTGGGGCCTTGGAGAACCTTTATGTCTAGCTCAGGGATTGTAAATACACCAATCGGCACTCTGTATCTAGCTCAAGGTTTGTAAACACACCAATCAGCACCCTGTGTTTAGCTCAAGGTTTGTGAATGCACCAATCGACACTCTGTATCTAGCTGCTCTGGTGGGGCCTTGGAGAACCTGTGTGTAGAAACTCTGTATCTAACTAATCTGATGGGGAGGTGGAGAACCTTTGTATCTAGCTCAGGGATTGTAAACGCACCAATCATCGCCCTGTCAAAACAGGCCACCTGGCTCTACCAATCAGCAGGATGTGGGTGGGGCCAGATAAGAGAATAAAAGCAGGCTGCCCCATCCAGCAGTGGCAACCCGCTGGGGTCCCCTTCCACGCTGTGGAAGCTTCGTTCTTTCACTCTTTGCAATAAATCTTGCTGCTGCTCACTCTTTGGGTCCACACTGCGTTTATGAGCTGTAACACTCACCGCGAAAGTCTGCAGCTTCACACCTGAAGCCAGCGAGACCACGAGCCCACCCGGAAGAACCAACAACTCCAGACGCGCCGCCTTAAGAGCTGTAACACTCACCGTGAAGGTCTGCAGCTTCACTCCTAAGCCAGCAAGACCACGAACCCACCAGAAGGAAGAAACTCCGAACACATCCGAACATCAGAAGGAACAAACTCCAGACGCGCCACTTTAAGAGCTGTAACACTCACCGCGAGGGTCCGAGGCTTCATTCTTGAAGTCAGTGAGACCAAGAACCCACCAATTCTGGACACAATGGGACACCAGCTCCCATGGTCCGCATTTGCTAGTCCTTCTGCTGGGAATGTCTTCCATCCACCCACCTCTAGCTTCAAGACTGAGCTCAGTTAATACCACCTTGCCAGGTCTACCCTGACACCTGCATTTCCCTCCCTCTCTCACAAGGTCTTTCTTTTCTTTGTACTGCCTCTCAACCTCCTGCATAACCGGCTGATGCCAGAGTGGGGATTGGAGTGAGGAAAATGGGGCACTTAAAGCAGAAGCCAGTAAGAGGGTGCCAAAACATTCAGTAATCAAGATAAATCATATTTATATTTATATTTATATTGTGGGAAAATATATATAATGCTTACTCTTTTACCAATTTTTAAGCATGTAATTCAGTGGCATGAAATATATTCACATTGTACAACTATCACCTCTATCCATTTCAAGAGCTTTTTCATCCTCTCAGACAGGAGCTCTGTACCATACCTATTAAACAATCCCTCACCATTCCTTCTCCCTCCAATCCTTAGTAACCACTATTCTACTTTCAGTCTTTATGAATTTGCTAATTCTAGAGCCTCATATAAATGAAATCATACAATATTTGTCCTTTTGTGACTGGCTTATTTCACTTAGCATAATGAAGATATATTTTAATGCAATATTTTAATAATAAACATTAATGACAAAAAGCCATGATTAACAAAATATCAAAATTTTAGACAAAGTATAAGAATCACTGATACTTTTTCCTTTTGCTTCAGGTTCCAGTATAGCTTGGTGGTGACTCTGTCTCTATTGAAGATTTTGAAGTTTTGTTCACGATGGATTTTATTTTTTGCATTAATTTTTATTTTAAAAAATATTGCAAAGGCCAGGTGTGATAGCTCATTGTCTGTAATCCAAGCACTTTGGGAGGCCAACATGAGAGGATTGCTTGAACTCAGGAGTTTGAGACCAGCCTGAGCAGCATGGCAAGACCAGTCTCTACAAAAAAAATTTTAAAAATTAGCTGGGTGTAGGGGTGCACACCTGCAGTCCCAGCTATTTGGAGGCTGAGGCAGAAGGATTACTTGAGCCAGGAGGTCGAGGCTGCAGTGAGCCATGATCATACCACCGCACACCAGACTGGGTGACAGAGAGAGATCCTATCTCAGAAAACAAAAATAAATAAAAAATAAAATTTGCATTAAAGTATTCTTTATCTTGATCATTGATTTTTTTGGTAGTCCATTACATTTTGCACCCAAAGAAAGTGGTTCAAATGCCCTACCCCAGGGCCAGCCCTGGTGGTGCCAAACCCTTTCCTCCTACCACCCCAAATAAGCACACAGCCAAAGGAAGAAATAATATGCTTGCATGCAAACACAGCTTCAGAACAGGTCCTTCTATAGTGGGTGCCACCCCTCCGTGAGACTGCTGCCCCAAAGCCCCTGTTAGACTCCTGAGCCACTCATGCACATCCTGCTGCACTCTGCACCATCTTGCTGCACTGTGATGATTTGCCTTCAGTCCATCTGCCTTTCTGGTCTGTGAGCTCTTTGAAGGCACAGACTGAATCTTTTTCATCTTTGTTTTCACACTGCCTTGTACAGTGTTGGGCTCACAGAAGACACTTAATTGTTGAATGAAAAGTTCCTCGACTCCCTTTTCCACCATTAATAATGATTCCAAGATAGCTAATTAGACTTTGCTTTAATCTAGTTTAATTCCAACATCCCATAATCCATGTAGGTTCATATTAAAGGGCTAGAGACATAGAAAGCCCTAACTATGGCATGCCTCAAAAAGGTCATTTCAGGGTTACCTAGTCTTTTACTTACTCTTGGTCCTCTAAACCAGGGACAGCCCACTTACCATCCCCGTGTGCTGTTCTGCCATGGAGGAGGGACGTGCCCGGAAGATTGCTGGAACAGTACCTACTTCTCTTTTTCCAAGGTGCTGATTCTGCCTGTCTCTGCCTGGCAGAATGCTGTCTGCATGCTGGGCCTGGCTCTCTTGGCTGCCTCCCTCTTGGCTTACAGAACCAGATGCACCTCCAAAGTAATGCCTGAACCCCTGTTTGGTTTCGTGATCTTACTTCCTGTCTTTTGGCCACAGTCCTTACATTGGCTCAAAGTCTCAAACCACAGATTATGGCCAGTGTCCCCTGGGTTCCAGATCCTGGCATTGTGATTTATAGATTTCTCACATTTGAATTTAGTTTGGACCCCATCAACTCAGTTGAGATTTCACTTCTTACTTGATGCCAGTAGAAAATGGAGTTCCCAAATTCTTAAGTGCCTAGAATTGTTCATCTGGCTCTACATTGAGGTCTTTAAAGCAAAATCAAACATCACAACATCCAAACTCTCAGCTTCTGAATTTATCATCCACCTCAGAGCCAAATGTCCCCACCCTAATGAAGTTTGTTTTGCCAATAGCCAGGGTTTTTCTTGGATCTATTTTGCTTTAGTTGTTGGATCATAGTTAAGTTCAACTTATAAATTTAACTTTATAACTAAAAAATTTCTTTCTTTCATTAAGGATGCTCACTGTTTTTGAGGTTCCTCCTTCTCTCCTGTCTCCATAAATAGTCTTAATTGTCTGTACAATTAAGATCGACTAACCAAAGATGTATGATAGGGCAAAGTGCCCAGATACAAGGAGATAGCAACAATCTTGTAACTGCTGTATCCATCACTTTTCACAATACTTTAAAAGGAAGTCTATGTTGAAAGCAATCCTGACTGCTCTTTCCAATTCCATAAATGCCAAAGTTAACTTACAAATACAGATCAAAACTGGAAGAAGAAATGGAAGAGTTCAAGATGTAACACTTGGCCAGGCGCAGTGGCTCACGCCTGTAATCCCAGCACTTTGGGAGGTCAAGATGGGAGGATCGCTTGAGGCCAGGAGTTCGAGACCAGCCTGGTCAACATGGCAAGACCCCATCTCTTATATTTTTTTTAAAAAAGTCATCTTAATACTGTGCAAAAACAGCCAACTCATGAATTGTAGTCATATAATAAATGCCCTCAAACATTCACAAAGTTATAGAGCTAAAAATACTGTATGTGTGTCTTGTGAAATTAAATTTCTGTATAGTATATCCATTTTGGATAGCTTGAAGAAATATGCAATGATAGCAATTATTATGTTATTATTATTATTACGCAATTATTATGTTATTATTGTTACATATGCATGCTGTATTAGCTTGCTAGGGCTGCCATAACAAAGTACTACATCCTAGGTGGCATATAAAACAAAAATGTATTGTTTCACAGTTCTTTAGGCTACAACAAAAAGATCGAGGCGTTAGCAAGGGTAGTTTCTTCTGGAGGCTTGAAGGGAAGGATCTGCTTCAGGCCTCTCTCCTGGCTTGTAGATGGCTATCTTCTCCCTGTATCTCTTTACATCATCTCCCTTCTATGTGTGTCTGTCTGGGTCCAAATTTTCTCTTTTTATAAGTGCACCAGTTATTTTGAATTAGGAAGACCCTAATGTTCTCATTTTGACTTGATTACCTTTGTAAAGATCCTATTTCAAATAAGGTCATATTCTGAGGTACTGGCAGTTTGAACTCTATCATAACTTTTTGGGGATGACTTAGGGAGACAACACAATTTAACTCATAACCCATATCATGTTCATGTTTTCATATCTTACTTCACTTTAGGAAGAATGCAAGATATCCCTATGTGTATGTTAACATGAAAAGTAAATTTTAAAAAATCTATTGGCCTACAAAACAATGTGAGCTTTTCCCATGCTCAAAGAACTTCCAGCAAAGGTACTTCTCATGGTGTGAGCACCAGCTACCCAGAGGAGAACAAAGAAGCAGGGCAACTTTCTTTGTTTATTTTGGGTCATGGTTTTCTGAGACCTTTTTTTTTTTTTTTTTTTTTTTGGGACGGGGTCTCACTCTTTCGCCCAGGTTGAACTGCAGTGGTGCTATCTCAGCTTACTGCAAGCGCCGCCTCCCAGGTTCATGCCATTCTGCCTCAGCCTCCGGAGTAGCTGGGACTACAGGTGCCCCCCACCATGCCCGGCTAATTTTTTGTATTTTTAGTAGAGACGGGGTTTCACCGTGTTAGCCAGGATGGTCTCAATCTCCTGACCTCGTGATCCACCCTCCTCGGCCCAAAGTGCTGGGATTACAGGCGTGAGCCACCGCACCCGGCCTCTGAGATCTTTTATGTCATTCTCAAGTTCATTAAGTTTTAGGAATTAAATGGTGCATCTCGTCATTTGTTGAAAGGGAAATCTGCCTCACCTTCATCACAGCCGATGCCCATTTTCAATCTCATTTCATGTTACTCAGTCAGAACTTGCTACATAATTCATGAGGCCCAGCGCAAAATGAAAATGGAGGGCCCTGTGTTCAAAAATTAGAATTTTAAGACAGCAATATCAGAGCATTAAATCAAGTATGACACCCTTCTAAACAGCTTGCAAACCCCTGAAGCCAGCCCTGAACTCCGTGTACTTGAGGCAATCATACCAAATACACATTTTGAAATGGTAAAAATATTGCAAAATTGTTTACTTTGGTGAAAGTTTTCATGGAGGGTGCAGGGCACAATTGATAGACCTCCACAGTGTCTATGAAAGGAAGAAACTGTGCTAACAGTTTGAGGGTTTGCGGGGAGATCTTGATCTCAGAGGCTTACTCAAGGTTTACCTCTTGTGCATGTCATTAGCAGAGTCTAGTTTGAAAATAATCCTGTGAGGCTCTTCTCCAAGCAGCCTGGGTGGGGAGTGGAGGCGCTTCCATCTTTGAATTTCATCACCATCACCTTGGAGTTCTTTGCTTCTAGCCACAAAAAGGGGAGGGAGAGAGGAGAGAAGCTCCACCCTGTCTTTCCTGCTTCATATAAGAAATATCATATCATTAATCATCACGTTTTCATTGAACAGAACTCAGTTCAATGTTCCCAACCTAACCTCATGGGAGGCTGAGAAATACAGCTTTCTTATATGCCTAGGAAAAGGCAATAAATTGATGAACATCTAGCTTGACTCTGCCACAGAAATTATCAGTTTTCATGGAAATAAAATAAATCTATTAACTGCATATTAACAAATGTTAACTAAGTACACAGAACTGTGCTATTTTTGAGAAAAGGTTAGAGAAAATATCTGTTTTCTTCTCTCAAAAAGCATAGCATTTCATGGCAAGGACAAAACACACACACCCCAAAAAGATCAATATCGAAAGAGATCATTGTATCATCATGGGCTAGGGGATTGAGAAAATTTCATACAGGAAGCCCTACTTAAGAATAGTGTGGAAATAAATGAAGACCACCCAAATCAGAACAAGCAAAGGCTTTTTATTCTGCGCTTGCTATGGCAAAAGAGTCAACCATCATCACCTACATTTGGCAGATATTCATAGGCAGACAAGGAGGCAGAAAGATTTATGGTGGAAAAAAGCAAAGACCTCAGGTGTGCCCTATCTGGAGGCCATTAGCATAGGAAAGCTGTAGGTGAACTAACTAAAAATGGAGCATCCTATATAATTGGCTAGGGGTACATGTTTGACTTTCTCCAGTGGGCCCCAAGATGGAAACAGGGGCAAAATTAGGGAAGACACTAGTTTATTAATCAAGTCCTAGCTGTTTGGGCCATACTGCCACAGGGGTGATTGTCTGGCTTTTTAGACTAGTAGCTCAAGATCGTTGTTTGGTTTCCGACAAGTCTGAGTTGTGGATAATAGGTTGGCTTCTTAGACTGGTTGCTACAGATTGTGGGTCATAGTTCTAATATTGTATATAATCTGGCTAACTGCATAAGTAGATTTTTTTTTTTTTTTTTTAGTGACAGGGTCTCACTATGTTGTCAAGGCTGGCCTCAAATTATTGGGCTCAAGTGATCTTCCCACCTCAGCCTCTCAAGTGGCTGGGACTAAAGACTAGTGTCACCATGACTGACTAAGCATAGATTGTTTTTAAAAGAGGAGGAAAAGAAGATCAGCATAGACAGAGTGGATGTTTCATGTTCATTCACCTATTCAACTAATTAACAAATATTCATTGAGCATTTACACCCTGCGAGATATTGTGCTTGGTGTTAGTGATAGAAAGAGGACGGAGACATAGTTTCCACCTTCAAGTAGCTTATAGCCTTTCTAAACCAGGATCTGAAGATGCCCTACAGAAAATTATTTGAGTAACTATTTTCTCAAGTTTCCCAAGGATGAAACTAGGACCATAGATGCATAGGACAGAAGTTAATTCATCACACACAATGAGTACCTGATGGTTTAGGGGTAAAAATCTCTCCTGAACTCTGAGTTGAAAAGGATTGGAGGGAAAAAAAATAGGCATGTAAATGAAGAGGATCTAAATTATTGCCACTTTGGCTTATTGATTATTTTGATCTGAAAGCAATTCAGAAACAGCAGATATAAAAGAGTTCTCTGACCTCCTCCTTTCTTTCTACCTAAAAGTAAAGCATACATTTTCTATGAGAAAAGTGCTCTCCCTGTATAAGGAAGAGGAAACTTCTCATCACCAGAGATAGGGGAGTCAACACTGATGAATATGTGCAAACAAACCTACTAAAATAACCCTTACCTTCCATTAGCTTCCCCCATATATTTCTTACTCACTTTCCCACTATTTACCACCCTTAAGCAAAACCCTTTTTTCTTTTTCTTGTCACATCTCCACAATTTACTGTTCTTTATTAAAATGGTATATAAGCTCTCAGGCTTATTAGCTTCTTTGGCTCTTTATTTCTTTTACATGAAGACCTCCATGTACACTTAAAAAATACTGACATCAAATAAAATATGTACGCTTTTCTCTTCTCAATCTGTCCCTTGCCAGTTAAATGCTCAGGCCCAGCCACAGAACCTCAGAGGGAAGAAAAAAAGTCTTTCTTCTCCTACATAAACAAGTATAATAAAATATTATTGATAAGAGACTGTCTCTGCCTTCTTTTCTATTGATACTCAACAATTCCATGCTACCCACAACCAGCACCACCCAAATGCAACCATCAAAGTCTAGCTCAGGGCAAAAGAAATAAGTCAGACTTGGCTTTGTCTAAAAAGAAAAACAAATGAACTTATGGACATAGACAGTAGAAAGATGGTTACCAGAAGGTTGGAAGGGTAGTGGTGGACTGGGGAAAGGGGGTAGGTGGGGGTGGTTAATGGGTATGAAAAATAACTAGAAAGAATGAATAAGACCTACTATTTGATAGCATAACAAGGTGATTTTAGTCAATAGTGCTTAATTATACATTTTAAAATAACTAAAAGAGTGTAATTAGATTGTTTGTAACACAAAGGATAAATGCTTGAGTGAATGGATACTTTGTTCTCCATTATAGTATTTTTTTTACATTGCATGCCTGTGTCAAAAAAAAATTGTGCCCTGTAAATATATACAAATACTGTGTACCCACAAAAATTAAATTTTTTTTTTTTTTTGAGACGGAGTCTCACTCTGTCACCCAGGCTGGAGTGCAATGGCGCTATCTTGGCTCACTGCAAACTCTGCCTCCCGGGTTCACGCCATTCTCCTGCCTCAGCCTCCCGAGTAGCTGGGACTACAGGCACCCACCACCACGCCTGGCTAATTTTTTTGTACTTTTAGTAGAGACGGGGTTTCACCATGTTAGCCAGGATGGTCTCGATCTCTTGACCTCATGATCCACCCACCTCGGTCTCCCAAAGTGCTGGTAAAAATAATTTTTAAAAACAGTTGCCCTTCAAGGACTTCATGACTAAAACACCAAAAGCAATGGCAACGAAAGCTAAAATAGACAAATGGGATCTAATTAAACTAAAGAGCTTCTGCACAGCAAAAGAAACTACCATCAGAGTGAACAAGCAACCTACAGAATGGGAGAAAAATTTTGCAATCTACCCGTATGACAAAGGGCTAATATCCAGAATCTACAAAGAACTTAAACAAATTTACGAGAAAAAAATCAAACAACCCCATCAAAAGGTGGGCAAAGGATATGAACAGACACTTCTCAAAAGAAGACATTTGTGCAGCCAACAGACACATGAAAAAATGCTCACCATCACTGGTCATCAGAGAAATGCAAATCAAAACCACAATGAGATACCATCTCACACCAGTTAGAATGGCGATCATTAAAAAGTCAGGAAACAACAGGTTCTGGAGAGGATGTGAAGAAACATGAACACTTTTACACTGCTGGTGGGAATGTAAACTAGTTCAACCATTGTGGAAGACAGTGTGGTGATTCCTCAAGGATCTAGAACTAGAAATACCATTTGACCCAGCCATCCCATTACTGGCTATATACCCAAAGAATTATAAATCATGCTACTATAAAGACACATACACACATATGTTTATTGCAGCACTATTCACAATAGCATAGACTTGGAACCAACCCAAATGTCCATCAATGATAGACTGGATTAAGAAAATGTGGCACATATACACCATGGAATACTATGCAGCCATATAAAAGGATGAGTTCATGTCCTTTGTAGGGACATGGATGAAGCTGGAAACCATCATTCTCAGCAAACTATCACAAGGACAGAAAACCAAACACCGCATGTTCTCACTCACAGGTGGGAATTGAACAATGAGAACACTTGGACACAGGGCGGGGAACATCACACACTGGGGCCTGTCGTGGGGTTGGGGGAGGAGGGAGGGACAGCATTAGGAGAAATACCTAATGTTAATGACGAGTTAATGGGTGCAGCACACCAACATGGCACATGTATACATACGTAACAAACCTGCACGTTGTGCACATGTACCCTAATTTTTTATTATACTTAAAGTATAATAAAATAAATAAATAAATAGAGTTGCCCTTAACTTTGGGTATAGTAAATAATTGATTTGCTCATACCTTGCAGTGTCACTGTATTCATATGCAATATTGACCCAGTAGTTTGCAAACCTTGGTTTCAATACCCAGGTTAAATATCCCTTCTTAAAGATGCCAAGATGAAGATTTGTATAATTCTCTCTTCATCCTCCAAGCTGACAATACTGAGGAGGCCATTGGGCATCAAATAATGGACCCCTCATGGATATTATGAGAGTCATCTTTTTATCCCTCTAAACAGTTGGTGAATAGTGTGTGTAAGACTATCAGAGAAGAATTGGGATTTTGTGAAATTGAGCATGTTGTTTCAAACATTTATGTCCATTAGGCATATGGTCTCAAAAGGTATCCTATCTTCCTAGCTGAGCAATTATGCAGATTATGGGGTTCACAGAGTGTTCATTGAGAGAGACCCAGGGATGAGGAGCCAATTCAGTAGATGCCACAGTAGTGGCATCAAGAATGATTCCCCCAAGCAATAACCAAGTGAGGAAAAAATGTGAGAAATACACTTATTGGGACAGACCAGGCTGGAAAAATCATTCCAGGCAGAGAAAGGTTGGTAAGCAAAAACCTAGAAGCATAAAACTGCATGGAGCATTCCAGAATGACAGTATTTCAGAGTGACCAGAGAAGAAGAGGCTGTACTAGTACGCAAGGGCCAGATCCTGGGGGACATTGTAAGCCTGTTAGGGTATGAGACATGTATCAGGAAGGCAGAGGAGGGCCATGGAATAGTTGTAAGAATAGGAATTCCATGATCTGACTTGTGTCTTAAAAAGAGGATTCTATTCCTTACACATTGTGGGAGTAAGATGTAAGTTGATAAAATTTTCCTGGAGGGGCATCAGGCATGAAAGATTTTTGAAGGGGCAGGAAAAGGATTCTTCTGTGTTCAGTCTAACACTCCCCCTGGGTTATCTTCAAACATTTTCATTGTCTAAGCTATCTGACAACTCTGTAATTTGTAGAAAATTGACAATAAGGAAAATTATTTTTGCCTATAGGAATAAAAATTAGTCATGTCCAGTAGAATATAATTGGTTATTGATCCATTTTGCATCTATCTATAAATTTGTAAATTCTTTCATCATTTATTATTTGACTATAGATGTATGGTACTTCATTATTTGACTATATGTATGGCTACTTTATACATATATACTTTGAACTTGGTTACTACATTACTGGTTCTTCATTAATTAATAATTTTTTAAAAATTTCTAACATGTTTATTTTATATCTATATGAGTGCTGTTATTATAGCCTTCCTTTAAAAAACTACCCTTCAACAATAATTTAGCAATATATATCAAAATTACGAAAGCACATTCCCTTTGACCCAGCAATTTCCCTTCCAAGAATTTATTCTACAGATATATTCGTAAATGTGCAAAATGGCATATTAACAAAAGTCTTTTGCAACAAGATTGTAAACAACATAAACATCCATAAGTAGGAGTCTTGCTTTACGATGAAACACTTACACACTTATAAAAAAATGAAGAAAGCCAAAATTGACAAATGGGATTTAATTAAACTAAAGAGCTTCTGCACAGCAAAAGAAACTACCATCAGGGTGAACAGGCAACCTACAAAATGGGAGAAAATTTTCGCAACCTACTCATCTGTCAAAGGGCTAATATCCAGAATCTACAATGAACTCAAACAAATTTACAAGAAAAAAACAAACAACCCCATCAAAAAGTGGGCAAAGGATATGAACAGACACTTCTCAAAAGAAGACATTTATGCAGCCAAAAAACACATGAAAAAATGCTCATCATCACTGGTCATCAGACAAATGCAAATCAAAACCACAATGAGATACCATCTCACACCAGTTAGAATGGCAATCATTAAAAAGTCAGGAAACAACAGGTGCTGGAGAGGATGTGGAGAAATAGAAACACTTTTACACTGTTGGTGGGACGGTAAACTAGTTCAACCATTGTGGAAATCAGTGTGGCGATTCCTCAGGGATCTAGAACTAGAAATACCATTTGACCCAGCCATCCCATTACTGGGTATATACCCAAAGGATTATAAATCATGCTGCTCTAAAGACACATGCACACGTATGTTTATTGCAGCACTATTCACAATAGCAAAGACTTGGAACCAACCCAAATGTCCAACAATGATAGACTGGATTAAGAAAATGTGGCACATATACACCATGGAACACTATGCAGCCATAAAAAATGAAGAGTTCATGTCCTTTGTAGGGACATGGATGAAACTGGAAACCATCATTCTCAGCAAGCTATCGCAAGGACAGAAAACCAAACACCGCATGTTCTCACTCATAGGTGGGAATTGAACAATGAGAACACATGGACACAGGAAGGGGAACATCACACTTCGGGGACTGTGGTGGGGTGGGGGGAGGGGGGAGGGATAGCATTAGGAGATATACCTAATGCTAAATGATGAGTTAATAGGTGCAGCACACCAACATGGCACATGTATACATATGTAACAAACCTGCACATTGTGCACATGTATCCTAAAACTTAAAATATAATAATAATAAAATTTTAAAAAATGAAGAGGTTTTTTATGTATTGATAAGGACAGGTTGACAAGACACACTTAGTTAAAGAAGCAATGGACAGAAGTTGTCTATAATATGCTACAGCTGTGCACAACTATAGAGGAGATATATGTATTTTTGTTTGTCTAGGATGGTACATCCTGGTAGGATACATAAGTAACTGATAAATCTGATAGCCTCAGAGGATAGAGGTGGAGGTGGGGGTAATATTTTCATTAGATTAAACCTCTTTGCAGGTTGGTTATTCATTAGATGGTGAGGAATGAGAGAGGAAAGGGAAGATTCACAAGACAACTTTCTTATTTCTGGACTGCAGGAGTGGATGGTTGTACCAATTGCAAGATAGAATATCCGAGGGGAAAGATTGAGATGGACTAGCCAGGTGGAGATTGATATAGTTAGTTGGATATATGGACCCAGAGCTCAAGACAGAAATCTTGCTCCAAATCTAGTGAAATTGGCAGCCCTGGAAAAAACAACCTGTACTAAACCTTCAGGGGTTGAGCTGCCCTGGGGATCTGCATTCCACTCAATCACTCTCCTTTACCCATTGTTGGACTTCCTGACCTCCTGTTAGGAAGCCAGCTATAGCACAAAGCTCACCTGCTTTTATAAAAAGAGCTTTTTAAAAGAGTATATTCTGACATATTTGTATAAGAAATTATATATTATTTGAGATTAGATTCAAAATATTGCACAGAAGTGAAGGGAAATAGGTGCAGAGATAGATGAAACAAGACAGCTTTTAGTGGTCACTGATTAACCTGAGTGATAGGTACTCACTGATGGGTTTATTATAATATTCCCTCTACACATACATATATATATATATATATATATATATGACCATATATATATATATATGACCATATATATATATGACCATATATATATACATGACCATATATATACATATGACCATATGTATATGACCATATATATGTGTATGTATATGTATATATGTATATGTGTGTATATATACATATACATGTGTATATATATGTGTATATATATATGACCATATATATGGACATATATATATATATATAATTGAAAGTTTCCCTAACACAAAGTTTTTTCAAAATACTGCTGCCCAGCCCTCACCCCCAAGCAATTAAATAAACCAGAAATCCTGGAGTTAGGGTTAGGTAACAGTAGAGTTTAAAACTCTGTCAGGTGATGCCATCATACAGCCAGATTGAGAATTGCTGTTAGTCAAGCTTTAGTTTATCACTGTGCCTCCTGTCATTGCATCATTGCTACCATGCTCTCCCTTGCACCCAGCCTCAGTCACCTGCTTCTGAGCCTGTCCACAAATCCTTGCTATCTTAGATCTAGCCTCCTTCAATGGTTCATTCAGAATCCTAGCAAGGAAAGTGGAAAATGAAAATAGAAGAAGACAGATTTTTAAAATATATTGTGAATTCCCCAGTGTTTATTAATTTGAATCACATGATGTCTATCAACACAGCACAATGTCAATTTGCTCCTGCTCAGGCACAAGCCTCTCTGTGCTTTGAAGACCAGACACCAGGTTTGCTCCAACCAGCTCAATCCCAACCACAGGATTGGAACATGCCTACCTTGAAGCACAGATCCTGTTTCAGAAAGCTTTCAATGGCTGTTTAACTGGTTCCAGCATGTCTCCATTGAGAGGGCACCCGTGTTGTGCACCAGAAGGAAGCCAGATTTAGGTTTGCAGACCAATAAGCTCTGTGATTCAAGGAAGTTGTCTTACTGGTATGAATCTAGTTCCTACATCAGTATAAGGGGTAAAGCACATTTTAAAGGCTTGAGGAACAACTTAAAAGAAAATACTATTTAGGGTGCCTGATGGCTCTGCACAGTAGCTCACACCTGTAATCCCAGCACTTTGGGAGGCTGAGGTGGGCATATCATCTGAGGTTGGGAATTTGAGCCCAGCCTGGCCAACACGGTGAAACCCTGTCTCTACTAAAAATTCAAAAATTAATGAGGTGTGATCGTGCACACCCGTAATCCCAGCTACTCGGGAGGCTGAGGTATGAGAATCGCTAGAACCTGGCAGGTGGAGGTTGAAGTGAGCCAAGTTCGCACCACTGCACTCCAGTGTGAGCACCAGAGTGAGACTCTGTCTCAAAAAAAAAAAAAAAAGTACCAGATGTCTGGGCATGGTGGCTCACACCTGTAATTCCAGCACTTTGGGAGGGCTAGGTGGGAGGATTGCTTGAGCTCAGAAGTTCAAGACCACCCCAGACAACATAGTGAGACCGCATCTCTACTAAAAATTTAAAAAAATAGTTGGGCATGTTGGCATGTGCCTATGGTCCCAGCTATTCGGGAGACTGGGGCAAGGAATCGCTGGAGTCCAGGAGTTCAGGTCTACAGTGTGCTATGATCACGCCACTGCACTCCAGCCTGGGCAATAGAGTGGAACCTGGTCTCAAAAAATAATAAAAATAATAATAAAGTACCTGAGAAGTTACTTGTAGGATTTCAAGAATCATTTGCTCCCTCTCCTTTTCCTGCTCCTTTTTTCATGATACCATCATAAGGTCATAGCAGTTCCGAGAACTTTCTGGCAACTGGTTTCTCTAGAAGGAGGACCGTGGGAGGAAAGCACTTTCCAGACCTAAGTTTAAATGCAATCCTCAGGCCAGCCTCTAATAATTCCATGGCCTCCCCACAGCGACCCTGGACTACTGAACACTTGCCTTTCCCTTCCCCAAAGTCGACCTTCTCCTAAATCTGCAACTCTGGAAAAGACTCACCCTTGGAAGCCAGATAACATGGTAAATACTTTGCCTAAGGTTTTAACAATGTTTCCAGTAAATTAATTTCATATGAGGAAGGAAAGAACTTATTAAAGGAGATGTTCAAAGAACATAGGAAATCACATGTTTGCCCACAGCAAATACCCCTAGCCCTGGAGCCCCTCTCTCTAGATCACCATGCCTAAACACACAGCCAAGTTCAAAATCACACATCACAATGCACCATGTGGTTTTGTGCACTCACCCCTGAGTTCCTGGATTAATATGGGAATTATTATTGCACCTACTCTTTGGCATCCACTGCTCTTCCTTGGAAGCCTGGTTCCCAAAATTTTTTTTACATTTACAGTTTTTATAGGGGATATTACAAAGGATACAAATGAATAGCCAGATGAAGAGATACACTGGGCAAGGAATGTGGGGCAGGGCACAGAGCTCTGATGCCCTCTCTGGATGCTCTATCCTCCAGACATTCCCACGTGTTCATCAGTTTGGAAGCTCTCTGAACCCCATAATTGAGGAATTTTATGGAGCCTTCATCATGGAGGCATTGTCAATTTTTTAATTGTTTTGGGTACATAGTAGGTGTATATATTTATGTGATACATGAGATATTTTGTAACTGGCATACAATACATAATAATCATATCAGGGTAAAGCAGGTATCCATCATCTCAAGAATGTATCATTTCTTATATTACAAACATTCCAATTATACTCTTTTAGTTATTTTTAAATGTACAACAAATTATTTTTTACTGTAGTCACCCTGTTGTGTTATCAAGTACTAGACCATATTCATTCTATCTAGTATATTTTTGTACCCATTAACGAACACCACTTGACAACCCCCTCCCTCACAACTACCCTTCCCAGCCTCTGGTAACCATCATTATACTCTCTGCCTCCATAAAAGTTCAATTGTTTTCATTTTTAGCTCCCACAAACAAGTGAGAACATGCAAAGTTTGTCTTTCTGTGCCTGGCTTATTTCACTTAACATAATGCCCTCCAGTTCCATCCATGTTGTTGCAAATGACAGAATCTCATTCTTTTATATGGCTGAATAGTACTGCATTGTGTATATGTGCCACATTTTCTTTATTCATTCATCTGTTGATGGACATTTAGGTTGCTTCCAAATCTTGGCTATTGTTAATAGTACTGCAATAAACATAATAGTGCAGATATCTCTTTTATATACTGACTTCCTTTCTTGGTGAGATATACCTAGGAGTAAGATTGCTGGATCATATGGTAGGTCTACTTTTAGTTTTTTGAGGAACCTCCATACTGTCCTCCATAGTGATTGTACTCATTGACATTCCCACCAACAGTGTAGGAGGGTTCCCTTTTCTCCACATGCTCACCAGCATTCATTATTAAAAGTTATTTTCACTGTGGCGAGATGACATCTCATTGTAGTTTTTATTTGCATTTCATTGATGATCAATAATTTTGAGCACATTTTCATATACCTGTTTTCCATTTGTATGTCTCTTTTTGAGAAATATCTATTCAGATCTTTTGCCTATTTTTAAATTGGATTGTTAGATTTTTCCCCCATTGAGTTGCTTGAGCTACTTACATATTCTGATTATTAATTCTTTGTTAGATGGATAGTTTGCAAAAATTTTCTCCCATTCTAAGGAAGATCTACACAGACACTCATAATTACGGCAAAATTAGCAGATAAAATTGAACAATATTGGTCCATAAGAGAAAATCTGCTTGTATGTGTCTGGCATTTTAGGTATACTTACAGGCCAGATGACTCTCCTGGCTTCCCTGTGCATCCACTCCCCACGATGAGGATACAATTCTACTGAGGTTGAGTATACACACAAGGGAATTACATTCACATTGATCTATGAGACCAATCCATGTTTACTGGCTTATCCCACAGGAAGGCTGGTTTAAGCATTTGACACTCACATTGCTCAGTTCCCTATTTGTGGTGGGGCAAGGCTGAACTAAACTTGTTGTCAGCCAAGAGAGCTGTGGCAATGCCCATGGGTAATCCAAGCTAAATTCAACTAGGAGAGGGGAGAGTCTAAGCACTGGGCAACCAAACTGAACACCAACTCCAGATGCAGAATCCGAGCAGAGTAAATAGACAGGAGTTCAAAATTTGGCAAAGAGAAGACCAAAGCAAAAGAAACTGATTCCAAGCAAAGAGGCCCATGCAGTGACCTCAAAGAGTTCTGGGATATTCTTGGATTCATAGAGTGTATTTAGTCACCCTGGCTTAAAGGGCAGGAGGGAGGTTCCATACCAATTTAGGAAACAGCTATCCTTAAAGATTTCCTTGCTACTGATTTGATGATACCAAATGTGTCTGTCTGAGCTGTCTTCTTTTCTCCCAGCCACATTTACCCAAAGTGTATATTTTCATATTTATAAAATAATAATAATAGTAATTCCTTAACAAGTCTTTTATGTATAGGACTTCATATTTCTTTCTTTCTTTTTTTTTTTTTTTTTTTTTTTTTGAAATGGAGTCTTGCTCGGTCTCCCAGGCTGGAGTGTAATGGCGTAATCTCGGCTCACTGCAACCTCCACCTTCCGGATTCAAGTGATTCTCCTGCCTCAGCTTCCCGAGTAGCTGGGATTACAGGTGCCTGCCACCACACCCAGCTAATTTTTGTATTTTTTAGTAGAGATGGGGTTTTGCCATGTTGGCCAGGCTGGTCTCAAACTCCTGACCTCAGGTAATCCACCTGCCTCGGCCTCCCAAAGTGCTGGGATTATAGGCGTGAGACACCACGCCTAGCCAGGACTTCATATTTCACATATATCTGATATGCACAACTACACTGAAGTGAGCCTAGCAGGCTTCACTGTTCACACTTTACAGATGTGAAAACACATCCTAATCACACAATTCAGCCATGGAGTTGACTGGAGTCCAGACCTCCTGGGCCTCCTGAACATCATCTAACTCAACAAAGGGCTAGAGCTTAGAAATCCTGGACAACTGCATATTGTCATATTAACATATTGACAACAAACAACATAAAACAAAGCAATGACTTTATCTTTAATGTATCAGCATTTTGCCTGTGGTTTTGGTAGATACTGGGTTGTAGTAACACAAGTTTGACCTTTGATTGGCACCTGAAGTATCAATATACCTACTCTGATTGATGAGAGCTACATATCCTCATTCTCCACCCCATCTAATAGACAACAAAGTGACATTCCTGACTACTAACCTTTGTAGTAAGGCCTAAGTAAAGGGCTTTATGACCTCCTCTGGAAACAGGCTACAGGGGTTCTGACCAAAGGGACACAATTTTATCCTCAAACAACATCACATTAGGTCAGAAAAAGAATATTGTCCTTCCTTTCACTGAAGAGAAAAATATACACACACACACAAAAAAAACAGAAACAAAAGCATACATGTTCCATAAAAGTAAGCCACCACCACCAAAGTACTAACTCTAACTACAGTTGTGTTTGTGATGTCTTCTTTCTCTCCATCAACATTGCTTTATATTTTATTAAACTTGATTTCACCTCCACTAACAGGTTGGCAATTTGGGGAAGAAACAGTATGGTATTCACCAAGGTCCAGCCTCACTCAAAGATGATTTGGCACATTCCATTTGAGTCGGTCATTTAGGGTAAAATTGTATAAACACATCTCTTGGTTTCATCTGAAACAGGTTCTTCCACTTGTCTTTGTCCCAAGTCAGCTGAAGAAAATCCAAACATTGTTCTTAAACACTGCAAGGCCCTGAAAAGGACAGCTTTAATAGATCCAACCAATTCTTGACTTGAAGAAGGCCAAAAGAGAATACTGTACCATTTCAAACAAAACAGCTTCTGGAACACAACCACATTGATCTCTCTCTCTCTCTCCAGCAAGTAGTTTTTATAAGAACCTTGAACATATACGTCTAACACAAATTATCTGTTTCTTAATAAAGTACTGGCATATTTAGATTTCTGCAGTACAGTTTTACCATTATAAAGAGTTCAATAACTTTTTTCTGTGATATGAGTCCCCAGAACCTCTGGGTGAACACAGCTGGCGTGGAGATGTTACATGCGAGTTGTCCAAAGTTAACAGCTATTGGAATTTTTTATTTACTTTCTTCTTCTGTTTGAGTGTACTTAATGCTATTAAAGTTCTGTCTGGAAGCAAAAAGAGCATAAAAGTGGCCACTTCAGAAAAGCAATTTGGCCATTTGTGACAACAGCTGCCTGATATTGTACTTTATTTAATTGGAAAAGGATGCAAGAAGTCTTCGAGGCATTAAAGAAACTCAAAGTTTGGAAAGATCATAGGAATTTTCTCTGTTATTTTCTTCTGTTTAAATTACCATTATTAAGCAATTTCTTGAGTATCAACAATATACTAGATATTTTCTAAATTATTTGAAATGAGTTGATTACGGAAAAATCATTTAAACTCTTTTGGAAGGTCTCCCAGTGAACCTTCCAAACCATGTGTTCAGCTGACAGGGTGACACTGTCATTAAGAGGGTCCCACAAGAGCTGTGAAGTCAAAGCCAAGCTCCTGAGCTTCTACCCTCCAGCCCCAGTTTCACTCCAAAAACTCCTCCACCACTTGATCTTTCAACCACAGCAAACTGCTGATCCCAGTACTTGGTTCCCTCTCATTTCCCAGCCTTGGCACTGGTTCTTCTCCTTCCTTGGCATATCCCTCCCAGCTGGTCTTCCTGGTGAACTTCTTATCCTTTAAAACTCAAGAATCAGATCCAGCAATTACATTTCTTGGTATATGCCCAAAAGAATTGAAAGTAATGACTCAAGCAGATATGTGTACACCCATGTTCATAGCAGCATTCTTCACATAGCCAAAAGGTGGAAACAACCTACATGTCCATTGACATATGAATGGATAAACAAGATGTAGCGTATACCTACAATGAAATATTATCCAGCCACAAAAAGAAATTCTAACACAGGCAACAACATGCATGAAACTTGAGGACATTGTGCTAAGTGAAATAAGCCAGTCACACAAAAAAAGACAAACATGGTGTTATTCCACTTATAGAAGGTACCTAGAGGTAGTCAGATTCATAGAGACAAAAAAGTAGAATGATGGTTTCCAGAGGCTGAGGGATTAGGGAAATGGGGAGTCATTGTTTAAAGGATGTAGAATTTTGATTTTGCAAGATGAAAGTGCTTTGTAGATGGATGGGGATGACAGTGGTACAACACTGTGAATAAAATTAGTGCCACTGAACTGTACACTTAAAAATGGTTAAGATGGTAAATTTTGTAGTTTGTACTTTATCAAAATTTTAAAAAATAATAAAATAAAAAACTCAAGCATCAACATTTCTGTGAAAACTTTCCCTGTCCCCAACACCAAGCCGAATTAGTCTTTCCTTCCTCTTCATCTCCAGTGATAATTAAAACAGTACTAATTAAAATTATTTGTCTGAATGCCCTTCTTCCTTTCCAACTAGAAGCTCCTTCAGAGTCAAGACTTTGTCTTTTTCATCTTTATCTTGCATGGTCATCACTAGGACAATTCACAAATATCCAGCTCTCTCCTTCCTGGTGAATGATAGATGACACTTCACATTTATCCTTGGCCAATGAAGTGTGAGCAGAAATGATGTGCATTTCAGGGCAAGGGCCTTAAGAATCAACCTGCATTTGTCATGTACTCTTTGCCCTCTGCCAGATAGCGGCTACCGGATCACAATAAGTTCCCAAATGAGGACTAGATGACTAAGAGTGCCCCTCAGTGGATATGTAGTAAGAACAAGAAATAAATTTTTGTGTTTTAGGCCACCAAAATGTTAATAGTGTTTATTACCATAACTTAGCCTAATGTATCTTTACTCATAAATCCATAATGCTTAGGATAGTACTTATATCAATTACTTTTCTTAAAGTCTTAATTGAATAACTTAATGAAGAATAATAAACTATCCCTATAAGACTAAAACAAATAGATTTTAAATGCATTGGTAATTCATTTAAACTTAGTTTGTAAATTGAGGTGACCACTTTGGTGATCAAGAGCAGTAATAGGATAATGAATCCACAGTTCCATCCCCAGCCCTTTATATCATTACTTATTAATTATAATAATAACTACCATGTGTTGAGTTCTTGTAGCTGTTCAAAACTGTATTATAAGCTTACATGCATTACTTTATTTAATAATTACAACAGTTTTATAGATTACAAACCTGAAACTAGAAATCTTAATTAACTTTCCCAAGACCACAAAGGTAGGAATTGGCAGAGCCAGGATTTAAAACAGGTCTATCAATTTCCAATGGCTGTGTTTATAAACTACAGCCCAGCAGATTCCTTTTTTTTCCCAACACCCAGGAAAGTTTCTGGGTGAGAAAAACAAGTAAAACCGGCAATGAGAAAACTTCATCCATCTGGATGGCAAAAATAAAAAAGTGATGTCATCCAATGCTGGCAAAGCTGTAAGGAACAGGCATTCTTCCACTGTGGATAGGAGTGTAAAATGCAGCAATATTTTTGGAAAGTAAAGTGGAAACATCTTTTAAATAAACCTCTTTGCCCAGGAATCCACTTTGGGAAATCTTATGCTACAAAAAATAAGGACACCAATGTGTACAATGGGATGTTAGGTAATTATTAAACAGAGTGCATGAGACACATATCCATGTTGCCCAGAGATAAGTCCATGATATAATGTTTATAGTATAATCCATTTTTATAAAGACAAAAGAGAACAATTGTGTATATGTTCACATGGGATGTGGAAGGATAGACACAGCTATTGATTGGCTAGCTATCTTGAGGGGATGAGAAAGCAGAGGATGAGGTAATATTTTGTACTTTTTTTTTTTTTTTGAGACAGGGTCTCACTTTGTCGCCCAACTTGGAGTGTAGTGGTATGATCACAGCTTATTCTAGCCTTGTACTTTTTCTTTATTTTCTTTAAACAGATTTAGATTGTTTCACTTGCTTTTGAGATCTGAAATATTAATCCAGATTAATCCAGACTTTTAAAAGACAGGGATGGCTAATTGGTGAGGACAGTCCTTCCTATTTCTCTCTGCAGTACAATTGATGTGGAGTGACTGGGCCAACCTCCCTCCCCTCTTCTTCACCCAGAGTCCCCAGTGCGAGTCCCAGGATCAGACAGAACTCTGTGATCATGGGTGTCACCTCAGTCAGTACCAGTGGACCAGGGCCCACTCTCCTCCAGTTGCCTCAATGCCTTGAAACTAGACCCCACTCCCCTTAGCCTTGGTCTCCCAGATGAGACCCTCAGGCCATTCGCTGTTGCCCCTCATCGCAGGGATAGTGCAACACTGGCCCATACAGACCAAACCAAGCACTGCAAACATGCAGCAGAATTCTGATGAAACTACTTTGTTTTTAAATATAAAGCATTAAAGATCAGTCCAACTTTTACTGAATGGAAGTACGGCAAGTAACAAATACACAAATATTCTTTTAAAATGCCAATGTCCGTAGATTATAAGAAAGTCAAGCATGCATCCATTAATATAAACTGGAAGTAATCTGATTGATTAACCAAATTCTAGAAAAGACAAACCTCATAGGGAGCAATTGTCTTTTAGAAGGTGATGTGGGCAATGATAGTAATGAGATGAGTCTAGAGTGCGGGGTCTTCTGTGGAGTGGGGCAGGGGCAGGGATAAGGTAAAGGCACATGAGGAAACCGTGTGCCACATAGACTAAGGGGAGGATGTTGAATACAAACTTTATCTACTTAAAAAAAGAAGGTCTGATTGGTTCTATGTCCCAGAAAGAGGAAGTAACTTTTTTTAATTTCCTCTGTCCTGCACTAAATAACTCTATTCCAGAAATCAGGCTACTGCTATAACTTGGGCTATCATACGAGTAAATAAGTCCTTGTGAAGATGTTTCTTGACTCATTAACTTTAGGAATGTTATGCATGTGTGTATATTTTTAATGAATAAATAAGTGAATGAATGACTGTCTTAAGAATATAGTCACCATATTTTTATTAGTAATCTATTGGAAAATGTAAGCTAACTCCCAAACAAATTTGGGATACAACTCACTCATCAGTGTAAGACCCCTTGTACCAAATGTAATGAATGAGTCATGAGCTACAGAATAATTTGGGGAAAATAACAAAAATATTACCTTCTTATTAGTTTCCTAAGGCTACTGGAAAAATCACAAATTTGGTGGCTTAAAACAACAAAAATTTCACAGTTCTAGAGGCCAGAACTTCAAAACCAAGGTGTAGGCAGGGCCACACTCCCTCGGAAGGCTCTAGGGAAGAATTTTTCCTTACTTCTTCCAGCTTCTGGTAGCTCCCAGAATCCTTGGAATTCTTTGGCTTGTAGCTGCACCACTCCACCCTCTGCCTGTGTCTTCACACGGCTGTCTCTGTGAATATCCCTTGTCTGATATCCCTCTCCTATCTCTTTTATTGGATTCAGGTCCCAGTTATTGGATTCAGGTCCCAGTTATTGGATTCAGGTCCAACCTAAATCCAGGATGATTTCACCTTGAAATTCTTAATTAGTTTCATCTGCAAAGACCTTATTTCCAAATGAGGTCACATTCTGATGTTTCAGATGAAAATGAATTTTAGGGAGACACACTTTACCCACTCATCCTTCAAATGTGAATTCAATCAAATGTGGATAAGAAAATAAGATGAGTCATCTACAGGAGTACTTCACTATTCCCAGTGAGAATAAGATGTTTCTCATCTTATTTCTCTCTCATTTAGGGAGAGGAATGTCTTCTAACTCTCAGCAGAGAAATCATAATGTAAGTTGGTAACATTTGTGCTGTGTAGTTATTCATAACATTTAGAGTTGCATCAACAAAGATAATGATGTTCATGAAAACCAGAGGAGGGAGATTCTGAAAACCTCATGGTAATTTTGGTATTATCCAAGAAAAAGAACGTTCTGATCACAATTACCATTATTAGTTACCTAGGCCAGAATCTCCCAAGCTGATTTTCATGGAAAACTAATTCTATGAGATGTTAATAGGTACATGCAGGCACACGCGCACACACACACACACACACACACACGGAATCTTGTGCTCAACACTGGCAAAACTGCATTTGTGAGGAGCAATGCCGAGGGCCTGTCCTGCCCATGTGACCTCATCACAGGGATAGTGGTTTGGGGGGCCTGCTCTAAGCAACCAGCCATGCTCTCTCCCCAATCCCACACTCTTGCTGCAGCTCTCTACTCTTGTAAAATGTGCATTTGTTTCACATGTTTGCAAACTCTTAACAAAAGATTGAAAATTTCAAAGTGTTTAGTCTCTCCCACTCAGTGAACTGAAGAAAGCTGTTCTCCTAAGAGAATAGTATTCATCCTCATAGATAGTTAAATTGCAGCACATACTTCAAATCACACAATGCACTTCTTAAATAATTTAAAAGTCCTAAAAATGATTTTTGAAAAAATGTGGACCTAATCTGAAGCATTCTGAACTTCCACCTCTTTGAATATGCACTAAAAGTAGAAGGGATTTATATGAATATCTCACTTAAAAGTTAAAACTCCAGGCTTCTTGTGCACACACACATGCACACTTACACACACATGCACACACACCATATAGTCCTCGACAGGTGCCACACTCACCTCCTCACTGCCAGGAATACCAATTTTCAAGCAGGAAGACACAGTGTGTCAGAATAGAAACAAATGAACAAGGGTAAGAATCCATGAACCAATGAGCAAGAACAGAGCAACAGAAGTGCGGCATGAGGGAAACACGATCAAAAACCCCACTGCTTAATAAAAATCTATTACATTTGGATGCACCTTTAAATTTCTAAAGCGTGTTCTCACCTTTCATCACAATTTAGATCCATTCTCATCATTAACCCTAAAGGCCCCGGCAACTTGAGGCCATTCCCTTTTGGCAGACTACAGCAGAGGCAAACTATCGTAAGTGGTTAGTTTTATCAAGTAAGCTGATACCTGGGTGGGATGTGTTTCAGAAAAAAAAGGTCATCAGGTTTGGGGGCAGAAGTGTGACAGACATGTCAGGCACTAAATAAAAGTTTGTTGGATGGATGGATGGATGGAAAAATGGATGTATCGATGGATTAACAAACAAATGGAGGGACTTGTGAAAACAATCCCAGGAAGATAGAAGGCTGCTGAAGCTTTCAATGACATAATAAACTGTTTAATGAGCTCTGTGTTGGACCATGACTTACACAGGTTTGCCTTTTAAAAACTACAATAGGTTTAACTGTTCATTACCAAAATTATCAGGTAATTAGAACAATGTGTCTTCAGTCTCACAATGACCTCATGTCATTATGTGTTTATGTGTGTGTGTGTGTGTGTATGTGTGTATGTGCTAATGATCTGGATCTGCGTGTAAATATATTGCTATTTCTGGATTGATTTGTAATTATAGTCACGAGTCACTTAATAACAAGAATATATCCTGAGAAATGTATTGTTGGGTGATTTTGTCATTATGTGAACATCAGAGTGTACCTGCACAAACTCAGATGTTATCGCTTGCTACACACATGGCTATACGGCATACCCTATTGGTCCTAGGCTACAAACCTGTGCAGCATGTTACTGCACTTAATGCTGTAGGCAATTATAACACAATGGCAAGTATTTGTGCATCTAAACATATCTAAGCAAAAAGGTGCAGTAAAAATAGGATATAAGAGATAATAAAGGGTACATTTATATAGGGCACTTATCACAAAAGGAGCTTGAAGGACTGGAAGTTGCTCTAAGTCGGTGAGTGGTGAGTGAATGTGAAGGCCTGGGGGCATTACTGTAAACTACTGTAGACTACTGTATAAACACTATACACTTAGGCTACACCAAATTCGTATTTTTAAAATTTCTTCAATAATAAATTAACCTTAGCTTGCTGTAACATTTTTACTTTATAAGCTTTTTAATTTTTTTGACTTTTGGACTCTTGTAATAACACTTAGCTTCAAACACAAATATATCGTACAACTATTCAAAAATATTTTCTTTCTTTATAAGCCTATTTTATAAGCGTTTTTCTGTTTTTAGTTTCTTTTGTTTTTACTCTTTAAACTTTTTGCTAAAAACTAAGACACACACACACACATCAACGTAGGCCAACACGAGGTTGGGATCATCAGTATCACTGTCTCCACCTCCCATCTTGTCCCACTGGAAGGTCTTCAGGGGCAATAATATGCAAAGAGCTGTTTTCTCCTATGATAACAATACCTTCTTCTGGAATACCTCCTGAAGGACCTGCCCAAGGCTGTTTACAGTTAACTTTTATTATAAGTAGAAGGAGTACACTCTAAAATAATGATTAAAAAGTAGAGTATAGTAATCTTATGGGACCACCTCATATATGCCGTCCATTATTAACCAAAATTTCATTATGCAGCACATGATTATATAGTACTATTCCTGGATTTGTTTGAAAGTATATTTGTTACTCCTTGGAAGATGATTAAGCTACCACCATATTTCAGAAAGTTACCTCTAACTTGATGGCCTTTAAGAATACTTTTATAGCTGGTCCCTTTGCTATTAATTAAGCTAAGAATATTTTTATCCTTACAATCATATAAATTCAAAAAGACACTGAGCACTACACTTCTGTACTCTGGGTAAATGATACAACAGATTTCAAGGCAATGTAGCCAATGCTGGGCACCTGGGGGTTTCGGTTCTACTTCTGGATGTGTGAGTTGGGGCAGATGGCTTAGCCTATCTTGATCGTAGTGTCCTCGCAAGTAGAATCCTGTGGAGTGGATTAGAATAACTTCTTAAATAATATTAAGAAATATTTCCATATAGCAAAAAAGTAATATAACAAACACCATGTGCCTAAAGCCCAAACTTTATAAATGTACTGGTACCCCTGTGAACCTGACTCATTAGAAAAGGCTCAGAATTATAAAGGGAGGCCCAGGATGAAGCCTGCCCTGCAGAGCAAAGGCACACATACCTATGGCTGGAAATTGCAGATACAGGATTCTAGACAGAGATCTCCCATGTGGAATTACATTTTTGCAAGGGCATAGACACTTACCCAAGAGGTAAAATAAAAGATGTGTGTGCTGGTCCATTCTAAAAGAGATACAAAGTTACTGAGGTAAAACTTGCTAAAGGTTATCTGAAATATGTTTCACCACCTTATGCCTAACAATGTCCAGGCTTTAAAAGAAAAGGCTAAATATTCCCTAAGATTGGTAGAGAGGATCCCTTTGGAGAGCACTGTTAGAGTGCTAAGCCTCCTCCACTTGCCATGGGTGGTAGGTCCCCTCCAACCTATTCCCATGTGAGGGCCACTTGACAAGATTCCCTGGAGCCTGGAGGACACAGTGGCTGATAATGCCTGGAGGTGCCAGGAGGGGAGGAGGTTTCAAGATAGGGCTGCAGTACTTCTGACCATAGGGAGATACAGTTCCTAAAGCCAGAAGGGACCCCATGGAAGATAGCAAGCTTGCAACATCCAGAAACAACTCTACCCAAAAGGTCTATCTGCCATACTAGATGACCCAGCAGAGAGGGTCTGTGTGGGGTGTACCACCAGAGGCAGGAGTGGTAGATGGTGTCAGAGAAAGGTACAGAGACAGGTTCCCTCAGGGAGTAGAGGTCTCCAAATAGCTCCAGATGTGTTCCCACATCACACAGTCATCTGCCACTGCAAGAGGGCATCATCCCAAACTGCAATCTGAGCCAGTCATGTACCTTGAAGATCAAGGACACCACAGAGCAAGTCAGAGAAGTGTAGAAGACGCTGATGTCTGAGCCTTTCCAGTCCAAGCCAGGCAAGGGCAGGGATGTTTTCATTTGAATGAGCGATTAAAGCTTTTGTTTAGATCACTCTGGACATTTTAAAGGCTTTTAAAGGAGGCTATAAATTAATACCTAAAAGTGACATCAAAATCTATGGGATCTGCTCAAAAAATCAATAAAGGATTGGGAAGTGAGATTTCCACATGGCATATGTGAAAGAAGTGGCATGAGAACATAAAATTATTTTTAATGACATCTGCCACACGGAGGCCAAATATTACATGAATATTTTGCCATATTGGCTTAGATCCTCCTTTTTAAAAAATATAAGGCATTACAGATACAGTAACAGTCCCTCCTTCCCATTACCACTTACCTCCCTCCCTTCCCAGGTGCAACCTCTATTCTAAAGTTGGCGTGTACAGTTCCTGCCTGTGTTTTTATATTCTTCCAATGTAATTATGTATTTGAAAACAGTATATAGTACGTGCTGGAAATTTTTAGCATGATATCTATAGTCCTTTCTAACTATAATTCTATGATATAGTGTGACTTTTTTTATTTTAGTAAAATAATAAAAGTGAAGGGACTTTTCCAATTCCCTCTCTCTACACTTTTGCCTCACTGATCATGAAATACTACAGCTCATGGAGTGATATACAGAGGTCTGTCTATCCTTAAAAAAAAAAAAAAAAATTATTAAGAGATGGGGTCTCACTCTGTCACCCAGGTTGGACTGCGGTGGCACAATCATAGCTCACTGCTGCCTCAAACTTCTGGGCTCATGAGATAACTGCTGCCTTAGCCTCCTGAGTAGCTGGGATTACAGGCATAAGCCACCCCGCCCAGCTGTGCTGTGCTAAATTAAAGGAAGCAAAGCAAGAGGGTTGCAGTGGGAAAGAGCGCCCGGTGCAGATGCAGCAGGTGTCCAGCAGAGGGCGATATCATCTAATAAAAGTGCACACGCCTGGGTGGTTGCTTCGAATAATTGAGCCACTGTATACTTTTAAGATAACATTTTAAGTTCTAGAAGATAATATTCTTAGAAAACACAAGCCTGATCATATGAATTATTTGCCCAAGGTGACAAAGCTAGTTAATATTTACTACTTCTGCCTTCCAATCCAGTGCTCTGGTAGGTCTGTCGGCTGCCCTGCAAACATTCAACAGATATAAGAAATCAAATTGGTCTAAATCAAATCACCGATAATATTTGTACTTTTTATTAAATGTGTTATGATTTTTTGGTGCCAGTTTTAAGCCTGCAACATACTCAACAGGGCACTTTAGTCACCATCAAGATGATTTCAGAGTTTGAGGAAACAACAAGAAACAAAGAATTTGCAAGTGGATAAAATTATTTAAAAATTATAAAATCATACTGAAGCAGGAATATTTTTAACCCAAAAAACAAACTTTAAGTTCTAATTCTTTACATTTATTCTAAGCATATGTTGATAATGTTTTATATGACATTTTTAGAATGATATCAAGTGTACATTCTATTGACTACCCAGTTGGGATAGAAATATTAGTCAGATTAGGACAGTTTATGCTGAAATTACAAAGAAAGCTCACCATCTCATAGCCAAAACGATAAAGCAGGAGTCAGAAAACAAGGCCAGAACCTGCTTTTTTGCAAAGTTTTACTGAAACACAGATACACCCATTTGTTTGCATATTATCTGAGGCTGCCTTTGAGTATCAATAGCAGTTGAATAGTTGCCACGCATATCTTCAATGTCAATGGCCTCTTGACCTGCAAAGCCTAAAATGTACACTACTTGTCTGTCTTAGTCCATTTGTGCTGCTGTAATAGAATACCACAGATTGGATAATTTATAAACAGAAATGTATTGACCCACAGTTCTGGAGGAACTGGATCTTGATATTGGGAACTCCAATATCAAGGCATGACAGGTTTGGCCATTCTGACTCTATGATGACACATGGAACACTGCATCCTCTGGAGGGAGAATGCTTGGCTTCACATGACAGAAAGGCAAAGACACCAAAAGGGGGCCAAACTTGCGTTTTTATCACAGCATTAATCTCACCCATGCGGGTGGCACCTTCATGGCCTAATTGCCTCTTAAAGATCCCACTTCACAATACAGTTGCAATGGCAGTTAAATTTCAACATGAGTTTGGAGAGGGACAAACATGCAAACCATAGTACTGATCTTTTATAGAAAAAGTTTGCCGGACATGAACAGACACTTCTCAAAAGAAGACATTTATGCAGCCAAAAAACACATGAAAAAAGGCTCACCATCACTGGCCATCAGAGAAATGCAAATCAAAACCACAATGAGATACCATCTCACACCAGTTAGAATGGCAATCATTAAAAAGTCAGGAAACAACAGGTGCTGGAGAGGATGTGGAGAAATAGAAACACTTTTACACTGTTGGTGGGACTGTAAACTAGTTCAACCATTGTGGAAGTTAGTGTGGCGATTCCTCAGGGATCTAGAACTAGAAATACCATTTGATCCAGCCATCCTATTACTGGGTATATATGCAAAGGACTCTAAATCATGCTGCTATAAAGACACATGCACACGTATATTTACTGCAGCACTATTCACAATAGCAAAGACTTGGAACCAAGCCAAATGTCCAACAATGATAGACTGGATTAAGAAAATGTGGCACATATGCACCATGGAATACTATGCAGCCATAAAAAATGATGAGTTCATGTCCTTTGTAGGGACATGGATGAAATTGGAAATCATCATTCTCAGTAAACTATCGCAAGGACAAAAAACCAAGCACCACATGTTCTCACTCACAGGTGGGAATTGAGCAATGAGAACATATGGACACAAGAAGGGGAACATCACACTCTGGGGACTGTTGTGGGGTGGGGGGAGGGGGGAGGGATAGCATTAGGAGATATACCTAATGCTAAATGATGAGTTAATGGGTGCAGCACACCAGCATGGCACATGTATACATATGTAACTAACCTGCACATTGTGCACATGTACCCTAAAACTTAAAGTATAATAATAATAAAATAAAATTAAAAAAAAGAAAAAGTTTGCCAATCCCTTCTATAATGCAATGCTGTCCGATAAAACTTTCTATGGTGACAAAAATGTTCTATATCTATACAGTCCAATACGGTAGTCACTAGCCACATATGGCTATTGAGCACTTGAAATATGACTAGCAGTTACCAAAGTGGGAATGGATAGTGAGTAAACAACTAACCATGTTTGCCAATTATTGTATGTCTTAAGCTCCAAGATTATCCTCTGATATTGGTTTACTAGGATTTCATAAATAGGTATGTGTTCTTTGTATTCATTCCTTAATATTGAATAGCAACTAAGGAACAGAATTTTTAATTTCAATTAATTTACATTTAAATCAATTAAAAAACAGGAGCTTTGAGGAACTAATAGCCTAATGGCATTCATTAATCTCTTGGCATCCCACACTGTTTTTTTACAAAAACAGGCTGCAGGGCAGATTTGCCTAAGGGCAGTATTTCATTGACCCTTGCTTTATAGTGTTGATACTGAGATGTCGGGCTTTCTTTGTGACTTCAACATAAACTACCCTATCCTGACTCATACATTTCTACAGCTCCCCACTTCCTTCAGAAAGACCATAACTCAAAAATTCTTTTAAGGAAAAATCAGAGAAAGCACTACCCACCATGTAAAGTTGTCCTTCATTTCTTTGTCTTCCATTTATCTCTTCTAACCAGTATTCATGTATCACTTAGGAATACTTTGACTGCAAGTAACAGAACAATGGCCTAAACAATCAGGGATTGTTTTTTTCATATAACAAGAAGTTTGGAAGTAGACAACTTCTGGCATCAGTTCAGCAGTTCAACAATGTCAGAGCTGGTATCTCTACAATTCTCCTGAACTTTCTGTCGTGGTTATAAAATGGCTGCTGCCACATTTAAGGCAGAAAAAAGTGGAACTAGGTATTTTACTAAACACATCTGTCTCTTTTATAAGGAAAGAAAAAGATTTCCTAGAAGACACTCCGGATATAAAGCCTTACCTTATTGGTATCTGGGAACAACCAGCACTGAGTCGTATAACCACCAGAGACGTAAAATAGTCTGGGAAAGCAGGAAACCACTTTCCAATAGTGGTTGTCACCTAGGGCTGGGCACACTGCCCCCATAAAGGTGGGAATAAATATTGAGTAAACAACTAATCATGTTAGCCAATTATAGCGTCTTAAGCAAAAAGACTATCCTTTGATGTTAGTTTTCTAGGGTCTCATGAATAGGTATGTGTTCTTTGCATCCATTCCTTAATTCAATGATTATTTTCTGATACCTATTGGAGGTCAGGCATTGGACAAGGTGTCAGGAAGGGGCAGATGATGAGGCTGGAAATGATATCTAGAATATGCAGGGTCTATGTAAAAGTATAAATGGAAGGTTTTATGAAGTATCATAAAGACTTATGCCCAATATGCCACAAATTTACATTTTTACTTGAGAGTTTCAGTACATTACACCTGCAAGCTCTTCATGAGTGACTTAGCTTACTATGACATTTATTGCAGATTCAAAAATGTAGTTCTTCTGGGGCCAGGTGCGGTGGCTCATGCCTGTAATCCCAGCACTTTGGGAGGCTGAGGTGGATGGATCACGAGGTCAAGACATCAAGACCATCCTGACCAATCTAGTGAAACCCCGTTTCTACTAAAAACAAAACAAACAAACAAAAAAAAAACAAAAATTAGCCAGGCATGGTGGTACGTGCCTGTAGTCCCAGCTACTCGGGAGGCTGAGGGAGGAGAATCACTTGAACCCGGGAGGCGGAGGTTGCAGTGAGGCAAGATGGCACCACTGCATGCCAGCCTGGCCAGCCTGGGCAACAAGAGCAAAACTCCACCTCAAAAAAAAAAAAAAAAAAAAAAAATATATATATATATATATATATATATATAGTTCTTCTGGGTGATATTTTTAAATCTTCTAATAGGTACAAATCTCAGTGACTCAGCTGTGTAAGTAATATACTAGAGCTTTTGCTACTTTTCTATGTAAATCTTCCATTCTGCTGAAGTAGCAGAAACTTCATGTCAGTGATTTGTAGTTCTCTAGATCTGTGCCTAAATCCAAGAGGTGGGCAGACACCTGAAAGAGGGAAATAGTCTGTCCATTGATGGCATTTGTACACACCAGCATCCATTAGGATTGTATTCTGTCAGCCTGTCTGCTTGTTGAAGAAAATCAACCTCGTGGTCCCTTTGGGACAATGCATGGCTTGGTGGCCTCTCTACCTGGTGAAATCTTTCTGCAGCTCCCCCACGTTATGGAGTTTAACTGACTGTGGGGCTGCTAAGTCCCCTTCGGGCCGAACAGTCTCTGTGGTGATTTACTCTGAAGTTCTGCCACCTTCATAGCCTCTAGCAGGAAAACTGGGTACAGCTCCCTCCTTCATGTTCTTGAATTCTACAGTTCAAACTGAGGGCTTTGCTGCCATCTGGGACTCAGGGAGGAGGATGGGCATGAGACCTCTCTCTATGAGCCCACTTATGTCTCTGCTCTCTAAGTTTCTCCTTTTCTTCTCCCCTGGAAACACTCAGCAGGTTATCTGTTGCTGTCAGCTTTTCTACATATATTTATTGTAACATAGTTCATCTTCAAGTGTTTTCCATCCCAAATCATTCAAATTCCCATCAGAGTCATCACCAAAAGAGACAGAAGAAACTATGGGAGTATGTGAGAATGTATGCAAAATGCAGGAAGCAGAAAATAAAGCAACCTTGTCAAACTGTCCCTCTCCTCCTGCAGGGAACTGCCTCATCACCAAAGCAAATCAGAGGACTGTCCCTCCTTTCCACAGTAGCACCACCTGCACTTCTGAGATCTTGCTTCCCCTTGAAATTATCCTTCACTGTCATACGAAAGTAAGCATATAAATATACACAATGAGTTGTGGGTGAAGCACACTCTAAGCTAAGGGACAAATGAATTTATAAATTATGCCTTAATGAAGGAAAAGGGGCTGGCAGGCTGAGGAGCTGGAGAGAAGTTGGCCAGACAGGTGAAACTCTTAGGCATAGGATACTCTTAGACACAAGTACACATTGGCACTTTGTGTGTTTAAGGAATTATAAGGCCGGGTGTGGTGGTTCATGCCTGTAATCCTAGCACTTTGGGAGGCCAAGGTGGGAGAACTGCTTAAGTCCGGAAGTTTGAGATCAGCCTGGGCACATAGCAAAACCCTGTCTCTACAAAAAAAATTTTAAAATTAGTAGGGTGTGGTGGTTCGTGTCTATAGTCTCAGCTACTCAGGAGGCTGAGATGGGAGGATTGCTTGAGTCCAGAAGGTCAAGGCTGCAGTGAGCTATGACCATGCCACTGCACTCCAGCCTGTCTCAAAAAAAGAGAAACACTGTCCCCCAACAAAATTATTATAAGTCATTTCACAGACAGTTAATTCTTGTTATATTCAGTAGTTTTATTCTGTAAAGTCTCAAAAACACTGAATGAGTAAATACTGAACCATTGCTTCTAGGGGAAATACAAGTTTAGATTCCTGAGAGTGACTGGTCACAACATTTTCATTAACTGGTCAATCCATGCCCTTCTTTTATTTATATTTCTGTCTAAACACACCTTATTTAATATATATAGTTGATCCATGAACTTTGAACTCACAGCCAACAGCACTATAGCTCATGCCTGAATGAAGCTTATCTAACATGTATATATTTCCATAAGGCACATCACAGCCTTCCTGCACTTAGAAACTCTAGACAGAACTTTGGCACTGTATTTGCAGGCCATTTTAAACAGCCAAGTCACCAACAAAAAGCACAAAATATGGAAAACATGGTACTAAGTAGACCTCAAAAAAGACATTTTTATAGCATAAGAGCTGAAAATAAGAAGGCAGAGTGTCAGCTTGTTTGACCTCAGTGGAAACATGAACATCAGATGACTCAGATGTTTCACATATGCAGGCACGTGTTCATGAATGACAGCCAAAGCACCATGAATAATGATTTGAGGGTTAAATAAATAAATTTTAGTGAGTAGGCAGATTTGCAAATTTCAAATCCATGAATAGTAAGGATCAACTATAGCTGGAGCAAAGAGTAGGTGCCAGTGTGCACAACTGCTTTAGGGTATAAAGCCAGACAGGCCAGAAAACAAGCTATCAAGGGCCTGTGTGTCAAGCTCTTGAGCACACCCTCCCTCAGGGTGGTTGTTTGGAAGGAGCAGCTTGAAGGCAAGGACAGTGAAGTGAGTCACTAACTTCAATGATTCAATTCCCTGGTATGAGGAACATGGATGCTGCTGGTGACCAATAGGGAGACATTATTTTGAGTTTACCTAATTAATACCATTCAAACATACTCTGACTTCATCAAGATGCTAGGGGAGAAAACTAAAAGAAGGGTCACTATCCCTTTATATGTGGCCATTACATAACTAGCACATTCTGCATTTATGAAGAAAATACTGTGTCCAGCAGCGCAAGCAGAAGTCGCAACTGCCCATGTGGGCCACAGTAGTGAACAGCTTTAACAGTGAAGGCAGTAGTAAAGCTGGCAGCTGCCCAGGGTTGACCACTCAGGAAGCCTGCCAGAGGACCAGAGATGGTGTGTGGCCCCACAGATTCTTTGGGTAGGACTTAAGGGGTTTCTGATATCCCTGTGATTGTTACCCTGTCCTGATTGTCCTCCCCAGACTCAAACCTGGGAAAGGAAAGGATACCCTGTAAATCATCACAAATCAGTTAGCAACTTCTACAGGACTTTTTAGGGGTTGCCATTTAGCACTTCACATCTCAGTAAATACATTTTAAAGCTTTTTAATTCCTGGAAAAAGTTATTTTTTTCCTGGAAAAAAACTGTTTTCTACAAGGTTCATTATGCTTTAATTTTAAGCTTAAAAAAATGCCAGCCAAAGCTGTATCATTTTTGGAAACTGTTTTCCATTTTCAAATCTTAGGTATGTAATCTTAACAACTCTAGATTTCAAATTATTCATCTGTAACCTAAAAAGGTTTTTGTAGGTGCTATCTTAAGTCTCTTTGTTTCTGGAATTCTAGAATTTCTACTCTTTGAAGCTCAGAACTTTTGACAAAGTCCACATCACATTTGAAACAACCATTCAAATCCTGAGTCTATAATTTTCATTGACAGATGAGAATGGATTCTCATATGAAGCCTCATAGAATTTAGATTGATCTTTGTAATGGCTGGAGGCTATTGAAAAATGTATTGCTGGACTTTGGAAGAGGTAGATATAGAATATTGCCAAACTGGCTGAGAGAAATTTGTATTAATAGGTAGGAAGTGATGACAGCCTAGGGAAAAATGGAAAAGAGGGATGGAAAGCCCTTCCCAAAGCATCCACTCAAATGAAATAGACTCTGACTGCAGAAAATTCAGAACTCCTGACTGATTTGATTCAGCATCTTAACATCGGAGCCCACCACATCTCACTGTAGGACACATTCGCTGAGGATGGAGCAGAGAGAGTGGCCAAGCCTGGACTCTGTCTTTGGCTAAACTGGAAGACAGACAAGAAGGACTGGTTTAAGTGCTACTCATTTGGCTGAGAACATAGTAACTAGAGATGGTAGGAAAGAGGCCAATCAAAATAATCTTTGCTTAGATTCATGAATGAATAACCTAATCTGTTTTTTATCAACATAAAGCAAAAGCTAGACATGGTAGTTAAAGAACTGTGTACAAGAGTTCAAAACATAGTTGGGAGGTTCTTGAGCTACCTGCTGTCTTGAAAGAAAATGACCAAGAAATTGGCCTTTTGGACAGATCACACAGCAGCATCACTGACACAGCCACACCCCAGTGAAGGGGCTGGAGGTGGCCTCTCCTCTGTAGAGTGGAGCAAAGATGGGTATATCAGGCCCCTGTCCTACTGCTGGAACACACTTGGCAGATAAAGTTATGCAAGTAAAAGTAGCAATTACAAACATTATGGGAAAAAAAATAAAACCTAATGCCTGAAAGTCTATGGAACACAGAATAGAAACCATAGCCTGCTTCAGATAATATGTGTCTTATATTATCGAGGCTGAATTTTCAAAAGGATTTTAATGTGTGTTTTATAAGTGAGAACCTAGATTCAGCCTTACAAAAATTCCAGTTAGACAACTACATCCCTGAGACCATCTCATTTTGAAGGGGCAAGGAAGGGTTTGAATTAATGAAATAAATCATATAGTAATGCAATTTTATTATTTTTTGACATAGACTTAACAAAAAAATTAATTTCATAGGCAGTTTTCAGTAAAGGTTTATAATAAGTCCTTGAATTTTTTTACTTTTTAATTGACACATAATTTTACATATTTGTGGGGTACATGTGATATTTAAATACATGTATATGATATGTAATGATCAAATCAGGATCATTGGCATATCTGTCACGTCAGATGTTTTTTGTGTCAGGAACATTCAAAATCCTCTCTTCTTGCAAATTTGAAATATATAATAAATTATTGTAATTATATTCACCCTATTATACTATCAAATACTAGAACTTATTTCTTTTGTCTAACTATAGTTTTATACACATTAACCAACTCTTCCCTGTAAAAATCCCTGAAATATAAAAATTACTGGAATAAGCACATATGTATACTTTTTTGTTATGAAGATATTTCATAGATATCAACAGATTCTTTCAAAGGAGCTCAGAATGCAAAAGGGTAACAACCCTTCATGATGGTGGCAGTGAACCATCATCTCCAAGAAATATTAATAATAAAATATTAATAAAATATTTTAATTAATAATAAAATATTAATAAAATACTTTAATTAGTAATAAAATATTTTAATTAATAATACAATATTAACAAGGGGACTCAATGTTTTCAAGAATTGAGATAACCAGAGAGAGACGATACTGTGAATGTGAGAAAACAGTGTTTGGTGGCTCATTTGTAGCATTTTATCAACTAGTTATCCAGTGTCGAACTGCCCAGAGAGTGGGATCTCAGCTAATCCAGAGAGGTCTACCTATAGCAGAGATTTCGGTAAGGACCACATTAGGGACCCAGTTCATGATGATAAGATCTGTACAAATTAAGGTGCTGATAAGTAGAATCTCGAGATCCCCATTGTAGAAAAGAATGAAAGCCCTGACAGTGATTTAAACCAGGTGAATTTTCAAAAGGATTCTAATGTGCACTTTGTAAGTGAGAATCTGGATTCAGCCTTACAAAAAATCCAGTTAGACAACCACACCCCTCAGGCCATCTCACTTTGAAGGGGAAGGAAGGAGTTGAATTACAGAAATGAATCATATAGTGATGCATCATTGCTCCGCTCTACAGAAGAGAGGCCACCTCAAGCCCCCATACTGGTGTGTGGCTGTGTCTGTGATGCTGCCATGTGATCTGTCCAATAGGCCAATTTCTTGGTCATTTTCTTTCAAGATATCAGGTACCTCAAGAAGATTGGCTTTTTTCTGCAGCCACATGGATGTAAATGAAAACATCTTTTCTCTTTTTTTATTTTATTTTATTTTATTTTATTATTATTATATTTTAAGTTTTAGGATACATGTGCACAATGTGCAGGTTGGTTACATATGTATACATGTGCCATGCTGGTGTGCTGCACCCATTAACTCGTCATTTAACATTAGGTATATCTCCTAATGCTATCCCTCCCCCCGCCCCACTCCCCAAAACAGTCCCCAGAGTGTGATGTTCCCCTTCTTGTGTCCATGTGTTCTCATTGTTCAATTCCCACCTATGAGTGAGAACATGCAGTGTTTGGTTTTTTGTCCTTGCGATAGTTTACTGAGAATGATGATTTCCAATTTCATCCATGTCCCTACAAAGGACATGAACTCATCATTTTTTATGGCTGCATAGTATTCCATGGTGTATATGTGCCACATTTTCTTAATCCAGTCTATCATTGTTAGACATTTGGGTTGGTTCCAAGTCTTTGCTATTGTGAATAGTGCCACAATAAACATATATATGCATGTGTCTTTATAGCAGCATGATTTACAGTCCTTTGGGTATATACCCAGTAATGGGATGGCTGGGTCAAATGGTATTTCTAGTTCTAGATCCCTGAGGAATCGCCACACTGACTTCCACAATGGTTGGACTAGTTTACAGTCCCACCAACAGTGTAAAAGTGTTTCTATTTCTCCACATCCTCTCCAGCACCTGTTGTTTCCTGACTTTTTAATGATTGCCATTCTAACTGGTATGAGATGGTATCTCATTGTGGTTTTGATTTGCATTTCTCTGATGGCCAGTGATGGTGAGCATTTTTTCATGTGTTTTTTGGCTGCATAAATGTCTTCTTTTGAGAAGTGTCTGCTCATGTCCTTCACCCACTTTTTGATGGGGTTGTTTTTTTCTTGTAAATTTGTTTGAGTTCATTGTAGATTCTGGATATTAGCCCTTTGTCAGATGAGTAGGTTGCAAATATTTTTTCCCATTTTGTAGGTTGCCTGTTCACTCTGATGGTAGTTTCTTTTGCTGTGCAGAAGCTCTTTAGTTTAATTAGATCCCATTTGTCAATTTTGGCTTTTGTTGCCATTGCTTTTGGTGTTTTAGTCATGAAGTCCTTGCCCATGCCTATGTCCTGAATGGTAATGCCTAGGTTTTCTTCTAGGGTTTTTATGGTTTTAGGTCTAATGTTTAAGTCTTTAATCCATCTTGAATTAATTTTTGTATAAGCTGTAAGGAAGGGATCCAGTTTCAGCTTTCTACATATGGCTAGCCAGTTTTCCCAGCACCATTTATTAAATAGGGAATCCTTTCCCCATTGGTTGTTTTTCTCAGGTTTGTCAAAGATCAGATAGTTGTAGATATGTGGCGTTATTTCTGAGGGCTCTGTTCTGTTCCATTGATCTATATCTCTGTTTTGGCACCAGTACCATGCTGTTTTGGTTACTGTAGCCTTGTAGTATAGTTTGAAGTCAGGTAGTGTGATGCCTCCGGCTTTGTTCTTTTGGCTTAGGATTGACTTGGCGATGCAGGCTCTTTTTTGGTTCCATATGAACTTTAAATTAATTTTTTCCAGTTCTGTGAAGAAAGTCATTGGTAGCTTGATGGGGATGGCATTGAATCTATAAATTACCTTGGGCAGTATGGCCATTTTCACGATATTGATTCTTCCTACCCATGAGCATGGAATGTTCTTCCATTTGTTTGTATCCTCTTTTATTTCATTGAGCAGTGGTTTGTAGCTCCCCTTGAAGAGGTCCTTCACGTCCCTTGTAAGTTGGATTCCTAGGTATTTTATTCTCTTTGAAGCAATTGTGAATGGGAGTTCACTCATGATTTGGCTCTCTGTTTGTCTGTTATTGGTATATGAGAATGCTTGTGATTTTTGTACATTGATTTTGTATCCTGAGACTTTGCTGAAGTTGCTTATCAGCTTAAGGAGATTTTGGGCTGAGGCAATGGGGTTTTCTAGATATACAATCATGTCATCTGCAAACAGGGACAATTTGACTTCCCCTTTTCCTAATTGAATACCCTTTATTTTCTTCTCCTGCCTAATTGCCCTGGCCAGAACTGCCAACACTATGTTGAATAAGAGTGGTGAGAGAGAGCATCCCTGTCTTGTGCCAGTTTTCAAAGAGAATGCTTCCAGTTTTTGCCCATTCAGTATGATATTGGCTGTGGGTTTGTCATAGATAGCTCTTATTATTTTGAGATACGTCCCATCTTTAACACCCCACTGTCAACATTAGACAGATCAACGAGACAGAAAGTTAACAAGGATACCCAGGAATTGAACTCAGCTCTGCACCAAGCGGACCTAATAGACATCTACAGAACTCTCCACCCCAAATCAACAGAATATATATTTTTTTCAGCACCGCACCACACCTATTCCAAAATTGACAACATAGTTGGAAGTAAAGCTCTCCTCAGCAAATGTAAAAGAACAGAAATTATAACAAACTGTCTCTCAGACCACAGTGCAATCAAACTAGAACTCAGGCTTAAGAAACTCACTCAAAACCACTCAACTACATGGAAACTCAACAACCTGCTCCTGAATGACTACTGGGTACATAATGAAATGAAGGCAGAAATAAAGATGTTCTTTGAAACCAATGAGAACAAAGACATAACATACCAGAATCTCTGGGACACATTCAAAGCAGTGTGTAGAGGGAAATTTATAGCACTAAATGCCCACAAGAGAAAGCAGGAAAGATCCAAAATTGAGATCCTAACATCACAATTAAAAGAACTAGAAAAGCAAGAGCAAACACATTCAAAAGCTAGCAGAAGGCAAGAAATAACTAAAATCAGAGCAGAACTGAAGGAAATAGACACACAAAAAACCCTTCAAAAAATTAATGAATCCAGGAGCTGGGTTTTTGAAAGGATCAACAAAATTGATAGACCAGTAGCAAGACTAACAAAGAAGAAAAGAGAGAAGAATCAAATAGACACAATAAAAAATGATAAAGGGGATATCACCACTGATCCCACAGAAATACAAACTACCATCAGAGAATACCACAAACACCTCTACGCAAATAAACTAGAAAATCTAGAAGAAATGGATAAATTCCTGGACACATACACCATCCCAAGACTAAACCAGGAAGAAATTGAATCTCTGAATAGACCATTAACAGGCTCTGAAATTGTGGCAATAATCAATAGCTTACCAACCAAAAAGAGTCCAGGACCAGATGGATTCACAGCCGAATTCTACCAGAGGTACAAGGAGGAACTGGTACCATTCCTTCTGAAATTATTCCAATCAATAGAACAAGAGGGAATCCTCCCTAACTCATTTTATGAGAACAGCATCATCCTGATACCAAAGCCAGGCAGAGACACAACCAAAAAAGAGAATTTTAGACCAATATTCTTGATGAACATTGATGCAAAAATCCTCAAGAAAATAATGGCAAACCGAATCCAGCAGCAGATCAAAAAGCTTATCCACCATGATCAATTGGGCTTCATCCCTGGGATGCAAGGCTGGTTCAATATATGCAAATCAATAAATGTAATCCAGCATATAAACAGAACCAAAGACAAAAACCACATGATTATCTCCATAGATGCAGAAAAGGCCTTTGACAAAATTCAGCAACGCTTCATGCTAAAAACCGTCAATAAATTAGGTATTGATGGGATGAAAACATCTTTTCTTGTCAGGAAGACAGGCACCTTATAGGTAATCAATAAATGATGAGATGATGGTGGTGGTGGTGTCATTTATTTAAAGAGGGATAAAAGTGGATGGCTCAATTATTTTCACCTATTACAAGTCCTCCTCACCCCATCCAAATCTTATTCACATCAAATACTTTCTTCACAAGGACTTCTCACAGAATAATACAATTAAATATCATTAACACTGAAAGGAATGTTAGACGTTATTGACTCCAATGCCCTTGTTTTAACAGACGTGGAAAGAGTTAAAATGAACCTTCTCAGAGTTAAAGGCAGGGCTGGACTTCCACATAACTCTCCTTCCTCTGCATTCTTCTAAATCTGTGGTCTTTACAGTTCACTAGGAAATTGCTCACATTCTGCTTTGTGACGCCTTTTCTAACAAGCAGGTGTTTAGGTCTTCTGCTTTCATGTCATCCTGTGTGGTTAACTCTTATTCTCAACATCGAGGTTAGGTTTTCTAACAGCTTTGTTCAGAGCATCAAATAACTGTGTACTAACCTGATTTAATTCCCAGCTCCTGAGGGACACCGCCAAGCTTATGAAGCATTTGATTTTTTTTATTATTATTATTATACTTTAAGTTTTAGGGTACATGTGCACAATGTGCAGGTTGGTTACATATGTATACATGTGCCATGCTGGTGTGCTGCACCCATTAACTCATCATTTAGCATTAGGTATATCTCCTAATGCTATCCTTCCCCCCTCCCCCCACCCCAAAACAGTCCCCAGAGTGTGATGTTCCCCTTCTTGTGTCCATGTGTTCTCATTGTTCAATTCCCACCTATGAGTGAGAACATGCAGTGTTTGGTTTTTTTGTCCTTGTGATAGTTTACTGAGAATGATGATTTCCAATTTCATCCATGTCCCTACAAAGGACATGAACTCATCATTCTTTATGGCTGCATAGTATTCCATGGTGTATATGTGCCACATTTTCTTAATCCAGTCTATCATTGTTGGACATTTGGCTTGGTTCCAAGTCTTTGCTATTGTGAATAGTGCTGCAATAAACATACGTGTCCATGTGTCTTTATAGCAGCAGGATTTAGAGTCCTTTGGGTACATACCCAGTAATGGGATGGCTGGGTCAAATGGTATTTCTAGTTCTAGATCCCTGAGGAATCGCCACACTGTCTTCCACAATGGTTGAACTAGTTTACAGTCCCACCAACAGTGTAAAAGTGTTCCTATTTCTCCACATCCTCTCCAGCACCTGTTGTTTCCTGACTTTTTAATGATTGACATTCTAACTGGTGTGAGATGACATCTCATTGTGGTTTCAAAAGCAATGGCAACAAAAGCCAAAATTGACAAATGGGATCTAATTAAACTAAAGAGCTTCTGCAACAGCAAAAGAAACTACCATCAGAGTGAACAGGCAACCTACAAAATGGGAGAAAATTTTCACAACCTACTCATCTGACAAAGGGCTAATATCCAGAATCTACAATGAACTCAAACAAATTTACAAGAAAAAAACAAACAACCCCATCAAAAAGTGGGCAAAGGATATGAACAGACACTTCTCAAAAGAAGACATTTATGCAGCCAAAAGACACATGAAAAAATGCTCATCATCACTGGCCATCAGAGAAATGCAAATCAAAACCACAGTGAGAAGCATTTGATTTTTATCAAGAACGTTTATTCAGAATTCCAGATCCTCAGATATATTCCTATTAGTATGAGTCACTAAACTATGCAATTATGTGTTTAATGTAAATGTAAATTTGGATGCATCATATTTGATTTTAATAAGACTAAACATCTAATAGACCAAATATTTTTTAAATCTTTATGACACTATTAGTAGTTGCTAAAATTACAAATTTTGTTCATACATAGGGGTTGATTTCCACCTCACTTCTGTAGCACACAAAATTCTTCTCTTTATTCAAGCAAAGCTAGGATGTGTCTCAACTGGAAGGGAATTATGACACATGTCAATGCTAACACTTTTTTGTTTTTCTGAGATGGAGTCTCACTCTCTTCACTCTGTTCACCCAGGCTGGAGGGCAGTGGCACTATCTCGGCCCACTGCAACTCCCCCCTACCAGGTTCAAGCAGTTCTCCTGCCTCAGCCTCCCAAGTAGCTGGGACTACAGGCGTGAGCCACCATGCCCAGCTAATTTTTTTGTATTTTGAGTAGAGACAGGGTTTCACCATGTTGGTCAGGCTGATCTTGAACTCCAAACCTCAAATTATCTGCCTGCCTTGGCCTCCCAAAGAGCTGAAATTACAGACCTGAGCCACCACACCCAACCCCAAATGCTAACACTTTTTAAAGAGTTTGTTTATTGCTTTTTCCCCCCCATTATGAATGCAATTGCTGCCTTCTAACAACATGGATTGCTGGGCCAGACACCTAGTGAGTACTCTGGATCAAAAAAGGACCAAGTCTCCATGTTCCCAGACACCAAGAGTCCTTTGCCTGATACCTTCACTTTTTGACTGAAAGCTCATTATTTTCATTCATTCATTCAGTCCGTTTTTCAACAAATAATTACTTTGCAGAATGCTTTTATTCTCATTTTAGAGTTAAAAGTAGCATCAGCAGGTAAAAATGACACAAAATTTTAGCTCTATAGAAATAAGAACTTCCCAGAATTCAGAGGTGTCAAAAAAATCAAATGGTCATATTCAGACACAACCAAATAGAGGGTTATTCTGCAAACCACCAATCTGACCCTTCAAAAAGATCAATGTCAGCCAGGCACGGTGGCTCACGCCTGCAATCCCAGCACTTTGGGAGGCCAAGGCAGGCGGATCACAAGGTCAGGAGATGGAGACCATCCTGGCTAACATGGTGAAACCCCGTCTCTACTAAAAATACAAAAAATTAGCGGGGTGTGGTGGGGGGTGCCTGTAGTCCCAGCTACTTGGGAGGCTGAGGCAGGAGAATGGCGTGAACCCGGGAGGCGGAGCTTGCAGTGAGCTGAGTTGGCGCCACTGCACTCCAGCCTGGGCAAGAGTACGAGACTCCATCTCAAAAAAAAAAAAAAAAAGATCAATGTCAGGAAAGAAAAAAATAAATAAGCAGAGAAAATGTTCTATATTAAAGGAAACTACAATAGCTAGGTTAACTACAGACTAGATTAAAGGAACTACAGCACAAAATATTTTACTGAATCCTGGCTTTTTAAAAAAATGCTATAAAGGGCATTATTGGGACAATTAGAGAAATTTAAATGTAGACTTACAGTTCACATCAGATAATAGAAATATATCAATGTTATATTTTCTAAGATTGATAATGAGTAATTGGGTCACCCAAGGTCCCTCGTGGGAGATAGGATTAGAACACAGCAGTTTGTCTACAGAGCCATCTTAATAGTTTCCAGTCACTAAAGGTGTTTAAACAAAGACTAGCATCACCTGGTAATGATTGTAAGGTAAGATTCAAACAACGAATAGGATGAAAGTGAAGGGATAAGCTCTTCAAAAATGTTAATATTATAAAAGACACTCCCCAACCTCAAAAAAAAAAAAAAAAAAAAAAAACGGGAAACAGTTCTACCTTAAGGAAAAATAAGAAGGCTGGGCACGGTGGCTTATGCCTGTAATCCCAGTACTTTGGGAGGCCAAAGTGGGTGGATCACCTGAGGTCAGAAGTTCAAGACCAGCCTGGCCAACATGATGAAATCCCGTCTCTACTAAAAATACAAAAATTAGCCAGGCGTGGTGGTAGGCCCTGTAATCCCAGCTACTAGGGAGGCTGAGGCAGGAGAACTGCTTGAATCTGGGAGGCGGAGGTTGCAGTGAGCCGAGATCATGCCATTGCACTCCAGCCTGGGAAATAAAAGTGAAACTCTGTCTCAGAAAAAAAAAAAAAAAAAAGGAAAGGAAAGGAAAGAAAAATAAGAAACAAGACAAACTCTCAAGCCATGAATCAAATGATCTTTATGGCCCTGTATCAGGGACTCCACTAGAGGGAAGTGATCACACAGCCTTCTGGGTTGGCTAGGACATACTTCCACGTACCTCGATTCAAATATTTGCATCAGAATCACAAGGCAAAAGAGTTGCTCTAGAAGTCAAGAAAAAGTACTGACACTTGAAATAACTCCCTTAAGATATATGTTACTTTCTTTGACCAAAACGACTAATGGGTCCTTCATTTTATTCCAAATTATTCTGATTAGGTAAGCGCTACACAGACAACACCAGGCACGAGTTTCAAGCCAAAGGCATCTTCCCACCCCACCTTTGGGCATCCCTCTTTGCTGTTCTAAGTACTCCTAAGTAAAGTTTATGGGAGACCATTGATTTGGACTGAGTTCCTGCCTTACGCCTCAACAGATCAACACAAAATGGAGTCACTCATGCTAAAGTTCCCAGTCACCAAACTGAAACTAAGTTGCTTATCTGGCTTTCAAATAATCAGGAGAAAGATAATAGCCAAATCTCCAAACGGTCCAGTTTTAGCCAACATGATAAGGAAGTCCCCTCTGCTTTAACTCTTACAAGAAAAGTAACCTGAAATAACTTGTAAACCAATCCTCTTTGTATTATGCTGATTCTTTGCTGCTGCTCAAGCTAACTGATGAAATTCAACTGTTCTGCCATCCGATGGCATGCTCATCTGTTCTTTAGATGAGATGCTGCCCGATTCATGAATCAGTAGTAAAGGCCAATTAGATCTTTAAACTAAATGTGTTAAAATTTTGTTTCTTAACAGTACTAAGCTGCAGTTCTCAGCAAACATTAATTAAGCTGCCTCTGAGAGCCAGACACTGTTCCAGGCTCTGAGGATGCAAAGGTAAGAGTGTTGGTGTGAGCTTTTATATCCTTGAGACCAGCTTTTTTCATTTATGTTCAAAGAAATAGAAATCTATTTTATTTATTTTTTTCATTATTTTCTTTTTTTTCAACTTTTATTTTAGAATGAGGCCAGCTTTTGAGCACATAAAATATTTTTCTAGGCCAAGTGCGGTGGCTCAAGCCTGTAATCCCAGCATTTTGGGAGGCTGAGGCGGGTGGATCACCTGAGGTCAGGAGTTCAAGACCAGCCTGGACAACATGGTGAAATCCCATCTCTACTAAAAATACAAAAATTAGCCAGGCATGGTGGTGGGTGCCTGTAATCCCAGCTACTCAGGAGGCTGAGGCAGGAGAATCACTTGAACCTGGGAGGCAGAGGTTGCAGTGAGCCAAGACTGCGCCATTGCACTCCAGCCTGGGCAAGAAGAGTAAACTCCATCTCAAAAAAAAAAAGACTTTTCTAGAGTCTAACTTTATTAAGAATTAATATTAAGTTTACTAAAACTACAAATTCAAAAAGTTTTTTCTTAAGCTTTCAAATTAAAACCCTATTATTCTATTTATAATTTGGTAAATTTTAATTTTCACAAAAAGAAACTTTGATCTACATTTGGTCCCATTTGTAAACACAATTTATTAACTCCCTTTAATATTTTAAACTGAATTTACAAAAGAAATATATTCAAATTTCTGCGTTCTTCAAATGTCTACCAAGCAAAATGCTTCCCAAGTATTCAATTTTAGTAAAGTCTAATAAAATTAAATGTATGAATGTAGTTAATCTTATGTTCTTTTAAACATTGCCATGCTATTTGTAAACAGTAAAATTCTGAATGAAAAATGATAAATCCAGCCAGGCACAGAAAGACAAACCTCACATATTCTCACTCATCTGTGGGGGATAAAAATTAAAACAATTGAACTCATGGAGATAGAGAATAGAAAGATGGTTACCAGAGGCTGGGAATGGTATTGGGGGAGAGGGGGAATAGGGAGGAGGGATGGTTAATGGGTACAAAATAATGTTAGAAGGAATAAATAAGACCTATTATTTGCTAGCACAACACGGTGACTATAGTAAAAAATAATTTAATTGTTCATTTAAAAATAAAGAGTACAATTCAATTGTTTGAAATACAAAGGATAAATACTTGAGGTGATAACTACCCCATTTACCCTGATGTGATTATTATGCACTGCATGCCTATCTAAAAACATCTTAAGTAACCAATAAATATATACACCTATGATGTACCAAAAAAGTTAAAATAAAACATTTTTCTAGAAAAATTATAAATCCAAAATCAACTAATATTTAAAAGTTGGATTAGAAAGTTAATCGGATAGATACACTTGTATACTAAATTATTGTAAACATTAACACATTTTAAATACCAAAAATACACAGATTTTTATTTTTCTCTCTTTCTTAGTTTTTAAAGGTGTGGTATTATTCTGTTGCCCAGGCTGGAGGGCAATGGTGCAATCATAACTCAGTGCAGCCTCAGACTCCTGAGCTCAAGCAATCCCCCTGCCTCAGCCTCCCACATAGCTAGGACTCCACACCCAGTTAATTTTTTTTAAATTTTTTGTAGAGATGAGGGGGTTCTCACTATGTTGCCCAGGTTGGTCTTGAACTCTTGACCTCAAGCAATCCTCTCACCTTGGCCTCCCAAAGTGCTGCAATTACATGTGTGAGCCACCACTGCCTGGCCCAGATTTTTCTACTAATTTTTCTGTAGCCAGACGGACATACTGAGACCCTTTTGCAACTCTTTAACAAGGGGAATTTCATGCTGGTATCTGACAACTCCCCACCCAGATTGCTCATCTACTTGATTCGATATTCATAATAATATGTTTCCCATCTATCAGGCTGTCTTAGGTTTGGAAAAGTTATCTGATGGATTCTGCAAATCTGTGCTGGAGGATCACAACACTGAAATCATGCAGATAACAGAAGGACCTACTCCCTGCATGCTCCGAAGGTCCCTAATTACCTGCTTTTCCACGCCCAGAGCCCAGGCCTTCCATTCACTACCACCCCTGACTTTTGCTTCCAAGCTGTCCTGTCCACATACAAATGGGAATGGTCCTCTCATAATCTCATAATGTTGACATTGCCAAAAAAGTGTTAATATGTGGTCACTCTCGAGGGTTTGAGCATTGTCTTGGTCAGTTCAGAATGCTATAACAAATATACCATAGACAGCTGGGTGTAGTGGCTCACAACTCTGGTCCCAGCTACTCAGGAGGCTGTGGCAGAGGATGGCTTGAGCCTGGGAATTTGAGTCCAGTATGAGCAACATAGTGAGACCCTATCTCTTAAAAATTTTATTATCTATAGCGTGTAGTGTGTATAACACTGCATTGCATGTAACACTTCACACTATGGATACATAATTTTTTTTGAGATGGAGTCTCACTCTGTTGCCCAGGCTGGAGTGCAGTGGCATGATCATGGCTCACCACAACCTCTGCCTCCCAGGTTCAAGTGATTCTCTTGCCTCAGCCTCCCAACTAGCTGGGATTACAGGCATGTGCCACCACACCTGGCTAATTTTGTATTTTTAGTAGAGATGGGGTTTCACCATGTTGCCTAGGCTGGTCTCAAACTCCTAACCTCAGGTGATCCACCCACCTCGACCTCCCAAAGTGCTGGGATTATGGGCATAAGCCACCCCACCCGGCCTAGATACATAATTTTTAAGAGACAGGGTCTCACTATGTGTATGTGTATAAGTGTATATATGTATACACATGTGCCATAGATTGGGTGGTTTAAACAACAATTATTTCTAACAATTCTAAAGACTGGGAAGTCCAGACTGAGGTGCTCGCAGATCCCATGTCTGCTGAGGGTCCACTTCTGAGTGTGCCAATGACAACCTTCTCCTAGTATCCTCACTTAAGGGAGAGCAGAGAGAGAGGGAAAGGAAGCTTTTATCTGTTTCTGGTAAGGGGGCTAATCCCATTTGTGAGGGCCTCACCTTTATGACCTAACCACCTCCCAAAGGCCCTACTACCTCTAAATACCATCATGCTAGAGATTAGTCTCTAACAAATGAATTTTGGGGAACACAAACTTTCAGTCCATAGCTAGTATCTTAACTGATTACTCCTAAATATACATGGCAAACTGACAGTCCATGAGACAACTTAAGTTGAAGACATATTTATTGGCCCAAGTAATGTTGATCTAGTGCTTTAAAATTAGGATACTTCACAGAGAATCAGGACATCCCACATCTCTTGAAAACTTAGACCACTGAAATCTGTAAACCACTATTTCTGCATGGCAAAAACTGGCTGGAGATGAGCAGCAATTTTCTTCTTGGAAAGACACTGCCCTCCTCTATTTATCCAGGCCCATCATCTGCTTCACTCCAACTCTCCTCTCTATTTACACTGCCCTACTGGAACAGGGTTTGAGTTTTTCCATGTTTCTTAATGAAGGCAAGGTCAATGGTAGAAATTTCAGACATCATAGATATTTTTGATAAAGTTCTCAAAGCTGTTAATAATCACACCGCCACTGTCTATTAATGCTTATGGGTGAGATCAGCCTGCATCACAGTTTCAAAAGCCATGCAGTTCTGACCATCACTTTAAGAATGACACATATTCATGCCTGTAATCCCAGCACTTTGGGAGGATGAGCTGGGTGGATCACAAGGTCAGGAGTTCGAGACCATCTGGCTAACACAATGAAACCCCATCTCTACTAAAAACAGAAAAAAAAAATTAGCTGGGCATGGTGGCGGGCACCTGTAGTCCCAGCTACTCAGGAGGCTGAGGCAGGAGAATGGCATGAACCCAGGAGGCAGAGCTTGCAGTGAGCCTAGATAGAGCCAATGCATTCCAGCCTGGGCGACAGAGCAAGACTCTGTGTCAAAAAAAAAAAAAAAAAAAAAAAAAAACAAAGAATGACACATATTATTACTCAAAATATTATATTCAAACTGCAAATATTCTTTGAAGCAGAAGATTAAAGATGAATGAACCTGAGCCAAATAGGAACAGCTCCAGTCTCCAGCTCCCAGCGTGACACAGAAAATGGGTGATTTCTGCATTTCCCCCTGAGGTTCTGGGTTCATCTCACTGGGGCTTATCGGACAGTTGGTGCAGGACAGTGGGTGCAGCCTACCGAGCGTGAGCTGAAGCAGGGCGAGGCATTGCCTCACCTGGGAAGCGCAAGGGGTCAGGGAATTCCCTTTTCTAGCCAAGGGAAGCTGTGACAGACACCATCTGGAAACTCGGGTCACTCCCACCCTAATACTGCGCTTTTCCAATGGTCTTAGCAAATGGCACACAAGGAGATTATATCCCACGCCTGGCTCGGAGGGTCCCACACCCATGGAGCCTCGCTCATTGCTACCACAGCACTCTGAGATAGAACTGCAAAGTGGCAGCGAGGCTGGGGGATGGGTGCCCACCATTGCTGAGGTTTGAGTAGGCAAACAAAGCAGCCAGGAAGCTCGAACTGTATGGAGCCCACCACAGCTCAAGGAGGCCTGCGTGCCACTGTAGACTCCACCTCTGCGGGCAGGGCATAGCCGAACAAACGGCAGCAGAAACCTCTGCAGACTTAAATGTCCCTGTCTGACAGCTTTGAAGAGAGTAGTGGTTCTCCAAGCACGGAGTTTGAGATCTGAGAATAGACAGACTGCCTCCTCAAGTGGGTCCCTGACCTCAGAGTAGCCTAACTGGGAGGCACCCCCCAGTAGAGGCAGACAGACACCTCACACAGCTGGGTACCCCTCTGAGACGAAGCTTCCAGAGGAACGATCAGGCAGCAACATTTGCTGTTCAGGAATATTTGCTGTTCTGCAGCCTCCGCTGCTGATACCCAGGCAAACAGGGTCTGGAGTGAACCTCCAGCAAACTCCAACAGACCTGCAGCTGAGGGTCCTGACTGTTAGAAGGAAAACTAACAAACAGAAAGGACATCCACACCAAAACCCCATCTGTACGTCACCATCATCAAAGACCAAAGGAAGATAAAACCACAAAGATGGGGAAAAAACAGAGCAGAAAAGCTGAAAATTCTAAAAATCAGAGCACCTCTCCCCCTCCAAAGGAACGCAGCTCCTCACCAGCAACGCAGCAAAGCTGGACGGAGAATGACTTTGACAAGTTGAAAGAAGAAGACTTCAGAAGAGCAAACTTCTCCGAGCTAAAGGAGGAAGTTCGAACCCATTGCAAAGAAGCTAAAATACATGAAAAAAGATTAGACGAATGGCTAACTAGAATAATCAGTGTAGAGAAGTTCTTAAATGATCTGATGGAGCTGAAAACTATGGCACAAGAATTACATGATAAATGCACAAGCTTCAGTAGCCAATTCGATCAACTACAAGGAAGGGTATCAGTGATTGAAGATCAAATTAATGAAATGAAGTGAGAAGAGAAGTTTAGAGAAAAAAGAATAAAAACAAATGAACAAAGCCTCCAAGAAATATGGGACTATGTGAAAAGACCAAATCTACATCTGATTGGTGTACCTGAAAGTGATGGGTAGAATGGAACCAAGTTGGAAAACACTCTTCAGGAGATTATCCAGGAGAACTTTCCCAAACTAACAAGGCAGGCCAACATTCAAATTCAGGAAATACAGAGAACACCACAAAGATACTCCTCGAGAAGAGCAACTCCAAGACACATAATTGTCAGATTCACCAAAGTTGAAATGAAGGAAAAAATGTTAAGGGCAGCCAGAGAGAAAGGTCGGGTTACCCACAAAGGGAAGCCCATCAGACTAACAGCTGATCTCTCATCAGAAACTCTACAAGCCAGAAGAGAGTGGGGGCCAATATTCAACATTCTTAAAGAAAAGAATTTTCAACCCAGAATTTCATATCCAACCAAACTAAGCTTCATAAGTGAAGGAGAAATAAAATCCTTTACAGACAAGCAAATGCTGAGAGATTTTGTCACCACCAGGCCTGCCCTAAAAGAGCTCCTGAAGGAAGCACTAAACATGGAAAGGAACGACAGCTACCAGCCACTGCAAAAACATGCCAAATTGTAAAGACCATCGATGCTAGGAAGAAACTGCATCAACTAACAAGCAAAATAACCAGCTAACATCATAATGACAGGATCGAATTCACAGATAACAATATTAACCTTAAATGTAAATAGGCTAAATGCTCCAATTAAAAGACACAGACTGGCAAATTGGATAAAGAGTCAAGACCCATCAGTGTGCTGTATTCAGGAGACCCATCTCACGTGCAGAGACACACATAGGCTCAAAATAAAGGGATGGAGGAAGATCTACCAAGCAAATGGAAAACAAAACAAGGCAGGGGTTGCAATCCTAGTCTCTGATAAAACAGACTTTAAACCAACAAAGATCAAAAGAGACAAAGAAGGCCATTACATAATGGTAAAGGGATCAATTCAACAAGAAGAGCTAACTATCCTAAATATATATGCACCCAATACAAGAGCACCCAGATTCATAAAGCAAGTCCTTAGAGACTTACAAAGAGACTTAGACTCCCACACAATAATAATAGGAGACTTTAACACCCCATTGTCCACATTAGACAAATCAATGAGACAGAAAGTTAAAAAGGATATCCAGGAATTGAACTCAGCTCTGCACCAAGCAGACCTGATAGACATCTACAGAACTCTCCACCCCAAATCAACAGAATATACATTCTTCTCAGCACCGCATCACACTTACTCCAAAATTGACCACATAGTTGGAAGTAAAGCACTCCTCAGCAAATGTAAAAGAACAGAAATTATAACAAACTGTCTTTCAGACCACAGTGCAATCAAACTAGAACTCAGGATTAAGAAACTCACTCAAAACTGCTCCAGTTTTTATATCCAGATATAATATCCAGAATCTACAAAGAACTCAAACACTTCTCAAAAGAAGACATTTATGCAGCCAACAGACACATGAAAAAAGGCTCATCATCACTGGTCATCAGAGAAACGCAAATCAAAACCACAGTGAGATACCATCTCACAGCAGTTCGAATGGCGATCATTAAAAAGTCAGGAAACAACAGGTGCTGGAGAGGATGTGGAGAAATAGGAACACTTTTACACTGTTGGTGGGACTGTAAACTAGTTCAACCATTGTGGAAGTCAGTGTGACAATACCTCAAGGATCTAGAACCAGAAATACCATTTGACCCAGCCATCCCGTTACTGGGTATATACCCAAGGGATTATAAATCATGCTGCTATAAAAACAAGTGCACACGTATGTTTTTTGCAGCACTATTCACAATAGCAAAGACTTGGAACCAACCCAAATGTCCATCAATGATAGACTGGATTAAGAAAATGTGGCACATATACACCATGGAATACTATGCAGCCATAACAAAGGATGAGTTCATGTCCTTTGTAGGGACATGGATGCAGCTGGAAACCATCATTCTCAGCAAACTATTGCAAGGACAGAAAACCAAACACTGCATGTTCTCACTCATAGGTGGGAATTGAACAATGAGAACACTTGGACACAGGAAGGGGAACATCATACACTGGGGCCTGTCATGGGGTGGGGTGAGGGTGGAGGGATAGCATTAGGAGATACACCTAATGTAAATGACGAGTTAATGGGTGCAGCACACCAACATGGCACATTTATACATATGTAACAAACCTGCACGTTGTGTACGTGTACCCTAGAACTTACAGTATTAAAAAAAAAAAAAAAGAAAACCACAGGAATGGAAAACCAAACACCGCATGTTCTCACTCATAAGTGGGAGCTGAACAATGAGAACATATGGACACAGGGAGGGGAACAACACACACCAGGGCCTGTCGGGGGTTGGGAGTAAGGGGAGGGAGAACATTAGGACAAATACATAATGCATGTGGGGCTTAAAACCTAGATAATGGGTTGATAGGTGCAGCAAACCACTATGGCACATCTATACCTATGTAACAAACCCGCATGTTCTGCATGTGTATCCCAAAACTTAAAAAAAAAAATAAAAAAATTAAAAAAAGAAGTGTGTTTGGAAAAAAAAAAGTGACTAGGTAAAAAAAAAAAAAAGGCTGGGCACGGTGGCTCACGCCTGTAATCCCAGCACTTTGGGAGGCCGAGGCGGGCGGATCACAAGGTCAGGAGTTCGAGACCATTTTGGCTAACACGGTGAAACCCCGTCTCTACTAAAAATACAAAAAATTAGCCGGGCGCGGTGGCGGGCGCCTGTAGTCCCAGCTACTCGGGAGGCTGAGGCAGGAGAATGGCGTGAACCTGGGAGGCGGAGCTTGCAGTGAGCCGAGATTGCGCCACTGCAATCCGGCCTGGGCTAAACAGCGGGACTCCGTCTCAAAAAAAAAAAAAAAAAAAGAAAGAAAAGAAAAGAAAAAAAAGAGAGAATGAAACTTGGGTATCATCTAATCCAATCTCTTCTTTTTATCACTGTTTGAATCAAGGCCCAGAAAGACAAAGTACCTTGACTGAAGTAACTTATTTTTGTACTTCTTGTATTTTACTGGGTTCATTCATTTACTCTTAGATTGCTTCAAACAATTCAAGAAAACTGGTACTTGAGAAATTAAAATATGTTGAAAAAATGATTTTTTTGCCTGAATTTAGAATAAAAGAAAAGGAAGAGGAAACTCATCAAAGGTAGACAGTCATTAGACCTCTAGTTCTGGCCTACCTAAAAATATTTTTATGTAAGTGAGAACTGACATCAAAGACAAAATTAAAAGAGCAACATTACCATTATTTTGGGCATGACCTTGAAATATTAGTAAATGAATTCTCTACATTTAAGCCTCCAAGCTCCAATTTACATACTTAGTCAACAGACTTGTTTAAAGGTAAGATTTTATTTTAATTGGTTCAATCTCAGTGACAAACTTGTAGCCTAAAAGCATCCTAGCCTGATTTTCACATAATCTAGCCATTAACTTAATTCACTGGCTTTAAACTTATGCCATAGTCCTCATGTGATTGATGTTTATAAATTTGCACTAGTTGGCCAGGCGCGGTGGTTCACGCCTGTAATCCCAGTAATTTGGGAAGCCAAGATGGGCAGATTGCTTGAGTCCAGGAGTTTGAGACCATCCTTGGCAACATGGCAAAACCCTGTCTCTACAAAAAATACAAAAATTAGTCAGGTGTGGTGGCTAGCACCTTTAGTCCCAGCTACTCAGGAGGCTGAGGTGGGAGGATTGCCTGAGCCCAGGAGGTCAAGGCTGCAGTGAGCCATGATCACACTATTGCACTCCAGCCTCAGCGACAGAGCAAGAACCTGTCTCAAAACAAACAAACAAACAAAATTGCATTAGTTTACTGATCAGTTTGCCAGTTAGTTATTTGCACGCCAAACTCACTTTCTTTCTGCTACTTGACCCTCAGTTCTACCGCCTCTCCTTTCTGGGTTTCAACCTTTCTCTCTCTCTTGGACTGTAGACATCAACTCAACTCATCTACCCAGGAAATTCCTTGCTATGGGCCACCAGTTGTAGTGACCTCACTTTTGAAAGAATGCAAAGAAAGGAGGTTTCAGAGACATGAACGAATATATACTAAGGATATATTATGTGCCAGACAGGAGGCCATGCACTTCCACGTATTATCTCAAACTCTCGGTAGAGAATTAAAGAAATGAAAAACATATCCTTGTAGGATGGGGCATTAAGCTTAGTGCTATGCAACGTAGAAAAGAAAATGGTGTCTCATCTCAAGGTGGAAGAAATGTATGACTCCCAAGGTAATAAAATCCATAACACTATCTGAAATACTTGGCTCATAACCACAAGCAGCCTTGCAGCTTCTCTTGTATTGCTTCTCTGTGCTTGTCATGTTCATAATGTATACCTTTTCATCCTGCTACTGCCTGTGGCTTATCTCCAGACTACCTTATAAGTCTTTGAGGGCTGGAATTGAGCTCTGCTCTCACCCTGCCCTTCCATAGCACTAGATAGATGCAGTCCTCTGTTAAGCGTCGAATAGCTGCTCAATCGATGCTTATTGAGAGAAACTGCAGTCGAAGAAGGTAAAAGGGCATTTTAGTGGAGAAGGTGGGAATAGCAGTCCTGAAGGTTCAGTCCAATTACCTCAGCAAAATTGCTTAATTGGAGCAATGGGTACTTAACAACCTAGTTAGACTAGTCAAGTATATCCCAGGAGATGGTTGCAGCATCTTTCCTTGCTACAAAGCTAAAATAACTTTTTATGACTCCATGTAAAACGTGTTTGTCAACTCGGGTTGCTTTTGTGCAACTCTAAATCTAAATTTCAACTAATCTACTCTACCAGTGCCTTATCTAGGCCCGTTGACCCTGCTGTTTAATTTTTAAAAAGGCTTTTGGAACCACATAAGAATGTTCACAGACTTGTTAATGTTTTTATTATATGAGCTAGATCTGGACTAATCCCTCTTCCCTCATTCTTTCACATTTCCTAGTGGGCACCTAGCTTCAAGCTAGAATGGGTTTCCACTCTTTGATTTCAGGTTTGAGAGCTAGAAACTGTAAGATTTTAATTACATGTAATTCTCCTAAGTACCACAATTAAATCTGATTATAAAAATATGTTGATAACACCATGTCATAAACATTACATAGTTATTTTATAGTTGTAAAGACTTAAAAACAAAAACTCTAAATGGGGGCTTAGATTTACTGACATTGAGTTTTATTCGTTTATCTCAGCCCTTGACATTTGGACTATTTCTTCTCCTAGGAGTTGTATGTAGGAACATACAACAAGAAGTAGGACTGTGATAAATTAGAACTGAATTTTTTCTATATGCATTTTCTTCTGATTACAATAGCAAAATACTCATTTGTTCATTGATTCACTCAACAAATATTTTTTGAGCACCTACTGTGTGACAGCCATTCTGATAGTAGTAGGATGCTATGGTGAAAAACTGACACATCTCTGATCTTAGGGAGCCTGGAGGCAGTTTTGTTTGAATTGAAATCACAAGAAGAGATATAACTGGGGAATGGTTATATACAAAGGGCAAGAAGGACATTTCAGGGAAACTAAACAGTATAAACAAAGGTCCCATAGCACTTCTTTCAAGAAGGCAGCTGATTAGGTGCGAGAATCTCCACTCCCATGGAGATACACATATTGTTCCACATTAAGGCACAGTTGGGCTCAAAAAAAAAAGGACATCTCTATATGCCAAGAATTAATAAGGGACTCAAAATTACAAAGATAAGCAGTTTTCGAAACCACCCAGACCTTGAGAGAAATTAGACCAGACATAATTTTAAGGGCTGGTGTGTTCATACCTTTGTGGAAGAGGAATTGATTCCTCAGGCCCCAAATACATCAAGGAGTAGAAAAGGGGAATCCTGCTTAGCACTAATTGCCCAAAAATGTGCTGAAAATCTTATGAACATCACCTGGAAATTTTCTCCAGCAGGCCAAGAGTTACAGGAAAAAGTAAGCTGACTTCCTGGGGCTCTCAGAAGCAGAGATTCCAACAGCTGTCCTACCACACACTGAGAAGCTTGAATCTTGAACCCGCATCATGCACTACCACAAAATCAACCACCTTTTTATTGCCCATGCACCATGGGAATCAGGAGCTAAGAGCCTAGTATAAACAATGGTTTGGAATCAGTGAACTCAGTAGGACTTGGGCAAGGGCAATGGTGAACCTCTGCCATGAAGAGGCCTCCGCAATATCTGGACATGGACAAGACTCCCTCTAAAGGTAACTCCTCCTGAAGATAAGCTTGTAGACCTAAACTATGAAACACATGAAGAAATACAAAATAAAAAGGGAAATTTGGACAAAGAATTTATGTCTGGGAAACCAAAAATATGAGTATTGTTAAATAGATTTTTTAATGAATATTTTAACTGTACAAAAAGAAAAGAAAATGTAGAATCTAATTTTTATAAGATACAAAATAAATAAGAACAGATTGATTTCAAAATGAACCAAGTGGAAACATCCAGAAGTGAAACATGTAGCCAAAATAGAAAGAACAATAAACAGGTTAAACAATAGACTCAGATAAAAAAATAATTCATGAATGGGAATATGGATCTGAGGAAATCACTCAGAACACAGCTCAGATCAGTAAAGAAACGGAAAATATGAAAGAGAAGTTAGATGCATGGCAGCTGGAATGAAAGGCCCTGACATGTTTAGTAGGTGCCCTAGAAGAAAAAACTAAAGAGAATTGGGAAGACGGAACTTTGAGGCAATAGTGGAGAATTTTTCAGATTTGAAGAAAGCTATGAGATGTCATATGAAAATACACAAAATTGGCCAGGCATGGTGACTCATGCCTGTTAATCCCAGCATTTTGGGAGGCCGAGGTGGGTGGATCACGAGGTCAGGAGTTCAAGACCAGCCTGGCTAAGATGGTGAAAACCCGCCTCTAATAAAAATACAAAAATTAGCTGGGAGCGGTGGCAGGCATCTGTAATCCCAGCTACTCAGGAGTCTGAGGCAGGAGAATTGCTTGAACCTGGGCGGCAGAGGTTGCAGTGAGTCGAGATCATGCCACTGCACTCCAGGCTGGGTGACAGAGTGAGATCCCATCTCAAAAAAAAAAAAGAAAAGAAAATACCCAAAATTAAACGACATAGTAACAGAGTAACAAAGGCTTGCGTATACACCTCATTATGAAACTAAAACTAGAGAACCATCCAGAATAAACAGGAAACCTTGGAAGCTATCAGTGAGGAAAGGCAGGTTACCTAAAAAGGAGCAACAAGAAGACTGACAGAATGCTTCTCATCATCAACAATGTATGCCAGAGACAACAGGTGAGTATCTTAAAGGAAGGAGGGAAAATAATTGTCAGTCTAGAATTCTATATCTAGCTTAATTATACTCCAAGAAGTTAAAGTAAAGGGAAAAAGGCATTTTAGGACATACAAAGACAATGACATAACTGTCCACAGACCCTCACTGAACAAAACCTACTTGAAGAACATACTTCCACGAAAAGGAAATGAGTAAGGCACAGGCAAAGAAAAACAAAAATAGGCAAATGGGACTCACTTAAACTCAAAAGCTTTTGCAGAGCAAATGATCAATAGAATGAACAGACAACCTGCTGAATGGGATAAAATATTTGCAAACTATCTATTTGACAGGGGATTAATATTCAGAGTATGCAAGGAACTCAACTCAATAACAATAACAATAATAATAATCCTATTAAAAAGTGAGCAAAGAACACAAATAGCCATTTTTTAAGAGAAAACTTACAAATGGCCAACAGGTATATAAAAAAATGTTCAACATCACTAATCAGAGAAATGAAAATTAAAACCACAATGAGGTATCATCTTACTCCAGTCAGAATGTCAATTACTAAAGAGTCAAATAGTAACAAATTTTGGTGACAATGTAAAGAAAAAGGAACTCTTATGCACTGTTTATGGGAATGTAACCCTTATGGAAAACAGAATGGAGATTTCTCAAAAAACGCCAATCACAAAGAAGCTAGTATGGTTATATTGCAATGGAACACAATAGACTTCAAAGCAAAAACTATCACTAGAGATAAGCAGGGACATTTCTTAATGATAAGAGAGAATGAAAAAATGGGAATAACAAAAGAGAAATAAAAAAAGAAAGTATAACAATTATGAATGTTATTAATCTAATAATAGCTTCAAAATACGTAAAACAAAAACAGATAAAACTAAAGGAAAAATTAGACATGTCCACAATCAAAACTAGAGATTTTAACATTTTTCACTCAGTAGCTGAAAGACCATCCAGAAAAACCATCAATACAGATATAAAATATTTGAAAAAAATTATCAAGCAACTTGGCCTAATTGACATTTGTAGAAAACTATACCCAGTAGCTTCAGAATTCCTTTCATGAACACATAGAACATTCACCAAGCTATACCATATGCTAGGCTATAAAGTATATATATAAATTTCAAAAGATTAAAATCTTTCAGAGTATATTCTCTGAAAACCATGTAATTAAATTAGAAACCAACAACACCAGATACAAAAGCACCAGACATTAGTAAATCAAATAATACAGTTTCACTAAATATATTATAATACACTTTAAAAAATTTATTATAATAATTCATGAGTGAAAGGAGAAATCACAAGAGAAAATATAAAATATTACAAACCAAATAATAATGTAAATAGAACATATCATACCCCCTTTGTGGGATGCTATTAAAATAGTCCTTAGAACACTACTTAATAGTAAAAAGAAAATAAACTACTGATGCATACAACAGCATGAATGAATACCACAGACATTATCCTTTGTGAAAAAGTCAGACACTACTAGTGAGTACATTCTGTATGTTCTCAGTTATATGAAATTCTAGAACAGGCAAGACTAGCCTAACATGAAAAACAAAAGCAGAGCAATAACCATCTCAGAAATAAAGAGGCATTAACTAGGAAAAGACACATGGATCTTGCTGGGGAGATGAAATGCTCTATGTTGTGATACAGTCATTGGTTACACAGGTGTATCCATATGTCAAAACTGTACAGCTAAGATTTGTGCATTTCAGTTATGTAATTGTTATCTTAAAAACTGTAAAAAAAAAGGATGAGAATATTCAAGTGGGGGATGGGAAGGAGGTGAGGCATAAATGAAACAAGAACAGTAGAGTGTCGATAGTTGTTGAAGCTAAGTAATGGTACTTGAGGGTTTATTACACGACTCTGCCATTCCTTCTGCTTTAAAGATACATGTCCTTAGTTGCAAAAGGAGGAGAAACTGCTCTAATATCTCAAATACTGTACTACCACTAGATTATGAGCACTTTGAGAACATAAACTTTTTTTTTTTGAGGCAGGATCTTACACTGTTTCTCAGGCTGTAGTACCATAGTGTGATCACCTCATTGCAGCCTCAGCCTCCCACACTAAAGCAATCCTCCCACCTCAACCTCTCAAATAGCCTACAGGTGTGTGCCACCATGCCCAGCCAATTCTTAAGAAATTATTATTTGTAGAGACAAGGTCTTGCGATATTGCCCAGGCTTGTCTCGAATTCCTGGGCTCAAGCTATCCTCCAGCCTTGGCCTCCTAAAATGCTGGGGCTATAGGCATGAGCCACCACAACCAGCCTTGAACCATCTTACCCATGTTTTGTGCTTAGTACCAAGAACACTAAAGGACTACCCAACCAACTAATGACCCTTTAGTGGTAGGAATACACCTGTACCTGCCCCAATTTCAGATATGAAGCACCTAGGTTCCAAAGCATTTTTTTGTCTTTAACGCCTTTCTGGTGACTCCAAAATTATACTTTGAAGTAATTAATTAGACTCTCCCCTTGCTCAAAACACCATTTAAATTTAAACTGTCCCATTGTATGCTCAACTTGCATGCTGAAAGCATTTTATGTTAGTAGTTAGGAGATTGGGATCCTTGTTCTGACTGTGCCACTACAGAGCTGTGAGAACTTCAGCAAGTTCTTTCATCCCTGTGGTCTGAATGGAAAATGAGGGAGTGAGACTAAATGATTTCCCAGATCCCTTTCAGCTCTCAGTCTGGATGCCTCTATGTAGGGCGCTTTTGATTTCGCTGTCTGTGATGGACTCCTGTTCCTGTTCCTGAAGAGCTTTAGAATAGTTCTGTCCTGGAGAACAGAGCTCCTTTTAGTCCAAATGCAAATTATGAACATGAGCATGAGCATAAATGAGCAGCTGCTGTCTATTCACCCCACTGGACTGTGGCAAAGTGCTAAGAAGGCAAGGACATTCTGGTTTGATTACAGAATAAGACGCTGAAGATTTCACAATGAAAAATAATTAGTGTAACAGTTATGTATTGAGGTGTGGCAAAACACCCCAAAAGTTAGTGTCTTTAAACAACAACCGTTTTATTTGCTTACAATTCTGAGTTGGCATTTGGTTTAGATTTAGCTAGAAGTTTCTTCTGGTCTTGCCTAGAGTCACTCACAAATTGCAGTCGTCTAAAAGTTCACCTGGGCAGCATGGTCTAAGACAGCATAACTTGCATATCTGAATGTTGGTATTGCCTGTCGGGTCGTCTGTGTGTCTTCAACAGGCTAATCGAAGCTCCCTCATTTGACAACAGCATATCCACAGGGTTAGACTCCTTGAGCATAGCCTTGAATGTTGAAGGCTGCATTTCATTTCTCTGCATTCTATTGGTCAAGCAAGTTACAAGCCCAGCCCATATTCAAGGGGGAGGAGAAACAGTCTTCACCAATCGACAGGAGAAGTTGGCAGAGTGACACTGCAAGGAGAAGTGAGTTAGGGGACAGGAGGGATTTTGCAAACATCTTTGTGAGCAATCGGCCACACTCAATTACAGCACGAAGAAGTTGCCCAGTAAACACTTGTCTGAAGGATACATGTCCTTAGTTGCAAAGGCTTCGGGGGTTATTTCCTTTCCTAGAAGAGAGGAACAATGACACAGATCAAATGTCTTACTAATGGAAAATCAATTGAGTCACCATTGAGTACAAATTCTGGTACACCAGGGAGGGTGTGCGCGGGCGGCAGGGTTTGCTTTTGGTTTGCAGTAGCTCTGTCATTCTCCTTTGCTCCATGGATATAAAACATACTGACATGGAATGTCGACCCCATAATAACATCTTTAAAATGACAGTTACGTCTCTATAAGAGAAATACTAGAGGTGAGATTGTTACTTTCTTATCTTCATAAGTAAACAAAAAAATCTGTCAAATCAATTCAATAAATATGTATATAATGTCTATTTGGTGCCAGGAACAGTCCCTGAAAATAAAAATTACACTGAAAAAAGGTGTGTACCTCTTTCCCCGTGCCTGGCCCAGCCCAAACCAGGAGGCTTCATTAGACCCTTGACATGCAGAATATTTCTTACCGTTCTTACTGTTGCATCCTCAAGAATTATAACCACCAGCATTGGCTGCTTCAGCTACTCCACTTTTCAGATGAAAAGTTGTGGGCAAGACTTAAGCAGCAACTTGCTTTGAATGGTTGTGGCACATTTGCACATGCTGTTTCTTCTGAGCAAAATGACTCTGTCCTCTTTTCTGCCTGATTTGCTCTTCCAATGCATTCTTCAAGTCTTAGTCCAGTGCTTCCTCTCTGAAACCACACCCTAACCCAGCCTGCTGGTTGGTCATCTATTTTCCAGGCTCTTCGTAACCCTGGGCATATCTCCATATACACCCATCACACCTGCTATTACTATTGGTTGATGTGTCCATCTCTCCCAGGACTTTGAGCCCCTGCGACTAAGAATAGATATAGCTTTGTATTTATCTCTATAACTCTAGATAAATTCTCCATAAATGTTTGATAAATGATTTAAGAAATGACTGGAAGAAAAAGTAAATGAATAACAAGCCAAAGAGCAGTAGACAGCTTATGCTAACACTTTGAAGCTTACAGTGCAAACTGAACTCTGCCTCTCCTCTCAATGACTGAATCCATTCCACTTTGTTTCTGCCTCCCTCACTTTCTTATTCTAACAGATCTGAAGCAAATTTTAAAATCTATAATTAACTTTTTTTATATTACCCTCAAGGGATCATAGATCAATGACTTTCTAGAAAAAGAAAGATCCCCATTCTTACCTTTGCATAATCTCTTTTTAAAAAAAAACAAGAGATTACATTTCATGTTCAAATGCCTAAATTATCTCTTCTTAGGACACACAGCAATATTATCTCCCATTTTGACAATTGCCATTGGGTTTACTTCAATTGAAATGAAACATACTTTCATTGTAATTCTGCAAGCACACTGATGAAGTTGTTTACAATCAAGTATTAAAACTTATCTAGGGGCAGTTATGCTTAGCTAAACCTTTGGAATGTGCTAAGTCATGGTTAAGTTGTGCTAAGGGAAAGAATGCTGGGGAACTTATGCCAGTCTCTCAAGATGGCAGCCACAAAGCAGGCATTAGAGCCATAGAACTGAGGTAACTGACCCCGAGTTCAGTTATCACTAGTAAATCAGTCATAACAGTCAAAACAACCAAAAAATATGATAAATTTCCATGGAGCAAAGGGGAACAACAATCCCACTACAAATTTCCAACAATCAGATTTTCTTTCAAATAATAATATGGTAGCATGAAGAGCTAATGCTTTTGACAATCTAACAAAGAAAGTCCCTGAACTCCTTGGGAGAGACCTTATTGCACTCTTCTTTATGTCATCATCATCAAACATGACAGCTGCACTCATACAACATTCAATGCCTGATAAATATTTGTATTTCAGATAGGAGCATGTGTGTCAGAAATTATTTGGAACCTAAGTCCAATAGACACAGCTAATTAAATTATAAATGTGGAGCAAAGTGTGTTGGATGCTTTAAGAGCTTATATATACATGCAGAAATGAAAAGCAATGAAGAAGACAGAAAACCACATGGAACCAAATAAAAGGAAACAGTAAAGTTTCAAAGTGGTGCTTACTAGGTGTAATCTTTCTGAGGTTCCTCTGAGCAACTACCATTGTTTCATTCAATTTGATCTTCCCTAGTATGGTAATAAATAATGCCAGGAGTTCCTTATAAGGGTCGTTCTCAAACCTCACTAATTATCTCAATTATCTAAGGTTTTATATTTTGAGTCATGGTCTTACTCTGTTGCCCAGGTTGGAGTATAGTGGTGTGATCATAGCTCACTGCAGCCTCCAACCCCTGGGATCAAGTGACCCTCCCATCTCAGTCTCCCAAATCACTGGGACTATTGGTGTGAACTACCATACCCAGGTCTTAAAATATTTTTTAAACGTAAAGATTTCCAGCCCCATTTCAGACCCACTAAATGAGAGTCTACTAAGGAGGGGCCAGGAATCTGTATTTTTAAATATCTCCAGGTAATTCTAGTGATCAGCCACTTAGCAAATACCAGTGATTTTTAAAAAGAAAAAAAAAATTGTAAGATATACTGATAGGGGCTGAATTGTGTTGCCCTAAAATTCATATGTTGAAATTCTAACCTCCAATACCGCAGAATGTGACTGTGTTTGGAGACAGGGTTCTAAAGAGCTAATTAAGTTAAAATGAGTCGATTAAAGTGGGCCCTAATCCAATATGACTGGTGACCTTATAAAAAGAGAAAATTAGGACACAGAGCGATACAGTGGGAAGGTTGTATGAAAACAGGGAGAAGGTGGCCATCTGCAAGCCAAGAAGAAAAGCCTCAGAGGAAACCAACCCTGCTGGACTCTTGATAATGGGCTTCCAACCTCCAGAACTCAGAAAGTAAAATTCTGTTGTTTAAGCCATTCAGTCTGCAGTACTTTGTTATGGCAGTCCTGGCAGACTAATACATGTACCTCCATGGTTAATGATATGGTTTTGTTCTGTGTCCCTACCCAAATCTCACCATGAATTGTAATCCCCATAATCCCCACATGTCAATGGCGGGACCACGTGGAGGTGATTGGATCATAGGGGAGGTTTCCCCCATGCTGTTCTCCTGATAGTGAGTGAATTATCATGAGATCTGATGGTTTTATAAGCATCTGGCATTTTCCCTGCTTGCACTCACTCCATCCTGATGCCCTGTGAAGAAGGTGCCTGTTTCTCCTTTGCCTTCCGCCATGATCGTAAGTTTCCTGGGGCCTATCCAGCAATGCAGAACTGTGAGTCAATCAAACCTCTTTCCTTTACAGATTACCCAGTCTATGGTATTTCTTCATAGCAATGTGAGAATAGACTAATACAGTTAACTGGCACATCTGAAAAGCAAGAAAACATTGTGAAGGATGACCTGTGTGATAAAGAGACATTATCTTATATCCCAAAGGGAAAATAGTCCCTATTAAAATGGTTGATTAATTGTTACATTTTACTTCTAACTTCAATGGGGAGAGAAGTTGCTGAAGGAGAAGGGAAAGAGAGAAAAGAGTCTGAAAGTGAAAGGGAGTAACAAGTTGCTGGTAAAATGAGAGAAAGGAGCAACATTCAGGAAAATGAAAACCATATCCCTTAAGGAATGTACTATAATACAACGACATTCTGAGGAATCAGCATCCCCAGGAAAAACAATGAAAAGTAATGCCCAGGAGCACCTTTAGAAGTCATGGGGAATTTTATCTGAGTCTTTCCTTGCCAGAGGGAAAAGTTTTCTTTCTTTCACTTATTTCATCAACAACCATTTATAGGCTGCCTCCTACATCTTAGACACTAGGCTACAGCCTGGCTGTGCAAAGATGATCAACACAGGAGCTGTGCTATCTAAGAATGTCAGTCTAGAAAAAGCAGTTCTCTTTAAAAGCCTCCCTAAAGGTCCAATCCCAAGACACACTTAAACCTCCTTTAGAGATCTTAGGTTCTTCAATTCTTTATCTCTTTGTACAGCCCCCAGGTTCCCAGGCAGGAAATCCACAGCCAATTCCTGTTCCTAAGCACCCAGGAGGCAGGTGTGTTTCCAATTACTATGCTCTCTTCGGGCTATAATTAGGAAAAGTACCTCTCTGACATTTTGACTCTAGCACAGGGCCAGGCACATAGTAAGTACTCAATAAATATTTTTGGAATTAATTAATGCCTTAATCAAATCTATCAATCCTAGAAGCCCTCCTGGTGAGTCTGGTACCTTCCCCTCCCCTGCTCCCTAGACCTCTCCCAGAAGCAGCTTTGCCTTTTTGGAATCTCCCAGAAGAAGCTTCCTAAGGTAGTGTTGAGGAAATATAATTAAAAGCAAAACCCCCTCCCAGCCCAGAAAACCTCTCCACAAACATAATCAAGAAAGAAAACAATTTTACTATTGAATAAACATTAAACCAGAACGTAACGCGTATCACGAACAATTCACTGGAGAGATTGCAATGGTGAAAAGAAATCTTTCATAGAGCAAAGTGGATATAATCCATTACACTCATGTTTTCAAGAAAAAATCCCTAAGTTTATTGTATCATTATAACTAGAGGTAGGGGTTTGCCATTTCAAGTCGGGGAGAGTTGAAATTAGGCCCATTTTCTCCCAGGAAACTGAGAGATGAGGCCTTATCTTTTTTGACGATTACATTTCGAGAAGATGAGGAACATGAAGAAGCGTGTCAACCAATGTTGCCACAAGTCCATGAGGAAATATTCTTGAGTTGTGTCAACCAAAGAATTATGAGGTTTCCACATTTGGACAGGAGAACTTTATTTCTTATAAAAGGTTGCAGCCTCCAGGGTAACAATCCACAGCCTGGGAAGCATAACCTCCAGTAGAAGCAGAGAGGAAATGGTGACACAGGAATTTAGGCCAAATGGGTTGGCTAAGCATACATATTCATCAGATTACAGGAGGAGCAATAAATATTCATGAAAGAGGGCATGCATGTATGCATGCATAGTAAACTAACATGCATGTCACATACATCCGAGGTTCACTTTTTGGTGGATACTTAACATTTAAATGCATTAAAATTAGGCTATACACATTATAAGGTGAAATGGAGGACACAGAGGCATCCAGTACATAGACTCCACAAACTGGCCAAAACCAGTTCATGGTTAGTGGTCTCTTATCAGGAAAACATGCTGGTTGATTGTTGGGTCAAAACTGCAAAAATGGAGGGGAGTCCACTGAGTCTTTTGAAATGGCTGGTTTCTGTTAAATCCTTAGGAAAGAAGGTTTAATGGCAGGTACTGAGGGAGAAAGTATAATGAAGCATATCCAACCTCCCCCATAATGGGCCAAAACTCAGTTTTTAAGGCTTCTCTGGGGTCTCCTTGGCTAAGAGGGGGTGGATTCAGTCAGTTGGAGGGTTTAGGATTTTATTTGTATTTCTCAGGTGTAAAACTCACAAGATGTTTATTTAGCACTTGACCTTAATAGTGGCAAGGCAGTCCAGTCCTCCTGGAACACCATACTCATCAGCATCTCTTTGAGACTGGCCTACCCTCTGAACAGGAATGCACAGAAGCTGCCCGCTGGGACTGCAGGTGCTCTGTTAGCCAGGTCTCCTGGCCATGGCACTGTGCTTTAAGGCCAATTCTTGGGACAGAAAGGTGAAACTTCTTTCTGTAAACCCATTTGGTAAACCCTTTGACCTTGAACATTAAGCATCAAAACACTCAAAGCACAGACTTTGAAATTACACAGACCTCTGCTAAATTCCAGACTACTTCATCTGTGTTGTCTGATCTTGAGCTAATTGGTTGGTTAATTTTTCCAAGACTCAATGTCCTTGTCTATAATAGGGAGATAATATCTTCCACAGAGAGCACAGCTGAAGAGTTGTTAAGTGCTCTTATTACTACAATTGAAGCAAGAAAGTAAAGAAGTTTGGTGCATACACTCTGAACCCAAATGCCTGGCTTTCATCCCAGATCCACTTTTGGCAAAATCACTTTTCCTGTTCCTTAGCTTCCTCTAAGTAAAGTTGTTTAGAAGAATTGCTAGCCCACATAAGAATTTAATAAGTGTTGGCTATTATTTTATTTTTTTCACCTTCATCTCCATTTTGCCAATGGAGATTGGAGAATTGTTTCAAGTCTCTTTCATTTTTTAAACTAAGTAGAATCATTTGAATTGCAAGGTCTGTAGACAAATTATTATCCAGATTAAATTCATTTAAAAGCAAAGGGAAATAATTTGAAAACCTAAAGAAGCATGAAATTCCAAACTGCAGTAGAGAGAAGGCCTCTGGTTATTATCCCTGTTTAATACTTATTGTTTTCCCTCTTTATCTTTTTCTTTTCTTGGCAGTTTCTGAATTAAAAGAGAAAGGCTTAGCCTTTCATGTCTATTTAATACTTATTTAACAATTTACATGGCTTTTAAGAACCAACCACATCCCCAGCAGGAGAGTTACTCTAATTGCTCTCCAAATGTGTAACAGTCATCATTCTTTTCTGTTACTAGGCTAAGATCAGATCTGGGGGCACAGTTCAGTTAAATAAATCACCCTAATCAAATCAACTCTAACAATTGATAAACTAGCATATTAGGTAGAGTATTTTTAAAGATCTACATTGATTGATCAAATGCAAACTATTTATCTTTGTTTAAGCTAAATATAAATCAAAGTTCTAATGCCTTTTATAGTGTCTACTGAGACAGAAATGAACTGTCTTTCCATCTCAAAATAATGCAGCATCCTAGACTTAATCATGATTAAAATTGTCCCCAGATTTGATATGGGTAAATAATAAGTCAGATCACGGCAAAAGGGTGCAGCAGATGAATAATGAATATCATTTTTGGTGCTATAGTCCAACAGAAGACTGTTTAATCTTTCACTTTTCAGCCAGCTGTGTTTACATTCACTTTCTAGGATTGGCCCCATATAGATTTCGATCCTATATCTGCCATTTACTAGCTATGTCAATTTGAGCCAACCAATTAAGCTCTCTGGCCTCAGATTTCTATTCTATAAACTATGGATGATGATACCTTTCTCAGATGGTTATTATTTTGGGGATTAAATATGATAGTGTGTGTAAACTGTGTTCCCAATCATTGTGCCCACTTTAGTCCTATATAACCTGTATGACTAATAGCCTCACTTCAGCAAACATTGTTTCCCTTCCCTCTACCTCCCCCTCCAGATAAAGGCTCTATTTGTCAGCCCCAGACCACAGATCCAATGCTATCTTCCCAACTCTGTAGAAAAATAATTTAATTCCAACTCATTCTTCGGATCCTCACTTTATCCTACTTCTTCCTGTCAACCTAAAAGGAAGAAGCTAAGGCAAAATTAATATAGAGAGTTTAAAATCAGTAGCATTTCTATACCCCAACAACATCCAAGCTGAGAGCCAAATCAAGAATACAATCACATTCACAATAGCCACAAAAAGAATAAAATACCTAGGAATACAGCTAACCAGGGAGATGAAAGATCTCTACAAGAATTACAAAACACTTCTCAAATAAATCAGAGATGACACAAACAAATGAAAAAACATGCCGTGCTCATGAATAGAAAGAATCAACATTGTTAAAATGGCCAGACTACCCAAAGCAATTTATAGATTCAGTGCGATTCCTATCAACTACCAATGACATTCTTCACAGAATTAGCAAAAGCAATTTTTTTTGAGATAGGCTCTTACTCTGTCACCTAGGCTGAAGTACAGTGGTGCAATTGGCTCGCTACAGCCTCGACCTCCCAAGCTAAATCAATCCTCCCACCTCAGCCTCCTGAATAGCTTAGACTACAAGCACACACCACTATGAATGGCTAATTTTTGTATTTTTTGTAGAGATGGGGTTTTACCATGTTGCCCAGTCTGGTCTCAAACTCCTGGGTTCAAGTGATCCGCCCACCTCAGCCTCCCAAAGTGTTGGGATTAAGGGCATGAGCCACCATACCCAGCCAGAAAAAGCAATTTTAAAATTTGTATGGAACCAAAAAAGGGCCCAAATAGCCAAAGCAATCTTCAGCAAAAAGAACAAAGTTGAAAGCATCACGTTATCCAACTTCAAACTATACTACAAGGCTATAATAATCAAAACAGCATGGTACTGGTACAAAAACAGACACATAGACCAATGGAACAGAATAGAGACTGCAAAAATAATGCTACACACCTACAACCATCTTATCTTCAACAGTCAACAAAAACAAGCAATGGGGAAAGCAGTCCCTATTTAATAAATGGTGCTGGGATAACTGGCTAGTCATATGCAGAAGATTAAAACTGGAGCCCCTTCCTTACATCATATACAAAAATCAATTCAAGATGGATTAAAGAATTATATGTAAAACCCAAAACTATAAAATCCTAGAAGATAACCTAGGCAATATCATTCTGGACATAGGCCCTGGCAAAGATTTCACAACAAAGATACAAAAAGTAATTCCAACAGAAACAAAAATTGACAAATGAGGCCTAACTAAAGAGCTTCTACAAAGCAAAAGAAACTATCAATGGAGTAAACAGACAACCTACAGAGTGGAAGAAAATATTTGCAAACTATGCATTTGACAAAGGTCTAATATCCAGAATATATAAGGAATATAAATGAATTTACAAGCAGAAAACAACCCCATTAAAAAGTGGGCAAAGAATATGAACGGTTTTCAAAGAAAGACATATATGCAGCCATGAAAAAGATGCTCAAAATAACTAAATATTGGAGAATGCAAATCAAAACTACAATGAGATACCATCTCACATTAGTCAGAACGGCTATTATTAAAAAATAAAAAAATAACAGGTACTGGCAAGGTTGTAGAGAAGAGGGAATTCTTATACACTGCTGGTGGGAATGTAAATTGGTTCAGCCATTGTGGAAAGCAGTGTGGCAGTTTCCCAAAGAACTTAAAACAGAAGTACCATTCAACTCAGCAATTCCGTTACTGAGTATATACCTAAAGAAATATAAATAATTCTACCATAAAGATACATGCACGCAAATGTTCATCGCAGCACTATTCACAATAGCAAAGATGTGAAATCAACCTAAGTGCTTATCAATGGCAGATTAGATAAAGAAAATGTGGTACAAATAAACTATGGAATACTATACAGCCATAAATAGAGACAAGATCATGTCCTTTAGAGCAACATGAATAGAGCTGCAAGCTGTTATCCTAAGCAAACTAATGCAGGAACAGAAAACCAAATACCACAGGTTTTCACTTATAAATGGGATCTAAACATTGAGAACATGGACACAAAGAAGAGCACAACAGACACTGAGGCCTACCTGAGGGTGGAGGGTGAAGGGTGAGAGGAGGGAGAAGATTAAAAAACCACCTGTCAGGTACTATGCTTATCACCTGAGTGATGAAATAGTCTGTACACCAAACCCCTGTGACACACAATTTACCCATATAACAAACCCGCACATGTACCCCTAAACAGAAATAAAAGTTAAAAAAAAAAAAAGAAAGAAAGAAAAGGAAAGGAAAGGGGGAAAAAAATGTAGACAGTTTATCTGGGCCAAGCTTGAGGACTGCAATCCAGGAGCACAGTTTCAAATTGCCCTGAGTATACACTCTGATTAGCAGCAGTTACAAGTGGATTTTTAAAGGGAAAGAAGAGGCAGTTCCAGAGTTGTTTACCAAAAATTCACATTATAATGACATTATTGATTGGCTACGCATTGTTAAGCTGTAGAACGCCGGTTATAGTGTACTGGGTGGCATTATTAGGTTAATTTTTAGTTACTTGTGGCAATAACAAGCAGTTTCAAAAGCTGAAAACATAGCCCAAAAAAGAGGAGAGTAGGACATGATTGCTGTTTCATTTTAATGCCTCTCTGGGCCTGATAATTTCAATGGACTCACATAATTTTCTTATTCCATTGTCCTGTTTTTTTCCAAACTGAAACTATCTCCCCTTTCTTTGAATCCCTCTATAGCTGTCATTTTCGTACCATTCACAGTACACGCCATGTTCTGCTAGCGGTCCATTTTTCTTAGTCTCTTCTGTCTCTACTACTAGATCTTTGAGAGTTTCACTGGTCTAGCATGGTGCCTTAGTCACAGTTTGCCTGCCTCTGAGTTCCTCTGAAAGCGAACCCCAAGGCAACCCTGGGTTAGGTAGTTTATTGGGAACATGATCCCAGGAAGTGCAAGTGGGGAGATCAAGGCAAAGAAGGGAGGAAGGCCAATAGTGTGTGCATCAGTGAGTCGATGGCCACTGTGGGCAGATGAGGACCCTATGGGAAGCATCCTTCAGAACTGTTCCACCAAGGGATACAGAAGCTGCAGTATTTATTCACAAACTCTCATACCTCATTGATTAAGTGTTGCCCCTGGAGCATCCATTTCCAGCATTGCCAGCAGCCCTGCACATGGCTGAGGGAGCTCTTTTTGTTGCAGGGAGAGAAACAAAGAGCCATGGACAGGTAAGAGGGGAATCTACCAGTGTACCCTAGAGCTCTCTGCTGTAGCTGCAGGTGAACTTAGGGTTGGTTACCCATGCCATCTACTGTAGAGTTCAATAAAAATCTAGTTAGTATTGAATGACTGGAAAAAATAAATATTTCAGAAACACTGCTTATTTCTCAACACAAAGTCACATATCTGGAAGAGTTACACCTATTTCTTTTTATACCACTATTCTATTTAACCCGTTTACTACACAGTGTTTAAGGACCAATTCTGGAATGTTCTAGAATACAGATCATGGCTATTTTGCTCCCTGGTTCTGTTTGGGAGACTGTCGAAATCCCTGGGTATTGCTGTAAAAGACAAAAGGCAATGTAGCAAATAGCTATCAAGAAGCTTTCTCAAACATTTCTCAAATATTCTTTACAAAACATAGAGTGACTTGTCCAGGTTTAAATAGTAAGTCAGTCCTCAGGCTGGAAAAACAACTTGGAATTTGTCAAGTTTTCCAAAAGCCCAATCAAGAAAGGCAGGTAATTAACCACTCACACAGCCCACATCCGGGACCCTCCACCTAACTAACCATTCCATCTGTGCTTCTATCGTGTTTTCTTTACTCCTGCAAATACCATGACTTTATGTTTCCACAGAGCTGTTATTCCAGGAGAACCACGGGTAGTACAAACAACTCTGTGATTCTAAATAACTTCTCTTTGTCCCTCACTGCTTTTCCCAAACACCGTGGGTGGTAAAAGTAAAGGCCCATAATTTTAATGCCAACATGTAATATTTTTAATCAGGCTACAGAATTCACACAGGAATTTCTTGGGGGAATGGCAACCTTTGCATCTTACATTTTTCCACATTAATAATGATAAGATTAGCCTAAAATCAACTAATAAAAAAGGTAAGAGCAGTAATAGAAGCCAGAATTGCTTATTAATTCTTATCAATTCCAGTCATGTTGTTTTGCAATGTCTTTAACACCTTAAATTAGAGCAAACTTTCCCAGATCAGGCTCAGAATCTTCAATGAAGCATTAAAATTTGACCAGAGCTTAGTGCAGAGCCCTACTCAGAAAGAGGGCTTAATAAATAGGAACAACTCTGGGAAGATTGTGTATATTCTCAAGACTGACAACTAAACCAAAAATGACAATCTCCAGTGAGATTTATTTCAGGACAAAATAAAGGTCTGAAGTTTCCTTGGGATTAAAATTTTTAATTGTTCCTGCCTAAAATGTTTCTTTCAAAAAAAAAAAAAAACTGGATTAGGGCACTAAGCTTTATTTAGGTAAACTGTGATCTCCTACCAATTTTATTCACAAATATAAAACAGCCTGAGTAGCGCCAAATATTCTCAGTACCCAAGTTTTACAGCTACCTTCCAAGAACAGAATTTTCAAAGCCACATGAAAACCAGCAAGCTCAGGCCTTTTGGTTGTGTACATTTTTAAGAAGCAGAAGAGAGAGGGACGAGGACCTGAGAGCACAAAGAGAGTAAAACAAAAACAAAGTTTAGTACCAGATGCAGACTCAGGAAGGCCTGAGCGCTATCCAAGTGGGAGTTTTGAGTGATCCTCAGCAACTGTGAGGACCTTTGAAAGGTTTAAAAATATAAATTGTGGCCACTAAAAAAAATATGTTCACAGCTGCTTCAGGAATAAAATAGTATATATTGCACTGAATAGACTCAGACCCTTACACACAGCAGACTTTCACCTTGTGGGTCCTTTTCTATTTCCTCGGGGGCAAACAGGAAGTCATTTCTGTCCTTGCTCTCAAAGTGGTTACAGCCTAGCTGGGGACTGAACTGAAACATACAGGAAAAGAAAGTGAACCCCTCCAAACAATCCCAGCCTGGAGGACTTTCAGACTAGACACACCTAGAGGGAAGGGGCCGAGTCAGTTGCTCACCCAGACTTTCCAGTCTCTGAGGGAGCCTGACTCCCCTTAATTGCCAGTTAACTGAGAACCATTTCCCTACCAATGAGGACCCTAGTGTGCGTGTCATGAGAGTTTTCTTTTGACAGTGCAGTTTAAGTGCTAAATAAACAACTGCTTTTATTCATTGTTATTACTATTTGTATTTGCTTCCTTCATTAGCAGTATCTTCCTAGAGGAAGAACTTCCTGGAGGTTAGGAAAATGCCCTGTGACTCCCACCTGGAACTGAAATCCACTTTCCTACTGTTGTAAATAGAACTTAGGGGATACTGAATACTAATTAAATGTTATTATTTGCCATCAGACTACAACTATAACAGATAATGTTCTTTGAGACACTGAAACCAGAATTCCTGACAAGGTCAACTTTACAGCTGGTTGGCAGACACACAGGAAACATTTGGAGCCACATCCTTGATTACTAGTGTCTACCAATGGTTAATAGGAACCAGACTGGTGAAATAGGCAACATGTGCTCAAAGTCACCCAGAGGAGGGGACAACACAGAGGCTGAAACCCAGGCCCCATCTTGCCCCAGGACAAAACCCTGCTTCTGTGACTACAACCACAGCCTTAGTTTTCTTTGCATGAAAAAGCCTCTAGGGGCCAAGGCCATGGTCCAGGGGGCTGTGCTGCTTACAGGAGGAAACTTTCTCTAGTTCCTCTGTCCTGAGAAGGCACAGAGAATTAGGTGAACCTGGCTCAAGTCTCCCAATTGCACCATCTTGAATGAGCCTTGTATTCTTCCTGTGAAAGATGTAACATCAAGATACCTTCATTTGCTCTAGCTTCTGTACAGGGGTTCCACTGTACACCAACCCAGAAGCAAGATCTACCCCTCTTATTTTCCACAAGAAGAAAGCCAGTCTCGTGAGCACATCATAATCATGGTTGTTGGGTTGAAGATGAGTGACCTTGGGGGTAAGGGTACTTTCCACAGGACAACCCAGGGCCCAGCTCTCCTATTTTTCTTGCAGAGCCAGCCCCATACCCGGGCCCTGGTCTCCAAAAGCCCTAGCCCAGCCATCACCCTGTCCACTGCACAGCAACTTTGGGAAGGCCTGTCCAGCCCTGTCCTCAGCCTGCTTCTCTCCCATGGGCCAGCCCTTGTCCTTTCCAGTCCTTTCCAGAATTCTAGTGAATAAGATGTCTCCACACAAATGAATAATTCAGTAAGCACGTGGCGCGTAGCTGACACTTACCAAATATTGGTGGAATATGCAAGGGAGGGAATGAATACATGAACAATTGGAGCCTCGTCATGTGTATTACCTAAGAAAGCTGAATTCCGGGTTGAGGTGGAATCGAGTGTTTCTGCAGCCTCTTTCAAAATAGACAAGTCAGCACAAGGCATCTGGCTCCTCAGCAAACTTCCTAATCATAGGAAATAAAAGGTTATATGGCACAGAGGTTACCTACAGGCTGGAATGTTTTCTAAACAAAAGAATAAAACACCGTGCCTGTGAAGGAAAAGCAAAGCTAGAGCCAGGAGCCAGGGAAGGGTCCTTGGTAAAGAAGACTAGAGTGTCATGCCTTTGACAAGGAAAGAGAAGGCCAGCAGACCAGATGCCTGTCACTGAAGCAAGTCCCCTTCCTGCTTCACTAGACCCCCATGGCCAGCCTTGTAACAAGGCACAGAGACGTGGCTTTAGCTGTGAATCGTCACATTCAAGGAATGTACATCTCCAACTCCAAAAAGAGCCTGCCTCCCTGACTTCACTGAACAGCAAGTCTCTGCTTTCCTCAAAGTCTCAGCCTGGGCAGGAACAAGCTATTCTCACACCTCCAGTTGCAGCCCCTAAAACATCATCTCTATCTCTTGGCACAAAGAGAAATGGTAAAAATATCCACTTCACACCATAAGACTGTTTGCCAGAAAGAATAGAGTTTTACCCACCCTTCATTAAGTATGTTTTCAAATGTTACTCTTTCCCTCTCTGCTGGGTATGAGTGAATCACATCCTCAGGAAATACCACTGGGTATGTAAATTAGCACTCTGGAATGTCTTAAGACATGAAGTTAGTTCAGCTGACTCCCTGGTTGTATGTGGCTTTGAAATGAACACTTAAAGCCTTTAAACAGGTATGACCTTGTTTATGAATTATGTTATGAATTAGTATTCAAGGTGGGTAATGTTGGTGCTCAGGTGTTTGTCCAGGTAAAAGGCAAATCAGCTTAATGTAAAGCCCTTACTCCACGGTTTTGACACACGTGCTATTGCCTAAATGAATGAATCTTGCGGACCACTTCTAAGGCTGGTGAATGAAGTCAAAGAAGTCAAAGCAGGGGGGGACCCAGCTTTAGGAAATAGCATGGCTTATGTTACCCTTAAACCACTTTTGTTTTAAAAGAAAGATAATAGGGACCTAACAAAGAGAGGCTGTGTGTCCTTAGAGCACCTTTTATCAATGTACCAGGAAAAAGAGGTTAAGAACTCTGAATCTGGAGGTTGTCAGGCCTCTGAGCCCAAGCTAAGCCATCATATCCCCTGTGACCTGACGTATACATCCAGATGGCCTGAAGCAACTGAAGATCTACAAAAGAAGTGAAAATAGCCTTAACTGATGACATTCCACCACTGTGATTTGTTTCTGCCCCACCCTAACTGACCAATGTACTTTGTAATCTCCCCCACCCTTAAGAAAGTTCTTTGTAATTCTCCCCATGCTTGAGAATGTACTTTGTGAGATCCACCCCCTGCCCACAAAACATTGCTCCTAACTCCACCGCCTATCCCCAAACATGTAAGAACTGATGATAATCCCACACTTGGCTGACTCTCTTTTCGGACTCAGCCCGCCTGCACCCAAGTGAAATAAACAGTCTTGTTGCTCACACAAAGCCTGTTTGGTGGTATCTTCACACGGACGCGCATGACAGAGGTAACTTTAAGAGAAGGAACAATATAATCCTTGTATGTTCAAGCTATTTGCTCCTGTGTTCCAGCCTTGATGGAAGAATCGGGCATCACTGTGGGGGCGGTGAGTCAAGCTGGCTGGCAGTGCTTCAGGAAATCGGGTGTGAGGCCTGTCTATGCTATGCAAATAAATAATACTCCCAGACGGAGGCAGGATTTTCATTCAATCTTCCGGAATTTGTATGAATCTTAGACCTAAAAATGATGGGCAATGAAGCTGAGTCACAGTATAATCTGAGTGGATCCTATAAACTCAGTTACTTCACTCTGTCTTTTGCTTGTATCAGCCCAGAGAGATCTTACTGCAAACCTAGCTGAAGGGCTCTCAGAAACCAGAACACAGGAGCTCATTTGTGCTTCCGAGTTGATGGAAGGGAATCACAGGTGTCAGTCTTGATTGGGCACAGAGAAAACTCACACCAAGTTACAAGAGGAAATTTCATTTGTTTCTCTAAGATAAAACAATACATCCCTCCAGATGCTAATTTATAAAATGTCATTGCACTCAATGTTTTTTCAGTCCAATTCAAGCTTGTGGCTATGAATTCAAAATAAACAGAGCTGATCTGGGGAGCCACAAAGCTTTGCAGAGAAAAACAAACATCAGTTATTGTTAAGGGAAAAACCACACACATCTTTGCCTCAAATCAGAAGAAAGGTGAGGCTAAAAGCCAAGTGGTTTAACGTTTGAAAACTTCCTTTTTCTAAGGGCGTGTTTGTTTTAATAAGTTAATACTTGATATGCCTGTGCAAAGTCCAGGATGGACAACTGCCCCAACTCTAACCAGACAATGTCTCCTCTGTGGGCCAACCCTGATTCTGACTTGGGGAAATCTGGGGGCTGGGGAAGCCCTGCTCTGTGCAGACAACCTCCAAAATCCCTCCTGCTTTCTGGCCTTTCTCCACCTGAACTGCCCACTCCAACACAACTTTATCCACTTGTTCTCTTCAGCAAGAAACTCCTTCACAGAGAAACCACCAGCCCATTCAGCCCCTTTGTGGGGAATATGAAAATGCACCTCACAGCACCACTGACCCAGGGTGCCTCTGAGAGGCAGGGAGCACCCTGTAGCGAGCCAGGTAGGGCTCCTCTCCCCTCAGAGGGTTACAGCCTACACACACATGAGCCATGCCCCATCCTCATTCTCCCCCTACTCTAGATCGAAACCCAGCTTAGGAACCACCTTCAGCATGTCCCATGTCATCTGGAGCTTCATCACTTCCAAAGAGCCCCGGTGACAACTTCCTAATCTCATCCTGGCTAGAATGCTGATAAAAATGTACTAAGGGGAAAACCCAAGCCTGGGCCCTTCTTGCTCAGACCTTTTTTTCTATGTTGTTCCTTTTTAATTCTAAAACAATGCCTGTTTATTGTGCAAAGCCTAGCCTACCTCTTTTTAATTTGGGATCAAAATTAAATAGAAACTTTGGGCTTTTTTGTGTAATAGATCATACTTATTTTCCCATGACATTAAAAACTTTTTTGAAACATAATGACAGCATAATATTCCCTTGCATAGAAATACCTTAAGAGTCCCCCTGACACTGACTGTGATATGTTCATTTATGCATTACCCATTATTGCCTGTGATTTGGGGTTTTAGCCATTGTAGGAAAAGGCAAGGAGTGATTAAACCCTTCTTAAGTTATCCTATTCTGTTTCTGTCTGGGGCCCTGACTGACACAGCAAAAATGTGCAAATGCAAATGCCCCTTTAATTATAGCAGGACTGTGTGATACACCTACAAGCAGGGCAAGCCCCAGGTTTCACAGACCATTTTGCTTTTTTCCAGTCCTTTGAGTCCTAGAAAAACAAGTTAGAGAATGTGTCAGCCCATGATACACACTGTGTGGATGGGACAAATGATGTGCTCTACAAGCACATGGGAAGGACAGGGGCAACTAATGGATTCCACAGGAGATGGAACCCCTGAGGCCACATCCCTGAGGGTAGGAAACATTTCAGTGGCGTGAGACAGCCCGCACCTGGATCAGAGAGCCTCTCTGCCCATATTAAACAAGATCAGACACAGCCTGCGACTTGCAGCCTGTTCTGTCAACACAACAACTTCTACCAAAGGTAGGTATGTGAGATCCAGCACTTCATTTATTCATTTGACAAATGTTTGTTGAATATTTGTTGATTTACTATCCTCTACGTGCCAGATCATGTTCTAAGTGATGATCTCATTTTCCAGCATGCCTTTCGTCTTGGTGGTACTAAAAGCAAGTGTCTCTCTCTCACACACAGACACACACATCATCATCATCATCATCATCATCATCATCATCTTTGGTTCCCACCTTGAAAACCACATCTTTCATCTTCCACTACTCAGGACTCTTCCTCCTCATGAGTTTTCTGTAAGATACCCAATATCCCACTCTGGCAAACTCCTAACTTTCATCCATCTCATTTCCTCACTCCCATAGGACCTTCCCTTCCACCCCATACAGACATGGGGACTTCAATCCTCCATTTATTTCCATTCATCTTTTCCCTCCTGGATCTCCTCCATTCCTTGCTACTGCCCCAGTTTCCTAACTGGCCTCCCTGTTTTCAGTGTCTCTGAAATTCAAATCATTCTCCACCCTGCCATCAGAGGATGTATCTAAAATTACCTCTGCTCATACTGCTCCCCAAAATCTTAGCAAAGCATAAACATCTTGAACTCGCTCCCCTTCTTCAAACTTGACGTGATCCCTGAGGCCTCAGCAACTGTGGCTCCTGTGTTCTCCTGCCCATGGTGTTCTTTTCTCTCCCTGCTTTGGTGACTTCCCATTTGACCATACAATTCCAGTCTGTCATCACCTCATCCTGGTGGGTGAGGCTGAGGAAGAACTTAAAAGAGAAGAAATATTTATAGAGGGAGGATTTTATGTTTCTCTTGCAAGTTGAGCCCTCTCCTACAGATCACCTACATTGGCTAATGCTGCTCTTGTGGGCACAGAGTCTTCCAGAAATAACCATGATAGGTGTGAGGTTTTGCCCCTAGCCAGCACAGGTTGACATGACATGTTCCCAGGGCAGAAGACAAGTGACCCAGTTGGCTCTGCTGCATCGCTACAACCAGCACCCTGGTTCTCAAGCCCACCGTCATTTGCTACATACTGGGGCAACTCTTCTCTACCTGAAAATGCTTCATGGATTTGTTTGCTTGTTTATTGTATGCTTTCCCCACTAGAGCAGGGTCTATCATTTATTTATTTATAGCACTTAGAACACTTTCAGAAACATAGTGGTTCGATGAATGTTGCCTAAATGAAGGCAGAAGGAAAGTCTCCTAACTCTTCATACAATCACTAAGTCATCTGTGCTCCAGGCTGGAGAGGCCAGGGAAATTTGGGTTAGATACTCAAGTTCAAATCAGACCACATCATTTTGCTTCTCAGAAGTTTCAAATGCTCCTGGGCTTCTAACTGGCAATGGTGGAAATGCTACCTCTTAAAATGCAAACCTCTTAACAGGGCAGGGGAAGGTCCTTGCTCTGGCCCCTGCTTGCCATGCTGGTGTCATCTTTCACCACTCCTGGGCTCACATTTTATCCTCCAGAGCACTGAGGAGCTGTTGCTTCTCCCACATATCCTATGTCCCTCATTCCCTGATACGGCTCACACGGTCCCCTTCCCACCCTTCCCTGTTCTTTTCATCTCTCTCAGATCCACTTATTCTTTGAGGATTCACTCAACTCATATCTCTTATACCAATTATCACCTCTCATCCCTAGTCCCCAACAAGTTTGGGAACTTGCTCCAGATCTTGGGAGAGGCTTTAGGGAACTTACGAGGCAGGCTTTTTTTTTTTTTTTTTCATTTTGTTTTGTTTTGTTTTTGTTTTGAGACAAGAGTTTTGCTCTTGTTGCCCAGGCTGGAGTGCAATGGCACAATCATGGCTCACTGCAACCTCTGTTGAGGCAGGTTTTAAGGGGAGAGATGCAGGTATGAGAAAGAAGGTCTGCAGAGACTGAATGCCTCAGCATCTGTGGCTACTCTGAGGGAGCTGGGGTTTTATTTTTTCCTTAGAAAAAATAATTTTCAGGAGAATATTCTTCTGATAACTTTCATCATTGAACTTAATAAATTGACTTTACAAGGTTTTTTCCTTGCAAATGATTATAACAACAGCAAAAAAAAAAAAAAACCATCTCCTTCCCTACCCTTCCATATTCCAAGTAGATTCCAAGTAGATTCCAAGATGTTGCCACCGTCTCAATCACTATACAAGACAGTTCCATCAGCACCAAAATGCCCTCATACTATCTTTTTATAGTCACACGCTTTCCCAACCTTTTTCCCTTAACAATCATGAATCTATTCTCCATCACCATGGTTTTCTCTTTTCTTTTCTGATCTTTTTTTGAGACGGGGTCTCGCTCTGTCAACCAGGCTGTGGTACAATCACGGCTCACTGCAACCTCGACCTCTCTCAGCCTCAGGTGATCCTCCCATCTCAGCCTCCCCAGTAAATGAGAATACAGGCACATGCCACCAGGCCTGGCTAATTTTTTTGTATTTTTTAGTAGAAACTGGGTTTCACCATGTTCCCCAGGCTGGTCTCAAACTCCTGAGCTCAAGCAATCTGCCTACCTTGGCCTCCCAAAGTGCTGGGATTACAGGCATGAGCCACCGTGTCCAGCTAGGTTTGTCATTTCGAGAATGTCATATAAATGGAACCATCTGGTATGTAACTTTTTTTTTTTTTTTTGAGACGGAGTCTCGCTCTGTCGCCCAGGCTGGAGTGCAGTGGCGTGATCTCCCCTCACTTCAAGCTCCGCCTCCTGGGTTCACGCCATTCTACTGCCTCAGCCTCCCGAGTAGCTGGGACTACAGGCGCCCGCCACCGCGCCCGGCTAATTTTTTGTATTTTTAGTAGAGACGGGGTTTCACTGTGGTCTCGATCTCCTGACCTCGTGATCCGCCTGCCTCGGCCTCCCAAAGTGTGGTATGTAACATTTTTGAGACCAGTACCTTTAACTCAGTGTAATGCCTTTGAGAGCCACCGAAATCGTTCATTGGATCAATAGTCTATTCTTTAATATTGCTGGGTCGTTTCCATTGTATAAATGTACTGAAGTTTATCCATTCACCCATTGAAGGACATCTGAGTTGTTTTCAGATTTTAGCAATTATGAATAGAGCTGCTATTTATATTTGTGTACTTTTCTCTAGAGTAAATACGCAGGAAAGGAACTGTTGAATTTTAAGTGTATGCTTAACTTTATAAGAAATTGTGAAACCCATTTTCTTCCCACAACATATGAGTTCTTTTTTTGTTTGTTTGTTTTGGTTTTTTTTACTTGCCACCACGCCCAGCTAATTTTTGTATTTTTAGTAGAGATGGGGTTTCACCATGTGGACCAGGCTGGTCTTGAACTCCTGACCTTAGGTGATCCGCCCGCCTTGGCCTCCCAAAGTGCTGGGATTACAAGCATAAGCCACTGCGCCCAGCCCCACAGCGTATGAGTTCTAATTGTTCCACATTTTTTATGGCACTTGCTATTATCAGTATTTTTAATTTTAGCCATTCTAATAGGTGTATAGTGGTATCTATTGTAGTTTAATTTGCATTTCCCAAGGGCTAATGAGGCAGAACATCTTTCCATGTGCTTATTTCTATCTTTGTACTCTCTTTGGTATAGTGCCTATAGATCAATTAGGAGAGAATTGATATCTTTTCTGTGTTGAATCTTCCAATCCATGAGCACAGTATGTCTCTCCACTTTTTTTTTTTTTTTTTTTTTGAGATGGAGTCTCACTCTGTTGCCCAGGCTAGAGTACAGTGGCATGATCTCGGCTCACTACACCCTCCGCCTCCCAGGTTCAAGTGATTCTCCTGCCTCAGCCTCCCTAGTAGCTGGGATTATAGATGCCTGCCACTGCACCTGGCTAATTTTTGTATTTTTAGTAGAGACGAGGTTTCACCATCTTGGCCAGGCTGGCCTCGAACTCCTGACCTTGTGATCAACCCACCTTGGCCTCCCAAAGTGCTGGGATTACAGGCGTGAGCCACCGCACCCGGCATCCACTTTATTTTGTAAAAGAATATGTTTAGCATAATTTTAATTAAATTGTTAATATTTATGACCCAGAATATGGTCTTCCTTGCAGAATATTCTATATGCACTTAAAAATAATCCATATTCTGCTGTTGGATAGAGTGTTTATAAATGTCAATTAGATTCAGTTGGTTGATGGTGATATTTAGTTCTATATTCTTGCTGATTCTCTACCTGTTGGTTCAATCTATTCCTGGATGAGGAGTGTTCATCTCTCCAACTATAATTTCAGATTTGTCTGTTTCTGTTTCTTTTCTTTACCTCTGTCAGTTTTTGTTTCAGGTATTTCGAAGCCCTGCTATTAGGACATACACATTTATAATTTTTATGTCTTCTAGGTGAATTGACCATTTTATCTTTATGTAATCAATATCTAATGTCCCTTTTCATCTCTTTCCTCTGAAGTATACTTTGACAATAATAAAATCACTCCAGCTTCCTTTTTATTAGTTTTTGCATGGCATATCTTTTCTCATTCTTTAACTTTTAACTATTTTATTACATTTGAAGTAAGTTTCTTGCAAACAGCATATGGTTAAGACGTGTTTTTTATTCCTTCTAACAATCTCTGTTTATTAATTGGTGTATTAAAATGACTTACATTTAGTAAAATTTTTATATGTTTGGATTTATGTTTACCATTTGATTATTGTTTTCTGTTTGTTTCTTCTGTTTTTCATTTCTCTCATTCTCTTCACCCTTTTCTGCCTTTTTGAAGGGATTATTGGGTATCTCTTTCATCCTATTCTTTTTGCTTGTTTGTGTTGTTTTAACTTTTTTGGGTTGGAGAGCGGGACTTGGAAACAGGATCTTGCTCTGTAACCCATGCTGGAGTATGGTGGTGTGATCATGGATCAGTGCAGCCTTGAACCTGGGCTCAAGTGATCCTCCCACCTCAGCCTCCTGAGTAGCTGGGACTACACGTGCACGCCAACACCTAGCTAATTTATATTATTTTATTTTTTGTAGAGATGGAGTCTCACTATGTTGCCCAGGCTGGTCTCAAACTCCTGGGCTCTAGCAATCCTCCCACCTTGGCTTCCCAAAGTGCTAGGATTACAGGCTTGAGCCAGCATGCCTATCCTATTCTCATATATCTATTGTGATTTTAACAGTATATGTTCACATAATTTTTTTTAGTGGTTGCTCTAGGAATTACAAAATATATACTTAACTTTTCACATCTATCTAAAAACAGAAAACTTAACACCATAAAGTCTCACCTTTCCTTCTTTATGTTAGAGTTGTCTTAAATATCACATCTATATGTACTGAAAACTTCATCAATGTTATACTTTTGCTTTCAACCATAAAACATTTTAAGCACTAGAGAGGAAAAGAATAGTCTGTTATATTTACTTGAACATTCCCCATTCTGTCACCCTCTTCATTCTTGAAGTTCCCATTTCTTTCTAGAATTATTTCACTTCTGTCTAAAGATCTCCCTTTAGCTATTCTTTTCTTATTTTCTTTTAATAACATTGGTACCAACTTTAGCACTTCTTTTAGAGCAGGACTGCTGGGTTAAAACTGGGTCTTCATGTTTCTTTACCCATATTTTATTTAACTTTCATTTCTGAAAGCTATTTTCCCTTATATGAAATTCTGAGGTAACAGTTTTTTTTTTCAGCACTTGAAAATGTTGTGTTACTTGTCATCAAATCATTGTTCTCCTGTAGATTTTGTATTGTTTCTCTCTGGATGTGTCAAGAATTTTTCCTTGTCTTTAGTGTTTCAGAAACTTGAGTATGGTGTGTTGGGCATGCATTTCCTTGATTTTATCCTATTTGGAGTTTACTCCACTTCTTGACTATGTACATATACGTCTTTCTCAAAATGAATGAAGTTTTTAGCCACTATTTCGTCAAATCTTCTTTTCAGTACCACATTCTTTCTTCTTTCCTTACAGAAAACTCATGACACAAATATTAGACCTTTTGTTGTTATTCCACAGGACCATGAGATTCTGTTCTTTTTTTACATATTTTTTTCTCTCTGTTGTTGAGATTGGATGACCTTTCATTGATCTATCAAGTTCACTATTTCTTTCCTATGTTGTCTTCATCCTGCTAGTGAGTCTTTCCAGTGAATTTTTAATTTTAGGTACTATGTTTTTCAGTTCTAAACTTTCCATTTGATTATTTTTATATCTTCTATTTCTATTGTAACTTCATTCCAAAAGTGTTCACAATTGCTTTTTTGGCCATTTGTATGATAGTCATTTTAAACTCTTTGTCAAATAAGTCCAACATTTGTATTGTCTCATCATTAGCATCCATTCTTGCACAAGTTGAGAATTTCATGGTTCTTTGTATGCCAAGTAATTTTGGATTGTATCCTGGATCTTTTGTAAAAAGCAAAAGATTTATACAATTGGAAGAGAAACAAGAGTATGTCTTTGTATGCCAAGTAATTTTGGATTGTAACCTGGATCTTTTGTAAAAAGCAAAAGATTTATACAATTGGAAGAGAAACAAGAGTATGTATCCTGGATATTTTGAATATTACTTTATAAGACTGTGAATCATGTTTAAATCCCAGAAGAGAATGTTGATATTTGGGTTTTAGCAGGCACTTGCCTGGTTAGGTTCCAGCCCACTTTCTGGGTGCTGTGATTACAATGTCAGTTCAGGTTTCAAAGGCTTTAAGTGCTATAGAGATCAATTTTGTGGAGAATGTTACCCAGGGATCTGTCTGGGCCCTAGGAAGAAGTCTATCTGGTGGCTCAGTTCTCATCATTTTTTGAATGCTAATTAGAAGCAGATCCACCTATAGGCAGGTTGGAGATCAGTACAGATGTTAATAAACAGTTTTATGTGATCCATTTCCTGTGCACTTCCCTCTCTGCTATCTTCCTAGTAGTTTCTAGTTCCCTGGGTCTTCTTGTGTTCAGTCCATCAGCAAAAATCCACCCACTTCTGTGGTTGAGCTACATTTGGGGACCAAATGACAAGGGAGAGAGGGGACATTATAAAGAGGGTTGGAGGTTGGAACTGCAGCTCCACCAAATGAAAAATGAAGGCTCCCCTCCCTTAGAGTTTTAATTCATGTAGTTTTCCATGATGAACACCGCCATCCCCATAAGGTTGTGTAGGGCTGGGATAAAAGAGAATGGAGAAAAAGGAGGGGTGGGGGGGGAAACTCAGGTAAATCCCTCTCTACTCTTTCTGATCTTTAGAATTCTTTTTTTTTTTTTTTTTTGAGACAGAGTCTTGCTCTGTTGCCCAGGCTGGAGTGCAGTGGCACAATCTTGACTCACTGCAACCTCCACATCCTGAGTTCAAGTGATTCTCTTGCCTCAGCCTCCCAACTAGCTTGGATTATAGGCATGCGCCACCACCAGGCCCAGCTAAGTTTTTGTATTTTTAGTATAGACAGAGTTTTACCATGTTGCCCAGGCTGGTCTTGAACTCCTGGCCTCAAGTGATGCACCCACCTTGACTTCCCAAAATGCTGAGATTACAGGCATGAACCACCGTGCCCAGCCAAGAGTTCTCTTTTAAGAGTTCCTCAAGCCAGAGCTAAATGTATTTCCTTGACTTTCTTTCTGTTCCACAGTGGTACTTCTAGATTTTGACCATGTTGAGAGCCAGCTGGAGATCCTGGAGGAAAAATATTGTAAACTAACTGCTAGTTTGGTGCTACTTGAAATTTTTCTATTCTTCCGCATCTGCCTATGACTGCAGGTAGAGGGGCAGTAGCACCATCCTCTGAAGAAAGGAACCAGCCACTTGGTAGCAGGTTGACTTTGTTTCATCCTTCAACCCTCACAGGGGCAGTCATTCATCCTGACTGCTAACCTTACTTTTGTAAGCTCCAGGAACACAGATCACTAAGAATTCTAGAGGAGCTATTCCCAGAAGACATACAAAGACTGCAGATCCAAATGACTCAAGAGGTGAAATGTAATGTATGCTGTGGTGTACTTCTCAGATGCCTTCACCTTAGGTCTGAAATACTCATTCCCCAACAATGCCTCCATGCTAAAAGTGTTGGTAACTAATGGGTCTCAGCTGAGCCCCTCTCTAGGCATTACCCTGGAGAGCCAAGCCAAAGGCTACCTTACCCAAGACCACACCGTATCCCTGGAGTCAGCTCACATTCAGTGACTGTTCAAAGCCGAGCATAAAGCTGGGGCAGAATTAATGCAAGGAAAGACCACTCTGAAAGGCCAGGATTCCCTGTGGAACTGACTAAGTCTTTAGTTTAACGCCTTCCTTTGTCCAGTCCCACTTCCTTTATTCCTCCACAAGTGTTGATAGGAGGGTACTGGCCAATTAACCTCCTGCACACAAATTGTCCCAGAGTTTGCTTCCTGGGGACAACGTTATATACTAGGTCTAAGCATGGTATTTATGACAGGAATGGGTTCAGTAATGGGCAAGTAACTTGATTTAGGTAAATACAGTATGCGGAGGTTTGTTCTGGGATCTTCTGGGAAATTTTCCTGACACTAGAGAAAACCATAGGAAGAGATTATCTCTCCTTGAAGTTAAATCTGAACAAGAACTCCTGCAGCTTCCATTGCTGCTGACAAACATATTTTGACCCCCAAAACAACCAGTCTCAGAACAAAGATTATACTGTGATTAACAGAATGGAGAGATGGAAATAACCTGAGTTCTTAATGATGCTGAGTTGCAAGATCAATGCACCCTGAAGGCCACCCCATTTTTAGACTTCTCATTATGTAGACCAATAAATTTCTTTATTATTTGAAGCAAACTAGGGGTCTCTTTTTTGTCTGTTTCTGCTACTTACAGCCAAAACATCTGACTGATACAGGTGTGCATCTCACTGACTCTTCCTTCCTATACTGCTTCTGGAGATTTTTATAAACATTCAAAAAATATTGAGAAATTCACAACCCAGAAAAAAAAACTGAACTCTAACTAAGAGCAGGTGGTGGCTGATGGTAAGTTTTCTTTTCCTTTCTTCTTCCTTTCTTTCTTTTCTTTCTTCTATGGGGCACCAATAATACATTTTCTTAAAAAGGGGACCTAGCTAAACAAATATATTTTATGTACAAAAAATAATAATTAAGACCACAATAATTTGTGTAACTGTTTGACAAAAATTATCTTAAATTATACTTTTAGGATCAAAGTACAATCTAGGCCATGAATTTGATGTATAATTGGAACTTCTGAAAGCTCCCTCTGTAATAAACAGGTAAAGTCAGACACGTGGTAATTGCAAAGGGTATTTATATGCCTGTGGAGGAGGAAGAAAGAGATTTTTGCAAAATTGCTTCAGAAGGAAAATGCCAGTAAAACAGATATAGTTCAAAAAATGAACTGTTTGCAACTTAAAAGATAAACAATCCATTATGAAAAACCAAGAAAATGTTACTCATCCCCACACATGGTATCTTGACTCAAACTCTGAAGGTCAGAATAAACTGATTTTTGTCAGGTCAGAAAGGAAAGAGTTTTCAAGAAGCAAAGTGCTCTGCCCTTTCACACAGAACAGCACATTGCCATTCCTTCAGATTCAAGAATATGACAATGGAACACTCTGTTCTGATTTTAACTGTTTTACGAGTCTCTTGTATCTCCTGGATTGATTGTGTTCTTTTCTTCCTCAGCACTAGTCATTTCAAAACTGTTTCTTCAGGCATTTAAATACAAAATCTAAAGATTCCATCATTGTGGATCATAGACAAATCACTGGGCTGAATTTAAGACACAGGCTTTAATGTCATGCCCACCAACGAACTGGGTGGCATTGAACAAATCTCTGTCTCTCTGAGCCTCCATTTCATCATCTCCAAAATGATCTCTTCTCGCTCCATGATTATAGATTTCTTGAGAAATGAGAGGAGCTGTCTGAGTGCTGGGTGGCTTGTGGCAATGATAGCCCATTTTTCTGTCTACCCACCCCCCAACATTTCACACTTCAAAGTCTTAGCCCAATTTATAGCCTGGTCAGTCTGTTATGGGGAAGCTGGAGGCTGAGGAGATTTCTTCATAAATACTCAAGACAGAAACAACAAATCCTCTTCTTCCAAGTCTACAATCAACCTCTATTTTACTTTTGGTGCCTTGAGAGTTAGCCCACATCATCAGTGCAGAAGAAAAATGAATCAAACACTTCAGTTCCTTTTCTGCTGTGAATTTTAGAAATGATCTCAGAGGTCATTCTGTAGCGAGTCTGACTGATTTTGTATAAGTTAAGGTGGTGGTGAGTAAGGACTGAATAAACCTAGAGTCCTTCAGAGACGTATTAATAAGTTTGAGTCTTCAAACCTATACAAAATTTGCTCTTTGTTCTCTAAGTCTAACCCCAAATACCTAGGAAGATCCTCAGGCCACAGCATCAAAGCCAACCCCATGACCCACAGCACCATAGATAGAAAAGCTGGCTCAGAAATGCAATCTTACCAGGAAACAGTGACTGGAATCCATGGAGTGCTTTGCAAGGTACCTGGCTTGGACACTTAAAAGGTTCCATGAGAAAGAACAGAGGGAGAAGGGAAAGCTGCTCTAGACTAAAGGCTATGAAAGAAACATAGCAGGCAAATGTAATGCATTAACCTTGACTCTAATGACATTCTGAAAACAATTTAGTAAATTTATTTATTGACTATGTGTTGGGTATTTTTGAATTAATGTTCCTTAGATGTGAAATATCCCTATTCAATTGTGATTGTTGAATAAGAACATTATATGGGAGTGATGTGTCATGATGCCTGCATACTACTTTCAGATGGCTTATGAAAGGAAATGTGTGAGTGAGTGAGTGTGTGTGTGTGTGTGTGAAGATGCTGCTAGCTTTAAATCTAGGAGAGCAGTATATGGATGTTAATTTTTCTGGGTGTTTTTTTTTCCAATTTTTTTTCAAGCATTTAAAAACTTTTTTTAATTTAAAAAATTTAAGAAAGACAATTCAGCCAGGCTTGGTCAGAGAGCATGTGGGGCTCCAGGGTATCTCATGGCTATATGCCCTTAGGATGTTTCTTTTTCCCAGGTGCCACTTTATTTCTAGTTCTCTGAGCAAAAATCATTACTGACATTTGTCAGGGCCAACCACAGAGATTTAAATTGCAAAAAAAAAAAAAAAAAAAAAGGAGGGGGATGGGGTGGGTGCAGGTACTGCAGTAGGGACATATTTTATTCTCCATTTACAGAGGAGAAAACCAAAGCACACTTAAGTTAGCTAACTTGCCGGAGGCCCCTGCAGGAGCCACACTGATTTTCAACTCAGATTCCCCTGAGTCCCTTTGACCAGTTCTCTGTAATCTTGTAGCTACTGTATCCTTCACTTCCAATAGGCCTCACAGGCAGAGGACTAACCCCTGGCCTGCTGGAGCCATTTCACCCAGACTCCAAATTCAGGAGAACCAGAAGTGCTAAGGACTTAGGTCCTTCCAGAGGAACCCATAGTAATGACTGACTCATCAGTCTCAGGAATTCCTTCCATTTCAATGCAGTCCCAGAAAATAAATCCTCCCTCCACTGTTGTCATACTTTCAAAGACCAACTGCGTATTCCCCAAATCAAACCACTTCCCTCCCAAACATCCTGATATCCCACATGCATGCTTGTCATTGCCTCCCACACCATCTTCCATTGCCATGGATGAGCAGTGCTTCAAGATAAAGTTTCATAATTACAGGTTTATGTTGTATTCGTTCTCTTTCAGAAAAAAAGAATTTTGTCTCTAAGTTGTCCCAGTGTCCTTCCTTATGAGGAACATGTATGAGCACAATGCTTGGACTTTGTGAAATCTATTCTTATGGTTCTGGGATTTCTTCTGTTTTCTTCCTGAATCTTGGCTGAATTCCAGAACTAAGATTGGCTAAATAGCCATACAGTCTGGGTTAATATTGTTATTAGCAGGAGGTGAAGATCCAAATATGTGATAACTAGTACAGCACAGAGGGCACCACCTAAGAGTGGGTGGGTGCAGGCAGATGGTGCGCCAAAGCAGGATCCTGGAGGACACTCCTCTCACTATGCCGCATATGAGCCCTTCAGAAGCTGGACTGTGAGGAGGGCTAGGGGATCCCTTGGCATCAGAGGAGCACTCAGGTGGGACTTGTGGCAACAGTTACTTGCTGTCAGGTACAGAAGTATTTCTATATTTAACAGTCATGATAGCTGTGCCACTGAGGACCACCTGACCATCAGTTCTGATTGTGTTTTAATGATGAAAATAACAGGAAAAAATTATTCTGAGGCCATGTAAAAGAGAGAGGATGAGAATGAATGAGTAAATGAATACAAATAGAGGATAAAAGATACTAAACACAGATACGTTAAACTCTATCTCTCACTCTCTCTCTCACACACACACACACACACACACACACTCACACTCAGGAAAACAAGTGAAGTGCCACACCTACAGCAACAAGAATTTTGTGGTCAGTCTCTATTTGCACTCAGCTTTAAAACTTCAGTTCCCCTTTCACTAAAAGTTTTCCCTTTTAGTGAAAGGCTGTTTGGGTGCTTTCTGCTGTTGAGGTTCCTGGCCAGTCAGCCAGGAGCTGACCTCAGGAAAATGTGAAACATTTTTCAGCCAGTGGGGAGGAGCTGGTCAAAGTAGGGAGGAGTGCACTAACGAAAAGCAATAATGTTATTCAGGAAAACTTAAAAGGGGAAAAAGCAACACTAGGCATCATAAGCATGGAGGAACAAAGAGGCCTGGGAGAGCAGAACATTTGCTTCTGAGCTATCTAAAAAAATTTTCCAAGTTCTTGGGCCCTAAAAATGTCCTGGGTCATCAGAGTTTACACTGACCAACCCTGTCACCTCAGCCCTTGGTCAGCAGGTGCCATGAGCACAGCAGCACTGTAGGACCTAAAGGAAAAAGAGGCTTGATTTTGAGAGACAGGTTTAATCATGTTTTCCAATTAGAATCAACAAGGATTTTTCCTTTGTTACTCACTAATGAGTACATTAAAATCCAGACATAGTGAGAGAATAGGTTAACTAAACAGAGAATGATCTACCTGGCCAAGAGGTGAAAATATTGCTACGAATTCTAGGTGGGGACAACCAACCACAGGGTCACCACACAGAAGACAAACCTACATAAGCAGAGAGCTCCAAAACTGCACAAGTGAAAAAGTTAACTTTTGTGACTGTCTTAGTCCATTCCTGCTACCATAACCAAATACCACAGACTGGGCAAGTTATAAATAATAGAAACTTATTTCTCATGGTTCTGGAGGCTAGCATGTCCATCCAAGATCAAGGCACCAGAAGATTTGGTGTGTGGTGAGGACTCACTCTTCACTTCAGTTATGGCACCTTCTCTATGCATCCTCACATAGAGGAAGAGGCAAATAAGCTCCCTCAGACCTCTTTTATATGAGCACGTATCCCTTGTGGAGCCCTCCTGACCAAATCACCTCCTAAAGGCCCCACCTCTTGATGCTATTGCATTGGAGATTAGATTTTAACATATGACTTTGGAGGTGGGGAAGGGCACAAGCATTCAGATGATAGCAGTGATGCTTCATCACACCATCTATTCGATGGCTCTAAGATTTATCTCCAACCGAATTTGTCATCAGAAAGGATTTTCCTGATTTTATTATGATGCCAGTAAAATAAGAAAAATGAAATGACTTACCAAAGATTGTTTGTTCTCCTGATGACCTCAGAGACAGAAAGAATACTAAATGCAATCAAAATAGAGTGACGGTATTAGTAGACATTAACCTAAACAACCACATCCAACTGTGTCAGGAGTGAGACAACCTGAGCAGAGGACAAGGATAGGAAAAACAGCTGTGAACCTAAGACAAAAGCCAGAGGGTTGGAACTTCTGGCCTTCTCTTGGGAAAGTGAAGTGAGGTCTGTACATGCAGAAGTAAATCAGTTGACAAAGAAGAAGCCATAAAAGCAAGAGTCAAAAGAAGCAAGGACAAGGAGAAGGAAGGCTTTCCAACTTGACTCCAATTTCTAGGATACAGAGGTTGTGCCAAGACTTATGCAGAAAGGCCTAAACTGACCACTGACTTTTGGGAAAACTCTTCCCAGCTCCTACTGATAATGAAATCATTGGCCAATGTTGCACTGGTTCCCCTGTAATATTCACTCTTGTTTCTGGAGGGTCCTTAGGGGAAGAACATAACGGCTCTAATTTGACACTAGTTCCAGGTCCTAATAAGAAGATATTCAACTAAAACATAGTCCTTTACCTCCAATATTTTAATGTAGCAAACAGCTCACAACTTCAGTATACCTTATTTAGATAAGAGGAAACAGTAGGGTCAATTACACATCTGGAATTTTAGAGAGGATGCTTTCTTTGTGAACCAATATGAGAAGTTCAAATGAATTAATACATGCTTGGGAATTTAAGTTTAGATCTTCAATTTGCAGTGAAAATTACTAATACTTGAAAGAATGTTCATAACTATTTATTCTATATTTATTATATTGAGAAAATTCTAAATATAATCAAAATCTATTCTACAAATCTAATATTTCACTTTGGACTAGAAAGAATGTAAAAGAAGGAGGAACAATAAGTCCCGGAGGAATTAGTCCAGACCTCAGCAACATTTGTTTGTTTTGCTTCAAGAAACTTCAATAAGACTATCTTAGCTTATTATTGTTCAAGTTTCGCCTGCCTTAGAAAGTTTTTTCCTCTGACCATCCAAGATAACAGTGATCCAGCATTATGTCTGATACATAATAGATGTCTACTGGATAACTGATGCAATGCTCTGGGGATCCCAAATATAAGTCTGTGGGGGTAATGAAATAGAGAGAGAGGTGGAAGACAAAAGAGGAAAGGAACAGAAGAATGGGAGAGAGGAAGAGGAGAGCTATATACAATGGGGCCTGATCCAGGATCTGAAATGTCATCTCGGGGGTCCATTTAGTGGCATGTGCGATACAGGAGATCTAATCCAGACCAAAGCAATCCCCTGATTCCAGGAAGGTCTGATCGTAAAGCAACCTAAAAAACACCTAGTTGGTAAGAGCTTAAAGGAGTTAAGTTAGTCAAAACCTCCTCTCAAAATTTTGCAGATGTTTGTGGAACAGGCATTGCCAATTTCTTACACACATGCCAATTGAGTAGATTGTTTGTGTCAAGCTTCACCAATATGAGGATTCGGTCTCATCCAGGTTATTGGCTGGACCAAGGATCAGCATTTTTTTCTGAGCTAAGTGAGCTACACGTTTGCTGAAGGTACTACTGATCCTGGACATGATGAAGTTGCCTTCCTGGGTAACCTGATAGGCCCTACAAGAATGAGCTGCCATGGTTTATCCACTTCTTGCTTGTTTGGAAATTCCCCTCTGCCAGAGATAGTTCCAGAGTTATTATGCACAAAAATGAAACGCAACAGCCAGGAAATCCAGAATACTTGCCATGTTTTTAGATGTAAGACAATTTACTTGAGAAAGGTCATTGGTCTGGCATGATGAGAATGTAATATATTTTTATGAATTACTTCCGCAAAGCCCTAATTCCTGAGATGCATACACTAGCTTGACTTGTGCCCAATCCTAACCTTTCAAGCTCCTCTGTGGCTACCAGCTTGCTGGTCTTTCCCTGCCCTCCTTTCCTCTGGTTTCCTGGAGTTGCTGTGCTGCGAGGAAGAAAGAATGCACTGCTTGTTTCTTGCCATTGATGTTCAGCACAAGGGCTGGCATCACTGCTTCGTGGCTTGAGCTCAAACCAGAGCATCACAGAAAAACATACAGACAAAAACATTGTTATTACCTTGATTTTGCAGTTCAGTGGGGGTGTGACCTTGTCTGCCTAGTCTGCAGAGCCAAAATCCTCAGGTCCTAATTCTAAAAGTTAGTAAGCAGTAGAAGGGAGGGTATATGGAAGAAAGGATGAAATCAGAATGTGGTTAGGAGCCAGTCCCAGCTGTAATTAGGTCCTCAGAAAAGTGGTGGCAATTTTACACTGGTATTCAGTGTCTTAACTTTAAAAACTTGCTTTTTGCTAGATTATAATGAAAGATGGATTTCATTTATTTTAAAAGTGCAACATTAAGAAATAACATGTGATGTGGAAGACATTCACAATCAAATTAAATGTTATGATTTAAAGTATGAAATTCTCCAGAATTTTAATGTACACATGGATCACTAGTAGATCTTGCTAAATATGTAGGTTGTGACTGTAAGTCTGGGGTGGGACCTGAAATTCTACATCTCTAACAAGCTCCCTGGCCAGGTCAGTGCTGGTGGTCTTGGGATCACATTTTCAAGCAAGCCTCTAGACTGCATTGGTTAAGAAAGGGTACACACTTGAAAGAACATGGCCTGCTTCCCAAGCCATTCAGCTGACTTAATGTCAAAAAGGAGCATCCTGGGCCAGGTGCAGTGGCTCATGCTTGTAATCTCAATACTTTGGGAGGCTGAGGAGGGTGGATCTCTTGAGCTCAGGAATTCAAGACCCACGTGGGCAACATGACGAAACCTCAGCTCTACCAAAAATGTAAAAAATTAGCTGGGTGTTGTGGCGCAAGCCTATAGTCCCAGCTACCTGGGAGGCTGAGGTGGGAGGATCCCTTGAGCCCGGGAAGTGGAGGTTGCAGTGACCTGAAACTGCGCCACTGCACTCCAGCCTGAGAAACAGAGGAGACTCTGTCTAAAAAAAAAGAAAAAAAAGAAAAGAAAAGAAAAAGAAAAGAAAAGAAAAAGAAAGGAACATCCTACAGCAAATAGTTTAAATCACATCCTTTGATATCACTATGATAAAATTGTAAAATAAAAGAACAATTAAGAATGAGAAAGTAAAAATGATTACCAATAGTGAGGTAATTTAAACTCCTTGTTAATAAGTTTGAAAATCCAGAAAAAAAAATTTTATAGCTTTTGAGAAGGATACAAATTAAAAAAAAAAAAAACTCGAGTAAGCAGACAATCTACAAAAATTTATAACCCTGGAAAATATTTTTCAAGTTACCTAAGACTAAATATCCTCCAAAGTACAAGGATTAGAGCATTTTCCAGATGAAGTCTTTCAAACCTTCAAGGAATAAATATTTAAATGTTTGTTAAATTTTCCAGAGGAAAAAGGTGGAAAGATTTCCAATTATTTGTATAAAACCATGTAACACTGATTCTAAAACTTAACAGAAAACTATATCCCAGGTTCACTCATAAATATTGATACAAAAATCCTAAATAAAATATTGGAAAATAAAGTCAAACAATATTTTAAAATACCACAATCCCATGATTAAAGACACTTTAGTCTGGGAATGCAAAGTTTGTTCAATATTAGCAAAACATCAAGTTAAAATGTCAAAAAGGAAAAATAGTTAATCACTTCAATAAATGATTTTCTTAAAAAATCAAAAATCAGTTATTTTGAGGGTAAGGTGAGGGGACAGGGTCTTGCTCTGTTGTCCACACTGGAATGCAGTGACAGGATCAAAGCTCACTGCAGCCTCCCATCTCAGCTGGGACCTTGTAGTCCCAGCTACTCAGGAGAAGTACTCAAGAGAAGCTGAGTAGCTGGGACTATAAGCAGGTGCCACCACAGGCAGTTAATATATTTTTTTTCTTTTTTAGACATAGAGTATTACTATGTTACCCAAGCTGGTCTCAAACTCCTGGGTTCAAGTACTCCTCCTACCTCAGCCTCCCAAAGCACTAGGATTACACAACTGAGCCACAGTGCCCAGCCAATTTTTTTTTTATTAAAAAAACAGGAATCAAAGGGTGCTCACTTATCATAATCAACCTATAACCAACTGATATTCATCAAAGTTCACAAAAATAGGCAATGGGGAAAGGACTTCTAGTCAATCAATGGTGCTGGGAAAACTGGCTAACCATATGCAGAAAAAACTAGGCCCATACCTATCACCATACACAAAAATTAACTCAAGATGGATGAAATAATTAAATGTTAGATCTCAAATTATAAAAGTCCTAGAAGAAAACCTAGGAAATGCCCTTCTCAACATCAGTTGTGGCAAATAATTTATGACCAAATCCTCAAAAGCAATTACAAGAAAAACAAAAACTGGTGGATGGGAACAAATTAAACCAAAGAGCTTCTGCACAGCAAATGGAACTCAAAACAGAGTAAACAACCTACAGAACGGGAGAAAACATTCGTAAACTATGTATCCAGCAAAGGTCTAATATCCATAATCTACAAGAAACTTAAATAAATCAACAGGACAAAAACAAATAACCCCATTAAAAAGTGAGCAAAGGACAGACACTTCTCAAAAAAGACATAAAAGTGGCCAACAAACGTATGAAAAAATCCTTAACATTGTTAATCATCAGAGAAATGCAAATCAAAACCACAGTAAGATACCATCTCACACTAGTCAGAATGGCTGTTATTAAAAATTCAAAAAATAACAGACATTGGTGAGGCTGTGAAGAAACGAGAACACTTAAACACTGTTGGTGAGAATGTAAATTAGTTCAGCCACTATGGAAAGCACCCTGGAAATTTCTCAAAGAGCTAAAACAGTGACCATTTGACCTAGAAATCCCATTCCTGTGTATATACCCAAATTGTTCTACCAAAAAGTCACATATACTTCTATGTTCCTTACAGCACTATTCAAAATAGCAAAAACAGGAAAACAACCTAGGTGCCCACCAACTGTGGATTGGACAAAGAAAGTATTGTGCATATACACTATGGAATACCATGTAGCCATAAAAAAGAATGAAATCATGTTCTTTGCAGCAACGTGAATGCAGATGGAGGCCATCGTACTAAGCAAATTAACGCAGGAGCAGAAAACCAAATATCACATGTTCTCACTCATAAGTGGGAGCTAAATCTAGACATAGAGTTTGGAACAATAAACACCGGGGACTACTATAAGGGAGAGAGAGGGAGAGGGGTGAAAAACTTCCTATTGGAAGTTGGGATCACTATCTGAGTGCTGGGATCAGTGGAAGCCCAAGCCTCAGCATCATACAATATACCCTCGTAACAAACCTGCATATGTACCTGTTGAATCTAAAATAAAATGGAAATTAAATAAATAAATGAAATAAAAATAAAATATGACTGCATAAAGTAATAATTAGATGAGCCTATAATGTATAAAGATGTAATTTATGTAACAATGGTAACACAAAAATGGAAAATGGGGTGATAGAACAAACATATAGTGGCAAAGTTTTTGTGTATTATTGACATTAAATTGGTATTAATCCAAAGTGCTTGTTATAATTGTTAATTATAATCTCCAGGGCACTCACTAAGAAAATAAGTCAAAAACATAGTGAAATAAAAAAAGAAGGGGAACTAAAATGATACAATAAAAAATATATATGTAACAGAAAAGAAGGCAATAATGAAGGGCTGGAGGAGCAAAAAAGGGCATAAGAGAAATATATAACACAAATTGTAAAGTGGCAGATATAAATATTTTCATATCAGTTATGACATTAAATGTAAATGGATTAAAATTCCAATCAAAAGGCAGAGATTGGAAAATAGATTAAAAAACATGTTCCAGCCACATGCTGTCTACAAAATATATACTTTTTTTAAGCAAAAATTCTTTATTTTATTTTATTATTATTATTTTTTTGAGACGGGGTCTCCCTCTGTTGTCCAGGCTGCAGTGCAGTGCCTCGGTCTCTGCTCACTACAACCCCCGCGTCCCAGGTTCAAGCAATTCTCCTGCCTCAGCCTTCTGAGTAGCTGGAATTACAGGCACACACCACCACACCTGGCTAATTTTTTTTGTTTTTAGTAGAGATGGGGTTTCAGCATGTTGGTCAGGCTTGTCTCCAACTCTTGACCTTGTGATCTGCCTGCCTCGGCCTCCCAAAGTGCTGGGATTACAGGCATGAGCCACTGCGCCTGGCCAATTTTTAAGAAAAATGTATAATTTCTCATTTTCTATTCTTGGCATAAATTTTCATTATTTCTAGTGGAACCAAAATCTCCTGAACACCTTTCAGTGTCATCCGAAGCTTGAACTTCTATTTCTAGATAAAAAAATCCATTCAGCACTGAACTGTGCAATTTGATCACTGTTTTTGACTTCAAACTTTGCCAAAATTAAATAGTGCAACACCAACATTTCCTCTATAATTTTCATCTATGACACCAGCTCCTACATCAATAAAATGTTTTGCAGCCAAGCCAGACCATGGAACTACTCTTCCTAACACCCAGAGAAGGAAGAGCTACCTGAATGTCTATTTTCATGAGTGCTTTCTCTATAGGTGGTATTGTCTAATCATAGGCATTGTACAAGTTGTAGCCTGCACTTCTCACAGACCCTCAGGTTGGAGCCATGGCATGCTCAGAGAGCTGGGCAAGGCACAGCTGCATGTCACCCTCCTCCACAGGCCAGCCGATTTGCTGGGGGAAATGGTGGGTGTTTCTTCAGAGCAGGTTATGGCAGAGCAAGAAGGCAAGCAAGGAGAGAGCCCAGGGAACTAGGGAGCACAGGATGGCAGGGAACTGGCCAAAAATGTCAACATATACTTTAGATTCAAAAACGTTTCTTTCTTTTTTTTTAGACAACCTACATGACATGTTTTTCTTAAAAACAATGCCTCCACTCCAAATAAATCATGGTCAAAATAAATGAAGAGCTCAAGATGACATCAGTCCCATTTGTCTTAAGTCCTGGTGTTGTGTGGCTGACAAGCAGAAGCCAGTTATGATGACAGGTAATAGATCCAGTCATTGCCAAATTTGTTAATTTTTTTTCCATTTCTAAGCCATCCTTAAAGGAAATCCCACATGGGTTACACCAACCTCACGGTAGTCCTGTGGAGCAACCATGCCATCTGGATTCATGTTTTCACCAATAAAGAAGTGGTAGCTTTTGAAATTAGCAAGGATGTGTTTGATTTGTTCTGCAGCCCCTGTCATAAAAGGTTTTACTCTTTCTGGTCTCTGTTCTTCAAGTTTGCCTTTGGTTGATTTCATGTAATCTTTGGTGTATTATACTTCTTGTAGGCTTCTTTTGTGAAGCTTGTTTCCTGCAGGTGATGGTTCATGACAGTAAGGATACCAGTGATTACTGTGCTTTTGGTACCTTCGCTTTCAGTGCCTTCAGCGGAGGCATTTCCACCAATGAGCAAGTCATCAATGTTACCCTCTGTCCTACTTACCAATTTCCCCTCCACCTCCAGGCACAGCCCATCCGCAGTCTCCCGGATTTTGTAAATGTGGGAGAACATCTCATCATGGCTGATGAGGTCCCAGTAGATAAATCATGATGGTGGCTGAAGGCAGACGATGGCGGCATTAGCATAGCAGGAGCCCAGAGCTCAGAGCGAGCGGGGTGCAGCCTGAGCAGCACTCCAAGGGAGCGGGGTGCAGCGGAAAAGAAAAACAAATTTCAAGAACCAAAGCAAGAAAATACAAGGATGGTGAAGGGAATAAAATGCATAAAGTTACCAAAAGAGAGCTGGAGTTGCTATATTAATATCGGACAAAGTAGACTTTAAGAAGAAGAACATTTTATAATGATAAAAGAATAAATTCATCAGAAATAAGAAAAACAATTATAAACATGTATACATATAACAACAAAATCTAAAAATACACGAAGTAAAAACTGACAGAATTGCAAAGAGAAATAGTCAATTCAATAACAACAATCGGAAACTTCAATACCTCACTTTTAATAATCGATTGAACAAGGAGACAGAAGATCAAGAAGAAAATAAAAGGCTTAAACAACACTTTAAGTAAACCCAGCAGACATCTAAATAACACTCCACTCAACAACAGAATATACAGTCTTTCCAAGGGCACATGGAACATTCTTCAGGATAGACGACATGTTGGGCCACAAAACCAGCCTCCATAAATTAAAAAGGATTTACATCATATAAAGAATGTCCTCCAACTACAATGGAATAAAATTAGAAATTAACCAATGAACAAAATTTAGGTAATTCACAAATATGTGGAAATTAAGCAACACACTGCTAAAAAAAAAAACAAAAACAAACAAAAAAACCCAATGGATTAAAGAAGAAATCCCAAGGGAAATTAGAAAGTACTTTAAGATTAATGAAAATTAAAAAAATAAAAAACCACCATGACTCATGGGATACATTGAAGGCAGTGTTTAGAGGGAAATTTATTACTCAAAATGCCCATATTTAAAAAAATAACAAGCTCAATAGCAAAAAATAGAAATAACCCTATTTAAAATGGGCAAAGAATTTAAATAGACATTTCTCAAAAGAAGATATATGAACAGCCAACAAGAATATGAAAAAATGTTCAATATCAGAGAAATACAAATTAAAACCACAAAGATGCATCATCTCATACATATTAGAATGGCTATTATCAAACACACGAAAAATAACAAGTGTTGATGAAATTCTCAGAAGAAAATATAGGAGTAAATATTTATGTCTTAGGACCAAGCAATGGTTTCCTGGATATGACACCACTTTTTATAATATTAAAAGCTTTTGTGCTTAAGGGATCCTACCAAGAAAGTGAAAAGACAATCCACATAATGAGAGAAAATATTTGCAAATCATGTATCTTATAAGGAGTTTGTATCCAGACTACATAAACAACTCTTACAACTCAACAACAAAAACATAAATAACTCAGTTTTAGAAATACAAAAAGGATTTAGTAGCCATTTCTCCAAGATATACAAATGGCTAATAAGTACATAAAAAGATGCCCAAATAATTAGCTGTTAGAGAAATGCAAATTATAACCAATGAGATATCACTTCATAACCACTAGTACTTTGCAAAACAATTTGGCAATTCCTTAAGATGTAGAAACATCGAGTTTCTACATAAATCAGTCATTCCGCTCCTAGAGAGAATTGAAAACATATGTTCACACAGAAACCTTTCCTAGAATTTCATAACAGCATTATTCATAACAGGCAAGAAGTGAAAATAATCCAAATGTCAATCAATTGATGGATGAATAAATACAATGTTTTATATTCATACAACGGAATATTACGCACCCATAAGAAGGAATGCAGTACTGATACACACTATAACCTGGATGAACCATGAAAATATTATGCTAAGTGAAAGGAGTTAGTCACAAAGAACTGCATATAGTATGAATCTACTTATATTCAATTTCCAGAATAGGGAAATTCATGAAGACAGAAAATAGATTGGTGATTTCCTAGGTCTGGAGAAGATGGGGAGAAATTGAGAGTGACCACTAATGGGGGTTTCTTTAGGGGGGTGACAAAAATGTTATAAAATTGACTTGGTGATAGTTGTACATCTTTGTGGATATATTAAAAACAACTGAATTGTACACTTAAAAAAGGTAAATTTTATAGATTTTAATTACATCTCAATTAAGCTATTATTTAAAAATAGAGTTACCGTTGAGTGCTGAGTAACATTTCTGTCTCTTTTGAAGGCCCAGATTCTCAGGCACAATGGTCTGGGACAGGTTGAAGGTTACAGGGCTGAGACGATAAAATCAGGTTAATCTTATATTAGTAATTCTCATGAAAATGGGATTATGTTGCTGACCTATTTTAAAGCTTGTCCTTTAGCTTCTCTCAGCTATGGGAAATCAAGAGCTCCACAATTTTGTAAAAATACACGGAAGCCTATGGGAGTACTACAGATGGGTTCATAATTAAAACAAGGTGATTTATTCACCTACCAGTTCTGTGAACTTGAGCAAGACATGCACTCAAATCTTTGATTGTACCTTCCGTAATATAGAGATTTAAAAAGTACTTACTCTACATCATAGGATTGTTGAGATAATTAAATGAGATTTAATAGTTATACAATGCCAGGCACATGGAAAAGATATGATTGATGCTGGCTGCCCTTAAAGATATATGTTAATTCATGCACACATATGTTTATTGCAGCACTATTCACAATAGCAAAGACTTGGAACCAACCCAAATGTCCATCAGTGACAGACTGGATTAAGAAAATGTGGCACATATACACCATGGAATACTATGCAGCCATAAAAAAAAGGTGAGTTCATGTCCTTTGCAGGGACATGGTTGAAGCTGGAAACCATCATTCTCAGCAAACTATCACAAGATTAAAAAGCTAAACACCATATGTTCTCACTCATAAGTAGGAGTTGAACAATGAGAACACATGGACACAGGGAGGGGAACATCACATGCTGGGGCTGGTCAGTGGGTGGGGGACTAGGGGAGGAATAACATTAGGAGAAATACCTAATGTATGTGATGGGTTGATGGGTGCAGCAAACCACAAGGGCACGTGTATACCTATGTAACAAAATTGCACGTTCTGCACATGTAACCCAGAACTTAAAGTATTAAAAAAAAAAGATACGTGTGAATTATTCTGCAAAGGGAAGGGGGAAACTCAGGCATGGTAATGTCAGTCTTCCTTACATATCAGCTGGGTTCCCTTTTATGGGAATGAACAGGCTGCTCAGCTCCCCACAAAAATGTTCCTTGAATGCCATTAGTACCTACCACTACTTCCAGTACTTCCCAGTCCATCATTCTATGGACAGGGGCATCTGCATACCCAGCTCCTGCCCACTGTTGTTCGACGAAGCATCTTTTCCAGGCCTGCCCAATCCATCATTGTATCACCAGAGAGCAATCTCTTTGGAAACTGTTTTGCAAGTTTGGGAGAGTAGATTATTATATTGTCTCTTCTGACATAGAATGAGGAATTATACCACAGAGGAACCAAGACTCTTGCCCAAGGTCTCAGACAGTGTGCTGTTTCTAATACGTGCTTCCTCCCAGTCAAAAGAGATAAAAATGTGTTAAAGTTTGACCCAATGAGATTAGAGAGCCAGACAGATCCGGATATGCTGAACTAGGCAAAGGATTTTCTCCTCTGTGCATCCTCAACTTTGAAAACGCTGCTGTGAGAATTAAATAAAACAATGAAAGTAAGGTGTTGACCACAGGGCTTACCTCTCCTCATATTTTCTATAGCTTAAAAAAGTATGTGTTACATGTATACTTTTTGAAACTGCCTTTGCAAAAATTATAACAGTGAGAAAATTATGACAGTGAAAGAGATCTGATCTAAGTAACCCCCATCTTGCCTTTAACCTCCAAACTGCTCTTGGTCATTCTTGGGCTTAGACCAAGCTAATTTTGGGAGACCTTTATAGTTTAGATGATAACAGCCCTTCCCCAAAACTAAACTGCCTTTGTAAAGCTAATGAAAGGCCACCAGGTTAGAGTGTGAGGGGCCTGAATTCTGCTAAGGAGTAGTTATAAACAACTACTAGCCATTATCCCAGAGGTCACAAGACTTGCAACTCCCCCAATTACTCTTGCAGATAACATCACTATTGTAGACCCTAAGATTGGCCTTTTGAGATGTCTTTTCAGGTGTTTGCATTTCTGATGACCTATGTGTCCACTCGGACCCACCAACTCCTGCCAGCTGGTCCTGTGGCCTCACTCAGAAGCCAACTCCCTGGCCCACTAAACTATCCTTGAAAAACCCTAGCCTCCAAATTTTCTGGGAGATTGATTTGGGTAACAACTCTGTCTCCCATGTGGGATGGCTGGCCTCATGTCAGTTAAACTATATTGCAATGCCATGGTCTCTGAATTTATTTTGTTTTTGCAGTGGGCAGGAAGAACTCATGGGGCAGTTACCTTTTCTTCAAAATGTAGTAGATACAAATATATAGCTATGATTTTTCCACAAGTGGTTATATTCTTTCAAATTTCTAGTTTTCTGGTGGAAAAAGGGGGGTGTTACAGAATAAAAGGTAGCTTGCTTAAAATGCAAATTGGACTGTTAATGATTATTAATATAGAAATATGAGAAAAAAAGCTTCATCTTTGGAGCTCTGTACTTCTGATAATTGTTTCCAGAACAAATGGAATCCTCATTTTTCTGCAACAGCTTTAGGGCAGGCTAACCTATAAATTTCTTTTTAAATAACTGTTGAGTCTATTACAAAGACTTCTAAATTGCTAGGCAGTGCGGCCCACATATCCTTAGGATAACAAAGCACACTGTGATTCTCTGGCCTCTAACCTCTTCTACAACACACCAGGAAAATGATGTAAGGTTTCTGAAATCCCCCTATTTCTACTGGGAAAAAGGCTAGAAATGGCTCTTTGCCAATTATGTGATATGTTTAAGAAATGATTTTTTTTAACTTTTATTTTAGGTTCAGGGATACATGTGAAGGTTTGCTATATAGGTAAACTCATGTCATGGGGTTGTATTATACATGTTATTTCATCACCCAGGTATTAAGCCTAGCACCTGTTAATTCTCTTTCCTGATCATCTCCCTCCTCCCACCTTCCACCCTCAAGTAGACCCTAGTGTATGTTGTTCCCTTCTTTGTGTTCATGGGTTCATCATTTATCTCCCACTTATAACTGAGGACATGCGGTATTTGGCTTTCTGTTCCTGCATTAGTTTGCTAAGGATATGGCCTCAAGCTCCATCCATGTTCCCACAAAAGACATGATTGCATTCTTTTTATGGCTGCATAGTATTCCATGATGTATATGTACCACATTTTCTTCATCCAATCTGTCATTGATGGACTTTTAGTTTGATTCCATGTCTTTGCTAGTGGGAATGGTGCTGCAATGAACATTTGCCTACATGAGTCTTTATGGTAGAATGATTTATATTCCTCTGGATATATACCCAGTAATGGAATTGCTGGGTCGAATGGTAGTTCTGCTTTCAGCTCTCTGAGGAATCACCATACTGCATTTCACAATGTTAGAACTAATTTACACTCCCACCAACAGTGTATAAGTGTTTCATTTTCTCCACAACCTTGCCAGCATCTGTTAGTTTTTGACTTTTTAATAATGGCCATTCTGACTGGTGTGAGATGATATCCCATTGTGGTTTTGATTTTCATTTCTCTAATGAACAGTGATATTGAACTTTTATTCATATATTTGTTGGCTTCTTTTGAAAAGTGTCTGTTCATGTCCCTTGGCCACTTCTTAATAGGGTTGTTTGTTTTTATCTTGTAAATTTGTTTAAGTTCCTTATAAATGCTGGATATTAGATCTTTGTCAGATGCATAGTTTGCAAATATTTTCTCTCATTCTCTAGGTTCCTGTTTACTCTGTTGATATTTTATTTTTCTGTGCAGATGCTCTTAAGTTTAATTAGACCTCATTTGTCAATTTTTACTTTTGTTTCAATTGCCTTTGGTGTCGTTGTCATGAAATCTTTGCCTGTTCCTATGTTCAGGATTGTATTGCCTACATTGTCTTCTGGAGTTTGTATAGTTTTAGGCTTTATATTTGAGTCTTTAATCCATCTTGAGTTGATTTTTATATATTGTGTAAGGAATGGGTCCCACGTCAATCTGCTGCATATGCGTAGCCAGTAATCCCAGCATCATTTATTGAAAACGGGGTCTTTTCCCCATTGCTTGTTTTTGTCAGCTTTGTTGAATATCAGATGTGTGGCCTTATTTTTGGGCTCTCTATTCTGTTCCATTGATTGATATGCCTGTTTTTGTAATAGTACCATCCTGTTTTGGTTACTGTAACCTTGTAATATAGTTTGAAGTTGAGTAACATGATGACTCCAGCTTTGTTATTTTTGCTTATGGTTGCTTTGTCTATCTGGGCCCTTTTTTTGGTTCCATATGAATTTTAAAATAGTTTTTTCTAGTTCTGTGAAGAATATAGTTGGTAGTTTGATAAGAATAGCATTGAATCTGTAAATTGCTTTGGGCAGTATGGCCATTTTAATGATATTGATTCTTCCTATCCATGAGCATGGGATATTCTTCCATTTGTGTGTGTCTTCTCTGAAGAAATGATATTTCTTTTTAACATTTTGAAGCATATCATTGAAAAATTGGCAATGTAGATGTTCCCCTTTACTACACAACTGATTGAAATTGCAGGCCGGCCGGGCGCGGTGGCTCACGCCTGTAATCCCAGCACTTTGGGAGGCCGAGGCGGGTGGATCATGAGGTCAGGAGATCGAGACCATCCTGGCTAACAAGGTGAAACCCCGTCTCTACTAAAAATACAAAAAAAAATTAGCCGGGCGCGGTGGCGGGCGCCTGTAGTCCCAGCTACTCGGGAGGCTGAGGCAGGAGAATGGCGTGAACCCGGGAAGCGGAGCTTGCAGTGAGCCGAGATTGCGCCACTGCAGTCCGCAGTCCCACCTGGGCGACAGAGCGAGACTCCGTCTCAAAAAAAAAAAAAAAAAAAAAAAAAAAAGAGAAATTGCAGGCCATCTCCTTAAATAGCCAACTCCTTGTTTTGTTCACTATGTTCTTGCTGTTGACATCAAAAAATAATTCTTATATTTTTTAGTCCTTTTTAGAAGTTACAAATGCTGTCAATATTTTGAAATTTTATTTCCTTTTTTATTGATATATACATATTTTGGGGGCACATGTCATAGTTTGATACTTGTGTACAGTGTGTAATGATCAAATCAGGGTAATTGGAATATCCATTATCTCAAACATTGTACTTGTGTTGAGAACACTTAAATCTTCTCCTCTTGCTTTTTTTAAATATACAATAAATTATTAACTAGAATTTCCCTACTGTACTATGGAATACCATAACTTATAGCTTCTGTCAAGGCATTTGAACCAAAGCAACTCCATTTTAATAGGAGCTGGGTAAAATGAGGCTGAAACTACTGGGAGATGCATTCCCAGACGGTTAAGGCATTCTAAGTCACAGGATGAGATAGGAGGTCAGCACAAAATGCAAGTCCTAAAGACCTTGCTGATAAAACAGGTTGCAGTAAAGGAGCAAGCCAAAATCCACCAAAATCAAAACGGCAATGAGAGTGACCTCTGGTCGTCCTCACTGCTACACTCCCACCAGCGCCATGACAGTTTACAAATGCTGTGGCAACATCAGGAAGTTATCCTATATGGACTCAAAAGGGGAAGCATGAATAATCCACTCCTGTTTAGTATATCATCAAAAAATAACCATAAAAATGGGTAACCAGCAGCCCTTGGGGCTGCTCTGTCTATGGAGGAGCCATTCATTTATTCCTTTACTTTCTTAATAAACTTGCTTTCTCTTTGCACCGCGGACTTGCCCTCAATTCTTTCTTGCACAAGATCCAAGAAGCCTCTCTTGGGGTCTGGACTGGGAACCCTGTCCTGTACCACTTCTATCTAACTGTATGTTTGTGCCCCTTAATTAAGTTGAAAATGTTTTTTAAGAAAGAAAGCAGAAAAACAATGCCAAACACAATTTTGCCTGGAAAGAAATACTTTGTACTCTGTGCAAATGGAGCACATGTGAGATTTGTCACATATCCTGTTTTCTTACTTTCACGAAAAAAAAAACCCTCCTCAGGTCATTATCATTCATTGCTCCCTATACAGACAAGCCCTAATAAGGAAGACTCCTGGTATCCTGAAGTTTTTCCATAGCCATAGAGTCAATACCCTTATCAGAAGCAGATCTCTGAATTACTCCATTTTGAAAAAATTTTGTCAGAAAATGAGAACATCATAGAGAGTGCTTCTCTACCACTAAGAAAGAAAACCATAAAAGAGAGAAAAACTATAAGTAGAAGTTATACTTTTTCTAAGAGAAAAAGAAAACTCATTCTTGTTTCGCTCTGAAAAAAAAAAATTATCCTTTGGTTGTATTACCTGTCAGTTTTTTATAATTACATGAAAAAAATTAATCTTTTATATTTTTTAAACAAGGAGAATATTCTACCCTTTGTTTAGCATATTATCAAGAAATAACCATAAAAATAGGCAAATAGCAGCCCTCGGGACTCCTCTTTCTGTGGAATAGCCATTCTTTTATTCCTTTACTTTCCTAATAAACTTGCTTTCACTTTACAGACTCTCCTTGGATTCTTTCTTGTGTGAAATCCAAGAACCCTCTTTTGGGATCTGGGTCAGGCCTCATTTCCTGTAACAGTATCATACAAGTAGTTTCACAGCCCTAAAAATCATCTGTGCTCCACATGTTCATTCCTTCTTTGCTCCAAACCTCTGGCAACCACTTATCCTTTTACTGTCTCCAAGTTTGCCTTTTCCAAAATGTCATATATATATCATAGAGTAGGTAGCCTTTTCAGATTAGCTTCTTTCATTAGTAATATGCATTTAAGTTTCTTCCATGTCTTTTCATTTCTTGATAGCTCATTTCTTTTTAGCACTAAATAATATTTCAATATACCATTGTCTGGATGGACCACAGTTTATTCATTTACCTAATAAAGGACATCTAGTTTGCTTCCAAGTTTTGGCAATTATGAATAAAACTGCTCTAAACAGTTCATCCACAGGTTTTTGTGTGGACATAGGTTTTTAACATATTGAGTAAATACCAAGGTGAGCAGTTGCTGGATTGTATGGTAAGGATATGTTTATTTTTGTAAGAAATGCCAGACTGTCTTCCAGAATGGCTATATCATTTTTTATTCCCACCAGTAATGAATGAGAGTACCTGTTGCTCTACACCCTCACCAGCACTTGGTGTTGTCAGTGTTCTGGATTTTGACCATTCTAAAAGGTGTGTAGTGGTATTGTCAGAGGCATTTGAACCAGAGCAACTCCATCGTGAATAGGGGCTGTGTAAAATAAGGGTAAGATCCGCTGGGCTGCATTCCCAGACAGTTAGGCATTCTAAGTCACAGTCTGAGATAGGAGGTTGGCACGAGATACAGGTCATAAGAACCTTTCTGATAAAACAGATGCAGTAAAGAAGCCGGCAAATCCCACCAAAACTAAGATGGCAATGAGAGTGACTTCTGATCATCCTCACGACTACACTCCCACCAGCACCATGACAGTTTACAAATGCCATGGCAACGTCAGGAAGTTACCCTATACAGTCTAAAAAGGGGAGGCATGAATAATCCACCCCTTCTTTAGCATATAATCAAGAAATATCCATAAAAATGGGCAACCAGCAGCCCTCCTGGTTGCCCTGCCTATGAAGTAGCCATTCTTTCTTCTTTTACTTTCTTAATAAACTTGCTTTCACTTTACTCTATGGACTCGCCCTGAATTCTTTCTTGTGCGAGAGCCAAGAACTCTCTCTTGGGGTCTGGATTGGGACCCCTTTCCATTAACAGTATCTCATTGTTTTAATTTCCATTTCCCTGATGACATGTGATGGGGAGTGTCTTTTCATATGCTTACTTGCAATGTGGATGTCTTCTTTAGTAAGGTATCTGTTAGATATTTTGCCCATTTTTTTGTTTGTTTTTTTTATTATTATACTTTAAGTTTTAGGGTACATGTGCACAATGTGCAGGTTTGTTACATATGTATACATGTGTCATGTTGGTGTGCTGCACCCATTAACTAGTCATTTAGCATTAGGTATATCTCCTAATGCTATCCCTCCCCCCTGCCCCCACCTCAAAACAGGTCCCAGTGTGTGATATTCCCTTTCCTGTGTCCATGTGTTCTCATTGTTCAATTCCCATCTATGAGTGAGAACATGCAGTGTTTGGTTTTTTGTCCTTGCGATAGTTTGCTGAGAATGATGGTTTCCAGTTTCATCCTTGTCCCTACAAAGGACATGAGCTCATCATTTTTTATGGCTGCATAGTATTCCATGGTGTATATGTGCCACATTTTCTTAATCCAGTCTACCATTGTTGGACATTTGGGTTGGTTCCAAGTCTTTGCTATTGTGAATAGTGCCACAATAAACATACGTGTGCATGTGTCTTTAGAGCAGCATGATTTATAATCCTTTGGGTATATACCCAGTAATGGGATGGCTGGGTCAAATGGTATTTCTAGTTCTAGATCCCTGAGGAATCGCCACACTGACTTCCACAATGGTTGAACTAGTTTACAGTCCCACCAACAGTGTAAAAGTGTTTCTATTTCTCCACATCCTCTCCAGCACCTGTTGTTTCCTGACTTTTTAATGATCACCATTCTAAGTGGTGTGAGATGGTATCTCATTATGGTTTTGATTTGCATTTCTCTGATGGCCAGTGATGATGAGCATTTTTTCATGTGTTTTTTGGCTGCCTAAATGTCTTCTTTTGAGAAGTGTCTGTTCATATCCTTTGCCCACATTTTGATGGAGTTGTTTGTTTTTTTCTTGTAAATTTGTTTGAGTTCATTGTAGATTCTGGATATTAGCCCTTTGTCAGATGAGTAGGTTGCAAAAATTTTCTCCCATTCTGTAGATTGCCTGTTCACTGTGATGGTAGTTTCTTTTGCTCTGCAGAAGCTCTTTAGTTTAATTAGATCCCATTTGTCAATTCTGGCTTGTGTTGCCGTTGCTTTTGCTATTTTAGACATGAAGTCCTTGCCCATGCCTTTGTCCTGAATGGTATTGCCTAGGTTTTCTTCTAGGGTTTTTATGGTTTTAGGTCTAACATGAAAGTCTTTAATCCATCTTGAATTAATTTTTGTATAAGATGTAAGGAAGGGATCCAGTTTCAGCTTTGTACATATGGCTAGCCAGTTTTCCCAGCATCAATAGGGAATTCTTTCCCCATTGCTTGTTTTTGTCAGGTTTGTCAAAAATCAGATAGTTGTAGATATGCGGCATTATTTCTGAGGGCTCTGTTCTGTTCCATTGGTCTATATCTCTGTTTTGGTACCAGTACCATGCTGTTTTGGTTACTGTAGCCTTGTAGTATAGTTTGAAGTCAGGTAGCGTGATGCCTCCAGCTTTGTTCTTTTGGCTTAGGATTGACTTGGCAATGCGGGCTCTTCTTTGGTTCCACATGAACTTTAAAGTAGTTTTTTCCAATTCTGTGAAGAAAGTCATTGGTAGCTTCATGGGGATGGCATTGAATCTATAAATTACCTTGGATCTTTTGCCCATTTTTTAATCAGGTTGTTTGTTTTCTTACTGTTGAGTTTCAAGAGCTCTTTGTATATTTGGGGTAATAGTCCTTTATCAGATATATCATTCAGAAATATTTTCTCCCTGTCTGTTTCTTGTCTACTCACTGTCTTGACAATGTACTTGGAAGAGCAGTAGTTTTAACTTTAATGAAGCCCAGTTTTCCAATCCTTTATTTAATGCTTCATGCCTTTGGCATTGTATCTAAAATGTCATCATTATACTCAAGATCGTATTCTCCTATATTATTTTCTAGGAGCTGTATAGTGTTATTTTTATAGTTAGGTCAATGATCAATTTTGAGTTAATTGTTGGGAAAGGTATAAAATCTGTAAGATGTGTGTCTAGATTGTTTTTATTTTTTTATTTTTTATTTTGCATGTGGATGTTCTAGCACCATTTGCTGAAAAGACGACCTTTTCTCCATTGTACTGCCTTTGCTCATTTGTCAAGAATCAGTTGACTATATTTATGTTGGTTTGTTTCTGGACTCCCTGTTTAATTGCATTGATCTATTTGTCTTTTCTCCTTTCAGTACCACATTGTCTTGACTACTGCAGTTTATAGTAACTGCTGAAGTCACGTAGTATCAGTTCTCTAACTTTGTTCTCATTCAATATTGCATTGGCTATTCTGGATCTTTTTGCCCCTCCATATAACCTTTAGAATCAGTTTGTCAACCTCCACAAAATAACTTGCTGAGAATTTAGGGGGATTGTGTTGAATTTTGGGAAGAGTGGAGAAGAACTGACATCCGGAAAATACTGTCTTCATATCCACGAATATGACATATCTATTTACTTAGTTCTTCTTTGATTTTTTTTTATCAGGGTTTTCTAGCTTTCTCATATAGATCTGCTATACATTTTTTTAGATTTATACCTAAGTATTTTATTTTTAGGGCGGGCCAATGTAAATGGCACTGCTTTTCATTTCAAATTCCACTTGTTCATTGCTGGTATATAAAAAAGTGATTGATATTTTGTGTGTTAGTTTTATATCCCATCCTACAACCCTGCTATAATTGCTTGCTAATACCAGGAGTGTTTGTGTCAATTCTTTTGGATGTTATACATAGACAATGACTCCATCTGTGAATAAAGACAGTTTTATTTCTCCCTTCACAATCGTTATACATTTTATTTCCTGTTCTTTTCTTACTGCATGAGCTAGGACTTCCAGTGCCTACATTCTTGTTTGTGACAATGTTGAAAAGCAATGGTGAAAGGAAATATCTTTGCCTTCTTTCTGATCTTAGTGGGAAAGCTTCAAGTTTCTCACAAGTAAGTATGATGTTAGCTGTAGGTTATTTTATAGATTTTTTTTTTTTCTGGAGATGGAGTTTCGCTGTTGTTGCCTAGGCTGGAGTGCAGTGGCACGATCTCAACTCACTGCAACCTCCGCCTCCCAGGTTCAAGCGGTTCTCCTGCCTCAGCCTCCTGAGTATCTGGGATTATAGGTATGCGCCACCATGCCCAGCTAATTTTTGTATTTTTTCATAGAGACGGGGTTTCACCACGTTGGTCAAGCTGGTCTCGAAATCTTGACCTCAAGAGATCACCCCGCCTCTGCCTCCCAAAGTGCTGGGTTTACATATAGATGGTTTTAACAAGTTGAGGAAGTTCTCTATTCCTCATTGGCTGAGATTATTTATTATGAGTGGGTTTTGGGTTTTGGCAAATACTTTTTCTGTATCTATTGTTATGATCATAGAATTTTTATTCTTTGTGTACACAGTCTCTGAAAATAAGGATAGAGCAAAAATTAATATAAACAAAATTAAAATTTGTATTCTTTAGCTTGTTGATATGATGGACTACATTAATTGATTTTTGAATAAATGTTGAACCAGCCTTGAATACCTGTGCTAAATCTCATTTAGTCGTAGAGTATGATTCTTTTTATACATTTATTTAATTTTCTAATATTTTATTGATCCTTTTATCTAATCAATGCCAGAGGATACAGTTTATATCAGAAAGGAAATGATTATAAATCCATAGTTCAATTTTAATGTCATCTAGACAGATAGAACTTTTGATAGACTTCTGAAGTTTTCTGGGTATTTTACAGATTTCTCTTTTCTAGGAAATAAACATTATCAAAACCTCTCAGCAAGCTGGAAATAGAAGAGAACTTCCTTAATTTGGCAAAGGTGTTATAGGACCACTGCATTCGACTGCTTATTGCACAGTGACAGACCAATATACCAAAACAACAGGAGTTGCAGCAAAGAGTTTAATTATCATAAAACAGCCAAATAAGGAGACAGGAGGAAACATCAAATCCACATCTCCAGAAGATAGGGAGATGGGACTTTTAAGGGACCTGGACAGGTGACAGACTAAAATGTACTGATTGCTAATTGGTCAAGAAGTGAGAGGTGAAGTCATAGGGCAGGTAGATTAAGAGACTACATTCCTGTCCTGAGTCAGTTACACTCTGGGTCTTCAGACCAGCTGGCATCAGCCATTCTGCTGGAATTCAGGATATCAAAAAACACCTTAAGCAATTATTGGGTTAAAATGTCCAGTATCGGCCAGGTGCGGTGGCTCAGGCCTGTAATCCCAAAGCCAAGGCAGGCAGATCACCTGAGGTCAGGAGTTCAAGACCAGCCTGGCTGACATGGTGAAACTCTGTCTCTACTAAAAATACAAAAAGTAGCCAGGCGTGGTGGCGGGCACCTGTAATCCCAGCTACTTGGGAGGCTGAGGCAGGAGAATCACTTGAACTAGGGAGGCAGAGATTGCAGTGAGTGGAGATTACACCACTGCACTCCAGCCTGGGTGACAGAGTGAGACTCCATCTCAAAAAAAAAAAAAAAAAAAAAAAATCCAGTTCCAGAGATTCTATCTATAGGAACAATGTGGGAGCAGGTGGTCAGTTTGCTACATGACTCTCAAGTTAGTTAGCAGCTACAGGGAAGTGGATCAAATTGCGCCAGTGCACCATGTTCAATACCTAACTATAATTCTGCCTAAAGCCTGGCTTCACTGGCTCACAGTCCTGCAGGCTATACAGGAAGCATGACATCAGCATCTGCTTAGCTTTTGGTGAGGCCTCAAGGAGTTTTTACTCAAGGCAGAAGGCAAAGTGGGAACTAACGCATCACATGGTGAGAGCAGCAGCAGGTAAGGATTCCATACACTTTTAAACAACCAAATCCATGTGAACTCATAGAGTGAAAATGCACTCATTATTGCAAGGACAGCACCAAGCCATTTATGAGGGATCTGCCCCCATGAGCCAATCACCTCCCACCAGGCCTCACCTCCAACAACACTGGGGATTACGTTTCAACATGAGATTTGTAGGGAACACATACCCAAACCATATTAATGTGAAAATAGTGAATGGTTTTCACCTAAGTCTGAGAATAACATAAATATATCTACTATTCTAATTTCTTTTTTATCTTTTTTTTGAGACAGAGTCTCATTCTGTCACCCAGGCTGGAGTGCAATGGCACAATCTTAGCTCACTGCAACCTCCACCTCCCAGGTCCAAGTGATTATCCTGCCTCAGCCTCCTGAGTAGTGGGAATACGGGGGCATGCCACCACTCCTGACCTTGTGATCCGTCTGCCTCGGCCTCCCAAAGTGCTGGAATTACAGGCGTGAGCCACTGCACCCAGCCCTATCTTTTTTTTTTTTTCATGATGGAGTTTCGTTCCTGTTGCCCAGGCTGGAGTGCAATGGTGCAGTCTCAGCTCACTGCAACCTCTGCCTCCCAGGTTCAAGCGATTCTCCTGCTTCAGTCTCCCAAGTAGCTGGGATTACAGGTGCCTGCCACCACATCCAGCTAACTTTTTTGTATTTTTAGTAGAGACGGGGTTTCACCATGTTGGCCAGGCTGATCTAGAACTCCTGACCTCAGATGATCTGCCTACTTCAGCCTCCCAAAGTGCTGGGATTACAGGCTTGAGCCACTGCACCCAGCCCTATTATAATTTCTAGCCAACACTATATTGGAGATCTTCTGTTGATGAGATATTTGCATATCCCAGGTCACCAAGACACTAAACTAAAAAGCACTAAACATTGAAAGAAAATATTGGTTAACTATGTTGAAAATACTGACCTAGCCAAAGATGAAGTCATTGATATTTGGATAAAAATTTGACTACAACTGAAATTTAACTAAAAAATTGTGATATTCTTTGAAAGAAATCTGCCTGTCTTGGCCTTGTAAAGTGAGCTGTCGAAACTTTAATTCCAGTCACAACAATATAGTTTGTGACTTGGGATTGTCAGCATTTGTGGCCATCCAAAAAAAAAAAAAGATCAAAATTCATCAGATAGCCAACATGACACATATTGCTTTGTCAAAGATCACCTCATAGTTTAATTCTCTTATTCAAGCTAAGCAACTACTGCTTTCATATTAATGTCTTTCAAAAATAAAATTTTGCTTACTTAGGCAAAATTTTAAATGTTTTTGTTTTTTAATTTACTAATAAAGAATGTATATATTACTATATCACAAATTTTAAAAATATTTTGATAACTTTATTTCACTATACCTAGCTTTCCTTGTAATTCAACTTATTTCATTTTATGCATTTGAGAATATTATTCTAAAAAGGGCCCATAGGCTTCACTGGATTGTAAAAAGAGCCATTGCACAGAAAACCTAAGTACCTCTGAGCTCAAAAGGATGTGTTATCGTAGAAAACAGTATGGCCTGGCCACTCACAGTTTTTCTGAAAAGCAAGTTGGAATAGCAGTGAATCTTTGAAAGTGACAGCAATGTGCCCTTCAAGTGTTGGAATTATCATGGGCAATCTCATGAGATTGCTGACAATCTGAGTTTCTCATCATAGCAACTGGAAAACCACTTGCTGCTTGTTTTATAACAGATAACTTCATCATCTTATTAGCAGTGATTTAGGTTGGGAAGCTGCCTACATTCTTGTTTGTGACCCTGATGGGAGGTAACCTCAAATATCAAATTAGTCATTTCTCTAAGGATCCTGGTTCCCGTTAGTGGAAAATAATATTACTATAGTAGTGAGCATTAAGCTGTGTCATGGGGTCACATTGCTCTTGAGCTTTTTCTTTCTTTTTTTTTTTTCTTTTTGAGATGGAGTCTCACTCTGTTGCGCAGGCTGGAGTGCAGTGGCGCGATCTCAGCTCACTGCAACCTCTGCCTCCGGGGTTCAACCAATACCCTTACCTCAGCCTCCCAAATAGCTGGGATTACAGGCGCCCACCACCATGCCCAGCTAGTTTTTGTATTTTTACTAGAGATGGGGTTTCACCATATTGGTCAGGCTGGTCTCAAACTCCTGACCTCAGGTGATCCACCCGCCTCAGCCTCTCAAAGTGCTGGGATTACAGGCGTAAGCCACCGTGCCCAGCCACTCTTGGGCTACTTCAATGGAAGAGCTAAACCGTTTTTCTTATAAAGGAAGTAGTTTATATTGATATTTACAATCTAGCTGGAGCAGGTCCATGCTCCTACTAAAATTCTTAACTTCCTTTGAACTGAGTATCTTTTACTAATCCTCTTCCTGAAGAAAGTAATATAGTTGTTTATGCTTTTCCCATAATTTAAGTTAAAAAAAATACAATATCCATGGAAATATCAATTCTTAATATAGTTGAAAACTTTTCCTTTAATTCTTCTTGGTTTTAGAAGGTAGCTAATTTGGTGGGATCTAACAAAGTGATGTAATTTAATCCTTTGGACTCAGGATCCAGCAATATGGAACTACACAACAGAGTAGAAGGGGATTGGAAAGCAATAATGGTATTTTAAAAGTCATCTACCCAGGGACAGAGAGGATCTGCCCCAGGAAACTCCCAGGTCCTGCTGCCTATGGGAAGGAAGCATCCCACATGGAGGAGAGAGACTCAGACTCCATGTTGCTTCTGGGAATCTGGTGGGAGGGAGGAAGTCCACTGCGTGAAGGGACCAAGTTCTAATGGGGAAGGGGAGAAAGATTCTGCTTGTACTTCTGCTGTGAGCAGCTGAGTAGTAGATTGTGACAGAGAAGCCGCACATTGAACCTCTGTCGTCCCAGAGTGCTGGAGAAAGAGGCATGTCTGAGCTTAGATGTCAGAGTCAGTGACTGTGCAAGAGGCCAGTTTCCTCATCCCCTGTGCATTCTATGTGCAGCCTCTGAAAACATACATTCTGTGTCCTGGATTGACTCGAATCTAAACCACTCTTATTATTTGTGGCTTATTAAAGAGGCCAATATAGACTGATGGTCCTCCTATGGCCACAAAGAGATCACGGCAAAGTTGCAAGAAAGGATTCTGAGCTTTTGTAGCCTTCTCAGAAGTCCCCAGACCAAGAACTACTCCTTGGGCATAACAGGTGGCAGACAGCAAGAGGTAAACCTTTTGAGTGGACAGAGAGCCTTTATGTGAAATAGAGTTACAAATATAAAAAGACAAAAAAAAATCCTGCCCACTTGTGGAACTTTGAGCAATTAATTTAACATGTTGAAGCTCCATTTTATTACCCATAAAAGGAGAATGATATTGCAGCATTATCACAATAGTCAAGCTTTGGAATCCACCTAACTGTCCATCAATGGATGAATGGATAAAGCAAAAATGTGGAGAGTAGAATGGTGGTTACCAGGGGCTGCCTGAAGGGTTACTGGAGAGGCTGATCAAAGAATATAAAATTTCAGCTAGATAGGAAGAATAGATTCAAGAGATCTACTGTATAATTTGGTGACTATAGTTAATAACAATGTATTGCATACTTGAAAATCACTATGTGAGTAGATTTTAAGCGTTCTCACCACAGAAAAAGTGGGGGTGGGGAGCAGATAATAATATTTACCCTTCATGCTTTTGTGAAGACTTAACAATGTAACCTGAGTATTGGAATTCAATTGTGCTCAAAACCTGACTGCCACTTACTTGGACATGAATGATCTTAAGCAAATTATTCAGCCAGGTTAAATATCACATTAAGTTTTCTTACCAATAAGATGAAATATTAATAGTCATTTAACAGCATAATCCAAATGTGCCAGGATGCCTATGACAAGGTCCCTCTGTTTTCTTTCTTTTTTTTCTTTTTTGAGACAGAGTTTTGCTCTTGTTGCCCAGGCTGGAGTGCAACGGCGTGATCTCAGCTCACTGCAACCTCTGCCTCCAAGGGTTCAAGAGATTCTCCTGCCTCAGCCTCCCAAGTAGCTAGGACTCCAGGCGCCCGCCACCACACCTGGCTAATTTTGTGTATTTTTAGTAGACATGGGGTTTCACCATATTGGCCAGGCTGGTTTCAAACTCCTGACTTCAGGTCATCCACCCGCCTCGGCCTCCCGAAGTGCTGGGATTACAGGTGTGAGCCACCGCGCCTGGCCGGTCCCTGTTTTCACCCCGCATTCACCTAAAAGCAGGTCTCAGATTTTTAATTCAGCCCACCTAAATAAATCTATCTCAGCAAATTTAAAGAAAAATTGATATTTTATTAAAGACTTTGTGATAAGATATAAAATAGGTTCTCATCACAAAAGAAACTTAAATATATATTATCCATTAGATAGCTCCAGTGGTGTGCTGGTAAATGTTCAACAACTGACTCTTAAAGAAAAACGCATGCATTTATATACATACATATTTATTATAAATTTTTCTGATATAAAAGATTGTTACACACAATTTACTATTTGTAAATTTTACTATTGGTTCCTACAGACTGCTTTCATTGATTTTTGCAGAACTTTTGCAATCCATAGCCAACCTATGGTTCCGGCTGAACTGATTTGACAAATGGAGTTATATACCCATTTATTTTCTAATAAATCAATAACGTATTGTTATTGGATGTAATATGTAATCTATTATTAAAGTATTTGTCACCCTATTATATAATGAGTGTAGTACAGGCTATAGTCATTAAATTAAAACCTAGTTTTAGCACTAGATATATTGTTCATCAATGATGTGAGTGAGATTTTTCCTGAGTCAGAAAATAGTTTTCTAATATGTACTGAAATAATATTTTCTCAATTTGGGGGGCTATTCCCAATGTAATGGATATTAGCACCACACACTTTTAAGTTTATTCTGCATTATTTTGACATTTTCTTCATTACTTTCTTAAGTCTAATCAACTGATGAAACAATAAATAAAGCCCTGATTTGTATGTAAATTTTTGCCTGTATATTTTTCTTTCCTCATGGACTTGGGAAATTTTCTATGATCCTCATGGCTTTGCAGCTACTTACTGTATGCACCCTCACCTTGTTTGCAGCATTATCAGCTCCAGGACAGCCGAAATCCTTCTTGGTTCTTTCATACTATCGCCCACTGTGTCTAAAGTAGATTTTAAGTTAGTGTTACTTGAATTGCAAGTACTACTACCACTGAAGCAGCAACTCTGTTTCCATTGCTTGGGGAGAAGACCAAAAACACACATTAAACACCTGGAGAAAAAAAGTAAAACCACATTAAAGTGAGATTGTAGGAACTGACCAGAAATTTAGAAAAGAGAAAAACTCACTGCTGTGTGAAGAAGTCAAAGGAACTTCATGTTGACTTGAACAAGAAATTAAAGGAACCCCGGGCCTTGGCCTAAGGACAGACTGGAAATGGTGGTTTGGAGAGAAGAAATGAGGACAAAGGGAATGTGTGAGGAACAGTGGAAGGTAAAGTTGGCTGGATAAAATGAGACTTCAAAATGCCAGTTTGCGAAGCTTGAACTTGGTGCAATAAACAATCAAAGGCCATTTTAGATGTATATGAAAACAAATGGCATGGAAATGATATTGAAGCAGAAATCTGGTAGCATCCCCAGAACAGGAATTTCAGAAACTATTGCAGTGGCTTAGGTTTAAAAGACAAGAAACAACAAATGATCAGTTCCCCAGTGATCAGTGATAGGTCATGTTGATACCGTGTACCCACAGATACCAGGCAATGAGAAAGGCACATAATCTCTGTAGCATTCTTCCTAAACATCCACAGCTTCAGTCCAATCATGAGAAAACATCAGACAAACCCAAACTGAGGGATAGTATACAGAAACCAGTACTGTTCAAAAGTGTCAAGGTTTTTGAAGACAACTGACTGAGAAACTGTCACAGATTAGAGGAGGCTAAGAACACAGGAAAACTAACTGCAATATGGTATCCTGAATTGGGTCCTGGAATAGAAAACGGACATTAGTGGAACAGTTGGTGAAATTAAAATAAAATCAGTAACACAGTTAATAGTTTCGTATCACTGTTAAGTTTTTAGTTTCATTGGTTATATAAGCTGTTAACATAAGGCAATATGGGTGATGGGTATGTGGGAACTCCCTTTATTACCTTTGCAACTTTTCTGTAAGTCTAAAATCATTCTTTTTTTAAGTTAAAACAGCAAAACTACCAGTTCTTTTACCTGCTTCTAGCAGGTGCTCAAAGAGGGACAGAGCAAAACCTTGCAAAGCATGACATTAGAGGGTGTCCCAGAAGCAAGGGTCTTCTGTAGCCCCAGGCACTGCTGCTCCCAAACTGCATGGCCTTTCTTGGCAAATGATTTACAATCTCCGAACCTCAGGTCAATGTCTTAAAAACGGGCACAGAATGTCTTTTCAACAAATGGTACTAAGAAAACTGGATATCCACATGAAAAAGAGTAAATGTGGACTCATACCACATATGAAAATTAACTCAAAATGGATTAAAGGTCTAAGAGTTTAAATTATAAAACTCTTAGGAGAAAACATAGAGGAAAATCTTCCTAACATTGTATTTGGCTATGACTTCACTGCGACACCGAAAGCACACGCGACAAAATAAAAATAAAATAAAATAAAATAAGACCAGAAAAGCAAAGAAGGGCAGCATCCCTTCCCGTCCTGATAGCTGCCGGATTTTACCCCAATCGTGTTTCTGCTTCCAGGAGCTGTCCGCGCGTCGCCTCTGTTTTATCACTAAGGTTTTAATTGTGAATAAACAAGGAACTGGATTCGAATGATTTCTTAGTTTCTGAGATTTTTTTGTCTAAGCATCGTAGACTTCGTGCGTTCTCAACCCAACAGGAAGCGTCACATCTCAGTGAGCTTCGGCTCTCACAGCCCGAAACTGCAAGGAGCTCCTCTGCCCGGCCTCTCTTTACTCCTCCTCTCTGCCCCTCAGCTCGCTCATCTTTCTTCCCGCCCCCTCTCTTTTCCTTCTTTGGTTCTTTGAAGTGATGAGCTAGCGCAACCACAAACCATACATTCCTTTTGTAGAAAAACCCGTGCCTCGAATGAGGCGAGACTCAGAGAGGACCCAGGCGCGGGGCGGACCCCTCCAATTCCTTCCTCGCGCCCCCGAAAGAGCGGCGCACCAGCAGCCGAACTGCCGGCGCCCAGGCTCCCTGGTCCGGCCGGGATGCGGCCGGTACCCGCTCCCCGCCGGGAACAACCTCTCCACTCTTCCTGCAGGGAGCTGGTGCCAGCCGACAGCCGCGCCAGGGCCGCTCCGGGTACCAGGGTCGGATCGGGTGACGTCGCGAACTTGCGCCTGGCCGCCAAGCCGGCCTCCAGGCTGAAGAAGGACCCGCCCCGGCCTTGACCCGGGCCCCGCCCCTCCAGCCGGGGCACCGAGCCCCGGCCCTAGCTGCTCGCCCCTACTCGCCGGCACTCGCCCGGCTCGCCCGCTTTCGCACCCAGTTCACGCGCCACAGCTATGTGTCCCCGAGCCGCGCGGGCGCCCGCGACGCTACTCCTCGCCCTGGGCGCGGTGCTGTGGCCTGCGGCTGGCGCCTGGGAGCTTACGATTTTGCACACCAACGACGTGCACAGCCGGCTGGAGCAGACCAGCGAGGACTCCAGCAAGTGCGTCAACGCCAGCCGCTGCATGGGTGGCGTGGCTCGGCTCTTCACCAAGGTTCAGCAGATCCGCCGCGCCGAACCCAACGTGCTGCTGCTGGACGCCGGCGACCAGTACCAGGGCACTATCTGGTTCACCGTGTACAAGGGCGCCGAGGTGGCGCACTTCATGAACGCCCTGCGCTACGATGCCATGGTAAGACCCGAGCCCGCGCCCGGGATAGTAGTCCCGGACTGAGAGAGGAGCCGGGCTGGAAAAGCAGCGGATGGCAGAGTGTGGCAAGCCTAGGTCCAGGGCGCGGAGAGATGTGGGGATAAAGTGAGACTCCGGCCAGTGTGCCAGCTGGATGCATAGAAGTCCCTTGGACGATTCGTCTTAAACGGACGTTATTGCGCCCCCACTATGAGATGGGAGTATTTAGAGGAGCAGGACCCAGTCCTGCCTGCGAGGGGCTTAAGGTGGGGTGCGTAGAAGCACTGACAGTTATCCAGAGCTAGGGACTGAATCGGATCCCTCACGCAGCTCTCATTTACTGCTAGATCTTTCAAAGAATGCTTTATCTCAATCTAGATCTTTCGAAAAATGCTTTATCTCAATCTTATTGAAAGGGAAACCGCGTCGAAGAAGCTGAATAAATTAACAGGCACCATCCCCGCAAAAAGGGAGACGTGATAAGAATGGACACCAGATCTCTTTGACCCCGGAGCTTGAGAGTAATTAAGCTCACAGCTTTGGGGTAGATTCTCTGTTCAATTACCTTCTATGTGACCTTGAGCAAGTTATTTACTCTTTCTTGCCTCAGTTCTATCCTGTATAAAAATAAGGATTATAATTGTACATAGTGCACATAGTGTGGTCTCTATATTATTACCAGACACATAGTGTGGTGTCTATATATGTTGTTATTACCAGACACTATAATATAGGGTTAAGAAAAGGAAAGAAAGAAAGAAAGAGAAAGAAAGAAAGAAACTTCAGAGAGAGCCAAAATGTGGAAAGACTTGGGTTTCAAAGGATTTCAATAAAGTAGGTTTGGCGGCAGAGATTTAGGAAGAGTCCAACTTAAGAGATAATGGGCTCTTAAAACATGTGCAAAAGTTTAGTTCAAAGTCCCAAATGTTAGGTTAAAGGTAATGCCTTTTCTATTGCACTAAATTCTAGAAAGGGAGCAGAGGTGGTTGCACAGTAATAAATAAGTACAACCAAGATGTATATATGGTGGTTAAAAAAAAAATAAAACCACCACCCAAATTTAACCCTGTGTAAAAGCCTTGAGTAAAGGGATTCAGCAAGACTGTGGAGAAACTTGGGAGAAGAAAAAAGAGCTTTGGAAGAGGAAGAACTGAGAAATCTCCAGAGAAACGTCCAGAGAAATCTGTGAAGTCCACAAGTGTGGAAGGGAAAGGGAAGTGTGATTAGGCTGGGATACAGAAGGCTAACAGTACACTTTATATGAGAAGAGCTTAGAGGTCAGGAGAGCACAATGCTGAGGGGTTTGTTTGGTTTTATTTTCCCCTCTGGAAACTTGGAGAAAGGAGGACAGGAAAAGATGATAAGAGGGCACCATTGTTTGGTTTTAAAGGTCCCTCCCCAACCCCCCACAACAAGAAAGCTCATTTTAATGAGATGAGAGAAGGGGAGAAAGCTCCCTCCGTTCTGATGCTTTTGAGCTTATCAGGGACACCCTGCAGCAGAAATTCCAGCTGATCCTTCAGCCTTCAGAGTTGATGAGGTGGGGCTCACACACATCTGGATTTGAAGAAGAATCGTGGGTTTCAAGAACTCTGTGGTCTCTTAAGCATTGGTATTCCACAGCTACACTTCCCTGATACTTTGCACTCAGTAATGACAAAATAAATATTTGTAGAATTGAGTTGTTGCTACCCTGTGTCTCCACTTCCTCCCAGAAGGGTAGAATAAACTTACATGTGTTTGTTTTATTTTGCATATAAACCACGACTTTGTAAACTTTACTTTTTGTGACACTCTTTTCTCCACAATTGTGTGAACCCTTTTTAGTGGAAAAATAAGAATGAAGAATTCCTAGTTTTCCCTAATAATATTTCCCTCTTGTAAGTCTAGTTGAGCTCCTGGTGTTAATCATGGTATCAAATGTTTATGACAGGACATCTAGGTGAGGCCTGAGTAAACTGCTGTAAGTTACAGCCTATCTCTTCTGTGTTTGTTCAGAATCCTTTTTGTTGGATGAAATTACTTTCTTTCAAATTTTGCTCAAGAAAATTGAATTGGGTTCTGAGGAAAAATAGGCTACTTACGTAATGTTGGCAGGGGGTAAAGATTGGGAGCGGATCACATGGCAAGGTTAGATGGCTGTGTCCTCAGGACTTACTCTGTGCAGTTTGGGGGTGTGTCAAACATGATTTGACGTGCATAAAATCCCAGTTCTGTAGTGCTAAAGCATGTGCTAAAGCTCTGCTGTACTCCAGTATTGCACAGATGTTTCACTGTCAATTGTTTATATTATACTAACCCTCAGAGAATTTATTGCTGTTGTGGTATAAACGTTCCTCCACTGTAACCACTCACCGCATATTGATTCCTAGGACACTGGGGATTCAAATCAGGGTGGAAAACAGTTGTGGAGGGGCATCTCCAGTTTCCTGGAGACTGGACCTAGTTCAAAGGAGCCACATAAAAGGACTGAAGCATATGGAGGACAAAGAGGAATTTCCTAGAATCCAGCTAAAACACAGGAGTCCCCTCGAGCAGGAACTTCCAAGGAGGTGTACACTTTCTAGACCTACTGGAGTAATCCTGATTGCTGTAGAGGACCCAGGGCAATCCTGGAGACCCCCTGGAACCACTACTAGGCAGAAAACTGGGAAGAGGATGGCAAAACTCTCCAGTTAGTGTAGCTGTCTCAGTGGAAGGACTGTTGTCCCCTGAGGCACGAGGAAGACAGCATGGAAGCACTGACAGTATGCGCTTGGCCTGGTTACTTTCTCTGAGCTTCATGTTCCTTAGCTGTAAAACAGGAGTGATAACCCCCATCTTGCAGAGGTTTTGTGAGGAATACATGAGATAATCCCTGCTGGTGCTCACTGAAAGTGAGTTTCATGTGCCCTGGGTGGGGAGGAGGGGAATTGTGAGGAAGGGAAGGTTTGGGTTGTGCATCAGATTATCTGATTCTCACAGCCTGGCACAGTCTACCACCTGCCTGCCCTCTACCATCTTACCTAAGTACCATTGCCTAAACTATTTTTGCTATAGTTACTCATTGAGCAGACTTATGAAATCTCCCCACAGCACAAAACTGAAGGTATCCACCTCCAGAGGTGAGATTCTCACCAAGACAGGCTGTGGGGAAGGTAGCTTTGAGCAGGTCTCTAGGGTCCCCTAGAAAGGTGCCTTTTCTCTGCTTGGCTGCTGCTTCTGAGGCCCTGGCTGCTGAGCCCACTTCCTGCCCATAAGGCTGCAGCCTTAGCCCTAGCCAATTGCTCCTAAATGGGGGAGGCAGCAGCCAGGGTGGGAACCATGGCCCCCGCCTTTAACTCACCCAGGGGACAGGTTAGTCAGATAGATGGTCCTTTGTTCGCCACCCTCCACCTCCCACATAGACAACATTCTAATGTGTTTGATGGACTGCATATAGTTTTGTTTCTACATGCACTTTCAAAACCTTTGTGTGCTTATATTTTATAATGGCATACCCAGTCCTGTTATTTAGCCCTTTCTGTTTCTTACTTTTGTCCTGAACTTATTGTTTTTATGATTTGTCCATGTTGCCCTAGATGCCCTTATACCTATACATCACTGTGAATTGTGCTCTGTGTATTTTACCCATCTCCACGTATTTTACCCATCTGCTCCCTGGCTGATGGGTTTGGAGATGGCGTCTAACACCCTGCCTCCACAAATAATGCTGCTCCAGATATCTTCCTGGATGGTCTCACCAGATGATTTCTACCCAGGAGCAGAATTGCTGGCCACAGGGCATACTTTGAGTACTACAAGACTGGTTTCCTCAATGACTGACATCCTCCATTCTCTTCCACCTACTCCCATCCCCAAACAGGACATGTAAATTTCTATATTTTACCTATATATCATGGCAGTATCCAGCTTTATTGTAGGTGTAAAATACACATTGCTGCTTTATCATGTACTTTTCTAATAACTAGTGAGTTTGGACATTTTTTGATATGTTTGTTAACTTTTTAAGCTTCCTCTTCTCTAATTGCTTATTCATATTCTTTGGTATTTTTTAAATTGGGTTAGCTTTATATTTTTTGACTTTCAGGAGTTATAGGTTTTGATCTGTGATCAATTTTAGACATTGCAAATATATTATGATGATATTAGGTCTATTAATTTTGTCCATGGTATCTTTCATTGAACAGAAATTCTTCATTTCTTGTAATTGAATTAATCTTTTTTTCCTTGTGGCTTGTGCTTTTGAAAGTTTGCCTAATAGTTTGCTAATTTAAAGCTTATCACCTTTAACACTCCTCACTGGAAATTCAGAGATCACCACGGTTCTCTCTGCCTTTTAAGAGATAAATCTACAATCTGTGGCTATGCAATTCACTTCTCAGCATCACCAGTTCCTCATCTATAAAATAGAAGTTTGAACCAGCTTACCTCTGAGGTCCCATACATATTTGAACAACTGGAGCCCTACAGTGAAATGTTTTGATTCAGTGAAGGGACAGGAGGATGGGGCAAAGGTGTAGAGGCAGGAATCTACACAATGGACCAGGTTGGACCAGAGTGAGGTAGCAGGAATCATGGCAGAAGAGGTTGTGTAAACTCTAAAGGCCACCTGAGAAGTTTGAGTTATGTTGCCATGGGCAGCCATGTGGTTTCTGCGTAGAAGACCACTGTGGTATAATAAAAAATAAATATTTGGTCCTTGTCCCCAGTACCTGTCACAGAGTTCCTAAAACCCTAGAAATTTCCTAAGTAATAGAAATGTCCTTTGTGATTCATAATAAACCCCATGATAATACCTGGGTTTATGCTCCTGCAGACTTAGGGTGAGATCCCTAGATAGCTTCAAGATGGAACCAGTCACCAGCAAGTCCAAGAGATTAGGGGATCAAAGAGTTGGAACTTTCGGTACCACCCACCAAAGTCCAGGAAAGGAGGGTGGGACTGGAGATTCAGCTCTACAAAAACTCTTGAACAAGATGTGAGGAGCTTTTTAGTTGCTGAGCATTTGGAGGTTCCTGGAGGGTGCACACCCAGGTAGGGCATGAAAGCTCCGCATTGCCCCCATATCTTGGCCTATCCATTCTTCACTTGGCTGTTCATCTATATCCTTTGTATAGCCTTTATAATAAACCAATGAGTGAGTTCTGTAAGCTGTCCTAGCAAGTTAATTGAAGCCAAGGAGGAAGTAATGGAAACCCCTGATTTATAGCCATTCAGCCAGAAGCACAACCTCAGGCTTGTGATCAGCCTGAAGTCAGGGCAGTCTTGTAGGATTGAGCCCTTAACCTATGGGATCTGACAATGTCTTGAGATAGTATCAGAATTGAATTCAATTATAGGACACTCAGTTTGTGTTTTCTGGAGTACTGTTTGGTGTCTGGGGGAAATCCCACACACATCTGGTCACAGAAGTATTCTGTGTTCAGTGTGACAGTAGAAAAAGCAGTTTGTGTGTATGTGTGTGTTTGTGCTTTTGTATGCTAATGAGATGATCTATGGCTGGGGGCCCTTAGATAGCTTCGGGAAGGGGGCTGGTCGCCAGAAAGACTAATTTATGACTAGAGGGTTAGAACTTTCAGCCCTACCTCTCCCACTTCTAGAGGGTAGATGGGCTACAGATTGAGTTCGGTCTCCAACAGCCAGTGAATTAATCAATCATGCCTTCACGATAAACCTTCATGAAGACCCCTAAACAACCAGATTCAGAGAGCTTCCAAGTTGGTGAACATATTGAGGTGCTGGGAAGGTGGTGCACATGGAGTGGGCATGGAAGCTTTGCCCATCCACTCCCATGCCTTGCCCTGTGCATCTCTTCACTTGCTTGTTCCCTAGTCGTATGCTTTATAATAAGCCAGTAAAGTGCTTTCCAAGTTCTGTGACTCGTTCTAGCCAATTATCAATCCCAAGGATAGGGTCATGGGAACCTCCAATTTATAACTAGTTGGTTGGGAATACAGGTGGCCCAGGACTCTCGACTGGTGTCTGAAGTGGGGGCAGTCTTGTGCATTTGAGCCTTCTCACTTGTGGGATCTGATGCTAAGTCCAGGTAGAGAATGTCAGAATGCATCTGAATTGTTGGACACCAAGTTGGTGTCCACACAGAATTGGGGAATTGGTTGATGTGAGGAAAAACCCTCCCAGCTACATAGGGAAATCACGGTTTTGGAAGATGAGCAGAAAAGGGTGGGAGGGAGAAGACAAGAGAGAAGAGGGTGAGGAAAGAGGCCAGGCAGCAGTCCAAGTGTGAGATGATAACACCTGAACTCTGGTAATTGAGGAGACCAAATCCACGGGAACCAGCTGCAAAAGGCATTCTGTCTGGTAGGTATAGGGCTAAGGGAGTAAACGTGGGGGTGAGACTGGGATCAAGTCCCCTTCCTACCACTTAGAATCTGTGGACTGGGAGCAGGTTATTTAATCTCATGAAACCTCCATTTCCACATGTGTGAGGTATGTGATTGTTGTCTCCACCCCTAGGGTGCTGTGGGGTTTACAAGAGATAGTAGTGCACATAATGTGCTTAGCACAGGGCCAGCCCCTAGTAAGTGCCGGCTGTACTTGCCTTCTCTTTGCAGGGGTGGCTCAGGAGAGGGTGTAATCAAAAGATGATTATGAGGGTTCAAGCACCAGGCAATGGGAGAGTCAGCAGGTTTTAATGCTTCCACACAGAGGCTGGATTCTTCTACTTCCGCTTACCGCTGACAGCTGAGGCCTGCTACCTCAAGCCCTGAAATGCAGTCTGAAGACTTTTCCTGGACTTACTGGGCACCATTGGACTGTACAGGGCTGTGGCAGACAGGAGCAGTGGAAAGAGATTTGGATGGGACGTCAGAACACCCAGATTTTACTTCTTGGCTCTTCCACTTACTAGCTGTGTGAATTTGGCAGTGGTTTCCTTATCTATAAAATGGGGGAATTGGAGAGGGTGGTCTACTGCATGTTACTTCTCAGCACCTCAGCTCCTCCCCACCCCTCTCTCTTGCTTCTAATCTGCCTACATCACTTGGTTTGTCTCTGGACAAGTCTAAGTTTGCATGACAACTCTCTAATTTCTCCTTCACAGTTATTTATTTATTTTTTGGCAGCTATTTCCTTGTGGAGAGATAGCGTAGGTCTTTCAGGTGCTTCCATTTGGCCACTGTTTGCAGGTGAAGAGGTTTCCAGGATGCTCGCGGGATGTTACTCTGGTAGTAACAGAAATGATGGCCTGGGGAATGGGAAGAGTATGAGCCCAGTTTTGAGCCTGAGTCTTTGGGGCTCATTTATTCATTCAATCTGCAAATCTTCATTCAGCATTACTACATGCCAGGCTCTCTGCTAAGTGCTGAGGATAGCGATCAGGACCTGCTAGGGTGAAAATTACTCTTCAGAAGATAGCAGAGTGGATAATGGCCATTCGAGTTCCTCTTAACTACACAGAGGGACTGGGTAAGATCTATAAAGGAGAGAGGTTAAACAGCAAAGCAAAAGTGACTGAAATTCTAACACCCATGCATGGGGATTCTTGAGCTAAAGATCTGGTCTGTAGAAGAAGACACATCAGACCCTCATATTTAGCATCTAAGCCGAAATCAGCAGTAAGCATGTTTCTTCTCCCATAAAAACTTGTCCCTAAGAAGAGAGACAAGTGCTTACAAGGACTCTTATGTTAAAGGAAACTGTCACAATTACTTTATCTTCAGTCATGAAGCCTTTCTTGAGGAAAGAAAAATTAGCAATACTAGTTTGGGAAGCTTGAAAGAGAGATTCTGTTTGCAATGACACTTTTAAAAAGGCAACAACAACCAAAAAAGTAATTATTCCTAAAGCTCAGGTGTCAGAAGTTGTGAATGTCTAGGGGGTTGTGGATCCCCAACCTCAGAGACAGGAACAGCACCACTCCCATCCTGGGGCTGTGGCCTCAGGCCTCTGCTTCCTCTTTTTCAGTCTAAATTCCAGAGCAGAGAGGTGCTGGATGACCAGCTTCAGGCAGGGGAGGGAGGAAGTAAAGGTAGTTTCTCAGCTCATCTTGTCCTCGTACTATTAATAGCATCTGTTGTTTTCTTAACTGAAAATTGGAGAGAACCAAACAAATCAACATCATATTGGCGGCTTTCTGCACATCACTCACAAATACATCTGAATGCTCTGTACTCTCCAGTGTTTATTTTCCTCAGCCACATAATCGGAATTTGAACATTCTTTTGACACTTCTTTTCCCTCACTTGAATAATTAGTTCTATATATAATCCAAATATTAGCTGGAGCCCTCTAGCCCCTCAGAGATATAGTTGAACCTTCCTGGACCTCAATTAGTTGGGCAGTTAATTCTGAATGTTGATGTGCCTATTTTGCACGTATGGAGAGTTTGTACGTCCCCCCTCCCCAAACAAGTAGAATGCTGTCTATTTGGTACTTGCTCATTCATACATTCTTTCAACAACCAAACCCAGTTGCAGCTGGGTTGAACCCCAGGGTGTTTCCTGCTATTCAGTGTGATGCCACATTCACCTGCTGTGGCCAACATTCCTTGGCCCAGGACTGCAGGGATGGAAGCCAACCCAACATCAGAAGTGGGCAACAATGCCAGAAACCTATCAACCAAAACAAATGTAATTTGTAATCCTCCCTGGATGATGTTGAGTGATTGGCAACTGAGCCCCGTCATATAGTAAATCAGGCTGTCTCTCTTTAAAAAAGAGAGACAGAGAGAGAGAGAGTCTCCCAATGTTGCCTAGGCTGGTCTCAAACTCCTGGGCTCAAGCAATCATCCCTTCTTGCCTCCCAAAATGCTGGGATTACAGGCATGAGCCACCATGCCCAGCCTAGGCTGTCTCTTTAGCTCTTCAATTATAGGGCTTCCTGCAACCTCAGCCCTTAACGAATGAGCTAGCGTGTAAGTGACTAGCTAAATAAATGTGCTGCAAACCTCTGACAAATGGCTTTTTGACATTATTAAAATTTATTTATGTGGAACAAAAAAATTCTTTTCTTCTGCATCATGCATCCTACACTGCTTTTAAAGAAACTCTGCTATCCTTTGTTTTACCGTCTAACATTTCTTTGTTTCCCTTCTGACATGTTTCAGCCTCTTGTCATCACTTGGAACATTTTTACTGCCTCATCCCTCTAGTTTCCATTTCCTAGCCTAGCCCAGCCCAGTATTTTTGAAACCCAAATACCTGGAATTTTGCCTGATGTTTAAAGCCAAAACCAAATGAAAATGTGAAGAACCAAAGGAGATTTTATTCTTCTGTGACTCAAAATCCTGTTGTTATTGTTAAATGAACCCTGTGGGATACAGTCTGGTATTTTTAACACCTTCTGGGGGTATTTGTCAATATTTACATTTGATGTGGATAGCTTATAAAAGTCCAGTGGCTTTGGGTAAACCCTGTTCACTAAGAATAAGACCCAGAAGGTCATATGAATCAACGATCAAAGAATGAAGATATTCTGAATCCAAGTTTCTTGTTTTGATTATTAAAAATACCTTGCAATTAGTTAGGCATGAGAGAAAGCTTGTGTATAAAGTTTGGCTTGTAATTCACATGAATTCTCTATACAGGCCAAAAACTACCTTCCCTTTGGGAATATACAATGACCTTATTTGGAAATTACTTCAGGTAATTATGAAGTAATAATATCTCTATTCATATGCTAAAAAGAATTCAAAATAACATTCAATTATCATCTCTTAGAAACTAAATTAAACGGGTACTCACCCAAGTTGAAATGCAAACAAATGCATGATATCATTATGTGACCCTCCCCTAGCCCTTACCCTGTCCATGGCAGATGCTAAGAAAAACTTGTCCCTAAGAAGAGAGAAGTCAATTGATTTAGTCAGCCTTTCCCACTGTGTTTGGACTGAGCCTCAGAACCCTCCTTATCCCCATACTGCAAGGAGTTACTGTCAATCAACTAGAGATGGCGCTCAAGATAAAATTATTTTCCATCCTGTACTAATATAATAATAAGCATGGAATCTATTTATTGGTTTTTTCACAACAATAAAATATATCTTTAGCAAGTAACAAATGGTAGAGGTAATACTTTTAGATAAAGAGGGAAGAATCCTTCTGACTTTTCTCTTTATCACATTTTACCCACACACAATGTGGATGGAATCTGCAACTGAATTTAGCAGTCACACTGAAACTCTGCTGCATGACCACACTGTCCTGAGGCCATGTGCCAACTTCTATGTTTTTTTTTCCCAAAGCTCTTCCAAGGAAGAGCTGCCACTTCTCCATTTACTCTTTTCACCTGTAAATGAATGCTGCCGTTGGTATTGAGAAAATGGGTGAATGAAAGAAATCATGAGAACACTCCTGGGGTGAGAGCAAGAGGAATGAAAACACGTGGTGTGAGAGCAGGTCAGAGATGGTGGTTAACACAGGAACCAGGATGGAGGCCTCAGACTTGACCCTGGCCTGCAGGACGTTGGCCTGCATTGTCTGCAGGAGGAAACACAGAGGTCAGTGGATATCCTGCGGTCTTCCATTAAGGCCTCTTACTATTCTGGAACATTTTATTTTTATAGAGAAATCTCCCACTTCCTGATCTCCCCAGTTAGAATTGATTGATCAAAGCAGTCCCTCTCCCTGTTATTAAATAATTAAATAATATGCATTAGTTGATCCCTATAACCACTTAAAATGTATCTAACACAGGAGAAATCTTTGGTAAATATTTACTGAATGAATGAACAAATAAATAATTGGAGGGAGGGAGAAAGAGACAGAGTTAAATCCTGAGGCTGGAGTTTTTGGTCCTTCAGCCCCTTATCCCATTGCCCCTGGCAGCCCCATCCATGTGACCTTGAATTCTGTCCAAGTCTCATCACTTTCTATGTGTGTTGTAATGGAAAAAAGGTTACAAAACACAGTCTTTCTGGCCTGGAGTACCAAAATAGTAAAGACTTCTGTTTTGAAAGCCTCTGACAAATGAACACAACAGCCACAGTGATAACTTTAGCAGGAAATTGAACCACAAAAAGCAAGCGAGCCACAAAGCCCTGAAGGCTAAAAATGCCTCACAGGCCAAGAGGCAGTTAGGTTGCACCTGAGACAGAGGCTGCTTTCTTAACTGGGAAATGGGTGTCTCCAGATATATAAAGCTGTGAGGAGATCACCATGGCCCAGCTCTGACGAGCCACTGGTACAGCATTGTTGGTTAGTTTGCCTCAACCTGCAGCAGAGTTTTTATTCCAAGAGTTAACAGTTAGTTAGGCTTTTTCCAAAGGTTGAGATGACACCCCAACTCCCACACCCATTTCCGTCCTGCCCCAGCTTGAAACCAGGCAAAGTGAGTTAAGACATTGGGAGATGGGAGGGGACAGGAGGGGTAGAGGCCTGGCACCCCTCTCTCTTCTGTTTCAAGAGACACTTTGTGGAGTTGTCTAGAGAGACTGGGGGTAACTGCTCCTTCTGCCCCCAATCTCCCCTTAGCTCCCCACTCCTCCCTATCCTGCCAGGCCAACCACCAGCAGAGAAGGGCGCTTAGCTCCAGTGACGCTGTGAGTGAGGTACTTGTGAGGATGCATATGGTTCCTGTTGGAAATGCACGGAGGAGCAGTGAAACACCAGAAGCCCCATCCTCTCTCCTGCCCGTGCCCTCATGCCCAGCCAGCTGAATATTCCTGTGGCTTCCACTCCTGCACTGTCCCCTCAGTGTCACCTCCCCACCACATTCCCACAGCCCCACTTGCTGTGTCACCTCTCCCCTGAGGGAGAGGTGTCTTCCTGCCAGTCTCTTCACCACCAGGCTCACACAACTCCCATCCATTCACTGCAGGCTGCCAGACTGAGCTTTCCAAGCACCCCCGGACTGCCTCCAGCCCTACTTTCTCTTCAAGGCTTCCCACTTCCCTCAAAATGAAAGCCCTGACTCCTTGGACACCATACAGACCCTCCCTGATCTCCCAGCGATGCTCTTAGCAGCATCATTTTTTTTTCTGCCAGATTTTCAGGTGCCCTCAGTTCCAGGAGCACCAAATCACCTGGATGCCATGAGCTGCTTATGACACAGTTCAAGGTGTGACATCTTTGAGGTCTCTCCATAACACCTCTACTGCAGACGTCTGTCTCTGGTGTATCAGCTGTACCTTGCACACATGTCTCTAACCATCTGTCCACTGTGTCTGTCTGTTCACACATCAGATTGACCCTATGTTCTCTGTGACACCAGGTGAGCTCTGGCACCAGTGCCCAGCAGATGATTACTGAATGATTAATAAAACTACTCACTCCACCTGCTGCTTTTAAATGGGCTCCATTTTGGTATGATTTGGTGCGTGAACCATTAAAACTTTTCAGAAGTCAGGATTTGAAACAAACTTGGTAAAAAGTAGTTAAGCAATGTCTTCGTTGTAAAGTGAGAAACCAAGTTGCTTGGAAACAGGTGAAAAGCTTAGCCAGCAGCTTCACAATTCACAGCCTGGCACTCCAGTAGCCCTCTCTGGACAATTGCCCAGGTTTTCTTGTTTTCATTTCTGTGTTTTAATTTACAAGTTACCTTTATATTTCTACTAATACCTTACTGGCACTTGTTTGTGAATGAAACAATTTTTTTGAGAGTTTGTTAATTGTTCTGTGTGAGTGTGGAAAGTTTCTTTCATATAAGATCATCAATTCTTTTTTTAAAAATAGTGTTTTAGGTTTTCTCCTACATAAAGAAAGTGGTGGGGGTGAGGAGCTGGGGGTGGACCAGATGCTCACATTGTATTTCTATGATTTTGCTGTTGGAGATACTGAAGATCATTTTGCTGGGCTTTGCTCTCTTAAATTACAGAAAAGTGCATTTGGTGAAGTTTAGTGTTTTTAGTAAACATATACAAGATGTCATAGGGATAGAATTAGTGAAGGAATAGGGTTCGTGAATGAATGAGCTCAATCTTAGTAATGAAATGTTTGGAAAGCAACAGAACAAGAGAGAAAGAGCATCAGAACATGATTTAGGTACCCCATACATTTATACAAATAAAAAAAAGATCTGATTTAGGGTCATAGAAATCACATACCTAAACTGATGGTTAAACAATAAGTGGCAAGTAACAGTTTAGCTACAAAAAATGTACAGGAACACATAAGGAAAGTTACATGGGAACTTTCAGAGAGGACCAAAAAAGGTGGAATAAGATTATCTGCTCTGTTATGATCCCCTGTATTTCTCTGCTCTATGTTCTTCTCTTGGGCAGTCTTTTCCTGAGATGTTTTCATGTTATTAATCAAAAATAATAGAAACGAATAAACTAGATCAATGCATTTACAAGATTTTTTGAGTGCCTGCAGTATGCCTCGGTGTGGTGGGAACTTGGTGTACTGAGGTGAGTAGCATGATCCTGAAGAGCTTAGGAATCACTGAGTTCTCGTAAGTGCAATAGAAGAAAAACTGGTAGAAGGAAGTCAAATGAAAATACAAGTTTCTAAAGAAAATAAGTATTTACAAAGGAATTTGTCTGCATTAATTTCTGTGGAAAAGTTAGCTATGTATAGAAGAAAGAAACTTGTTAGTAATTCTTTCATTCATTCATTTATTCATTCAACAGTGAATCCCTGCCATGGTAGTACTAACTACTTGCACTGTGGTAGTGCAAGGGATACATTTGCTGTGCAAGTAGTTAGGAATTTTTTTTTTTTTTTTTTTTTTTTTTAGTGCTTTGTGTATGCTAGGCTTTATGCAAATATACAGCCAAGCACAGAGGTTAAGAACTTTGGAATCAAACCGAAGTGGTTCTAGTCCCAGCTCCCCCTTACAAATTGTGTGATCTTCAACAGTTCATTTAACTTCTCTAGATCTCAGATTTTCTCATCAGTAAAATGAGTGCAGTAAGAGTACCACCCTCACAGCATGAAATCAGATTTTCTGTACTCTTTACTAACTCACTTTCCATGACGCTGGCATGTGGCAAGTGCTGACTCAATACTGGCTCATTTCCTTAACTGCTTTTATTTTATTCATTCACTGCCATTCCAGAGGAAACTGCGGTTCTGAGATGTGCCCTGGGTCACTGCTGAGGAGCGGACGGAGCCTGGGAGGGAGCTACCCCTGCCTTGTTTCCTCACACTTTATGGGGTGGGTGTCAGGAATGAGGCTGGAGGGGAAGGCAAAACCAGATCCCTAAGAGCCCCCTGGACCCTGCTTAGGGTGTTTACTTCTATCATAAAGGCTGTGCTTCTGTAGAGACCTAAGGCAGAGAGTGCCAAGGTCAGGTTTGCATTTGAGAAAAGTTTTTCTGGCAGCAATATAAAGAATAGTTTAGCAAAAGAAATGAGAATAGCTGGAAACCCAGTTAGGAGGCTGTGGTAGTCCAGGAGCACACTAAGGCAGCAACAATAGGTGGATGGAAACTGGAGCATTTAGGTAAGGGAGAGGGATGCCAGAGGACGTGATGGTGAGGGAGAGGGAAGAGGGTGGGACTCCACCGCACCAGGGCTTCTGGCTTTATTGACTGGGTATATGGTGGCATCCTGGGCCAAGACAGTGAGTCACAGGGAAGAGGCTTTGAGCCTGGTAAGCTTGGGACACTTTTGAGACATTGGGAGGAAATGACACATGGCAGTTGACATACAGATCTAGACGTCAGGAGAAAAGTCAGGGCTGGAGATTTTCGGTTTACAGTTGAAGGTATGAGTAGGAATGAGATCATTTACTCAGTCCATCCCACCACATTGAGCACCATGAATAAGGGGCTCCTCTCCCCATGGGGCAAGAGAGGTGAAAAGACAGTCAAAGTCACTACTTTCAGGAGGATTAGGCTCAAGTTAGGATGGGGAGGTGGAGAAGGCATCAAACAAATAAATGAAAACTATAACTTCAGTTATTGCCAAGTGCTAGGAATATAATGTTGCTGTTAAACTGCAAGGTGGCTAACAAGTTGGATAGTCTTTCTTGAAGAACTGTAGAAACATTCATTAAAAACAAAATAATTTTATAGTTAAGCAAGAAAGTGATTGTACTATAACAAGGGAGACTTATTTCACCATAGGAAAAAAATCATAACATTCTAAGAATAGAAGGAAAAAATAACAATTACCCAAGCCTGCAACAACCTGTAAGACCAGATCAGCTTTTAAGAGGAAAGTTAATTAGATAACAGGAAGAGGTAAAAATGAGATCATCAGAGATGGGGGAAAAGGCAAATTTAGAAATTCTGAATTTAATAGGGGAGACAAGTATGTAGGAATATAAACACATTGTGCTTTCTCTGCACAAACACATTCACATGAGGATGTATACACAACCCTTGCAGGCACAGGTACTCAGTGAATGCCTGCGTGCCAAGGAGGGGGACAGCACTGAGCAGGAGAGGTGGCAGGGCCTGGTGGCCCAGGAGCACTCATATAGTCAGGAGACTGATATAAAAGAAAGATCCTGCTAACATGCCATTACAGAGTATGGAATGAGCAAGGAAGGAAGAGGGTGAGGCTGTAAGAGAGTGCACAGGCCCTCATTTAAATGGACGGGTCACCAGCCAGTACTTCATGCCTGTTCCTAGATGACCCACAAAGTGAAACGAAACTGGATGTGGTATTTAGCAAGTCTGAGATTTGCTGGTTTAAGTACTAAGTTAGCAAACCAGCCTTGGCAGCCAGAGCAGGTAGGGTAGGGGGCCCAAGGAGATGGGTGTATCCAGGAGGCCAATGGAGGAAGGAGAGGAAGGTTTTCTGGGAAGCCAGCTGACATGTCATGCTTTGTCAGTGGGGCCTCTGCATGGATTCCCTCCACTCCCCCCCAGCCCCCAACTCACTACGGGGAGCTGCAAAATGACAGACAATGGGTGGTTTTGTACCCAGCAGCCACTCCTCAACCAGTGAGGAATGGGAGAGAGATAAGAAGGTGGGAAACAAGGATTGCTTGTCACCATCCCTGCTCCTCCTGAAGCCCTGCGCTGGGAGCAGGTACAGAACCCGCTGAAGGTCACCTAATCATTTCACCATGGAGTTCTTCCCCAGATGTGAAACTGCTGGGACTGGAGCAAAGGGTGCCCAGAGCTGACTGGAGGAGGAAGCCAGAGCCACACTGGAACATATGGAGATGCTAGCTCCTGCCTGCTATTGAGGAACTTCATTTTCCCAGAAGAATTAGAGGACCACAGGAGTGCTTGGGAAGAAGCAATTGTGGCAACCTAGGTGAATGATGACCTAGGAGGTGAAATGAGGAAGGAGGCCTTTGGTCTCTGCCAACCATACATTTCAGGTTGCCTTTTGCTAAAGTCCTGCTGATGTTAATCATTCTCTCCAGCAGATCGCGGCTTGAATCATGGGGTCTGAAATGTGGGTTTATGAGAGAAAAACAACATGGAAAAATTGGGCAGAGGCTGGTAAATGTGAACATTCAAACCTGCCCCCAATCTGAGATGGTGGGACAGTGGACCCCTGGCCAGCTCTCCAGGTGTTGCGTATGCACATTGGCAAACCACCTTTATTAGGTGGTGTGACACCTGGGTAGCAATTCTCAAGCAATGTGATGATCTGAATGTCCCTGGGCCTGACCCAGGTGAGGAGGACACAAAATCATGCAATATGTCTCATAGAGCTTAGTCAGTTTTGAGAAATACTGGACTAATGTTATGTTTTTAAAGCACCTAATTCTTTTTCTCTTTTCTGTTTTATCTAGGCACTGGGAAATCATGAATTTGATAATGGTGTGGAAGGACTGATCGAGCCACTCCTCAAAGAGGCCAAATTTCCAATTCTGAGTGCAAACATTAAAGCAAAGGGGCCACTAGCATCTCAAATATCAGGACTTTATTTGCCATATAAAGTTCTTCCTGTTGGTGATGAAGTTGTGGGAATCGTTGGATACACTTCCAAAGAAACCCCTTTTCTCTCAAATCCAGGTATTTTCTACTTTTATAGCACTCAATGCTTGAAAATAGATGCCCTAAATCACAGCTTGGCATTATATTTATGGACTGTAGATAAAAGTAGGAACAACTGGGTAAATAGTGCACTAGAATAACACTGATAAAAGCAATCTGGTAAATTCTATGCTGTTGTTCCAAGGTACTTCTTAAAGAGATGTCCTCTTCTGCTCAGTGAACTTCTTTGTTGACAAAAACAGTATCTTTGTCTAATTCAGTGCTTTCAAAATGGGAAGAGGAGACAATGTATAGCCAGTGCTAAACAGTACAGTTTCATTTACTAGAGAATGAGAGCCTCAAAACTCACTGCCCTTCTCCTGTGGAGCCATGAGCACAGAGCCAGAGTTTTACCTCAATTTACCTTATTGCTCCTTTTCTAGGATGATTATTACATGTCCAGCTAACTCACCTTTCTCGCTTTTCATTATTCATCTCGTTTTAATGACATTCTTGTATCTGACTTTCTGGGAAATATATATAGTGGTCTTATGATATATATGGATATATATAAGTGTATGTATATACATTTATAGACATATATACACATATGTATATATAATATATATAATCTTAAGACACACACATACATATATGACACATATACATACATACATATAAGACACACACACATATATAATCTTAAGACCCTTCAAGAAACTATTTTGAGGCACTTTTATAAGAAAACTTTTTGGAATATTTTGGCAATGAGAACAAAAATGACATTTTCTTTAAATTATCCAAATTAAATGTGTTTCCATATTTGAAGAAAAAAAGGGAAAATAGGAGCCAGGGTTATCTAGAAACATGAGTTTTCATTAAGAACTAACTGATAAAGGACATATAATTGACAATTCAAAAATATATATTTACTGTTGTTGTTGTTATAAAATAAATAAGTCCAGGCCATTGGAAACAACAACAGAAAAGTCAGCTGTGTTTGCTGAGAGCAGCAAGCGGGTCCTGCAGCTGGCATAGAGGCAGAGCTGGAGGCAGGGTGGAGCGGCTGGGGCTGGAGTGGTCAGTGAGAAGAGTGAGAGAACTTGCTAAAGAACCCCCCAACCCCACCCTGGGGTCAGGTTTACTTGCTGAAGAACCTCCTTGGTCCCCTTGAGAGCTGTGTAAAACATCCCTGGGGCACAGGACATTCCAGAAGTGAGGTCAGAGTCACAAGCTAGGATGCAGGCTCCATGAGGACAGAAACCTCTGCTGTCTCACTATTGCCCAATGACTGTGCACAGTGCCTGGCATATGATAAGTCCTCAGGAAGCATTGCTGGGATGAATACATGAGAGCAGGAAGGTATAGGGGCCACAGTCACAGAACAGCAGATAGTTCCATTTCCTGGAGCATGGGTTCTGACTAGGAAAAGCTAGAAAGTTGGATCAGGGCTAGATTGTAGGGCTGAGAAGTTCAGGTGTGATTTGGAGGAAAGCATTGTCTCTTCTTTAAAAGGCACCCATAAGGAGGTAGGAGGTGCAGGTCTTGGTGGAAAGGCACAGCAGCTCCAGAAATCAAACTGCCCCAGCTGGGACTCTGACCAGCCCTTTACCAGGCTGTAACAGAGAGGGGATCAAAAGTGACACTGCTGTTTCCAGCAGCTGCTGGAAGAGAGGGCTGCATTTTGCAGGGCCCAGTGTGGGGGGAAAGGGATGGGGTGGAATAGAATGTTTCCAGGAGCACTGCTTCTTCCAAGACTACAGGCCCAGCGGCCTGGTGTGGGTTCTTCCTACAGTTCTTTGACCCTAATCAAGCCCAGTTCTCCCAGTCCTAGTGGCCTGGGCACCCACAGGGTTATAACCTGTATTTCTAGCACATTTAATCTAATTTATTTTAGCTAGATCATTAAATACCTGAAATACAACTCTCCTCATGACATCTTGAAATATAAGCCATGCTTTGTATATATGGGATGCCTGGTCCTGTGAGGTTTCTGATATAATAGAGGAATACATTCCTTTGTCCTCAGAGGCATTTCTCTGAATTTTTTTTCCTTCTTGGCAGCCATACCTTAAGCAAAAGATGGTAGCATACTCTCGACATTTAGTCATTCCCCTGGGTACCTGTCTGTGTGCCAGGCACTGTTTTAGGCACCAGGGATACTGACCAAAAAAAAAAAAGTTGCCCACTGGAGCTTACATATTCAGTGGGGGAATCAATAAATGAGTAAATGGTTTGGTATGTCAGAAGGTGCTAAGGCTGTGGAGAAGAATTAAGCAGGAGGGGAATGGCAAGTGCAGCAGGGGGGAAGGTATACCTTGTTGTTTCAAAGAGATGCTCAAGGAAAGGCTCACATAGAAGGCAACATAGCACTGAGGGTCAACGGGGAGCCCTGGGCTTCTTGGGGCAACCAACAGGAAGCAGATTGTCCTTGATGTTCTCATAATAGACAACAGTGGCAAAACTACAACTCTTGATTTTTCAACATTGCCTATGAGTTACAGACAGCCTTGCCTGTCCAACACATCTGTGAGCTGCTAATTATTAGGTTGTCATTCTGGGGCCTCCCTGGCTATGATGTCAGCCATGAATTATCTTCCATGGTAATTTGCACTTGTGGAGTTGGCTAATGTTAAGGATTCAGGAGTTCCCCTGCTGAAGCACACAGACATTCCTAAACCTCACAGTGGAACAAGGGATGCATTTCTAATAATCTTGTTACTCTTTGGATTAGTACTTTTCAAACTGGAGTTTGCAGACTCCTGCATTTTGAAAGCTTTTAATGAAATGTCATTCTCCCACCCTCCTTCCCTTGTTTAGTGTTAGTTCTTAGAAATCAGTGTAAGAACGTCTGGATCTACTGGAGGACTCCCTAGTCACAGAGTACCAGACATGACTTCAGGGCAGCATGTCTGTATTTGCAGTCATCTTCATGCCAGTGATAGCCATAAAACCTCAAAGCTTCCTCAAATGTGGCTAACAGAGCCAGTTGGAGGAACCAGTTGCCTTGCTGCACACAGAGAACCTGGGTTGCACAGTGAGAGCCATGCTTGACTACTGATAACAAAAGGCTATCGTTTGTTACCACTATGTGCAGTAATAAGCACCCAGGGAAGAATGTACACAATCCCAGTGCCAGCAACATTTAGATGAGGCCCTCATGATTAACACAGAGCTCAATAATGCTCTAATGCTGGCATTATTTATATATTTATATATTTTTTGAGGCAGAGTCTTGCTCTTGTTGCCCAGGCTGGAGTGCAGTGGTATGGTCTCGGCTCATTGCAGCCTCCGCCTGGCAGGTTCAAGACATTCTCCTGCCTCAGCCTTCCAAGTACCTGGCATGTGCCTCCACGCCTGAATAATTTTTGTATTTTTAGTAGAGACAGGGTTTCGCCATTTTGCCTGGGCTGGTCTCAAACTCCTGGCATCAAGTGATCTGCCTGCTGCAGCCTCCCAAAGTACTGAGATTACAAGCGTGAGCCACTGTGCCTGGCCTGCTGGCATTAAAGAGAACATGACAAAGTTATCAACTGCCATATTAAAATAGGCATTCAAGGACTACTTGCTGACAGTTTTAAGTTTGAACACTGATTATCCCAAGTTTCCAACGAACGTCTTGGAGTTGCTAATACTCTTTTGTGTATCATGCTTACGTGCTTAGGCATTTTCTGCATTGGTATTGTGGAAGTTGAGATGTACAAATATATAAAACAATATCTGAAGCCTCCTCACAGTTTGCAACCAAGTTCAAGCAAAACAATATCCACAACCTTAAACTAATACAACATAAAGTGAATGTAATGAGGATATTGATTTGAATTTTTATTTACTTCTTAGGGGTTTTGTATTTAATGAATAAATATGTTTTGGTTTTACTGACTCTTGAGCTTTAGTAAATTAAGGTGTTTAACCTTTGCATGTTAATATGTATATTAAGTAATATAATAAAAATTGTTAATAAATATCCATTTTATTTATTTTGTTCCTTAGGGACAAATTTAGTGTTTGAAGATGAAATCACTGCATTACAACCTGAAGTAGATAAGTTAAAAACTCTAAATGTGAACAAAATTATTGCACTGGGACATTCGGGTTTTGAAATGGATAAACTCATCGCTCAGAAAGTGAGGGGTGTGGACGTCGTGGTGGGAGGACACTCCAACACATTTCTTTACACAGGTAATTGTTTCAAAAGGATTGCATGGGCCAGGATGTCCAGATAAGCACTGTGTCTCTTTTGCCTTTGTAACTGTTATTACTCTTTTTACTGCTATTTAATATGTAATGTATATTATATGATCTATAATATATATGTAATATACATTAAATGGGAACATGTGCAAATCTTACAAACATTACTAAGAATTTATTGATTTCATGATTATAAGTCAATTCCATATATTTATGTATATAATAAATATATAAGACATAAAATATGTATAAAACATATATATACCATACATATGAAAAACAAAAAGACTATTGAGCCCCAACCAAGTCATTTATGATAGATTCTTATCAAAAAGCAACATGTCATATAAAAACTTTAAGCATAAACAAAATAATGTAAATAAGGACCTTTATAACTCAAGGTGGATTTGATTTGTAGGTTGCACAGGTAGCAGAGGCTGGACCTCGAGTGTGAGTCCTAACTCTGCTGCAGACTAGGAATATAAGTATCCTGGAAGCCACATGACCCTGGGTCCTCAGGAGAGCATGCACTCTTCCTACCCACTACCTGACTACCCCCACCACTCTCTTTTTTTCTCTCTCAAATTGGTGTTAAGTAGTTTTCATCAGAATAACTCTTTTATGATTTTTCCACTTTAAACCTATAATGTCCCAAAACTTTTGAATCTGGTTCCACCTTTCCCACTTCCCCCACCTTGCACTGCATAGATCTTTGAAGTATTCCCAAGGAAAGGAAGAAGAGGCTGGTAAACAGTTCTTCTATCAGCATTCGCAAAGAAGGCTTTGGCGTGGGAACAGCCCTCCCCTTGAAGAGGCTCCTGCTTCTACCATCCTTATGTGGGCTGTCAAAGACCATGCTATTTTGATAAAAGCGAAACTCAAAATACCCCAAACAATAAGTAGGAAATACCCAAAAACATTAAAAGGGATTATCACTAAGAAAGTAATTTTTATTTTCTTTCTAGTACTTTGGAGTATTTTCAAATAATGAATGCATGTTACTTTTGCAATCGGAAAGCAAAATATAAATTATAAAAAGGAAAGAAACACAATATTGGGTCAAAAGTCCCCATTCCTAATTCACTTGAATGACTTTGAGCAGGTCACTTAGCACCTCTGAATCTGCTAGCTTAGCTTCAAAATAGGGGATGATCATGCTCAAAGTTCCACGTTACTGTGAAAATTATATGAGATGTAAAAATATGTGAAAGCAGTTTATAAACTATAAATAGCTATATTCTGGTATGCAGCGTCATGGAGGTTGCCTGCTTATAAAAATATGTCAGTCAAAATCATAACTCACAAACTAAAGTTGGCCTTCACTTAAGAAAATACCAGTATGAATGTGTGCTAATTAAATTCCTTCACAGATATTTTACTTCTTGGTAAACACAGGCTAAGGAATAATTTCAAACTGAGTTAAACTGACAGGTTGTGAAATCAATTTATGGGTTATGACCAGTAGTAGGGCTTTTTTTTTTGACAGATAAGACTAAAATAGATTAGGCACTTACATTACTCATAAGAATGATAAATATTGTTCCATGGGAAAAGATGTATATAAGATGTCAAGAACAGCCCCAGGCACATAGCAGACAATCCATAAATGTGATGAGGATGACGACTAGCACTGGACATTGTTAGCATGGATAACATTGCAATCAAAGAGTTTCAACAACTCCATGAGGGTTAAATGAACTAAGAGAGCCAAGACGAGGAAATAATTGGAGCAGGTCACTGGGAAGCACTGGGTAGGGGTGAAGACTCAACAAAGTCCTTCTGACTCTACCACTAATGGTGGGGTCCTTTCAATGCCTGATTACCCTCATCTGTGGAATGAAGGTGATAACAACAGTACCTATTATAAGGGGTCACTGTGATTTAATATGTGTAATGAATGTATAGGTAAATGGCCTTAGCACAGGGCCTAGTATGTTAGCTGTTCTTATTTTAGTTATGTGCTGGCTCACTGGATAAGACCTGTGAAAACCCAAACCTTAGCTTTTCACTGAGGCAGTGTCAGCACCCTTGGACACACAGTGGGAGCTAGATATGTCTCCTCCCCCTTCTTCCTTTAGAATAATGGTTTCAAAAAGTTTAAACTATGACCCGTAGTAAGAAGAACATTTTAGACAGGGAGCCAAAACACACAAACATATATGTGTGTGTGCGTTCACATACGAACATGCAAAAGCACTTGTATGTGCAAACACATACAAGTGAAAGAAAACTTTCACAAAGCACATGGAATGCACCCCAACTTTTCTGTTTTACTGTTTTATTCACTTAATGCCAGCTACCACTCATTGAATTGATTTTCTTGTACTGTAGTTAATCCATGTTTCTAAAAACTCAGCTTTAAATGGGACGTGACCAAAATAATGCATGAACACTCAAAGGAGTTTCATCCCTTCATTCAGATGTGAACATTCCTGTGTTCCCCTTGACTTGTCTTTACACCATCTTAATCAATGCTGTCTTACAGCAACAATTAGTCATTCATAGCCTGTGGTTTGTGTCCATCAGTGAGTGTGCCCTGATAGACCTGAAAAGATTGGGAGACCATGCCCAGCTTCCCATTATTTCTGTAGCCTGTCCTTTGTTCCCATAACAGTACAGTCATGCCTTAGTATCTGTGGGGGATTGGTTCTAGAACTCCCTGTGGATACCAAAATCCATGGATGCTCAAGTCCCTTATATAAATGGTGTAGCATTTGCATATGACCTGTGCACATCCTCGCATATATTTTAAGTCATCTCTAGATTACTTATAATACTTGATACAATGTAAATGATATGTAAATAGTTGTTATACTGTATTGTTTAGGGAGCAAAGACAAGAAAAAATATATGTTCAGTACAGATAAAACCATCCTTTTTTAGAAAATAACTTTTTGTTCATGGCTGGCTGAATCCAACAATGCAAAACCCACAGTTAGAGACAGCCAACTGTATGTGCCTTTGCTAAGTAGATAAATTTAGTTAATGATGAAGGACTGGATGAAAGAAAGATTTGAGGATAAAAATTAGAGTTTGCTTATCTGTAAATCCTGAAGTAAATAATTACAGTCTCTGAGAAAACTGAGATAACTAATACTTAGTCATTTACTTCACATTTCATGATTGCTTACCAAGATTAAACTTGTTCTGATGAAAATCTTCACTTTTCATACTCATCGTTTTGATGAGTGAACTTAACAATTAAAGGTGGCTGGGCACAGCAGCTCATGCCTATAATCCCAGAATTTTGGGAGGCTGAGGCAGAAGAATTGCTTGAGCCCAGGAGTTCGAGACCGGCCTGGGCAAGATAGGGAGACCCCCATATCTACAAAAAAAATTTTTAAAAATTAGCCAAGTGTAGGGGCATATGCCTGTAGTCCCACCTACTCAGGAGGCTGAGGTGGGAGAATTGCTTGAATCGGGGAGGTTGAGGATGCAGTGAGCTATGATCACTCCACTGAACTCCAGTCTGAGTGACAGAGTGAAAACCCTGTCTCAACAACAGCAACAACAGCAAAAACATTAAAGGTAATTCCAGGACACAATAGGGATGAGGCATATTGCCTGTTTAAATAAACTTTCCTGGCCTTAAGAAAACAACTCTGCTGAATAATTTTATGGAATTAGAATGACATTAAAATAATGAATCTGATAAATATGATTAGTTAATAAAAATACAGTTAAAATAATACATCCCTTGGAATTTTAAATCTTACTGAGAACCATTTCTGCACGCACAGTATCCAATATACAAACACACATGGAAGAAAACCTTTCCAAAGCTCGTGGATTGCACCCTCATATTTTCTGTTCTGTTATTTGAGTTTTTAAATGCTGGTTACCACCCATTATATTAATTTTATTGTATTGTAGCTTGCTCATATTTTTTTAAAACTCAGCTTCAAATAAGGCATGACTAAAACAGTGCATGAATGGATCCCTTCCAAATGTTGAAAGTTATTCCAGTTTCTTTCCTTTCCAAGTACCATGCATATGCAGCTAACCCTAGCATTGGCTGACCAGTCTAACATCAGAGTGAAGAGAAGGGAACTTCCCTCTACAAGGCTTACAAAATGATAAAGTTACAAAGATAAGAGCTAAAATGCAAACGCTTTCTCTAAAGAAGTTAAATCCTAGAGTCACGAACTGGTCCATGTTGCTTCCTTTAGAGAAAAAAGTAGTAAAATCAGTGCAGGTTGAAACCTGCAGCAGGTACAACAGGGGACTCTATTCTCTGTGCTGTCCTTGAAGGGACTCCAAAGATGCTGTTTCTCTGTTTGCCTCCCAGTATTTTAAGTGAGTTTTGGATTCTGCAAATCAATCTGGCTAGCTATGGCCTTGGGTGAATATAAGCACCAGTTTCTATAGCCGCAAGTTAAAGGGATTTGAATTGTTAATTCTGTCATCCCTCCCATTCTAACATCCTGTTACCTAGAAAATCATCCATACATAGAGCCTGAAAGCTTACTTTTCAGGATTTGGGGAAATAAAAAAAAATTTGGTAGAATACCTCATACTTTCATTAGGCTACTGATATGAACTTAATTATTCCTCTAACTCCTTTGAGGCTCAGACCTTCTGTCCCCTGTCTTATCACTCTCATCTAATCACCTCCAAGCAATGTCCCACGTCACTGAGAATTTAGTATCCAATTTCCTATCTTCTGCTCCACTCCAGCTCCTGCCTTCACCTGGCAGAGTGTCCATGTGGGTAGTTGATCCAATACCCCAAGTTCAGAGTCCCTTGATCTCCTCAATCCAGTGACTGACACCTCCACTCCATTTCAGCAACTTCACTTCTGGGGCCACAGGCTGAGACTTGATTATCTCCAGAATTTCTCCATGTCCAAAACTGAAATGGGATAGTTCCCTTGACCCCTTCGTGGGACTCATGAAGGGGTTGTCTTGTTTACTCATCCTGCAGCTCTCAACTCCTCATGGGAGGGAGAGCACATAGGTGAGTGGGTGCAGAGGGTGGGACAAGTGCTTCTGGGTGCTGGCAGGAGTAGAACTCTGTGCGGCCCCGCAGCAGCATCTAGGTGAGTATCTGTGACCCCTGGAGCCGCAGAGGGCATGTGTTACAGTGTGCTCTTTTAGCTTTGCTGTCCATGGACAGCTTAAGTGTTTTAACAGCTCAGTGTGACAGCCCTCTGTATCCTGAACTCTTGTTCAGCAACCAGGAAGGATCAGCTTGCACGAACAAATTGAAGATGGTGAATGTGGAGAACTTTATTGCTGATGAAAATGGCTCTCAGTGGGATGGGGAGCTGGAAAGGGGATGGAGTGGGAAGGTGTCTCCCCCTGGAGTTAGGCCATCCCCAGCTGAACTCTTCTCCGAGGTCCTACCGTCAAGCCATCCCTCTGAAGTCAAGCTGCTTTTCACCAGTGTCAAGCTTCTTCTCTTCTCTCCTTCTCTGCCATTCCACTGCCAGTGGATCCTGGGGTTTTTATGGGGACAGGATGGGGGGCAGGGCGGGCCAGGGTGATTTTGGAAAAGGCAACATTCAGGCAGCAAAATGGGGATATAAAGTTCTCACTTTGGGCCACGGGTCCAGGCTTGAGGGTGGAGCCATTGCCAGGGACCCCACCCTTTTCTACCTAGTATTTCCCTGCCTCCACTCTCCAACTCTCTTATCACAGGCCTCCTATCCATAAATCTTTCTCACTCCCTTATTTTTTTTAGAGCTCACCTTCAGACTTATGAAAGCTCAAGTCTTTTGAATTCCTCTTTCCCTCCCAGTCCAGCAGGCTTCACTTCTCTCCTTGCTAGCCTGGAAGTGTCCATTACACCCTTGACTGTGTCGCGGCTGACACATGGAAGGCAGGTGTCTGGTATTGTTAAATGAACGTTAACAAGTGCAACTTCTTTAAAAAGTAAGATTTCTTTATTTGATTGATCAGTTTTTTTTTTAATTAAGTATCTAATTTCCATTGCTTCTGGATTTAGGCACACATATTGAATATAAAATTCAAAACTTTTCATGTATCTAAAGAAATAATTTTAATGACCACAGAATTTTGCTCTTAAAACAAATGGAGCTTGCAATATAATTATAACTAAGACAGACTACAAGCACCTGCTGTGTTTTCTTCATGCTGCCATCAGGCTGGTGCATAGTCTGATGGGATGGATGCATCCCTGCTGTAATAGGAATAAGTAAAGAGGGTGGGAGACTGTTGTTGGTGTTTACAATCATTATTCATCTCTCCATTAATTTTCATCCTTGCAGTTGAGATAATCTTGCCTTTTAGAACGAGAAAACAATCTTATTACTTACAACATTCACAAGACAGGGAAACACTCCTCAACAAAGAACCATTTCCTTTGGGCATTTGATAAGAACTGCTGACATCTGTGTTTATTAAGTGATGTGGGAGAATCAGCCAAGGGGCAGAGGTGTGGGTGGTAGCTTCAAAGGTAATTTCCTGACTGAGTGTGGTTGGGCATGTTGGCAATCCCAGTGTTTGCAATTCCAGTGCTTTGGGAGGCTGAGGCAGGAGCATCACTTGAGCCCAGGAGTTTGAGGCTGCAGTGAGCTATGATTACGCCACTGCACTCCAGCCAGTGTGACAGAGAGAGACCTTGTCTCAAAAAAAAAAAAAAAAAGGATTTTGCTTTCCTGGTCTGTTTGAATGTGGTAAGCACAAGAACTTATTTGTACTGGTGGTCACCCACTTGGGTCCTTTCAGTAAACTTCTGGCCATGGCCCAGCCTGAGCACCTGCTTCCTTTACAGAGCAAAGCCAGAGCCTTCTGGTTTGTAATTTTTGCAGCCACATAACACTGATCCATTTTAGCTGTCTCATGAAACTGCTTTCCAAGATGAAGTGAGACTATCCGAAACCAAAATCTAAAAAGAATGACTACAGAACGAATGGCAGTCCAAGGTCATTTGGCAGGGTAGAATTATAAGGAAAGGTGATGGCCAGCTACTGTGAAGTCTTAAGCCCACTCATAGGTACGAATCTCTTACCAGGACTGAAGTTTGTGTTTCCTTAACTTTGCTGCTTGATGGTCTTCTGCAAAGGATCTCATTTCTCCAGCTTTCACTGGGAAGTGGCATGGGGTTTTCGAAAGTGCTTTAAACTCTAAGAACTGGTTTCCTCTCAGGCTTAGCCACCACTAGCTGTCTGACTTTGGACAAGTTACTCAACCACTCTGAGCATCAGCTTTCTTTTTTTAAAATGGTGACAGTGATATGGCTACCTTAGAGAGTTGTGGAGATTAAGTGAGATAATATATGAACAAAATATATAAATATGTCTATATTAGACATATATGATCTGTTAAATATATTTATATATATATATAGAAAGAATATTAGAGAACTGACATATTTATCTTAGACCTACTATGTTCTAGGGCCCAGTTCTGCTCATGTATTATCTCTCTATATATATAGTATTGAGAGAGAGAAAGAGAGAGAGAGCTAGAGAAATAGAAACCAGTAGGATATATCCTATCTGAAGAACTCTAATACAGGTATTTCACTGAACAAAATGGCTTCTCCTTAAAATGTATTCCAACACCAATTTCCCCTCCTTGCTTCTCATACATATTAATTCACAGAAATTATATTGGTCATAAGGCGGTAGGACTATGAATAATTTTTTTCTTCTGCATTTGCCAAATATTCTGTAATGCTAGTTTTATTTTTATAACAAATTTTTAAAGTCCCTGTAAACCCTATAAAATTAACTACTAATCCTAAACTTGAACTGTAATACATATTTTTGTTAAATAAAAAAAAAGATATCCTAAATTTGAGAATCTAAGCTAAATTCACAAAATGACTAAATGTATCTTCTTACTCTTAAACGATAAGAAACCAGGAATGCAGTGGTTTAACCCAAACAGCCTAGGTATTCTTCACTCATTTCTCTTGTCCTCAGTATATGTTTCCCCCAGGCCAAGAAACATTTATGGCTAGGAATTCATGACTGCTCATCTGTAAGACACTCTCCAAGTACTCTGTCATGATTTGGAACCAGAGCTTTGGCCTTCCATTCCAGATGACCTCCAGGTTCTAAGCTTTATCTGAAGTACTCCACACTACATTGCACACCAGCATGATGGGAAGGAATGACTCAAGGGAACTGGGCATTCAGACCACTCACCAACTACACACAGCCTTTCACACAGCAGTAGACAACCTTTGTAGGAAGACCTCTGGCCAAATATTTATATATCAGGAGTATATCAATGTATGGTCACAGTTACCTCCTTTTTAATCTCAAGAAATAAAGTCATTACTTCTGAAAAGAACACCAGTAATGGAACTACACGGGCATGCCAAGATGAAAATTAGTCTCTCTCTCTCTCTCCACCCCATTCTTTTGGCCACTGCATTTTAAACAGGCCATAGTGATAGAACCAGAAGGTAGCTGTGTTTCGATTATTTTTGTTTTCTTATTTTTAAACATTGCTTTATAGAAGCCTGTTCTATAATGTAAGAAGTGAATAGGAATCCTAGTATCTGGAATGATGCTGAGCCATGGAGATGGCCAGATTCCATGTGAAGAGAAGAGGCTGGCAGAAAGCTAAGTATTTGCTCGCTTTCCCTACCCTGTATTCATGGAGCAGCCATTACAAAAGATGACGCACCAGACCATGGGCCTGGTCTTGCTAGGTGGTGGAGATCCAAAATGCTGGGCACTCACTGGAGCTCCGTGAAGATCTGTTGAATGAGTGACTAAATGTGTGGTGAACTGTCCCTACCTACAGGGTTCCCTGCTTTGCCCAGCCTATCAGGCTTGGGTACAAGCAGATAGCCTGGATTGGATTTCATGAGGGCTTTGTGCCCACTCTGTATACTACCGGAAGATGCATAATCTCTTTAGACTTCCTGGGTCATCACTGAAAGGCCAGAGGCAAGAATTTGAGCAGTAAATTGAAGCATGTGCAGAGTGACATAGTCTGGGCATAGATAACAGTACCTGACCCCTCAAATTCCCTAAAGTTGACATGACAGCTTGTGCATCATGGTTTGGTACAGAGATGACTGAAGAGACAGTGGTTGCTCCTCTGGTTGCTGGACACCTTTTGAATGGGCTGTGATGACTGGAGAGCGTGCTCTGTCCTGGTCACCTGAAGGTGCTCCTAGACTAGCAGAAGCAGAGACAGCAGCCAGGCCTGACTGGAGAGCTGGAGGGACTGGGTGCAGGGGACTTCTAGGCCAGCAGTTTCTGTGCTGTGCTCGGAGGGGCTCTGGTGGCAGGAACCTAGTCCTGGGTTCCAGCTCTACCAGGGTGCAGCCTGAGGAACTCAGCTTTCCTATTTATTGGCTTGCCTTGCCACAAAGGATTTCTTGTGTGTTAAAGATACTAATAGCTTAAACAAACAAACAAACAAACAAACAAACTATTGATTTAAACCACTAATCAAATCTTTGGTTTTACAAATTTAGAAAATAAAATTAGGCCCCAGGGACTAAATGTCTCTCCTATGGTCCAGAAACCAGACTGAAACTGACCTAGTAGCAAAACCCATTCTCCTGTATCCCAACTCCCAGTTCAGGTTCCTCTTCATTAGCTCCCACCCAGCTGCATAGTTGAGGACACTGAATTGAGGGGACCTGGGGTAAAGGGCTGGCACTCAGGCATCGCTGGCTTCTACATGATTCCACCACATGGAAAGCATCATAATCATGTATGATCCCTAGAAAAGTGTTTGCTAAACTCCTTAAGTTGTCATTCAACAAACATTTATCTAGCACCTACCACATGCTAGGCAAATTCTAGAGACACAGCTGCCCCTGCCCTCATGGAACTAAATGTCTTGAAAGAGATACTGGCCCTGATCAGATTTTTTAAAAATACATAATTATGCAAATAAATCATATTATATATAATTACAAAGCATGGTATGAAAGGAAAAGTACAAGATGCTGTGAAAGCGTATAAAAGGAGGACTTGGCCAAGTCTAGAGGATCATCAGTGAGTGTTCCCTGATGGACTAACATTAGGGCCAAGATCAGAAAGATGTCCAGGAGTTAACATGGTCAATAATCACTGTTAATCTTTATTAAGCATTTCCCTTGAGTCGAGTCAGGCTTCACTTGCTGCATTAACTTCTTTAATCTCCACAATAACTCTGTAAGGTAGGTGCTTTTGCTTTTTTTCCACTTTACAGATGAATAAACAAGAAGTAAAAAGATGTAACTAATTCACATGTAGCCCTCTGGCTTCAGAAGCTCTTTACTCCATAAGGTTCCTGGGCACGTGGGTGTGGTCTAGGAATGGGAAGAGGCTAAGAATGCTGAAGGGCAGACTGAATGTTCCAGATGAAGCTGGCGTGATAAGAAAGGGCCACATCATGTGGGTCTTATAGGTTATGATATTCATGTTAAAACTGTTAATGTTTTTGAAATATCTAAAACCAGGAAGTGCATGATCATATTTATGTTTTAGAAAGATCACTCAGGCTGCTGTGTGGAGACTGGAGTAGAAAGAAGCATAGAAGAGACCTACAGAGACTAGGAAGCTGTCACAGTAACCTAGGCACAAGATAGTAGTGGTCAAGACTAGCTTGCTTGAGGAAGTGTAGAGAAGTAGACAGATAAAAGGAGCATCCAAGGAGTGTACACTTCTAAGTAATTTAAAAGAAAGAGTCAAATCCCTTAGAAGCAATCATTTGAAATAACCTAATTACCAATCCTTTTTATCCAGTCCTCTTATGTTGTCCCAATTCAGGAATTCTTAAACCAGTTCTTGTGTTAAAATCATAGCATGGACTGCCTTACAACATTCTATACTTCAGTCCATTGAAAACCACATCAGGCCAGGTGCGTGGCTCATGCCTATAAGCCCAGCACTTTTGGAGGCCAAGGCGAGAGGACTGCTTGAGCCCAGGAATTGGAGACCACTGAACTCTAGCCTGGGCAACAGAATGAGACCCTGTTGAAAGAGAGAAAAGGAAGAAAGAAAGAAAAAAGAGGAAGGAAGGAGGGAAAAAAGGAAAAAAGGGAGGGAGGGAAGGTGGAAGAAAGAAAAAAAAAGAAAGAGAAAGAAAAGGCTGCTTCCTGGCACTTCTATTACCATGTGACACGAGAAGGGCAATTGTCCAGACCCACACTTAGGTTCACCACAGTCCTTGGTTCCCAGGACAGAGTCCTTTGAGGTTCCTTCAAGCACCCACACCATGCTGGAAAATGCAGGCTTTATAAACTCCAGATGTCAGTCCACAACTCCACAGCCCCATTGGGTTTGGTTCCTGGATGAATTCTCGGCTAGATGACTGGAATAGAGTTCTGGTGAACATCTTCCTTCCTGCCAAGATGACAAGTCAGGTTTCTAAAGACAGATGTGTAGCTCTTTGTGGAAAAAATATTCTGGGCACGAACATCTTCGGCTGAACGGCATGGAATGGTGTGGAAAATGTGAAGCCCTGGACTGGTTTCTGTGTCAGTGGTTTCCTGGGACTGCCGAGTTGAAGGGGAGCAGAAAGGGCTCAGCTGTGGAGGAGGCAGAGATTAGCCAAACTAGACCAGCTATCGCCCCAGCTGCATGGATAGCATCTTCCTTCTTGTTCCTGATTAAGCTCATTTAATATGCCAATGACAAAAGGATCATGAAGGTCTTTCCAAATGAATGAATGTTTTCTGGAGCTGAGATTGCTGGCTCCTATTTGCATAGTAGTGCATACTGAGGCATCTGACCGGATTACTGGATTCCTAACTTTTACATTCTTTTTAAGCTCAGATATTTCTACGGAAGGCAGAAAGATAAAGGCCAAAAAAAGATCAGGCTTGCCTAGCTCTTGGGTTTCCAGGAAACTGACAGACTCCTGATATCTGCAACTAGTGCTTTCTCTCCCTGGGCGGGGCGTTCTCCGCCACCTTGTGGACATTTGGGGAACTGCACCGCCCCAGCATCTATGATCAGAGGAACTGACAGAGGCTGCCATAACTACCTGGTCCCCTGAAATAAAAACCAGGCACCAGGTTTGCCCAAAGGAGGACCAACACATAGCAGAATGAGGCTGAGTAGGATGTTAACCTTCCATGCTGGTCTTCCATTATCACGTTATCTGCCACTGTCACAGACAACATCTGCATCCGCTACAGATGGAGATGGAACAAAGGCTTTCACTGGATCTCAAGTTGGATGCTTCTGTAAAAGTAAAGTTCCAAGACCTTTTTCTTTTTTTTCCCCAGTGACAGCAAGAAAATTGGATGTTACTATTGGCAACAACTATTTCCTGCTTGTGAAGCGTTGGTATTTGCAGTGCTTCTGCCCTGTGGTTATTGAGCTGAAAGGGGGGCTGCTCTTGACATAGGAGCATGGCAGGATTGGATTCTTCATAACATGCTACCCAGCTTGTCTTATGTGAAAAGAGAAGCCCAGAAAGAGCTTGGGACACAAAGATGCAAATCCTGGGTTTGCATTTGATTTGTTAAGTGTCCTTTCACAACCAGCTTGCAGACTTTAGGGGAAAAAAAATACATGGTAGGCTTGTGGGTAGTGGAGAAAACATAAGCTCCAGTACCTCACAGCCTGGGTTTTCAGTCTGCCTCCTCCCAACCCTCATCACATACCAGCTGTGTGACCGTGGGTACTCTGTCTATGACAATCAATTTTCTTGTCTGCAGAGTACAGATAATAGAGGACCTGCCCCATGGGAAGCTTGGAGGACTAAATGAGATTAAGCCCAGGGCCTGGCTCATGGCCGATTCTCGTAACAGGTCCATGTGTGTAATCAACATGTGCTGAAGTTCTCTGGACCCTCTGTAAATATCTAATAGGAACGACTAGCCATGGGTGTGATGAGGGAGATGCTAGAAACAGTAATGGGGTCAAATGAATCTGTCCCATAGTCTCTAATTTGAAACAGCTGAACTGTGCCATTGTCTCCTTGGAGGTAAGATATAAGCCACAGAGTGCCTGAAGCAGGTCTACAGTTAAGGAACTTAAATGTGCTAAGTGATTAAAGGCTGGGCTGCCTACTCCCTGTATGGCGACACTCTCCACCCTCCTGCATACTCTCCACTACTCCAGGCAGTGGTGGGCCTCCTAGCCTCTGGGTGATGAGCAGCTCCCACATCTCCCCTTTGAGACAGAGGCCTGCAGAACCTGACCAGTGTGAGGGCTGGCTGGGGTCAGGAGTGTGCCTGCTGGTTGGCCCTCAAGGTGAATGTGGCTCTTCTAAAAGACACCTGAAGGGATGCAGAATTTAGCAGCAAACGCCAAGAACAGCTCTTTGTCATCTCTGCATCTTCTACTAAAGATTTTAAGCTCCGAAGTATATGTCTGGGGTTTCTAGAGATTGCTATTCCCTTATAAGGGAAAAAATACACCCTTATTGTATATTTATTGAGCACCTACAATGTGCCAGGCACCCCAGCTAGGGAGTTTAGATATTTAATCCTCTCAGCTGCCCTGTAAAATAGGGATTGTTTAAAATGGATTTCGCCCACCTTATAGGCAAGGAAACTGAACTACAGTATGGTAAAGTGGCTTGGCTAATCCACCTGGCTAGTGAGAATGGAGCCACAGTGAACCTGGAGGATACTCTTCACGGCGTTCCATCTTTGTGTGCCCCACAGCACAAGCACAATGCCCGGGTCTTAGGAAGAGCTTGGTAAATGACTGCTGAGTTGAGAATGGTAGGATTCATGTACCAAAAGGGCATTTGGAAATGGGCAAATGCCCAGATAGGGCTCTGAAAGACTAGCTATGTAGAGCAACAGATGGCAAATCATCAATTTAAAACTCTGTCATCCAGCCAGTAGCCCGCTGGCCTACAGCCAGCCATGTATGTACAAGGGCTGACTTGATCAGCTGTGGCTCTTTTATTTCAGGCAATCCACCTTCCAAAGAGGTGCCTGCTGGGAAGTACCCATTCATAGTCACTTCTGATGATGGGCGGAAGGTTCCTGTAGTCCAGGCCTATGCTTTTGGCAAATACCTAGGCTATCTGAAGATCGAGTTTGATGAAAGAGGAAACGTCATCTCTTCCCATGGAAATCCCATTCTTCTAAACAGCAGCATTCCTGAAGGTAAGTGAAGTTCAGGGGAATGTTCCACCAATCTAAAATTTAGATGGCTGGATATTTTGCTCCTTCCCATTTTTTTCCTTTAATGTTTCAGGAAAAGACTATAATACTGTTGAAGAATTTAGTTTCTTCCTTGAGTTTGCCCTCTTCATGGATAGATTTAAAACACACCCAAATGCCAAAAGCCCCACTTGCTTCTTCAAGTCTTCTCAGCATCAGATTCCATACATCACTGCTTCCTCTGCCTTTTAAAATCTTGATCCTGACATGCCAAAGCCACTCTCAGCTTGTGTTTACAGGAGAGATAACTGAACTAAAGGGGTTCTAATTGGGCAGAGCGGGGCTCAAGTCCTGGCCCCCCAACTAGAGGCAGTGTGCCTTAGGCAAGTTGCCCAATCTCATGGGCCTCAGTTTCTTTATCAAATGAGGGAGTACCTTATTTATATGTCTGAGTCTATTGCGGGATCTGGCCAGCAGCCCGCAATGCAATGGGGCTCTCTCTTTGTTCCTAGGCAGATTGGCAGGTTGAGAAATAATAGACACACACAAGATAGTGAAAGCTGGGTCCAGGGGGGTCACTGCCTTCTGGTCCTGCGGTGCCAACAATGCACTGGATATACCAGCATTTATTATTAAGTTTAGTGAGGGCAGGGGTACGTTAGTGAGGGATTTAGGGTCATTTGATTATGAGGTGAGATGGTCACATGGGGATGAAGTAATTCTTTAACATAACATTTGTATGTAGAAGTACAGTACATTTGTATGTAGAAGTACAGTATGAGATAAGAATTTACAATATAGTGTGTGCGTCAGTAATTTCTAACAGAGCCTTAGAACAGAAACACAGTCTTTCCATAACCTATGATTAGCAAGATATTAATCAGCAGTAACAATTGCAACAAAAACTGGTTACAAATAATCCATGGAAACAGGACATGAAGCTAGATAACCAGTTAGACCAGAAATTCTCAGAGGGGAGTACGCCTTAACCCTAAAGAGGCCTAGAAGAGCGGCGGCAAGATGAGCGTGTTTATAGCCCTATCTTATCCATATGGACAGGCCCCCCCCATGCGTCCGTTTATAGGCTCCCCACAAGGGTCACATTCCATTCCCAGAGCTATGAACATCTGCTTTTCTGGGATAGGAATCTTGGTGATGGGAAACCTCCCTGACTGCACGTCCATTTGTAGGCTCTCTGCAGGGGGAAGCACATCACGTGCTGTTGGCTCATTGTGGCAGTCCAACCTGGCATTGTCTTTACACAATCCTGCATGCAATTTTGTATTTACAATAATCAGGAGCATTTCATCTTTTATTCCGTAGCAATAGTTTCAGGGCGTCTCCCTACATGAGTCTCAGAGTAAAAATACATTTTTATATCATTGATTTTCATATGTGTACAGAACACACTCCTGTGCTTGTCTCTCACTTTCCCTTTTCTGTTGACTATGATCATGTCAGGAAGATGAGGTGCACAGCACCCAGGTGAGCCTGTAGTCACAACACAGCCCTCTCAGTAGCCAGATGGGAAAGGGGCCCAGGACCACACTGACAGCGATAGCCCAGCTGTACCTCAGCAGGCCTTTTATAACTGCCCCTGGGCCTTTCAGAGCTCCTACCGCCACCACTAATGCTGTCCCAGGTGGGCCAATGGGTAGCTCATACAGATGTGATGAGCTGGTAGATGTTCAGAATATTCTTAAATTAAGATGCATTCCAGGTCTTATTACCAGGAAACAAAATAGAAGTTCCTAAGGAAATTTCATGGTCAAAACCAAAATGCACACAAATATGGTAAACAAATATGTTCTCACAGCAAGTAAGATAGATGATGTTTCATTCCTTTTCCAGAATTTAGCCCAGTGTGAGATTTAATTGTAGGGTACCTTCTTTTCTTTCTTCTAGATCCAAGCATAAAAGCAGACATTAACAAATGGAGGATAAAATTGGATAATTATTCTACCCAGGAATTAGGGAAAACAATTGTCTATCTGGATGGCTCCTCTCAATCATGCCGCTTTAGAGAATGCAACATGGGCAACCTGATTTGTGATGCAATGGTAAGTCATCAGCAGGAGTGGACATATGCTAGGGAGGAAGGAAAGGAAGAGGGAAGAGGAAGGAAGGATGCGAGAAGGGATAGATCGATAGCTACAGAATGAGGGATTTCAAAACATTTTTAGCCAGGGTGGTGGCATGTGCCTATAGTCCCAGCTACTCGGGAGGCTTAGGTGGGAAGATGGCTTGAGCCCAGGAGGCTGCAGTGAGCTATAATTGCACCAGTGCACTCCAGCCTGGGCAAAAGAGCGAGACTCTGTCTCTAAAATTAAATAAATATGAAAAATAAATAAAACATTAGTGCCTAAACAAAAGCCTGATGTAGCTTCATACTCAGTACCTTCTTAAGGTGCTGGAAGGAGATCAGGTAACCACCAACATACTGCTTTACAAGAACTAAAACCTTTATTTTAAGGTGTTCTTAGATGTCTGAATTTTGGATGTTGCTTTCCTTTTGTAAGATGATGCAAATGCACAAACTCTGCTACCCTGGAGATATCAACATAATAGATAAAAGCATATCTGTTTGGCCAGACTGTTTTTCACTCATCTGTTCACTTGACTCCAGAGAACCCTGGCCTTGTGTGACAGGAACCTCTTTCACAGGCACAGAAAGACAACACACAGTTTTAATGGTAATAACAAGTCCTATGGCTGAGCAAGACCAGGTATGAAGAACAAGCCCGTCTACTTGTCACCAGGCGGAATGGCCATGGTAGCTCTCTGGGGGCCTTACTGAGCCAAGGTCTCCTATGTCGGACTACTACTTCCATGGGCTCACAGCCTGCACCCAGGGAAGTCATTTCTGTCAGTGCTTGGCATGCATTGCCCAGTGCCCAGGATACAACTGCACTCGATAAATGTTTGCCGTGTAAATGACAACAATCATGCTCATGCCAAGACCAGACTCATGATGTCTCCTCAGCATCATGCAGTCAATGCCAGAGAAGTAGTTAAGGAGAAGCTGGTATATAAATGTTAAGAGAAGTCTGGAGGGAAACAACCCAGGCTGTTGGCAGTGCTTATCCACTCTGTTAAAGAGGCTAGGACAAAGGAGAGCTTTTGCTTTTTATTTATTTATTTATTTAATTAATTAATTTATTTATTTATTGAGACTGAGTCTTGCTCTGTCGCCCAGGCTGGAGTGCAGTGGCATGATCTCAGCTCACTGCAACCTCCGTCCCTTGGGTTCAAGCGATTCTCCTGCTTCAGCCTCCCAAGTAGCTGGGATTAGAGGTGTCCACTACCACACCCAGCTAATTTTTGTATCTTTAGTAGAGACGGGGTTTCACCATGTTGGCTAGACTGGTCTCGAACTCCTGACCTTAGGTGATCCACCTGCCACAGCCTCCCAAAGTGCTGGGATTTACAGGTGTGAGCCACTATGCCTGGCCTTTTTTTTTTTTTTTTTTCGGCTTTTTGTCTCCTAAATGAGAATATATTCATTTTATTTCTTATAACTAAACATATATTTTGTAAAATAAAAGTAAGAATGGATGTGATTCTCCCCAGCTTCAAAAGGCTGTCTCTGTCTTTCCAAAATTGCCAACTTGGGAATCAGCTGCAGACATAGACGTGGAGGCCAGGTTCTCTTTGGCATGAGGTCTGGTGTTGAGCAGGCTCTAGGGCCAAGCCCTCAGAATCAGGCAGAGGGCATGGCCTGCCCTGGAGAAGCCTGTGCAGGAGTGACTCTGCAGGCCACCTTGCATGGGAGGCCCAGTCCCGACACCAGGGCTACAACCGAGAGACCATTTTGCTAAGGCCACCTGGCCTGACAGTATGGGAGTTTTAGGAGGGGGAAATAAGAGTTTGACATGGACTGGTAACAGTATATTTTTACTTCTGGGAGCATAAAATTAGTTCTAATTATAGTTGAGAGATCCCTGGGAACACAGCAGCAGGTGAAAAGCAGCTTTATTTCCTCACTAGAGCTAACCAGATTCCTGGAGCTGATCCTAAGGAAGAAGAGCCAGAGTAACTAGTGTAAATCTGTGCTACTGTTGCAGATTAACAACAACCTGAGACACACGGATGAAATGTTCTGGAACCACGTATCCATGTGCATTTTAAATGGAGGTGGTATCCGGTCGCCCATTGATGAACGCAACAATGGTATGCTCCCAGGCCCAGCTCCTCAGTGTGTCATGTTCTCTCTCTGATCTCCTTTTCTGTTATGGTTCTTGCCCTGAACACACCCATGTGCAGCCTCAGTTCATCTCTGCTGCCAGCCATGTACCAGAATGTCAGTCCTTTAAATTAGGGTTAGCCATTATTAAAGTCTAAAACCTAGCCTGAAGGACACACACAAGCTTGTGTGTTCTTATATGTATTCACACACAGAAGCTGCAGGTAAGGTTAGTGGAACTCAAACTTGGTCTGAATTTCTGACTTACAAAGCTATACTAGTTGTTTCTGATTTATGCAAAATAACAACAGTCACCACCTTGGCATCTGAAAAGAGACAAAATCACCAATCTTCTGTCCTGAAAAAGACATACCACTGGATTAAAATGTTACCTTAGTATATTTACAGATATCCAAGATTATATCATATGGCAAAACAAATCAACTACACAAATACTCAAGACACTCTTGTAGCCCTCCCTGATTTACTGTGAAAACCAATCAGTATCAGTATAAGGCCCCAAACGCATCCCATTGTCAGACAACAGGGACAGGTTGCAGGGGCACATTGTTTGTCTGGAGGAACGGAACAATGCAAAACAAACTACTGGAGATCCAGCCCCAAGCTAGCAGATCTAAGACTGAGCATGGTGAACTTCTGAGGCACAGCCATTTGTGAGCTCCCGCCATCTTGCCCAGTGGTGGAGTGCAGGGCCAGAGGCCTCCTAAACTCATTCCCTTCCTCAGTGTCAGGAACCACTTAGACATAGCTAATGATGCTCTATAAGCTTCCCATGTCCCCCTCATTTCTTCCCCCAGCGCTGAGGGAAACTGGTCATGGTGTAAGCATTTTCTCAAGCTATTTTCCTTCTTGCCTCATCTGTGACTACCCTCAGGCACAATTACCTGGGAGAACCTGGCTGCTGTATTGCCCTTTGGAGGCACATTTGACCTAGTCCAGTTAAAAGGTTCCACCCTGAAGAAGGCCTTTGAGCATAGCGTGCACCGCTACGGCCAGTCCACTGGAGAGTTCCTGCAGGTGGGCGGTAAGTCACCCATCCTGTAGGGCTGGCCCATCCAAAGTGACATGGCATTTCCTGCTGGTTGGCTCAGCTTCCCCTTCACCAAAATTCCTGTGGTCAAACTGGTTTGGATTTTTCCCGACCCAACACCAATACCTTACCCTTTAATGGCTGTGGACTCTCAGAGCCACTAAGATTAGGTTGGGGTCAAAGCCCCAAAGCCCCAAAGCCCTGGCAATAAGCAGTATTTGCCAAGTCTGATTTGGACATCAGATGGGCCCTCTAAGCAGGTCACCTGCTTTGAGGTCTAGTTTCTAATAAAATCTTATTTAAGCATTCAATTATTTTTTTTTTAAATCCTCTCCTCTGTTCTACTCATCGTTGCCTGGAACCATGCCAAGATTTAAAGGAATGCTGTCCAATCTGTATTAACCAGGATGATTCCTGGAAGGAGCAGCCTACTGCACAGACATACCTGAACACCTGGTTCTAGTCCCACTGTGACCTGGGGCAAGTTCTCAACCCCTCTGGGCACAGGGAGAAAACCTTTCCTGTTTATCTCATGGACTGCAGTGAAAGTTGAATGGAAATAAATGCTTCCTAAATTGCCAAGGGCTTCTGAAACACTTTTGTTAATAATTCCACAGTCCAGTGAATTAATCCTTTAAAAGCAATCTTATTTTACCTGGAAATCATAATCTGGCCTCATTTTTTTAACCTTAGGTTGTGGTCCCGCTTGACAGATAGAATTGCTTTCCTGAGTTTTCCTCTGCAGAACACATTGCTGTTGAGACTGAAGGGCTACAGAAGGCAGTGGGGCCCTGTCCTAATGCCTATGGGGCAACCCAAACATCCTCCATTTTCCCAGAAGGGAGTTGAGGGAAAAGCAGTTTTCTGATGCTCTAGCAAAGCACTGCATAGCTCTATGCCTTGTGGAAGTCACCAAATCCCAAATGATTACCATTTAATGGTCTTCAAAATTGTAAAATGCTCTCTGCCTCTGATCTGTTTCTCACTTTCTAAGGCCATTGAATCAATTTAGTAGACCAATTCAGCATTTTAAGGGAAAAACAGAAAAAGATGTGGTTTTGTCCATGTAGAGTCACCCTTTGCCTATTCTGGTCCAGAGCTGGTTTTCCTTCCAGTGGTTCTCATATGTCCTGTAAGGACTCAAGGATAAAGGGTGGCTGCAATGTCACAATTCTCTTGACAAAATTTCACTCAGGTTTAAACCAAAGGAAAAACCACAGCCCCATGCCCCAATTGTAGAGTTTGGCCAAAATTCCTTAGGAAACAGAAATCTCCCTTTGGATCTGGTGAAAACAGATTCATTTCTTTTCTAGGAATCCATGTGGTGTATGATCTTTCCCGAAAACCTGGAGACAGAGTAGTCAAATTAGATGTTCTTTGCACCAAGTGTCGAGTGCCCAGTTATGACCCTCTCAAAATGGACGAGGTATATAAGGTGATCCTCCCAAACTTCCTGGCCAATGGTGGAGATGGGTTCCAGATGATAAAAGATGAATTATTAAGACATGACTCTGGTAAGCATGACTGTCTCTTCCTTTCTCTAAAGAACAACAAAATTGGGCCAAGAAGGGGAGCTACTAGTGGTGCCAGGAGGGCAAAGTGACTCCCTGTATTGCTGACTCCCTCCTGCTTTGCTTGTTGGAAAGCAGCAGCACAGCACAGCAGAGAGGAATATGTACCCTGTCAATCCCCGAGCACACACATGCCTTCATCCAACCCCAGAGACAAAACATTTGTAAATCAAAAATGTTTTAAAATTCTTTTAACTACATCTAAGCAGCTATTTAAATTGTGAAATATAAGTGAGTTTTGCATTAACAGAAATATCACACCTCTGGAATTTTAGGATATGGAAAACCATCACATTAAATCATTTAAATTTTCTTTCTTGAAGAAGTTTCTGTGTGAATCAGTCAGGTAGAAGTGGATGGGGTGAGCGCCGCCCTTTCAGCACAGTGGGTTGGTGGTACAAATCATAGGAATAACCATACTTGATGTCAGTTGGTACTTCTGGCAGCATTGAGGGACATTATATGCCAGCCTCACTTTTAGAAATTCTGTTGAGAGTCACATTATGTGCATACAGACCACTGACATAGGACACACTTCCCCTTCCTCTTCCTAGGGCAGAGACCAGCATGCTTACAAGACACACAAGCAGCTTCTTGGCATCTCTGGGTAGTTCCACCAGGATCTTCCTCAGTCTTATCATGCTGGACCTGTCATTTTAGCTACTTATTCCAAGGAGCGTGGAGGGCAGGACCAGACCAAAGGAGGCAGCCCTTCCTGGGAGGAAAGGTGCTGGCTTCTTCTGTCCCTTCCGTGACAGAAGATGGAAGGGCAGGCGTAAAAGCCCCATGAGACAAAGAGGCTGATAGCCATCAGCTGTCCACCACTCAAGCCTAGACTGAAGGATGTTAGAGAGAGGAGCTCATGCAGAAGGCTAAGGAAGCCCTGGACCTAAGCGTTCTCAACACTGGTTATACATTAGAATCACTTCAGGAGCATTTTAAATTAAATACCAATGGCTCGGCCGCAGCTCTTAAGAGATTCTAAGTTAACTGGATTGGGGCTAAACTCTTTTTCAGTGATTCTAGTGTACACCCAGAGGTGAAAACCACTGAAGAGAGAAGGGTTCTTAAGTACTGGAGTGATATTTTTAAAATAAAATTCTGTTGGGTTCCCAACAGAACATGGGTTCCCAACAAACATGGGTTTGTTGTAGCTATAGGCAATTAGCATTTATCCTCTCCTCTCTTTGGTAAAGGAAATCCCCCAAGTCCCATCATCAATTACATGAAAATAATTATTGGGCAGGCAAACAAAAGGAAGCCAGTTTTATCTCTCAACTAATTGCTCTTGACCCAGTTCCCTAATGCCCTTGTTCTGGAGTGGTTCAAAGGCTATGATGTCAATGACCTCTTTCTAGAGTCATCACAGAGCTGAGGCAACTCTACTTCCCCCAATTACCCAATATTGAACAACAGACACATTTTACATCTGGAGCATGAAAAAGCAATCAAATTCTTTGTACTTATGATCACTAGCGTTCTTGTCTTCTGTGACACTTTACCCCTGCTTATGAAATTGCTTCCCTTTTATAATTACAAAGGACTACCTTACTGTTGATTGATAATTACCTTTTCTGTAGTTAAAATAATGTATATGTTTTTCTAGGTGACCAAGATATCAACGTGGTTTCTACATATATCTCCAAAATGAAAGTAATTTATCCAGCAGTTGAAGGTCGGATCAAGTTTTCCACAGGAAGTCACTGCCATGGAAGCTTTTCTTTAATATTTCTTTCACTTTGGGCAGTGATCTTTGTTTTATACCAATAGCCAAAAATTCTCCTTGCCTTTAATGTGTGAAACTGCATTTTTTCAAGTGAGATTCAAATCTGCCTTTTAGGACCTGGCTTTGTGACAGCAAAAACCATCTTTACAGGCTCCTAGAAGCTGAAGGTTAGAGCATTATAAAATGAAGAGACAGACATGATTACTCAGGGTCAGCAACCTAGTGAGTTAGAAAAAAAATTAACATAGGGCCCTATAAGGAGAAAGCCAACTATGTTAAGTTTACGTGTCCAAATTTTAATGAAATTTTACTAACAATTTTAAACCATATTTTTCTTCTTCATATCCATTTCTAATCCATCAAACAGCTTATGTTTACATAAAATTTTATCATTCACAAGGAAGTTTTAAGCACACTGTCTCATTTGATATCCACAACTTATTTTTGGTAGGAAAGAGAGATGTTTTTCCCACCTGTCAGATGAAAAAACTGAAGCTCAAAAAGGGTTGACTTGACCATACAGCTAATGCTGACAGATCCAAGACCTAGACCTAGGTCTTTTGAACTCAAGTCCAGCATTCTCAACTATATCAAGTTACTGTTCAGAATACTTAATATCTCCTCTCTTCATAATTATCAATAGCCCCAAGCTCATGGATGACAAATCTCTGCTTTATTTCTTGTCTCTATTTTTTCACTTTATAGCTCCTGTTATAATAGCAAGTTTAATGGTATAAACACAGGATACCATCCTCTCTTGCAACACCCATGTGCCTTTGATGAGTCAGGTAGCAAGCTGTAGTAGATAATGAGAAAGGCCAGAGGCTGCAAAAGACAGTCAAAGGACACGAGAGAAAGGAAGGGGAAGAACAGGACTCCAGGACTGTTTTATATTATAGAAAAGCAAGAGCTAAAGAGCATTTACACATGTTAAACAGATACTTGTTAAGCATAGTGCCTGACACACGGCATTAGCTGTTATTTTATGAGATTCCATCAGCTCTGCCTCTGTCCTCTTTCTTCTAACATGAAGGTATCATGAGAAGAGAACCTTCTAACATAAGCTGTAATTCTAAACCTGCACTTGTCCCTCTCCAGCAAGAGGCTAGCACTGAATTCATTCTACTCATACTACACACCCAGTTATGGAATGTCCAGAGTTCTCGAAGAAAATAAATGACTTTAGGAAGAGGTATACATTTTTTAAGTCGCTCTGCCTCCAAATCTGAACAGTCACTGTAAATCATTCTTAAGCCCAGATATGAGAACTTCTGCTGGAAAGTGGGACCCTCTGAGTGGGTGGTCAGAAAATACCCATGCTGATGAAATGACCTATGCCCAAAGAACAAATACTTAACGTGGGAGTGGAACCACATGAGCCTGCTCAGCTCTGCATAAGTAATTCAAGAAATGGGAGGCTTCACCTTAAAAACAGTGTGCAAATGGCAGCTAGAGGTTTTGATAGGAAGTATGTTTGTTTCTTAGTGTTTACAAATATTAAGTACTCTTGATACAAAATATACTTTTAAACTTCATAACCTTTTTATAAAAGTTGTTGCAGCAAAATAATAGCCTCGGTTCTATGCATATATGGATTAGCTATAAAAAATGTCAATAAGATTGTACAAGGAAAATTAGAGAAAGTCACATTTAGGGTTTATTTTTTACACTTGGCCAGTAAAATAGGGTAAATCCTATTAGAATTTTTTAAAGAACTTTTTTTAAGTTTCCTAAATCTGTGTGTGTATTGTGAAGTGGTATAAGAAATGACTTTGAACCACTTTGCAATTGTAGATTCCCAACAATAAAATTGAAGATAAGCTCTTTGGTCTTTGATAGTTATTTCTTCTCTCATTCAAACACCTGCCAACTAAAGACAATATGACTGAAGGAAAACTCTGACAGATTTTCACTGGTATCATTTCTCTTGATCATAAGCCACTTACCATCTGATAACCCTCCATAGCCCCTCACACCCCTAAAATGAGAAGAAAAATGCATCCAATTTTTAAGTAGGAGAGAAAAGTGAGTGGTATTTTAAGGAAGACTACTAAATTTGGTGGCTTTGATATACAGAATCTGATATAAAAATGGTTTTGAGGCCAGTACTGATTCCTACAAATAAACACTTCCAAGTTAATGTTGAGGATTTTAATTTGCCTGTACTGGCTGTGTGCCTAAGATCTTCCTCAAGTACACTAATAACACAATGAGTTGGTTTCGTTATACCTCAATCAGTCAGACACGTTAAACCACGTTAGCTGTCTTTGTTTGGGCTATGTATTAGTCCGTTCTCATGCTGCTAATAAAGACATACCCGAGACTGGGTGATTTATAAAGAAAAAGAGGTTTAATGGACTTTCAGTTCCACATGGCTGGGGAAGCCTCACAATCATGGCAGAAGGCGGAGAAGGAGCAAAGGCACATCTTACATGGAGGCAGGCAACAGAATGCATGGAGGGTAACTGCCCTTTATGAAACCATCTCATGAGACTTATTCACTATCAAAAGAACGGCATGGGGAAGACCTGTCCCCATGATTCAATTACCTCCCACCAGGTCCCTCCCATGACACGTGGGGATTATGGGAGCTACAATTCAAGATGAGATTTGGGTGGGGACACAGCCAAACCATATCATTCTGTCCCTGGCCCCTCCCACATATCATGTCCTCACATTTCAAAACCAATCATGCCTTCCCAACAGTACCCCAAAGTTTTAACTCATTCCAGCATTAACTCAAAAGCCCACATTCCAAAGTCTCATCTGAGACAAGGCAAATCCCTTCCACCTATGAGCTTGTAAAATCAAAAGCAAGCTAGTTACTTCCTAGATACAACGGGAGTACAGGCATTGGGTAAACACAGCCATTCCAAATGGGAGAAATTGGCCAAAACAAAGGGGCTACAGGCCCCATGCAAGTCCAAAATCCAGCAGGGCAGTCAAATCTTAAAGCTACAAAATGATCTTCTTTGACTCCACGTCTCACATCCAGGTCATGCTGATGCAAGAGGTGGGTTCCCACAGTCTTGAGCAGCTACGTCACTGTGGCTTTTCAGGGTATAGACGCCCCCACCCCGCCCCTGGCCTCCTGGTTGCTTTCATGAGCTGGCGTTGACTGCCTGTGGCTTTTCCAGGCACATGGTACAAGCTGTTGGTGAATCTACCATTCTCACAGCCCCCTTCTAACAGCTCCTCTTCTCATGGCTCCATTAGGCAGTGCCCCAGTGGGCCCTCTTCTCATAGCTCCATTAGGTAGTGCCCCAGTGGGAACTGTGTATGTGGGATCCAACCCCACATTTCCATTCAACACTGCCCTAGCAGAGGCTCTCCATGAGGGCCCTGCCACCACAGTAAACTTCTGCCTGGACATCCAGGCATTTCCATACATCCTCTGAAATCTAGGAGGTGGTTCCCAAATCTTGATTCTTGATTTCTGTGCACCTGCAGGCTCAACACCACATGGAAGCTGCCAAGGCTTGGGGTTTGCACCCTCTGAAGGCATAGCCCAAGCTGCAACTTGGCCCCCTTTAGCCACGGTTGGAGCTAAAGCAGCTGGGATGCAGGGCACCAAGTCCCTAGGCTGGACACAGCAGGGGGTGCCTGGACCTTGCCCAGGGAGCTATTTTTCCCTTCTAGGCCTCTGGGCCTATGATGGGAGGGGCTGCCATGAAGGTCTCTGACATGCCCTGGAGACATTTTCCCCATTGTCTTGATGATCAGCATTTGGCTTCTCCTTACCTATGTGCATTTCAGCAGCAGGCCTGAACTTCTCCCCGCAAAAATGGGTTTTTCTTTTCTATTGCATCGTCAGGCTACAAATCTTTCAATTTTTTTTTTTTGTATATGTGCCACTGAAGTGAGCACAAATCTTCCAAACTTTTATGTTCTGCTTCTTCTTGAATGCTTTACCATCTAGAAATTTCTTTTGCCAGATATCGTAAATCATCTCTCTCAAGTCCAAAGTTCCACAGATCTTTAGGGCAGGGGCAAAATGCCACCAGTCTCTTTGCTAAAGCATAGCTAGAATCACCTTTGCTCTGGTTCCCAGTAAGTTCCTCATCTCTATCTGAGACCTCCTCAGCCTGGACTTTTTGGTGAAAACCATTCAACAAGTCTCTAGAAAGCTCCAAACTTTCCCACATCTTCCTGTCTTCTTCTGAGCCCTCCAGACTGTTCCAACCTCTGCCTGTTACCCAGTTCCAAAGTCACTTCCACATTTTCAGGTATCTTAATAGCAGTAACCCACTCTACTGGTACCAATTTACTGTATTAGTCCATTCTCACGGTGCTAATAAAGACATACCCAAGACTGGGTAATTTGTAAAGAAAAAGAGGTTTAATGGACTCACAGTTCCATGTGGCTGAGAAGGCCTATCATGGCAGGAGGTGAAGGAGGGGCCAAGGCACATCTTACATAACAGCAGAGAAGAGAGCATATGCAGGGGAACTGCCCTTTATTTAACCGTGAGGTCTCATGAGACTTTCACTATCACAAGAACAGCATGGGAAAAACCCACCCCCATGATTCAATTACCTCCCACCGGATCCCTCCCAAGACACATGGGGATTATGGGAGCTACAATTCAAGATGAGATTTGGGTGGGGATACAGCCAAACGATATCAGGCTGCTATAGCAAAATACAATAGAATGGGTAGCTTATAAATAACAGAAATTTTATTTCTCACAGTTGTGGAGGCTGGGGAATCCAAAAGCAAGGCACTAGCAGGTGTCTGGTGAGGGCCTGCCTCCTGATTCATAGACGGCACCAACTGACTGTGTCATCAGAAGATGGAAGAGGCCAGGTGACTTTGGGGCCTCATTTATAGGAAGCACTAACCCCATTCAGCACCCTCATGATTCAATCACCTCCCAAAGGCCCAAACTCCAACATCATCACATTCATGATCAGGTTTCAACATACAGAGTTTGGGGGAAAATAAACATTCAGGCTATATAAGTAGCTGCCTTCAGCAGTCTGACACAAGAGTAGGCTGGGTTTCTTAGAGGAAAGTTTAGGCTGCTAATAGGTGTCCTTCAGAAGAAGTTGCTACCTCTGTGAGTATGTAGTCCTATGGATGTTTGGTTTGGCAAGAAGCCATAACTGCTTGCCAAGATTAGGTAAATGTTCCTGTATTCGTTTCCTGGGGCCACCACAATAAAGTACCACAAACTGGTTGGCTTAAATGACAGAAATGTATAATCTAACAGTTCTGGAGGCTAGAAGTCTGTGGTCAAGCTGGCAGTGTTGGTTTCTTCTGAGGGCAGTGACAGAGAAACTCTTCCATGCCTCTTTCCTAGCACCAGGTAGCCTCTAGCCTAAGGCATCCTTGGCTTATATATGGTATTCTCTCCATGTCTTTACATCCTCTTTTTTTACATGATTATATTTGTGTCCAAATCTCCCTTTTATAAGGCCATCAATAATACAGGATTAGTGCCCGCTCTATAATGACTTCATCTTAATTGTCTGCAAAAACCTCTTTCCAGATAAGGTCACATTCTTAGTTACTGGGGGGTTAGGATGGAAGTCCCCCCGACAGGACTTCAAGATCTCTTTGGAGGACACAATTCAACTGATTACCAGTCCTCAGTACAACTCCATAATCAGCTGCAGCAGCCCTGGGGCAACCTGCAGCTCTGTGTCCTATATACTTTGTAAATGAGAGGTTATAATTCATGGTGTTGTTTTTTTTTTGTTTTTTGCTGATAAAATAGAAGACATTTTAAGCTCCTTTAGCTCCTATACAGCAAAAGGAACCAGTTTTGTTATCCAATGCAATCAAAAAGGAGCTTTGGAGTTTTATAATAAATTGGGAGGATCTCAAATTTCTAGTGAGTAGTGCCTCTGAGGCCTCTAAGAACCTAAATTAAATACATCATGAAAGACATTGTTAACAAATAAGCTAGCTAGAATCTAAAAATAATTAACTCTAATCCATGACAAGGATGGCTGGCATATTAGTTACAACAGTGAAAATTATACTAGGCTCATTATTCATTAGGATACTTGGTTGGAAAAAAATATATTCTGTAAACAGAGACATTATCAGAAGGGTATTAGCTTGCTCCCCAAATCAAGCAACTTGGAAAGCTATCCCAGAAAATGGACAGCAAGGTAAGTGAGGCATGGCTAAAATCCCACCACAAGAACAGTCTTAGTACACAGCCCTGTTGCTGCAGGTCCCAGACTAAGGCTGGAGAGCTGCTGGGTTCACAGCTAAAACCCAGGACATTAGACTATTCTTGTGCCTTGGTTTGTTGCCTACATAGAGATGGGAACATCTAAATTGCTGAGCCTGGTTCAAGTCCAAATTTATAAAGATAGAAGGCTGACTGAGGAATGAACTCCAGCCTTTTGGTTTCTGATACAGTTTGGATATGTGTCCCCACCCAAATCTCATGTTGAATTATAATCCTGAGCATTGGAGGTGGGGCCTAGTAGGAGGTCACTAGATTATGGAGGTAGATTTCTCATAAACGGTTTAGTACCATCCCCTTGGTACTGTTCTAGTGACAGTAAGTTCTCATAAAAACTGGTCTTTTCAAAGTGTGTGGCAACTCCCTGCTCTCTCTCTCTTGCTCCTGCTCTGGCCATGTGATGTGTCTGCTCCCCCTTTGCCTTCAGTCATGATTATAAGTTTCTTGAGACCTCCCCAGAAGCAAAGCAGATGCCATCACCATACTTCCTGAACCGTCTGCATAATCATGAGCCAACTAAACCCCTTTTCTTTATAAATTACCCAAAAACGGCCCCTATGAAAATGAATATGAATTCATGTACAAAAACATGTAAAAAAATAACGTTAAAAACAAAAAAAAGTACCTTCTAAGTCTTTCTTAAAAACTACACTTTAACCTTCCCCCTCCAATAATGTATATTCACTTGTGAGATATCCAGACTTCCATGAAAGTCAAAAATGCCAGAGAAGTAAACAAAATAACCTTTTTTTCGGTAAGACAAATCATTAAATAATCTGTAAGCATGTGAGTAATGAAATCAGCCCCTAAAATATTTCAAAGTATTATTTTATAGCAATAAATAAATATGACTAATCAAATTTTTAACTGAGCTTGATGTTCTTAATTGGATGTTGATTCTTTGTTCAGCTCTAAACTCCACAGATGAAGTAAGGAAGGCTATACATTTGAAGGATAAACATATGTTTTATTTTACTGGTAAAATCACAATGCACAGACTTTATATTATTAGCATTAATACAAACAGTGCTCCTGAAAATTTCAATAACTCATCACATTGTGAAACTGTGATTATGTGATCACAAATTTTGTGTCACACTAAGAAATACAAATAGCATCATTCCTGCTCATTTACAACATAGATGTACCATTAATCTGCTTAAGTCTTCTTCATCTAGCCTTGCCTTATTCCTCAATGAAAATCTATCTCTGAGGCCAGGCAGGGTGGCTCATGCCTATAATCCCAGCACTTTGGGAGGCCGAGATGAGCAGATCACAAGGTCAGGAGTTTGAGACCATCCTGACCAACATGGTGAATCCCTGTCTCTACTAAAAATACAAAAATTACCCATGGGTGGTAGCGGGTGCCTGTAGTCCCAGCTACTCAGAGGGCTGAGGCAGGAGAATCGCTTGAACCCAGGAGGCAGAGGCTGCAGTGAGCCGAGATCATGCCACTGCACTCCAGCCTGAGCAACAGAGTGAGACTGTCTCAAAAGAAAAAAAAAAAGAAAAATCTATCTCTAGGTAAAACTATCTCTTTGTGAAAGAGATCCCATCTACTACTGGAGAATAGAAGTGATAAGGAACAAACTAGTAATGTAACTTCAGTAACTGCTGTTCTCTAGAACTACAGCACTGATAACGCAGGCTGCTGGTCCCTTGATTATCTGATCACTGCTTAAAATTCTACCCATCCCCATCCTATTCAGGAAAGCCCACAACATGCAAATGAGTGAGAGTAGCATTAACTTTTTGACGCTTTTGTAATAATACCTAGCCTGAAACACAAACACATTGTACAGCTGTACAAAAGTATTTTCTTTTACTATATTTTATACTATAAGCTTTTTTTCTAATTTTAAATTTATTTTTCTTTAATTAATTTCTTTAGAGAGAGGGTCTCACTCTGTTGCCCAAGGTAGAGTGCAATGGCACAATCACTGCTCACTGAAGCCTCGACCTCCCAGGCTCAAGTAATCCTCTCACCTCAGCCTCATGAGTAGCTGGGACTACAGCGATGTGGCACCATGTCCGGTTAATTTTCCTCTTTTTTTGCAGAGAAAGGGTGTCACTGTGTTTCCCAGGCTGGTTTCAAACTCCTGAGTTCAAGGGATCTTCCCACCTCAGCCTCACACCTGGGAATCTGCCTACTTGGGAGGTTGAGGCAGGAAGATCCCTTGAGCCCAGGAGTTTGAGGCTGCAGTGAGCTGCAATCACGCCTCTGCACTCCAGCCTGGATAACAAAGAGAGACCCTGTCTCATAAAAGTTTAAAAAACAAAAAACTAAGACACATACACACTAGCGTAAGCCTACAAAGGGACAGGATCATCAATATCACTGTCTTCCACCTCCACATCTTATGCCACTGAAGGTATTCAGGGGCAGTAACGTGCATGGGGCTGTCCTCTCTTAAGATAACAATGCTTTCTTCTGGAATTCCTCCTGAAAAACCTATCTCGAGCTGTTTTATAGTCAACTCTTTTTTTATAAGTAGAAGGAGTACACTCTAAAGTAATGCTAAAAAGTACAGTAAATATATAAGCCAGTAACACAGTGGTTTATTATGAATTTTATGTGACTGGAAATATGGTAGGTTTAGTTTGCACTAGCATCACCACAAATGTTGTGCTATGACATTTAGTTGGCTACATCACCAAGCAACAGGAATTTTCCAGCTCCATTACAATCTTATGGGGCCACTGTCATATATGCAATCCATCATTGACTAAAACATCATTATGAAGCGCATGACTATACTGTTTTTTCCTATACATACCTATAAAATTTCATGTAAAATTAGGCACAGTAAGAGATTAACAAAATAGAACGATTACAATGACATACTGTAACAAAAGTTATGTGAGTGGGGTCTTTCAAAATATTTATACTGTACTCACCTATTTTCAGACCTTGGTTGACCTTGGGTAACTGAAACCTTGGAAAGCAAAACTGCAGGGGAAGGGAGAGCATCAGGAAAAATAAAGGAGTACTATTGTACAGTGGACTAAGAAGACATACTCATTTGTTTCTTCATTCAGTCAGTCATTTTTTACTCTCATGTTGATTGTATCTGAAATTATAACTGGTACCTATGTCATTATACAGTCTGCTAAGAACAACAGTGGGCAAATTAGACTTCTGTTTATACTTCTATTGTAAAAATATAACATTTTTTAGGAAGTCAATAAATGGTAATTTAAATGCTTTCAATCACTTCACAGAATCTTCTAATATGCAACTATTATCCTCAGCAAACTAACGCAGGAAGAAAAAACCAAATACTGCATGTTCTCACAAGTGGGAGCTGAACAAGGAAAACACATGGACACATGGCAGGGAAAACATACACCGGGGCCTGTGGTTGGGGGCCAGGAGGTGGCAGGGAAAGGGAGAGCATCAGGAAGAATAGCTAATGGATGCTGGGCTTAATACCTAGGTGATGGGTTGATCTGTGCCGCAAACCACCATGGCACACGTTTACCTATGTAACAAACCCAAACATCCTGCACATGTACCGCAGAACTTAAAAGTTGAAGAAAAAAAAATTTAATAGTTTTAACACAATCTTACAATGTTCTTTATAAATTTCAAAGTGTTTTCTCATATATTTAACTGCATTGTATCTCCCCTAACCAGAAAAACTGACAGCTCTGTTTATGTAAACACATTTAAAAATGTGTTCTTCATGAAGCTCATACACTAGAGGACACACACAAAAATGAATAGAAAGGAATGTGCAAAGTAAATTTTTGAAATAAATCAGGAAGCATACTTTTTAAAGGGATCCAGAGAGTGACTACATCTGAAAACAAGTTCCTTTCATGGTGCAACATTGACAAGAACATGCAGACTAGAGATATTAAGTTCAAATTCTAATTTTACCACTCTTTCAAGCCCCCATGTCCTCACCTATAAAATAGAAGAAACACTACCTCAGAGTTGCTGTGATGATATATATAAAATGCCTGGCAAATTAAATAGGGATTGTATTTTAATTCCTTTCCCCTTTCACAATGTGATTTATTAATTTTATATGTACAGACTCATTTGTTTCTTCAGTCTTTTATACATAACATCTTCTTTAAATAGAGCTCACCTACTGTTATGGATTGAACTATATCCTCCTAAAATTCATATGCTGAAACCATAAATCCCAATATGACTATATTTGAAGATAGAGCCTTTAGGAGGTAATTTAGGTTAAATGAAGTCTGAAGAGTCAGACCGTAATTCAACAGGATTGGTGGCCTTTTAAGAAGAGGAAGAAAGAATGAGATTTATTTTTACCTCTCCACATGTGCACAAGAGGTCATGTGAGCACATATCGAGAAGCCAGCCACCTACAAGCCAAGAGAATAGGCCTCAGTATGGAACCTAATTTGCTGGCACCTTGATCTTAGACTTCCCAGCCTCCGTAACTGTGAGAAGCACATTTCTGTGGTGTAAGCCACCCATTGCGTAGTGTTTTGTTATGGCAACTCGAGTAGACATGATACACCCACAAATTTTTTCTTATCTTAATAAAGAGAATATCACAATTTAAAGGAGAATAGGTAAGGATGACATAAAAAAGTCTGTAAAGTATTTTATTTTTCCAGTTTACCTATAACATTTTAAATAATAACATTCAAAATGCTATGGATTTAAATGTGAATCGTTTGATCAATTTCCCACCTGCCCCTGAGAAATCAGTAACTGTTTATTAGGGCTTGGTATTAAACCATTGATTCATGGAAACTCACATATCCTAGAACTTTCAAGTATTTAAAAATATAATAGAACTGCTAAGAAAATCTTTCAAAAAAATTTGTAACACCTAACAATCATTTTTTGAAATCTTCAGAAAAATTAATGAATGGTATAATTAAATTTGTTAGTTTTCTAAATTATATTCAGTGTTCTCACATTACCCAGCTTAGTGTCTAATACATGGATGATGCTCAATAAATACTCTGAATAAACACTAGAGCCAATAACCTAATGCAAAATGCTCAATCTTGACAAACTTGTTTCAAGGATAACTGCACGACATGGTAAGGAATTGCAAAAATTTTGAAACACTGATTCTTTAAAAATAATCTTTTAAGTTAACTTTCAAGAAGTATAAGTAATTCTACATTTTTCTTTTGAAGAGATAACAGACAACAAAAACCAAAAATCTACTTGCCTAAATTGTTTGTATGAGCTTTGGGAATATATTGATAGTTACAGACAATTCAGTGAAACTTAGAGGCAACCACACAATCACGAGTATCTGTAAGTATTCAGTTTTCAAACTGAACAGGGCTACAACCCGTCAGACACCCAGAAAGAATAAGGACAAATCCCTTGTTTATTATTAAAAACTCATATAGGATGCTTTATTTATAGATACACAGTTAACTATGTACAAAATAAAAAAAAGGAAAACCAATCTACTAAAATATATTAACTCTAAGAAAATCAGATCTTATTCCTGTTTCTCCATACTAGGCATAATTATTTTCAAAGCTATACAATACGAAGTTTATCAGTCTTATCTGTTTGCCATAACATCATTATGAATTTTCTCTTTTAAAAATGGCAATAACAAGTGACTTATGTTCTAATAAAATTTGGATCACAGCTAGCAAATGAAAGACTATGAGACTCAATCACTTTTAATCATTAAGTTTGTGTTAGTCTTTATTAAAAACAAAAAATAACTAAAATTTCAGACAGCGATGTACATAATATATATAAGAATATACCCAAAAAAGTAAATTTCTACCACCCTCGCACAGCAGAAATTTCAATGGGTTATTCTATACCAAATCCAAGTGTTTACATCCAAGATGTCACAGAGGTAACTTCCTTTTGTACCTAAAGTAAAAATAAATCCATTTAATAGAAGACAAGACACAGGTTCATTTGTAAATTGCCTAACAGCTCTAGTGTATTAAAATTCTAACCTAAGACATATATATTGTAAACCAAAATAAATTGGCTGGCATATGGAGTGAGAAATATCTATGTTCTAGATATGAGAAAAAAGGCAACGTTTAATGACAGCTCTGTTATGAAGTCTCAAACAGAGCTAAAGGTTTCCTGTTGTTGATTCCCATGAAAATTAAAGATACAAAGTCTGTAACTGCCACTCTGTTTTAATATGCACTTAATATCACAATAACTTGAAAATTTTTTTTTTTTTTTAGATGGAGTCTCACTCTGTCACCCAGGCTGGAGTCTAATGGCATGATCTCGGCTCACTGCAACCTCCTCCTCCCAGGTTTAAGCGATTCTCCTGTGTCAGCCTCCCGAGTAGGTGGGATTACAGGCACTTGCCACCAAACCGAGATAACTTTTTCTATTTTTAGTAGAGACAGGGTTTCACCGTGTTAGCTAGGATAGTCTTGATCCCCTGACCTCGTGATCCCCCCGCCTTGGCCTCCCAAGGTGCTGGGATTACAGGCGTGAGCCACCGTGCCCAGTCAACTTGAAAGTTTATAATAAGTAAATAGCCCAAATCTGGTTTCCTCTACTCTACAAAAGTCACACTTCATTTCAATACCACAGCACTGAACAACAGTTGTTTCATCCAACCAAAAGGATTAGTCAAAAAATAAGACAGAAAATAATGACTTAAACCTTTGCTCAAAACTCAAAATCCTCAAGATTCAACATAGTAATAATATGACCATGCTCTAATTTTAGTTCATTTTGTGCTTGGGTTTACATAAAACTTGCTTCAAAAATACTCTAGTTTCTGACTTACACAGCATACAATGGTGCAGACGATAACACTGAGCTTGGCCTATTCTAGTGCTAGGACTTACACTCACTTCTTCCCCTGGAAAGACTATATAGGGTCCCTATCTGCTTGTAATTAAAAAGGGATGAAGTCAAAGCAGAAGCTATTCAATAGCTGTCCCCCAGAATTGTTTGGGCATGTTTAATAAAGAAAATACAAAAGGCAATTTGCTGAGGTTAATTTTTTAAAGAACCACAGAGAACAGAGACAAGGGTTTTCTTACATTTATGTCCCTAATTAAAATAAATGTCAGCATACCATTAAGAAAATCATGAATAAAATTACTGCTTTTCAGTTACCTTATTGAGCTCTGGAAACAGTTCCTGTATCACAATGTCCAATAAAACATAAGTCAGCTAAAGCACCAAAAAATAATAATAATAAATGTTAAGGCACTAAACACAAAAACCATAAAAATGATACACACAAAATTAAAGATTGTGGTTACCTCTAAGTGGGAAGGCAGGGAATGGGACTGATAATATAAAACAAGCACAAAAGTAGCCTCAGTAGTATCAATAATGTTCTATTCTCAAAATAGGTAATAAGTACACATGTGTTTGCATGAGGACACTTTCATTATGCCTCATTAATTCATTTTTATGTTAAATATTTGAATTTTTAGAAAAACAAGAACACAAAATCACAACTGTATTGAGATCTCAACAGAATATATAAAGCTTATACATAGTTTACATAAACCATAAACATAAAAATGTTAACTGGTTATTCTATGTGACTTGAATAATGGAATTATCCATTTTTAATTTTTTACTGTATTTCATGAATTTTCTATGCCAAATTTTCTACAATTACTATATATTAATTTTAAATCAAAATAATTCATCTTATTTAGAAAAAACTGAAACAAAAAGAGTAACTCAAATAAAACTTTTTTTCTATCTGAATGTTTAAAATTATATTGCCTTGGTTTAGTATAGTGTCATTTATACAACTAATGAGTTACCAGACACCTTACTACGTCGTTCACCAAACCTAGCCAGCATGAGTTTACGAGCTTTAATGAGCTTTACCTGCTTGTTGAGTACTGGTTGCTGTAAGCCATCAAACAGAAGTCTGATGCTTTCATACTTGGTTTCTTCACCAATACACTTGACTAACAGATCTAAACAAAAAGGCCAAATGTGAAATAATTTTATATTATAAAGTGACTCACCATTAACTGGATCATAAAGCAAAATCACCACCCTGTTTCCCAGATACTAGGCAAAAACTGCAAATCAATACTCCCCAAACCAGTGTTTCTATAAGAGGCTCCTGGATAAGAGGTTTCTATGGTCAAGTTGACAAATGCAGTATCATGTATCCCATTTTTGGAGATTCACAATGCACAAGGCATAATGCAAACTCTGAGAAATGCTGCAGTAAAAAAAAAAAAAAAAAAAATCTGCTAGTTGGAAAATAATACTTATTGTATTACCCCACTAAGGGAAAACAAAACAAATTAAACCCTAAAATGATGTTTGTACATCTGTACATACATGTATAGAAATGCATGGAAAAATGTAAGGATTAACACCCAATGTAGGATAAGCCGACTTCTACCCAGTGGGCAGAAGATAGCTTCTACTTTTTATTCTATATATTTTCATAGTGCTCTTAATATCAGAAAAAAAAAGTTTAATTTTTAAGGCAGACTTTTCTCAGTGAATAAGAACACCTAATTTCTGGACTTTTGCATAAGTTACTATTAACCATCTTACAAACCAATCATTTTGGGAAATATAACAAATATTTAAACACTTATTTAGGGTCCAACGAGTTCAGATTTGTGTCTGGCTGCATAGATGTCATGTACCACTGATATCAATTCTGTTACCAAGAAAAGTCAATCCTTATTAAGATCTCCACTGAATGCTTCCCTAAGCAGAAAAAAAAGAAGTTATTCTTATATAAACAAGGTACTCAAATATTTATCCTTTTTCCCCTATCATAACTAAACTCCTAGTGTTGGTCATAAAAAATTCTAATGCTAGGAGACAAAGCCAAATTTAATTTACAATAGGCATAGTACATCCTTGGTATTTTCAAGATATGTGGCCCAATACAAATCTTTGTTAATCCTCAAACTCACCAATACTACATGGAATTTCCCAATTAATATGCATGAAACTAATGAACAAATATACGTAATTCTTTCACATCCTTCAGGTGTCACTAAGTAAGAGATGAGGAGCAGAGGATAACACAAAGGAATGGTAAGCTTGCTCAAGAGCTAAGTTACTCTCCCAAACGGGAGTCTTAAAGTGAATGTGGTTTGAATTTGTGCCTCAGCAAAATAACAAATTACTATATTCTCTGGCTCTCCATGTTGTTTCTGAGTATCAAAGCTGAGACTGTTGAAAGTATGAATGCTAAGGGTCATTATATCAGAAAACAGGTAAAAAAAAATTATTTCATCATTTGCCTACAGAAAATTTACTCAAAAACAGCTTATGTTCAGTTTTATATTCAGAGCAGATATTTAAGTTAATTATTTTCACAAGGAAGAGCAGAACTATTCTAAGGCTAGTTCCTCAATATTAAGAATTCTCTAAGGTTCTGTCCTAAGACCTCCTCTTTTTAAAATAAACTTTACTTTTTAAAGTAGTTTTGTGTTCACAATGAAACTGAGCAGAAGGAAGAGATTTCGCATATGTTCCCTGTCTTGTCTCCCCGACTATCAACATCCCCAACAAGAGTGTACATTTGTTACAACTGATAACACACATTGGTACATCATTATTACCCAGAGTCCATAATTTACATTGGAGTTCGTTCTTGGTGTTGTACGTTCTGTGGGTCTGGACAAATAGATGATGATATGTAACCATCATTATAGAGTAGTTTCACTGCCCCAAAAAATCCTCTCTGCTCTGCCTATTCATCCCTCCCTCCCCTCCAATCCACTGTCTTCTTAGTTTTGCCTTTTCCAAAACAGCAGATAGTTGAAAATATACAGTATGCAGTCTTTTCAGATTGGCTTCTTTCTCTTAGTAAGATGAATTTCAGGCTCCTCCATGACTTTTCATGATGTGACAGCTCATTCCTTTATAGCACTGAATAATATCCCATTGTCTAGAAGTATGAGTTTATTTATCCATTCACCTAAATAAAGAACACCTTGGTTGCTTCCAAGTTTTGGCAATTCTGAAGTTGCTATAAACATTCATGTGCAGGTTTCTGGGTGGACATGTTTTCAACTGCTTTGGGTAAATATCAAGAAACATAATTGCCAGATCTCATGGTAAGAGTGTGCTTAGTTTTGTAAGAAACTGCTCACCTGTCTTCCAAAGTGGCTACACCATTTTGCATGCCCACCAGCAATGAATGAGAATTCCACATGTTCACCAGCAAATGGTGGTGTTGGTGTTCTGGATCTGGGCCATTCTAACAGGTGTGTGGTGGTATCTCATTGTTTTAAATGTGCATTTCCTTGATGACATATGATGTAGAACATCTTTTCATATGCTTGTGTGTAATCTTCTTTGGTAAGGTGTCAAGATATTTGGCCAATTTTAAAATCAGGTTGTTTGTGTTCTTATTGTTGAGTTTCAGGATTTCTTTGTACATTTTTGGTAACAGTCCTTTATCTGATACGTCTTTTGCAAATATTTTCTCCCAGTCTGTGGCTTCTCTTTTCATTCTTTATAGTGTCTTTCACAAAGCAAAATTTTTAATTTTAATGAAGTAAAGATTATCAATTATTTCGTCTATGGTTCATGCCTTTGGTGTTGCAACTAAGAAGTCATCGCCAAACAGAAGGTCATCTACATTTTCTCCCATGTTATCCTCTAAGTTTTACAGTTTTGCTGTAAACTGTTCCTTTGCTAATAAGAACAGTTGCTGTAAGTCTGTTCTTTTGCTAATATCACACTTTCTTGATTACTGTAGCTTTATAGTATGCCTTGAAGAAAGGTAGTGTCAATCCTGTGACTTTGTTGTTCTCAATCAATATTGAGTTGGCTATTCTGGGTCTTTTTGCCTCTCCATATAAACTTTAAAATGTTTGTCAATACCCACAAAACAACTTACTGGGATTTGGATTGGGACTGCATTGAATCTATAGACGAAGTTCAGAAGAACGGACATCTTGAAAACAGAATATTTCTATCCACATAAAATCTCTCTCCATTTATTTAGTTCTTTGATTTCTTTAATTAAAGTTTTACAATTTTTCTCATATAAATCTTGTGCATGTTTTGTTAGATTACTACCCAAGTATTCCACTTTTGGGGGTGCTAATGCAAATAGTATTTTTTTTAATTTCAAATACCACTTGCTCACTGATGATATACACGAAAAGTAACTGAATTTTGTGTATTAACCTTATATCCTACCACCCTGGTAAAATTGCTTATTATTTCCAGGAGCATTTTTGTCAATTTTTGGATATTCTACATAGACAATCATGTCATCTGTGAACAAAGACAGTTTTATTTCTTTCTTCCCAATCACTATGCTCTTTATTTCCTTTTCTTGTCTTACTGCACTAACTAGGACTTCGAGTACAATGTTGAAAGCAGTAGTGAGAGCATGCCTTGTTCCTCATCTTAGTGGGATAGCTTTTAAGTTTTTCATCAAGTGTGATGTTAGCTATAGGTGTTTTTGTAGATATTCTTTATCAAGTTGAGGATGTTCCCCTCTCTTCCTAGTTTGCTGAGATCATAAGTGGGTGTTAGATTTTGTCAAATGCTTTTTCTGCATCTACTGCTATGATCATGATTTTTCTTCTTTAGCCTGCTGATGTGATGATGGACTACCTTAATTGACTTTTGAATGAATGCTGAACCAGCCTTGAATACCTGGGATAAATCCCACTTGGTGTATAATTCTAACATCCCTGCCATATCTGACTCTGGTTCTGATACTTGCTCTTTCTCGTCAAACTGTTTTTTCTTGCCTTTAATATGTCTTGTAATTTTTTTCTTGATAACTGGACATGACACACAAGTTAAGAGGAACTGCTGCAAACAGGCCTTTAGTAATGTGGTGATAAAATATGGAGGGAGAGGAAGGGTTCTATAGTCCTAGGAGGGGGTCTCAATCTTTTAGTGAGCTTGTACCACTGAACTGTGAACTTCACACATGCTTCTCAGGCCCCCCTGACCCCCTTGCACAGGACAAGATGGCTAGAGTGTATTGGAGTTGGGTATTTCCCTTCTTCCATGTGGAAGGCCAGGGCTGGCTAGAGTTGGTTCTTTCCCTTCCATCAGGTCAGTCAGGCTCTGGTCACTTTCTACTGAGGGTAGGGCCTTGTCAAGAACAGAATGCCCTGACTGATGTATTTCAAAATGGTTCCCTTCTGGCCCCCTTGCCAGAAGCACATGGGGATTTTTCTCCAATATTCACTGTGGGATCTTGGTCAAGGCCCTGGAGGTAAAACTCACAAAAAAAGTGTGGATGGGCTGGGCACGGTGGCTCACGCCTGTAACCCCAGCACTTTTGAAGGCCGAGGCGGGTGGATCACCTGAGGTCAGGAGTTCGAGACCAGCCTGACCAACAAGGGGAAACCCCATCTCCACTAAAAATACAAAAATTAGCCAGGCGTGGTGGTGCAGGACTGTAGTCCCAGCTACTCGGGAGGCTGAGACAGTAGAATTGCTTGAACCCAGGAGGCGGAGGTTGCAGTGAGCAGAGATCGTGTCATTTCACTCCAGCCTTGGTGACACAGTGGGGCTCTGTCTCAAAAAAAAAAAAAAAAAAATGTGGATGGGTAACCCCATGACTTGGTTCCCCTGGAGTTTTTAATCTCTTAAAAAGAGATTTAAAAGGCTGTAGCAATTTGTCAGTTATAGTTCAGGTTTCCCTAGCTCAGCACTGGCTTCTCCAGGGGTTTTGAGTTCACGGGTTTCTGCTGCAGCTAGCTATGATTCTCTCCAACCTTGGGGGGCAGTGGCTTGCCGTATGACCTCACTCTCTGGTGAATCTAAGAGTTGTTTAGTTTTTTTAGTTCATTCAGGTTTTTGCTTGTTACTAGGATGGAGTGATGATGGCCAGGTTCTTATGTGCCAGACCAGAAACTGGAAGTCACCCTTTTCTCTTCTTACTCCATACTTTCTCCCTATGCTTTAGTATCTACTCACACATGGCTCCCATATCTCTACTAATCTATCCTATACCACCTTTTCTCCAACTTTTGAACCTCGGTGTCTAAGTGTTTAACAGACACTTCCTCCTGAGTAATTTATAGGCACTTCTCATTCAAAATGTTCTAAACTAAGAATCACCTGCTTTGATCCCTTGACATTTCTTCCTTGTTATTTCCCGTCACAGTTAAGAGGTTACTACCACTCATTTCCTTAGTGGCCCAAACCTACCAACTTTACAGAGGAGGTGACCATCCTCCTCCTTTGTGATATCTCTGTAACTTGAAAATGCCTCTATTATCACATGTATGTTTTGTCTATATGCCTGTCTTCCTGCTAGACTGACCTACTCAAGTGCATTTTTTATATGCCTTGCATTTTGCATAGTGCCTGGAATATGGAAGGTGCTCAATAAATTTGGAATGAATGAATTCTGATCTTTTATCATACACACTAGTGAGCTATTCTTATGGTGTCGTGGACACAGGCCTTCAATTGTCCCACATGTCACTTTGACCAGTCTGACTATAAGTTATTTTTGAATGAATCTGGCTATTATGTGAGTAGAAACAGCCTTGCCTTAAAGTCCTAATATCTTAGTCTTAGTGCTAACATCTGAAAGAATTATTTAACTAGTGTGTTAATTTTAACTGATCTTTGCAACTATTTGTAAAATGAAAACTCACAGTAAAAAATTAGCTTCAATAATTACTATACATTGTGACCTCAACGGACTGCTAATCTATATGAAATTAAGTTACTTCTTAAATATTACACCTGGAATGTAATTCATCATTTCTTCAAAAGTCTGTTTTGCTCCTTTTTGCTTATCTTGGAGAGAGCGAGGTTCAGTGTTTTCACAGAATATAGCATCTAAAAAAGAGTAAAAAGAAATATTTCTGGAATTTTCATCTATTTATACACAAAGGATTTCCTCATAGTAGAAATACTAATAAACCAAAGCAAAACAAGATTTCTTCCTCTTTAGATTCAATTAAAATCATAGAGTACACAAAATATGAAACAAACACATTAGAAAATACAAACCTCTGAGAAGTGTTATGAGTGAGACCAAACGGTGCTCCTGAAATAGCTGTTCTAGTTTACACTGAAGATAGTAATCAGTATACATTTCCAGGGTGTTTTTAAAGAGGATTCGAGTTCCCATTAAGAGATGATGAAGCCAGTCAGGAACCTGGAAAACTACCCGTCCTGAGAAAGGATCAAATGGGATACCTCATTGTTCCAGATGAATTGGTATTTTTGAAATTTGCCAATGTAGAAAACACAAATGACCATGGTCAATATTTTATTTGTAAACACTAGCAACTTTAATATGATCAAGGCCAATCGTATTGAATTATTATAAAAGGTATCTTCAATTAAAAAGACAGTTATGATGGGGCAATACTCAAGATCATTATTTGCATCACAGAAGAAGTAAGATGAATGAAAAACAAGTCTTAAACCACTTAGATCTTACCTACATACATCAGGTAATCATAGACTCCTTCTACAGTCATCACCTCCATAAAATAATTCTGATTTTGCTTTCTCTCTGTATTTTCAGCACGGTTTGCATTATTTTTAAACAGATCATTGAAAAGCTAAAATAAAAGTTGGAATAATAAAGAGATATATAGTTTATTACATCTGCTGACGATAATCAATAAGGATTAAGTGTCACACAGCAAAGGCATTTAAACTTTTTCCAATCAAAACAGAATATTAGATAGGTTAATATATGCTTCTAAAATTCCCCATTTATGCCCCGAATTGCAATAAAAAATACATGTTCCCCAAAAATATTACATAAAAACTAAAATATTCATTTTAGTTACAGTAGATAATTCATTATCCATTAAAGACCCCTTTGTTTTTACATACCACAAAAGCAAAGTAACATAAAAAGATGTACAAATATATTATTGATAGCTAACTTTAAAACTAACATGATTTAGGCCAGGCGCAGTGGCTCACGCCTGTAATCTCAGCACTTTGGAAGACGGAGGCAGGCAGATCACCTGAGCTCGCAAGTTTGAAATCGGCTTGTCCAACATGGTGAAACCCCATCTCTACTAAAAATACAAAAAAATTAGCCAGGTGTAGTGATGCGTGCCTGTAGTCCCAGCTACTTGGGAGACTGAGGCAGGAGAATAGTTTGAACCTGGGAGCCAGAGGTAACAGTGAGCCGAAATCGTGCCACTGCACTCCAGCCTGGGTGACAGAGCAAGACCGTCAAAAAAAAAAAAAAAAAAAAAAAAACACTAACATGATTTAAAGATTATAAATCACTATAAGTAGAGGTAAAAATCCAGCGTTAGGTGAAATTTATTTGGACAATATTCAAAGCCCACAAAGGCCTAATCAATGTTGGGGTGGGGGGGAACTAAAACAAGATATTAAGAATTAATGGTTGCAGTGAGCCAGAGATTGCACCACTGCACTCCAGCCTGGGTGACAGAGTGAGACTCTGTGAAAAGGGAGAAAGAGGGGAGGGGAGAGGGAAGAGAAGTAAGGAGACTGTGGAGGAAAGTATATTCGATTTTACCTGAAGATGAATTTTTTAAAAGCCTCCTAGAAAAGTATCCTGAGAACAAAGACCATATATTCTATTGGCTCTTATGTCAGATATTATTAACACAGACACATACTTAAAACATTTTTCCCCAACCCAAAAAATAGGAAAAGGGCTCTCCCTTCTGATATATTATTCCCTCTACTCTTTTAAATTTTCAGTGTAATTTTTTTTTTCACTAAAAAACAGTGATATTATATAGTAAGTCTGGAAAACGGGAAAAACAACTCAATTTTGTTTTCCCTCTGTATTTTCAGCACGGTTTGCATTATTTTTAAGCAGAAATCTAAAATAAAAGTTGAAATAATAAAGAGATATACAGTTTATTACATCTGTTGACAATAATCACTAAGGCTAAATAAAGTGACACAGAGCAAAGGGGCATTTAAACTTTTAAATTAAAACTCAACCACCTAATAGTGTTACTATTAAACTTTTGTATATTAACTTGTACTCTCTATATACATAGCCACAAATCAATGAGGTTCAAAAAATATCACATCCTACTTTTTCATTTAGCACCATATCAAATATCTTTATGTTGCTTTATAGTTTTCATAAGCACAATTTCATCTGCTGCAAAACACTCCTTGAATAGATGTTCCTTAAAATAATCATTCCTACAATGTTAGAATTTCATGTTGTTTCCAATTTTTCACTTATGTAAACAATATTTTAATAAACACCTTTACATGTTATAAGCTCTTCTCTTATTTTTCTCCCTGACAAATTCCTAGCATTCCTAGCATGAGTTCAATAGGTTATATTTTGTAACCTTCATGACTCATGAAGTAATAAACCTGAAGAATTTTGTAATTGTTAAAGAAATTAAATTGGTTATAAAAAATCTTCCTACAAACAAAACTGGAGGCCTAGATGACTTTACCAACTCTATCAAATATTTATAAAAAGTCTACCAAAAATAAAAAATGCTAATAAAACTTTGATACCAAAACCTAACAAGGACAGAATGAGAAAGAAAAATTATAGGCTATATTCTACCCATAAACATGAATGTAAACTTCCTTAATCTTTTTTTTTTTTTTTTTTTTTTGGAGACAGAGTCTTGCTCTGTCCCCCAGGCTGAAGTGCAGTGGCGCGATCTCAGCTCACTGCAACCTCCACCTCCCAGGTTCAAGCGACTCTCCTGCCTCGGCCTCCCGAGTAGCTAGGATTACAGGCACCCACCACCACGCTTGACTAATTTTTGTATTTTCAGTAGAGGCAGGGTTTCACCAAGGTGGCCAGGCTGGTCTCAAACTCCTGACCTCAAGTGATCCATCCACCTTGGCCTCCCGAAGTGCTGGGATTACAGATGTGAGCCACTGCACCTGGCAACTTCCTTAATCTTATAAAGGTTATCTATTAATACAAAAAGAGCTACACCACACTATTCGATGGTGAAATAATTAAACAATTTCCTTTCTATATAGCAGTCCTAGTCAGGAATAAAACAAAACTGCAATCATCTGCAACAATTGTGTCAATATAAAAGAATTACCAGATATTACTAAAACTAATGTTAAGTCTAGCAAGACGACTAAATAAAAATTTTCTATCTATATATACAAGTTATAAAATGAAAACATTAATAATATTAAAGATACCATTCAGAGTATTAACAAAAATAAAAGATAGAGGTCCTCTGAGCTTCCATAGCTCCCCATGCTGGGCACTACACCTTGGCACTAAACACCTTCTTGAGGACAAGGAATGTATCCTTATATTCCCAGTGCCTAGCACTCAATCGTAGGCATGTAATAAAATGTTTGTTTAATGAATGGATAAAATACTTTATAAGCCATGAAAGTTAGGTAATGCCATCCAATAAACATAAACACAGTATAGCAATTAATTTCTTATTATTGAAAGTTGGTGACATATAACCTAAGAAAACCACTTTTAAAAATCCCCAAATACAGAAGTGGCATCAGTTTGCAAATATAGTATCCAGAGAAACATTTACCACATTAAAGCAAAGAACCAAGTAATTACACACAATACCCTCTGTATACCGTTCAACTGATTTCCACATAAAGGAAATGTATAGCTCAATCCATTTCATTAACAAAGTATTCATTCTCTCGACAATGAAAAAGTAATCTCAAGTAGGGCAACTTAAAACTTAATAGTTCTTTAATGCAATGTGCAGTACCTTCTTGTTGTTTTCTGAAGTAGGGCTGAGAATGGTCAGTTCTGGTCTACTTGGTTTAGGCTTTGGAGACTCACAAGAATTAATGAAATTCATGATAAAAGGTTCCAAATGCTGACCTTTCTGTGGTGATAGATTATTGTAAGAAAATAAAAAATAAAGGTAATTTTTAGTACATAATCCAGCAAAATTTATCAATATTTAAATATGTTTATGATTATCATGTTATAGAACACACATAAATCAGTTACTCACCTCTTTCATTAGTTTTCCAGGAACAGATTTTATAATTTTCCCTGCAATTAAAAGTAAAACATTATTTTAGGAAGGCATAAAACTCTTCATAATTGCTCACATGAATACTTAACCAGGTAATTTTAAATACGAAATAGCCAAGTTAAAACTGTAAAAGTATTTATGATTGACCATTTCACACTCCATGGAAATTTTCAATAAATATGGTATTCTGAAATATTTATAGATAGAATATTTGGGATTTACTTTAAAAAAATCCAGTGAGGTAAGTGGTGGGAGAAGGGATGGAACAAGCCAAGGGTTGATAACAACGTTGAGTAAGAAGTTTATTACATAATTTTGTCTACTTTTGTGAAAATTTCTATAAGAAATATTTTCAAAGGGTTTTCAGTAACAGTGAATATATAATGGTATCTAAAGATATGCAAAGGTCAGTCAAAAAAAAGTTTTAAGAACTGCCTCAATATTTAAAACTATTTCAGTAGTTTATATTCTGAATTTTAGATTAAGAATTTCTATTCTAAATCCTATGTTTGCCAAAATTACTTCTTGATCTCCAGCTTCCCTTAATTTGAAACATCAAACATCTTGAGATTTTCTCCAGCATTTAGAAATGACTTAAAAATCAATCAAAATTGATAAATACAACTTAAACTGCTTTCTGAACAAATCAGAAAAAAGTAGATTTATGGCAATAGAAGGGGACATTAATAATAAAGAATAAAAATACTGTTTTGTGACAGGCAAACCACCCAACCTTCCCATTTGGCTATTTCTGGTATTTCTGGTTCTCATAACACCCCCTCCTTAGAATGTTCCCAAGTTCTTTAAATTATATGGTTTCATCCTATGCTTTTCTGTCTTCTATGTGTTCTTACTGAGCCAAATTATTTGCTCAATCTGATTTCAAATAAAATTCAAATCTCTAATCTCTGCCTGTCTCCTGGACTCTCCTGCTTTATAAAACTTCAACTGGATTCTATAAACTCAGTAAGTTCAAAACTGCTCTTAATGTATCCCCTATTCCAACAAGTAACAGCATTCATCCAGTTATTTAAATAGAAACTTGGATCATCCCTGATCATTTCTTCTTCAATCAAACCTAGTCAGTAACCAGGAATACCCAATCTCCTAAATGCCATATATAACCAAATATTTTGTCCTCACTTTTTTCCCCCAATAAAAAGATACACAAACACTAAATATTTTGACTCAAATAAATGTATTGATTTGGGTGGGGGTGTGGGTATAGACAGAAGCCAAATGTCTACTTGCATTATTTAACTCACTGATTTAGTTCCATATACATTACTTCAGATTACATCATATAAAATATATTTAGAGGCTAGTCAGGGTGGCTCCACGCCTGTAAGTCCAACAATTTGGGAACCTAAGGTGGAAAGATCAATTGAGGAGTTCAAGACCAGCTTGGGCAACAAAGCGAGATCCCATCTCTACAGATATTTAAAAATTAGCCAGGTGTGCTGGTGTGTACCTGTAGTCTTAGCTACTTTGGGAGGCTGAGGCAGGAAGGATCACTTGAGCCCAGGATTTGAGGCTGCAGTGAACTATGATTGTGTTGGCTGGGCGTGGTGGCTCACGCCTGTAATCCCAGCACTTTGGGAGGCCGAGGCGGGCGGATCCCGAGGTCAGGAGTTCGAGACCAGCCTGACCAACATGGTGAAACCCCGTCTCTTCTAAAAATACAAAAATTAGCCGGACGTGGTGGCACACGCCTGTTATCCCAGCTACTAAGGAGACCAAGGCAGGAGAATCGCTTGAACCCGGGAGATGGAGGTTGCAGTGAACTGAGATCGTGCCACTGAACTCCAGCTGGGTGACAGAGTGAGACTCCGTCTCAAAAAACAAAACAAAACAAAACAAAAAAAAACTATGATTGTGCCACTGCACTCCAGCCTAGGCAATAGTGTGAGACTCTGTCTCTAAAAACCATAATGAATACAAATGAATAAAAAATAAAATATATTTAGAAATATTGCTTTTATACAGTAGTAGTAGTAGTAGTAGTAGTAGCAGTAGTAGTAGTAGTAATAGTAGTAGAGATGTAGTCTCACTCTGTCGCCCAGGCTGGAGTGCAGTGGCATGATCTCGGCTCCCTCCACTTGCCAGTTTCAAGCAATTCTCCTGCCTAGGCCACCCAAGTAGCTGGGATTATAGGTGCACGCCACCACGCCCAGCTAATTTTTGTATTTTTAGTAGAGACAAGGATTCACCATGTTGGCCAGGCTGGTCTTGAACTCCTGACCTCAAGTGATCCACCCACCTCGGCCTCCTAAAATGCTGGGATTACAGGTGTGAGCCACTGCAACTAGTCAATGCTATATTATTTTTTACCTTTTTTTTTTTTTAGATGGAGTTTTGCTCTGTTGCCCAGGCTGGAGTGCAGTGGTGCAATCTCGGCTCACTGTAACCTCCACTTCCCAGGTTCAAGCAATTCTCCTGCCTCAGCCTCTTGAGTAGCTGGGACTACAGGCGCCCACCACCATGCCCAGCTAATTTTTGTGTTTTTAGTAGAGACAGGGTTTCACCATGTTGCTCACACTGGTCTTGAACTTCTAAGTTCAAGTGATCCATCTGCCTCAGCCTCCCAAATTGCTGGGACTACAGGTGTGAGCCACCACGCCCAACGATTTTTTAACAATTTTATTCAAACTTTTCCAGCTTACACTAGTTTGGTCTGTTTTGATGTTTATGTAAAAAGAATCAGACTGTATATATTCTTTCATGTTTTGTTTCTTTCATTCAACATTTTTAAAAGTTCATCCACATTGTTGCTAGTAGCCTCATGATATGGGTATTCAACGTTATGACTTTACCACAGTTTATCTGTCCATTCAATTGCTGATGAACATTTGTGCTGTTTCTAGTTTGGGCTATACAAAGAACTCTACTATGAACGTTCTTAAACATGGATAGATTCTCCAAAGTATATATCTGAGAGAGGAACTGCTGGGTCCTTCAGTTTTTATACCAAACAATTTTTCCAAGTAGTTTTTCAATTTATAGTCCTACTAACAGTGTGTAAGAGTTCCTGTTCCTTTACATCTGCACCAATATTTAGCACTTAGTATAATCAGACTTTTAAAAACTTTGGTGAATGCGGTGTTTCCCAAACATGATTCTAATTTGAGTTTCCCTATTAATAAAATTAGGCACCTTTCCATGTATTTATTGACCATATATTGATTTCCTCTTTTGTGAAGTGTTTTTTCTTTTGTTTTTAGAGAAAGGGTCTCACTCTGTCACTCAGGATGGAGCACAGTGGTGTGCTCATAGCTCACTGTAACCTCGAACTTTCTGGGCTCAAGTGATCCTCCCGCCTCAGCTTCTGGAACAACCAGGATTACACATGCACACCACCATACCCAGCTACTTTTTTGTTGTTTTTTTTTCGTAGAGACAGAGTCTCACTTACGTTGCCCAGGCTGGTGAAATTATTTTTCTTCTGTCCATTTTTCTACTGTATTGTCTTCTAACTGAATTTGCAATATTTGCAAATATTCTCTCCCCTTGTACAGGTTAAATAGTTGCAAAACATACAGGTAAAATATCCATAAATATTTCCTCCCATTCTACAGGTTGTCTCTTCACTCTGCTGCTTGTTTCCTTTGCTGTGTAGAAGCCTTTTATTAGATTGGTGCAAAAGAGAGATTTTTGCTGTTTAAAAGAAAAAAAGGCAAAAGCCACAATTACTTTTGCACCAACCTAACAGTTTAATCTAGCCCCATTTGTCTATTTTTGTTTTGTTGCCTATGCTTTTGAAGTCTTAGCCATAAGATCTTTGCCTAGACTAAAGTCGAGAAGCATCCTCCCCTCATTTTCTTCTAGTAGTTTTATAATTTGGGGTCTTACATTTAAGTCTTTAATCCACTATGAGTTTGATTTTTTTATTATGTGATTGATAGTGGTCTAGTTTCATTCTTCTGCATATGGATATCCAGTTTTCCCAGCACTATTTATTGAAACAGGTGTCCTTTCCCCCATGTAGGTTCTTGACACCTCTGTCAAATTTAGTTGACTATGAACACATGGATTTATCTCTGCTATTTTCTAATACCTTTACAGGTTTCTATATAGGACTTTAGTCTACTTAAATGTGGCTACTTCGTAGGAGTTCAAATGTATACCCAATGTCCCAGTAGCATTTCTTGAAAAGCTGACTCCTTCCCCATTCTGCAGAGCCATGCTCACAAATCAAGTGTCCACAGACGTATAGATCAGTTTGGGGATCTCTGTTCTGTTCCATGGGTCTACTGATTTGGTGTTATAAGTCAAGACATATGATAGGGCTCTCCAACCTTGTTCTTCTTCTAAAGTGTGTTACCTACTTGGTCCTATGCGTGTTTATATAAATTATAGATTCAGCTTCAAGGTATACACACATACACAACCTGTTTGATTTGGATTGGGACTGTATTATAGCTAGAAATCAACTTGGGGATAAATTTACATCTTTACAATATTGCGGTTTCTAAACAATGAATACGATTTCTATTTTCTTGGGTCTTCTTTAATATCTCTCAATAAAAGTTTACAATTTTCTCTATAATGGTCATGCATACACATACTCTACTAGGTTTATTCCCAGATACTGATTCTAAGTACCTTTAGCATCATCCTTTAAACTGCTGCTAGAGTTGGATTTCTGAAACCTAAATCTGATTAGGTTTCATTGTTTAAAATCTATCAGTGTCTCTTTCCCCCTGCTTAGATGATCAAGTCCAAATTCCTTATCATGACACATTCGGCCATAACTTATCTTTCTAGTCTCACTCTCTTGCATGTACTGTACCTTCAAGATACTCCAAACATTACCAGCTGATTCCCTCTTTCATGCCTCTTGTACATGCCAGTCCCTCCAACTGGAATGATCTCCTTATCTATCTCCTGCCGATTTCTATTAATCTTTCAAGATTAGACAAATGATACCTTCCTAAGAAAGGCTTCCCTGTTTCCCTAAGAAGAACCAGCCGTCCCTTTCTTTCAGCTGGATCTTCAAAAATGGGTAATATGGAAGGGCATTTAAAGTAGAAGAAAAGAGTATAAACAAAGGCATTGGAGCAAAAGAATATAGGGGATTCAATTTTGCTAAAGTATGAAAGGAAGTAGTAAGAAATAATACCGGTAAGTTATATTGGTATCAAAGCACACAGTGATTTTCAGAGGGTTCCATATTAAACAATAAAGATTTCCTAAGTTAACAAAGACAGAAAAACCAAAGGATTTTAGATATGGTCAAACGTGTACTTTAGGAAGATTAACGTGGCTATGTTACATAAGATAAACTGATAGAGAGCAGGAGGAGGATGGGAATCCAGGAGACTAGATAGGAAACTTAGTACAGTTCAAATAAGAGGCAATGAAAACTGAACTAAGGAAACAGTAAAGGGAATGAAGAGGAAGACATGAGTTAGACACCAAATAGGAAAAACGTACAGAATCTGGGAACTAAAAACATGTGTAAGGCAGGGCATGGTGACTCACACCTGTAATCCCAGCACTTTGGGAGGCTGAGGCAGACGGATCACTTGAACTTAGTTCAAGACCAGCGTGAGCAACACGGTGAAACCCCATCTCTACTAAAAATACAAAAATTATCTGGGTGTGGTGGTGCACACCTGTAGTTCTCAGGAGGCTGAGGTGGGAGGAATGCCTGAGCCCAGAAGGCAGAAGTTGCAGTGAGCTGAGATCACGCCACCGCACTCCAGCCTGGGTGACAGAGAGACTCCATCTCCAAAAAAAAAAGATGTGTAGTGAGAGCATGGGAGAGAAAATCTAAGAGGTAATGGTAAAATTTCAAGCATGGCTGAAATGACTGTAGTATCATTAACAGAATTACACGTTGGTTCTGAAAAGATGATAGATCAGATGGTGACGTCCAACTGGGTATTAGAAAGGTACAACTAAAGGTCAGACTACATTTAGGCAGGCAGATCACGAGGTCAAGAGATCGAGACCATCCTAGCCAACATGGTGAAACCAGTCTCTACTAAAAATACAAAAACTAGCTGGGCTAGGTGGCGTGTGCCTGTAGTCCCAGCTACTAGGGAGGCTGAGGCAGGAGAACTGCTTGAACCCGGGAGGCGGAGGTTGCAGTGAGCCAAGATGGCACCACTGCACTCCAGCCTGGGCGACAGCGACAGACCAAGACTCCATCTCAAAAAAGAAAGAAAGAAAGAAAGAAAGAAAAAGAGAAACATTTATATATAGGTAAAGATTAAAATAATAGGTTCTGTGGAGACTGGCAAGAGGAAAATTGAGGACAGAGCTTAGAAAACACCTATATTTATGTGTATAGAGATAAAGGAGGATTGTGTAGGATGAAAATGTAGTGATAGGACTGAAACAGTTAAGAGAATAATATGCAATAATGAATGCCAAAGGCAAAGAATTTCTAAAGGGAAGAATGCTGCAGAGGAGGTCAAGAAGACTGAGGAGTGAGATGTCTCTGTTAACAATGAGATCACTGGCCAGGCATGGTGCTCACTCACGCCTGTAATCTCAGCACTTTGGGAGGCCAAGGCAGATGGATTACCTGAGGTCAGGAGCTCAAGACCAGCCTGGCCAACGTGGTGAAACCCCATCTCTACTAAAACTACAAAAAAATTAGCTGGGTGTCATGGTGGGCACCTGTAATCCCAGCTACTTGGGAGGCTAAGGCAGGAGAATCGCTTGAACCTGGGAGGTGGAGGCTGCAGTGAGCCAAAATCACACCACTGCACTCCAGCCTGGGTGACAGAGCAAGATTCCATCACAGAAAAAAAAAAAAAAAAAATCCAGTCACTGATAACCAGCAGGTGGAACAGTAATTAAGGAACAGTTTTTAAAACAGAATGGAGGCATGCCAGGGGTTTATGGGATGATTCTTTGGAAAATTTCAGACTACCATTTATTTAATTGAATCCTTTGTTATATTTCTATTTTTTATACATGTACTTGTAATGTATGTACTATATTAGTGGTTAGAGAAGATGATCTATCTGGATTTCTGCTGAACTTGTTGCTATTTAGACAAACTATAATAAATAATTCATCCAAAAGTGATAGCTGAAATTAAGTGCTCAAGTATTACAACACAAAAACACTTTCTGAAACATGATCTTCAGGAAATACTAACTTCAATCTCTAATAGTAAAAATATAATAAGGTCTTCAGTATCCCAGCAGACTGTGCTTTGACTACAGATTCTATATCTGTCATAATAAAAATTAATATTTTAAAAAATAGACCAAATATAAGCTTTCTCACACATCTTAATTTCCTTTACAATAGTACTAGTAGAAATAAGGCAATCTACTAACTGCAAAATGGTTTTACTAATTATAAAGTTACTTTGAAATTAAAGATCAAGAAACTAAATTATTTTTCTGTTACTAATGAAAAATTCAAAACAAATTAACAATGATATTCAAAGCAGAAATATTTCCACAATCTCATGTGTACATTCTATGCCAGTTTTATAGCCAACAATTAAACTTTAAATAAAATTCATGTACAGAAGTACCATGAAATGAAATTTGCTCAGAATGACAGATTAATTCAAGTTAATTAAAAGCTAGTTTATACAAAGTTTACTTACCTAAATAACTACTACAAGTGACCCAAAAATTAGGTTTTAAGGAATATTTGTAATGCTTTATAATACAAAATGAGGAAGAGCATGATATAACTTAAAGACGTGGAAAAATGCAACTGTCTTAAACTAAGTTAAATGTTAACAGATCTAGTCTTTTTGAGATATTTAATGACAAATTTCAAATAACACAGCTATTCATATACTGTATGATGAAAACACTGATTCGCATATGCTAAAAATACCATCTCTACTTTTCTTATATTTAAATTTAACAAAATAAATTTATAAATACATTGACTAATGTAATTTTCTGTGATGACAAATGGCTAGAAGTGACTGCTTAAATAATCAGAACTCAAAATGGACAGATTAAGGTCAGCATCTGACAATTTATCTCTAAATGCAGAAATAAGGGCCCTCGGAGTTTACCATAGGCTATACTATATATTTTTCTAAGTTAATCTGAAAATGCTGATTCTTTTCAGCTTATTATCTTATAATGATTCTTTAAATTGACTTACCAAGATTTACATCTGGTAGTATCTTATCAAGAAATTGTGTTTCCCCACCATTAGGGGAAAGAAAGTCTGCCAGAAGTTGACTATTACTCAGTTCTGGATGCTGCAGAAGTTTCTTGAATGAACAAAAAAAACGGAAAACACAGTTTAGAAATCTAGAGGAGTAGTCAAAACTGTATTTTAATTTCTTTAAATTTTAAATCCCCAAAAGCTACTTTATATTTAAAATAATAACAAAGCAACTGCATTTTTAGAGGGAAGAATATAGGATAGTAGGTAAGACCTTGGCCTTTATAGTCAGATATGAATGGGTTCGAATCCTGGCTCTTCCACATGCTAGCTAAGTGCCACTAGAAAAGTTCCTAAATTGCCCAAGAGTCAGTTTCCTAACTTATAAAATGAGAATAATGACACTACCTATAGTATTGTTATATAAAGCATTTAGCACAGTATCTGACACACAGGAAGTAAAACTAAACATTAGCTACTATTATTTCCAGTTTCTCAACTATAGAAAAAAATGATAGCATGATACAGCTGTCCTGATAAATTTTTAAAAGTCGGCATAAAGGGTTTTGCAGAAAACTAGATGGGGAAATGTGAAATAACTTGAAAAATCTGTTGTCTGTTCTTCCTGCAACACTGTTTTCTAATAAGATAACATGGGCTGGGTGCGGTGGCTCATGCCTGTAATCCCAGCACTTTGGGAAGCTGATACAGTGGATCACCTGAGGTCAGGAGTTCGAGACCAGCCTAGCCAACATGGCAAAACCCCGTCTGTACTAAAAATACAAAAATTAGCCAGGAGTGGCAGTGGGTGCCTGTAATCCCAGCTACTTGGGAGGCCGAGGCTGGAGAATCGGTTGAACTCGGGAGGTGGAGGTTGCAGTGAGCTGAGATCGTGCCGTTGCGCTCCAGCCTAGATGACAAGAGCAAAACTCTGTCTCAAAAAATAAAAAAAATTAAAAAAAGACTTTTAAAAGCCAAAATTAACCCAGTCTTAATAGTTTCCTAACTATGAAAGTCACAAAACTTTATAAGCAGAAATCTACATTAAAAATTTAATTTAAATCCATATTACAAGAAAATATTTCTTCCAGAGTGAAGTACTCTAGTTTGTAGAAATAATTAGCTGGTTCAAATAATGAGTTAATAGTATCAACAAAAACATAGCTTTGTGTTTTAACCAAACATCCTTGCAGTAGTTAATTATTATTTCATATTTCAATTTTCATATCACCAAAAATTTATACAGAAGATACCTATATATATATATTTTTTTTTCAACTTAGGGTTGAAAGCATTCAACAGTTCAGAGACAGGAAATAAAGTGTAAATACTCCTTTATACTGCTGAGTATTTTTAATTTAAAAGTCTTTCTTTTTGGCTAGGAAGCATCCAAATTTAACTGAATGAAAAATTCTTAAAAAATATAAAATTCCATGCCCAAATAAAGTATTTTTTTAACAAATTGAAAGTATCCTCCCTTGTAAGCACTTGATAAAGAAAGATGTTTATTAGTCTTGGAGAGCCTGATGTCTCAAGTAACTTTTATGATGACTGTACCATGTATTTAAATAATACACCCATACATTTTAACATAATGTAACGTGCACACACTGAGAAAAATGGAATTCAACTCCACGTAGCAAATAGTAGAGTTGATCCCAGGAAATTGGAAAAATATCTATAAACCCAAAAGAAAAGGGACTGAGGAATAACATAGGAGAGAAGACTCCAAAGTTCAGAAAAAGCTAAACACAAAAATCAAACAGAAAACAGAACAAACAGTAACAAATATTCTAAGAATACTATCCAGTATTCTTCAAATGCATCTAATCTTTTACACCAAGTTCCTTTTTTTAATGTCCTATACAAAGTTGTAACTAGCCTAAAACTAAGTAAAGATTTTTCTTCCCCTAAGAAAATATCTTGCATTTCATTCAATTTGGAGGGAGGGTAAGTAATATACTTTTGACAAAAATTCATTCTAAAATTCACAAGGAAAAATATTTTCTAAATTAAAATCTACATGGACAGGTATTTATAAACCAAAGAACATATACACAAGAGAAAAAGAGACAAATTAGAGAATGCTATGATTAGCAACATTTGGAATTAATACAGTTGATGTTATACCTGTAGATATTCTTGGAACTCTTCCCTCTTTGACTTTAAGAATTCATAATTTTTGGGGCCAATGATCCTCTTAGAAGGAAGCTGGGCATCAGGAAATGCACCTGAAATTAGTATATATTATAGTTATTACTGTGTTCTGCTACTATTTTTAAAACCTTAAATTAGGTTTTAAAATTTACTATGGCACATTCAGATTAGCAATACTGCCTTGTACAGATGTGACATTACTCTTTGAAAATCTTCACAAAACCAGAGAGCTTCAAGTCAGAAGTCCAGACCAAAGAACTTGAGTCTACTGATAAACAAAATATTACTCTTGTAACAATCACTGTTTGACACAGATTTTTTGGCTTTCTATCCTAGTAAAACAGCTTCAAAAAATTATTATGAGATTTTTTTGAAATTGGTGAGATTCTACTAGACAAAACCTTACTAAAGAAATAACTAATTTCTCACAGGGAAAAAAGATAGCATCTTGTCAATGCTATATAAATGGCTTAAAATCACAATGTAGGCTGGGTGCAGTGGTTCACACCTGTAAGCCCAGCACTTTGAGAGGCCACAGCGAGCAGATCACTTGAGGTCAGAAGTTCAAGACTAACGTGATATAAAACCCCATCTCTACTAAAAATACAAAAAAATTAGCCAGGCGTGGTGGTAAATGCCTGTAATCCCAGCTACTTAGGAGGCTGAGGCAGGAGAATCGCTGGAACCTGAGAGGTGGAGGTTGCTGGGAGTTGAGAGCACACCACTGCACTATAGCCTGGGTGACAGAGTGAGACTCACCTCAGAAAAAAAAAAAAAAGGCCACCAACATGATGAAACCCTGTCTCTACTAAAAATACAAAATTAGCTAGGTGTGGTGGCACATGCCTATAATCCCAGCTACTCGGGAGTCTGAGGCAGGAGAATCACTTGAACCCAGGAGGCAGAGGTTGCCAAGATCTCTGTGGTGAGCCAACATCGTGCCACTGCACTGCAGCCTGAGCAACAAGAGGGAAACAAGGAAATGAAGGAAGGAAGGAAATAAGGAAATGAAGGAAGGAAACAAGGAAACGAAGAAGAAAGGAAGGAAACAAGGAAACGAAGGAAGAAAGAAAGGAAGGAAACAAGGAAATGAAGGAAGGAAACAAGGGAAGGAAGGAAGGAAGGAAGCAAGCATGAATGTGCTTTCTCAGATAGGGCTGGCTTTAGAAATTTTAGCATCAAAAAAGAAAAGTATGGAGATAAATTGTCTTCTCTCAGCCTTAAACAAAAAAAGTAGTTTTCAGAGAAAGAACGAGGATGGTACTGCACCAGATTGGTAGAGAGAAAGATAAAACCATTTGAACACAAGTACAAACTCAAAATCTATGCAAAAATATGGAGTGGGACCTTATATTCTTTATCTTCCTATAATAATCATCCTTATCACAGGCTTTGCTCTTACAGCAGGGACAGGAACGTTCCTTACCCTTCTCAATAAAAACCAACCTGAATTTGGATCAGGGGACACTCTACAGAGCTTTTCTAAAATAAAAAGATTTAGAACACACAAATAAAATTCACCAAGCTAAATACAAAAAAAAATAGCTGGAAATTCTTTATAACTATATCCTTGATATTAACCAAAATAAATACATTGATGAGACAGGAAGAACGAAAAAGAGTAAATAGAGAACCCTTTCTAAAATATAGTTTTAAAATAGCTATTTTTAAATTTTGATTTTATTTAAAAAAAGCATAAATGTACATTGCAAGAACTTTAAATATACAGATAAATAAAAATAAGATAAACAGTACATTTCCGTTATCAATGAAAGTATACACAAGCATCAATGTTGTATTTCTTGTATTTCAATTACTTAAAATAAAAAAATTAATCTGGTGTCATAGTTTTAAAGAATGCTAATGCTGAAATGTAATGTTTTATCCAAAAAGAATAACATACCATGAAATTCTGTTAGTTTTGATTCAAGTACATAGAATTCAAGATATCTTCTATAGACAGACCAATGTTCAGGCTCGTGTCCAACTGTAAATTGAGTACACACACACTGAGTAACAAATAATTTCAAAACCTAAAAGAATGCCATATTTAAAACATTAAGAATACAAAGCTGGCTAGACACGGTGGCTCACGCCTATAATCCCAGCACTTTGGGAGGCCAAGGTGGGTGGATCATTTGAGGTCAGGAGTTCGAGGCCAGTCTTGCCAACATGGTGAAATCCCGCTTCTACTAAAAATACAAAAATTAGCCAGGTGTGGTGGCAGGCACCTGTAGTCCCAGCTACTCAGGAGGCTAAGGCAGGAGAATCGCTTGAACCCAAGAGGCAGAGGTTGCAGCGAGCCGAGATTGCGCCATTGCACTCCAGCCTGGGCAACAGAGCGAGACTCTGTCTCAAAAAAAAAAAAAAAGAAAGAAAAAGAAAAAAGAATACAAAGCTGGACATTATTCCACAGTTGTAATTTGTTATTTTTGGCATAACATTATTAACACATTTTATCCCATATTTTAGTTACCTAGAAGTGACTGATAAATTTCATCTATTTATGAAGTTATCTCAAATATACTTTTTCTATAACAGAATCAGAGCTGACAGAAACTTTAAAATATCATGCAATTATGATTATTTTTAAAATATCACCAAAATGATGTATTTCATAAGTTTTTTTTATTGATTTGGGGTTTCTCAAATATTTACCATATTGTCCTAATTTAATATAGTATAGAGCAGTACTATCCAATAGAACTTTCTGCAGTTACGAAGATGCTCCATGGATCTGCATTAATATAGTAGCTACTAGCCACATGTTGCCACTGAGTACTTGAGAGGCAGCTAATGCAACTAAAGAACTGAAATTTTAATACAATTTAATTTGATTTTAATTACCACATGCAGCTAGTGGCTACTAAATTGGGCAGCACATAGTAATGGTTTAAAGAGTAAGTCTGGAATCAGACTGCCTGTTCTAATCCCAGTTAACCCCACCCCCATTTACCATGTGGCCTTGAACAAATAACACCACTGTATCTTACAGTGCTTAGATGTAGAATAACAATAATTGTGTCTATCACATAAAATAATCCACATAAAGCACTTCTGTACAGTGCATAGCACAGAGTAAATACCTCATAAATGTTAACTGTTATTGTTAACATCTAACATCAATCTACCATAGATTTGAGAATGCAGTAGATCGAGTGAACCAATACCACAATCATCCAAAACAACACTTCTTTCTATTTAGAAAAAACCAACCTGATCACAACATATAAAGCAAATCGTAGTTTTCTTCAACACTGGTCTTAAAAGATCCATAGCATATTTAGGCTAGGTTTTTAATGCTGAAATTGTTATTTTGTTATCCGTATAAAATCAATATACTAAATGATATACTTTTTTTCTCCCTCATAATCATGGTTTCTAAGAGCACATTACATTGACAGTAGAAGTCTGCAGCACTGTTGACAAAAATTATCTTTAAAATACAAGCTTTTGGCCCAGCACAGTGACTCACACCTGTAATCCTAGTACTCTAGGAGGCCAAGGCAGGAAGACCGCTTTGAGCCCAGGAGTTTGAGACCAGCCTCAGCAACATAGTGAGACCTTTTCTCTACAAAAAAATTTTAAAATTAGCTGGGCGTGGTGACATGCACCTATAGTCCCAGCTACTCAGGAGGCTGAAGTGGGAGGATCACTTGAACCCGGGAAGTTGAGGCTGTAGTGAGCCACAGTCATGCCACTGCACACCAGCTTGGGCAACAAAGCAAGACCCTCTCTCAAAAAGAAAAAAAATTAAATTAAAAAATAAAATAAAAGTTTTAAGATTTTTTGGTTTTTATTTTTGAATTACTGAGCCATGAACTATTATAATTTATGTTAAATGATTAACCTTTTAAGATAAAGCATAAAAATTAAAAATAGTTGTCTTAAAGCAAAAACAAAAGTATATTCCAAACAAAACTAAGTTTGATATGGAAATCTGACTCTATTATTGACAATGGTTTAGCTGTCCACCTGTCAGAATGCTGAAAGAACAGCAACTACTAAGACTGAACAGCAACTCCAGCAAAATCAGGCAGTATGGTCTAAGACCTGGACAGAAGATGCTGCCTGATATTTAATTATGACAGGAAAAATTATAACTAGCTACTCTGGGCATTCTTCCCTCCCAATTCCTATGTCTCATGTTCTTGAAACAGGATCAACTTCTGAGGAAAATCAGAAAACCTAATACTTTTTGAAAAATAAGTAAGAATAATTAGCACTGATCTTCACACTACTACTTAGTTATCCTCTCAAAACCACTTTCTAACATTGCCACTTTTTTTCCTTCTTTCCTCATAACTCCCTCTTCCTGAGCTCAACTTTATTTTCTGCTCATCATTCTCTAAATGTGGTGCTTTTCGTTACACTCACTGCCCCACTTCTTGGAAAAAGTGCAAAGTGGTGACTATTTTATTTTTTAATTTGATTTCTTTTTATCAAGTTACAAGTAGGACTTTAAAGTGGTGACTGTTTATCCTGCTACATACAGATACTGTTAAACCCGGTCTCTATTACAGTCTATACCTGACATAACCGAAAGAAAAAATATGTCAAAACATGAAGAAGCTTGTAAAGTTTTAACCATATTTTCATCAGTTCTTTTTTTTTTGGAGACAGGGTTTCACTCTTTCTCCCAGGCTGGAGTGCAGTCACACGATCTCGACTCACTGCAACCTCCGCCTCCCAGGTTGAAGCGATCTTCATGCCTCAGCCTCCAGAGTAGCCGGGACTACAGGCACGCACCAAGACGTGTGGCTAATTTTTGTATTTTTAGTAGATATAGGGTTTCGCCATGTGGGCCAGGCGGGTCTCAAACTCCTGACCTCAGGTAATCCACCTGCCTTGGCCTCCCAAAGTACTGAGATTACAGGCGTGAGCCACCATGCCTGGCCATATTTTCATCAATTCTAATTAGCCCACAAAATGGGTGAGAGAAAACGCTGTCTTAATTAAACTAGAATAATACCTGATACAGTGCTATATGGATTAATGATAATTAAGTAAGTGCAATGGCTAATGATGGCAACAAAACCATTAAAAGAACATTGCATTGAATGCCTGATGGACTGTCAGGTGTCTAGCAGGCATCACTCAATAAGTGTTGATTGAATTAGTTAATTAGTTACTGCTATGAAGATAACCTAGGACATCCTAAGCTTTCTTTCAATTTTCTGTTCTGGACACTTCTCTTTTGGATATGCAGCCATATTTGTTAGTTAGAAGTGGCAAAATGTTTATCATACCTGATAACAACAGACTCATTCATGGGCATCTTTTAAGAAAGGTGCTCAGAAAGCTTCCTACCTGCTCTTCTATCATTTCTTTCAACATCAATACAAAACACAGGAATTCTTTCTTTTTTCTCCTTCCTTTCAGAGGAGGGATCCTCAAAAAAGTCTACATATGGAATGCTAATTTTCCATGCAGCAAGGTTTCGGGGAGTATTAGGTGTGCTCACAGCCTCCACTGGAGAATCATCTTCCATTACAACAATACCTTCTTCAATCTGGAAAAAAATTACCAGGATGAATTTAATATTCCCAATACCTTTAGAACTACAGCATATGAGATACAAGTATAAAGTAATATGCCCATATCAATTGATAATTTTTAAGACCCTGAAAGCTAGGTGATATTAAATTTTCTACTGAAAAAGTAAAGGTAAAAAGTTAAAAACTAACAAGTTACTAGCATCAACTCCAAGTTTTCTTACATCATCTGTATATGAAAATATAATAGGCCGGGGACAGCGCCTATAATCCCAACACTTTCAGAAGCTGAGGTGGGAGGATTGCTTGGGCCCAGGAGTTTGAGACTAGCCTGGGAAACACAGAGCAAGTAGGCACTGCTGCCAAATGATCACAACAAGGGTTCTGAAAGATAATGTCAGGCTGGGCGCATTGGCTTTCACCTGTAATCCCAGCACTTTGGGAGGCCAAGGTGGGTGGATCACCTGAGGTCAGGAGTTCAAGATAATGTCTCCTAAGTCTCCAATAAGACATCCTAAATGTCCATCTTAGGATCACAAACCAATTTAGGATCACTCGGCAGTGAAACTGGAAACTTCTCTTTTCCCTCAACTTCCTAAACAAGACAAAGAGGATTCCCCAAGGTCCCACGGCTTAGAACTAGCACAGTGTCTTCTAAATTCTAAATGGCATCATCTTAGTCTGCGTTAGCACCTTACTGTCCCTGAGTTTTCCCTTGATAGTATTAAACATTAGTTTGCCTGCTTCTCCAACTTTCTGTTACTACTATCTTTAATCCCAATCAAGAATTTCCTTCTTCCTTGGGTCACTATAAAACAAAGCAAACTCTCTCAGCTTTTTAAAGATAGCCTCCTATTCCTAAAGCTAAAGTACAACTTGTGTATCAAGCAATTGGGAAGGCAAAAAATAAAAAATACATCTTCTTCCACAAAAAATTATGTTTTAAAAGTTCATAATAACACGGTTAAATACTTTTGTTATAATATCGAATAGAGAAAAGATAGCAAACTATATATAAAATGTAGTCTACAGGGGTGAAAAGGGAAAGTTTTTTTTTTTTTTTTTAAAGAAAATCACCAAACTATTAATAGAAGCGGTTTCTGGGTGGTAGATATGCACGTACGTGGCATTTAAATTTTTTCCACTGTTCTATATTATTAAAAAACTGAGAATATGCTTAAAATTAGAAAACATAAACATTATTTTGAAAAAGACTTTCTCTGATCTACTTTCTTCTATCCATACTTTTTTTTTTTTTTTTTTGAGACAGGCTTTTATTCTGTTACCCAGGCTGTAGTACAGTGACACAAACATGGCTCACTGCAGCCTTGACCTCCTGAGCTCAACTAATCCTCCCAAGTAGCTACGACTACAGTTGGGCACCATCACACCCAGCTAATTTTTTAATTTTTGTAAAGACAGGGTCTCACCATGTTGCCCAGGCTGGTCTTGAACTCCTTGGCTCAAGCAATCCTCCTGCCTCAGTTTCCCAAAGTACTGAGATTACAAATATGAGCCACCACACCCAGCATAAAACTACCCACACCAAGGCTGGGTGCAGTGGTTCACGCCTGTAGTCTCAACACTTTGGGACTACAGGTGGGTGGATCACGAGGTCAGGAGTTCAAGACCAGCCTGGCCAACATGGTGAAACCCCATCCTTACCAAAAAAAACCACAAAAATTAGCTGGGCATGGTGGCGGGCGCCTGCAACCCCAGCTACTCAGGAGGCTGAGGCAGGAGCCCGGGAGGCGGAGGTTGCAGTGAGCTGAGATCGTGCCATTGCACTCCAGCCTGGGTGACAGAGCAAGACTCCGTCTCAAAAAAAAAAAAAAAAAAAAAATTACTACCCACACTTACAGGGAAAAAATAAAGGCATAAAAAAACGGCTTTATTTGAATTAATAAAAAAAGGTTTAAATAAGATTTTATTCCATTTAAATTATTATGAAGAATCAGTGACCCTTACATGAAGGCAATGGGACAAAGGTCAAAAGGAAGGGGTAAAGAAAAGGGTTTACTCCTGTCACCCCACCTTTCCTCCTTCTTGGTCATCATCAATCCAATCAGTACTAAACACCCCTTTTATACCCACGTTAGTGAATTTCTTAAAGCCGAGGTCTACGTCTTAATCATCTTTTCATCCCCAGTGCCCAGGGTCATTAAAAGGCAAAATGAGAATCCAAGATCTCTATTCAATAAAAATAAAAAGTACAAATGAGACAATACTTGCCTTTATGGGACTATGTGATAGGAAAGACAATCATAACACGTAACTTGAAATACATTATGGTATAAGCTTTAACATACGATATAATAGGGACACAAAAGGAGGAAATGTTCAGTTCAACTTGGGGATTTGGGTAAAGGTTTATGGGGAACAGTTGCATTTTGAAGGATGCCTATGAATTTTCTAGGTCAATACACAAATGAAGGGCATTTCAAGCAGGACAAAAATACAGAGAAATAAAATAGGATGGTAAGTAAAATGTTTATATAAGTCAACTGGAAATCTTGTTAAAATGCAAATTGATTCAGTAAGTCTAGGATAGTGCCTGAGATTCTGTATTTATACAAGCTTCCAGGTAATGCCAATGCTGCTTGTCAACAGACTGTAGTTTAAGTAAGCAAGGAGTTAGAGCATCTATTAGCAACTCTGTATACCTGGAGTACATGGTGGGAAAAAGGTAACATCAGAATTTGAAGCTTAACCAAAAGACGGTAAACTGCTTGACTATTAGAAGTATCTCAGCTTAACAGGAACTATTCTGCCTTAATAAGCAATAACACAGTTCTCAGGAATTTTAAAAATTAGATTCACGTCATGAAACTATCACAACTAATGAAAGAATGAGAAATACAAAGGAAGTCTGAAGTAAGAAGATAAAGGTAAAGTATTAAACAGAATACACAGATTCTCCAAAAAAAGGAAAATAATGAGTATATCTAATTTTTATGTCATAGTAAGTCTGAAGTTATAAATAAATCAAATTGATACATTTTACTTACAAAATCATCTTCACCTTCAGCTACACCATAATTAGGCAACATAGCTCCCTCCATTGTGGTACTTTTGAATACTCCTTTAATTTTGCTACCTATTCTGCTGATTCCAAATGATTCTCCCCTTTTCTGTGTGTTCCTGAATATTAAACAAAAATGTATCAAGTACATAGCAAATTATCACAACAGTCTAGTTTATTGAAAACCATTATTAAAAAAAAGAAAAACAGTTTTGAAAATGATAAACTAAAGGTATAGCTAACATAACTTTTGGAGTTTTCATACACGGATTAAGTATCAACATCTCAGAAGTCAAAAATGACACAGTATTTAAAGTTTAAATTTGGTGGATGAATAAATGGGACAATATTTATTTATAAACACTCAAAATTTACCTAGTATTAACTTCAAAATATTAACAGGATTAGAATTTTTAAAAGATGAGAGCCCCCTAGTGGAATATAGTTCTTATTGCAATATTTCAAAATAGATTAAAAAATGCTTAAGATCTGTTCAAAACCAAAAACATCCCTTTAGAGTAACTGGACTAAAATTATGCGACAGAAAAAAAAAACATTAAACTATTACTTTCTCAGTACTTCATTTTCAGATGGAACTTTAAGAAAAAGAATAGTGCCAAAGGGAAAGGTTAGCAATGAGCACAGGGATAAAAGCAAATGTAGCCCAAGGAAGCAGTCTGCTCTGCCATAAATATTAAATGTTGGTTTTGCCATTTTTTTAAGCTGAATTTCTGAAAGCAGAAATAGCTGAAAAGCAACAAGACAAATAAGCCAAAAGTAGCAAAAATGTCCGTTAGCCTGCTACCCAATGTTTCAGCAATTAAAACCGTAACTTTTATCCAATTTAAAAGTCATGCTCAAGGCCAGGCACAGTGGCTCACACTTGTAATCCCAGCACTTTGGAAGGCCAAGGCAGGCAGATGACCTGAGGTCAAGAGTTCGAGACCAGCCTGGCCAACATGGCGAAACTGCGTCTGTACTAAAAATACAAAAATTAGCCGGGCGAGGTGGCAGGCACCTGTAATCCCAGCTACTAGGAAGGCTGACACAGAAGAATCACTTGGACCCGCAAGATTGCACCACTGCACTCCAGCCTGGGCAACAGAGTGAGGCTCCATCAAGAAAATATATATAAAATAAAATAAAGTCACGTTCACTATGTAATACTGCTCTTACAACCGATATCCAAATAAAAATAACTACTTTAAAACCTGAGAAAGTTTGTTTTGAATGCTTAAGTGTATAGCTATTACTCCTATGAGAAAAATTAAGTTATCTACTGAAATAATACAATTACAGAAAGAAAATTAATCAAGTTTCAAATACACCAATATGTAGTAATGTGTATTTTACACACATCCAAGAAGTAAATCAAACTTCTGGAAAAACACTAATAATAAGTAGTAAGCAGTAAAAGGGGTACTTAAACTAGATTATTTTATCTAAACAAACATACAATTAGGGTTTTTTTTAATCCAGAATTGTAGACACAATTGTCCTTGATTTAAAAAACATTTCCCAAGACATAAAAATGTTAACAAAATATTTTTAAAATCTCTAGACTCTAGATAGTTTATTCCAGTCTCTACAACATGGATACTATAAAACAATGGGGGTTGTTGAAATCTAAAAACTCTCACTTATGATTATTATGCCCAGAAATACAGAAACATCATACTTATTTTAAAAAAAGTTCTTTAAACATAGTTCTAAAATTAATTTAGCAAAATCAACAAGAACAAAAATGAGTCAACAGCCTTAAAATACAAGATACTGACAAATTAAACAATGAAAATATCTTTAAAGTATCAGGACATTTTTATTTTATGATGGCATATCATGCTATTTCAAAAAGGAGGTATGTAGAATAAAAGTAGGTATTCATTTTAAAAGATTATCCTAAATAACTAGGATATAATGGCAGTTAATACCACAGTGTTCCATTTTTTTCCTTTTTATTTGTATTAGGTTGTTCACAATGTACTTTCTAAAAACATTTAATACTGAAAAGAATCACATGCTCAAGACTTACCGAAAATCATCCAAACTTAGGCTACCTCTGCAATAACAGGTATGTGAAATAATATAAGGAGAGGAAAGAAAGAAAGCCCAGATATTATATAAACTTCATTTTAGAACACAAAACAAAATTTAAAAGCTTCAGAAGTTACACAGGTGTATAACATTCATTTTTGCAAAGGGAAGAAATCTTCATGAATAAGGTGATAAAGGTAAGATAAACGCACATAGCTGTCTTTTGTGTTTGGATGAAGTCTACATTACTAAAAACGGTTCTTAAAAATTAAATATGTTTTCTCTTGGGTGACATGGAAAAAAATTAAATATATCAGGAAATAACTGACTTTTTTCTACATAATTAAAAAAGGTTCTTAGAAATTAAATATCCAGAAATAATTCTGTCTTTTCTTTGTCCTTAGGCATACCATTTCTTTCATGCAGTGGAAAGTATGCAGAGACTGAGCCACCAAAAACCTGGCATGGCACAAAAAACAAACCCATATTTTCCAACATTAAACTTGTGTTCATGTTAGACAGAATCATTTATGCTTCACGTTTTTAGGTTGAGTAAAAAAATATGTTTTAAGCTAAGAAGCACAGTTAACAAAAGATCTCTAAATATTAAAAAACAAAAGTTGTACTTTAAGTATACAATGAAACAGAGAACATGATAAATAATATGCATTAGAATTTTACTTTGAAAATATAAAATGTAGACATAAAATATATGAATACATATTTTATGTAATTTAAGTCATGTAATAGCAAATTAACAAAGCTATTCTAAATTTCCAATGAAAGAATGTTAAGAAACTCTTTTAACTTATTATATATAGGTAAATAAATCATTAAGTATCACAGAAGCAGAGTCCTGACAAGACTGATAGTTAACTATTAAAATCAGATCACCATAAAGAAAAACATACTTTAAAAAGTCATAATCAGTATCCAGAATGAAAAGAACCCATATAACCTGTCTTTTTTATATTTTAAAGCCAACAAAATTAGTACCTTAATATGCTGAAAATAATCAAGTGTTCTAAAAGTAGCCAAGAAGGCTTTTCATCTCTGAAGTTATGACCTTGACTTAGATTTAACCACGAAGCAAGCTTTTTATTTTATTTTATTTTATTTTATTTTATTTTATTTTATTTTAATTGAGGCGGAGTCTTAGTTGCCCAGGCTGGAGTGCAGTGGTGCAGTCTCAGCTCACTGTAACCTCTGCCTCCTGGGTTTAAGTGATTCTCCTGCCTCAGTCTCCCAAGTAGCTGGGATCACAGGTGTGTTCCATCGCACTTGACTAATTTTTGTATTTTTAGCAGAGACAGGGTTTCACCATGTTGGCCAGGCTGGTGTTGAACTCCTGACCTGAGGTGATCTGCCTGCCTCGGCCTCCCAAATTGTTGGGATTACAGGCGTGAGCCATCACGCCCGGCCATCTACCAAAGCAGGCTTTTAAGGTCACAGAACCACTTCCCCTTAAATGGTCCTAGAAAAGGGCATGTCATTAGCTCCACGTCCTGGTATGAAACTCCAAACATCTTATGTCTATAAACAGGGATAAATTCTACCTGCTTCTCAAGTATGCCAGTACATTTGAGGAAACTCCTTGGAAAAGAATTCAAATGCAAGAAAAGGCATGTGGCCTGGGCAAAGAACGCTATTTTAAATAGCATGAATATGATTTTTGTTAAATAACGTCTAAGTTTCACGGCTGTAACATAAATTTTTAGGAAAAAGTTACAAAGTGGTATTTTTGCAAATAATCCTAAAGGCATTTCTACCTTTCAGAAAAGTTATTACATGTATACTACTTCTACTGAGGCATTAAATCAGAATTAATATTCAACATTCAAAAAAACATCTATTCCCATAACACTTGGTTACGTCAAGAAATACAATATATTCTCCTCGTGGCTAAGGTTTTCACATTTTCCCTTGTACTAACTATCTAAAACATTGCCCCATTTCTTGACTTATCTACTTTTCTCTTTGTAGTACATATCCAATTTATTTATGTTTATTAGATACTTGCTCAAATTGGAAGGTGTCTAGATGTTTGTGTCAATTTTGTACACATATTAGGTAAATGAAATGATCAGAAATGAAAATGAAAGGTAAATGAAATGATTCATTTACCTTATATATAATAAGTTAAAAGAGTTTCTTAACTTTTTTTTTTTTTTTTTGAAACAGTCTGGCTCTGTCACCCAGGCTGGAGTGCAGTAGCACGATCTTGGCTCATTGCAACCTCCACCTCCTGGGCTCGAACAATTCTTCTGCTTCGCCTCCCAAGTAGCTGGAATTACAGGCATGTGCCACCACGCCCAGCTAATTTTTGTATTTTTATTAGAGATGGGGTTTCACCACGTTGGCCAGACTGGTCTCAAACTCCTGACCTCAAGTGATCCCCACGTCTCGGCCTCACAAAGTGCTGGGATTACAGGCGTGAGCCACCGTGCCCGGCCATTAACATTCTTTCATTGGAAATTCAGAATAGCTTTGTTGATTTGCTATTAAGTGACTTAAAACATATATTTATTCATATATTTTATGTCTACATTTTATTATTGGAAGGTGTTGAGAGCAAATCTATAAATCTACAGAATAGATTTATAGATTTGATGTCTGTATCAATTTTGTACATGTAACCTTGCAAACACAAATTAGAACACTAATTATCCAGTTTATAAATGGATAAAGATTTTCTCTTCTATTACCTTTCTTTAGGTCATTTAACTGTACACTTAGATTTCCAGAGCCAAAAAAAAGAAAGAAATAAACATCCCTCCACTTTTGTACCCAGTAAGCACTCTTAAAAAAAAGTTTTCTCTAAAACGTTTAATTCTGAGTTATCTGTGGATGCCACTTATGCATTCAGTCCCTAGTCTCCAATAAAGCTGGTAATCAAAACTAATATATATTCATTATGAGATTAACAAGGCCACATTATGTATCTTGTTAAAATTTTTCTAAAAGAATTTCAGGCATTTTCAGATCACCATATAGAATACAGTTCTACAATTCACTAGTAAAATGCCTTGTGAACTCATATAACAATGGAACCACATATTCATTCAGAAAAATAGCTAATAAAGACAATGATGCTATCATAGAATGACTGGCATCAGCAAGTTCAAAAACAAAACATACAACCTACCTGTTCAATTTTGAATTGCGTGTTGGTGATTCTGCACCTCTTAAAAGTTGTCTGAAATACTTTAAAATAACAAATAATAATTATCATTTATTACACTTACAATTAACATTAAAACATGTTACCTTAGTTTACTACTTTCCAGTTTTGGGAAAAAAAAAAAGCTATCTCAATCAAGTGAATACAGACATGGTCAACTAGGGTAAGGATGAAAATATTGCAAATGCAGATGATTTCCACAGGTTTGTAAATAACGTGTATACAATGAGATTTCTGCGTCACTGCAGTACTACAAAGCCACTCAGGCATATGGCAAACCAGGCAGACCTATTTGGTCCCAATCTATCTACTTACACAAATATAAACAGGTTTTGGTATTGATAATTGTTTTTGCAATTATTATTTTATTTATTCATTTATTTATTTATTTTGAGACAGAGTCTCGCTTTGTTGCCCAGGCTGGAGTGCAGTGGTGCGATCTCGGCTCACTGCAAGCTCCGCCTCCCGGGTTGATGCCATTCTCCTGCCTCAGCCTCCCAAGTAGCTGGGACTACAGGTGCCCGCCACCACGCCCAGCTAGTTTTTTGTATTTTTAGTAGAGAAGGGGTTTCAATGTGTTAGCCGGGACAGTCTTGATCTCCTGACCTTGTGATCCGCCCGCCTCGGCCTCCCAAAGTGCTGGGATTATAGGCCTGAGCCACCACACCCGGCCTTTGCAATTATTTTTTAATCTTCACTTAATTACATAGCGAAAAAGAATATTTACTTTCTTAATCTTGGTTTTTTTGTTCTGTTTTCTACTGAGACGGAGTCTTGCTCTATGGCCCAGGCTTGAGTTGTAGTGGTGTGATCTCAGCTTACTGCAACCTTGGCCTTCTGGGTTCAAGCTATTCTCCTGCCTCAGCCTCCTGAGTAACTGAGATTACAGGCATGTGCCACCACACCCAGCTAATTTTTTCTATTTTTAGTAGAGATGGAGTTTCACCATGTTGGCCAGGTTGGTCTTGAATGCCTGAACTCAATTGATTCAGCCATCTCAGCCTTCCAAAGTGCTGGGATTATAGGCGTGAGCAACTGTGCCCAGTAATCTTGTCTTATTTTTCTATTTATTTTGTTATTTGAATCACTCATCTAATGATATCAAAGCTACTATTAAATTATGTATAAAAATCCTCAAACAAGGTTAATATTTTGACTTACCTCATCACTATGGCAGAACATAGGAGTAAATACATTCTCCAAAAGGGAAAGAACATGTTCATATGCTTCAAAAAGACATCTCATAGTTTGAAGTTTCACAACATCTATGTATGGGCCTTCAGCAACTATTAAAAAAATTCTACTGTAGAAATTATTTATAAATAGCATAAATATATACAGTTCTAAAACGTTTTACTGAAACTCCACTGAAACACACTAGATTGAGAAATTAGACCAACCAAGCTCTAGTTCTGACAAATACATAAAGTATAAATAAGTTTTTTCTTTAAAGCTTTCATCTCATTAGTAAAATAGAATAATAGCTGCCCATGTACTGCAGCTAGCCACTGCAATAATAAACAGAAAATAAATGGAAAAACTGTAAGAGTGCTAAATAAGTCATTCTTATCGTCTTTGACTTACTTCTTTGAATCTCTTCTACAATGAAGGGATCAAATCTAATTTTGTCAATACTTTCATCCAAACAGTATGTTTTATAAATCTTCTGCAATTCTTCATGAAGAGACAGCATTTCATCATTTGATAATTCTGGTCGTAAAATTCTATCATTAAATTCCTCTAACAAATGAGGGAATGAATAAGAAAAAATAATTTTAATATATAATTATTCATAAAAGCTTCAGTCCCATTCTAATTGTAGCCAATACTAACAGCAGCAATTAGAAGCAATCTAATTCATCTAAGTTTTTAAAAAATATTTGAGAATAAAATAACTACTCAATAAAAGAGAAATGCAATCAACCAGTTTTTATACATTAATAGAAAATATGTAAATACATAAATACCAATACAAATTTTGCTAAAATTCAAAACACTAAACACACTTCTAATAGTTTCCTTAAAGAATATTGAATTTATTATACCAAAAGTCTTTTATTATTTTGAGATCTGATTTACTAAATAAAAATAAAAATGAAGACTTTTTTTAGTCCCAATCAATGTTTTTAAACAATATTTCTATCATGAACGCTGCAAACTAGTGGCAGAACTGAGTTTGAACAAATGAATGTTTATTCCAAAATAAAAGATGGTAGTATTATGATAGCCAAAATACCAATTGCTTTTTCTTTTTATTTCAGGATGTGTTAATAAGGAGTTTACCTTTTACTTCTTAATCATTCAAACTGAAACATAAAGGGGAAAAAAGGGAGTTAAAAAAAAAAAGCTGGAATACAGGATATAAGATTTGTGAGGCAACAGAATATAATTGCCATTCCTGTATGAGTTAACATGCATATAACTGGAGTTGTTAAAGAAGAGAAAATGGGGCAGGATATTTGAAAAGACAGCCAGGAATTTTCAAAATTGATTAAAGGTCAGGTGTGGTGGCTCATGCCTGTAATCCCAGCACTTTGGGAGGCTGAGGCAGGAGGATCGCTTGAGCCCAGGAGTTCAAGACCAGCCTAGGGAACATAGTGAGACTCAGTCTCTACAAAGAAATTAGCCAGGCATGGTGGTGTTCACCTGTAGTCCCAGCTACTTCGGAGGCTGAGGCAAGAGGATGAATGAGCTCAGGAAGTTGAGGCTGTATTTCGTGAGCCATGATCATGCCATCTTTTCAGACACACAAAAGCTAAGAAAATTTATCTCCAGCATATTTGTATTTTAAGAACTGTGAAAATGATTTCTTTCAGCAGAAAGAAACAATATTAGAAACCTGGTTCTGCAGAAAGAAATGAAGAGCACCGGGACAGTAAATATGCCAATAATTGTAAGAACCTTTAAAAATGAATGTGTGTGTGCATTCCACACATGTGTAGAAGCCTGATGACTAGTGAAGAAATAATGTACTGTGGTTTTATAGCCTATGCAGAATTAAAATACATGACAACAGGAGCACAATAGGCAGGAGAGGATGCTCTGAGGTACACTGAGGTTCTTACACTGCTCCTGAAGCAGTAAAATGTTTTTAAATTAGGACTATGATAAATGAAAAAGAAAATCTCTGATCAATCAAAAAAGTAACAGAACACACTCAAAAAAATAGGAAAGATAAAATACTAAAAAATAACCTCAAGAAAGGCAGCAAAGGAGAAAAAGAAAGGCAAAGAATATACAGGACAAATATAAAACAAACACCAAGATGTAAGGCCTAACAATAAACACATAATAAATATATCACGTGTAAATGTACTACAGATACCAATTAAAAAGCAAAGATTACTAAATTAGGTTTTTTTAAAGTGAGAGAAACTATGTGCTGCTTACTAGAAATACATTAAACATTTCAATCAGATAGAAAAAGATATACAAATGAACACTCAAATATAAAGAAAGATGATGTGGCTATATTAACATCAGACAAAGCAGACTTCAAGACTAAAAATTACCAAAGATAAAAGAGGAGCATTTTATAATGATAAAAGAATAAATTCATTAAGAAGATATAACAATCTTAAATGTGTCTGCACCTAATAATGAAGTTTAAAAGATATATGCATTCATACAATGGAATACCACTCAGCAAAGAACAAACTACATATTTATTTATTTATTTTTGAGACAGAGTCTCACTCTGTCACCCAGGCTGGAGTGCAGTGGCATGATCTCGGCTCACTGCAACCTCCACCTCTCAAGTTCAAACAATTCTCCTGCCTCAGCCTCCTGAGTAGCTGCGATTACAGGCATGAGCCAACACGCCCAGCTAATTTTTGTATTTTTGTCGAGACAGGGTTTCACTATGTTGCCCAGGTTGGTCTCGAACTCCTGACTTCAAGTGATCCACCTGCCTCGGCCTCCCGAAGTGCTGGGATTGTAAGCATGAGCCACTGCGCCTTGCCCAAACTACTTATTTAGACAAAAACATACATGAACTTTAAAAAGCATTATCCTGAGTGAAGGAAGCTAGGCACAAAGGAGTACATATTATGTGATTCAATTTATATAAAAAAAATTATACAGGCAAAACTAATCTGTGCTGAGAGAAATGAGACCAGTGATTGCTTTGGCAGGAGTAGGGGAAAGAGTGGATCTCTTGGGAAGGATCCTAAGGGAATTTTCTGGGCTGATGGAAATAAATGTTCTAGATCTTGATAAAGATGCAGGTTACGTGGATGTACACACATGCAAAACTGATCAAACTATACATTTAAATTCCATGTGTTTCACTATATAAATTATACCTCATTTTTAAAGTTATATTTTAAAAAGAAATTAAATGCATTAAAAACAATATTTTCAGTCTATAAAGTTTCTTATAAATCCAATAATCTATAATGCTACAGAGCTTATAATTAAAATGAGGTATTCTTATATTTGATAATTTAGTCAAAACAATCCTTTACAAAAACTGTGAAAAAGTGATATTGACATGGGCTACAGTTTGGGTTTTTAATATATTTTCATTATACTGTACTTTTAGTATTTTTTTTTTCTGCTACTAGGATTTGAATGAAGTTAGTGACAGATTATTTCCCAATCTGGAAAGAAGTGGGCACTTGAGAGAAACCCACATATGCTCTTAGAAAATCAAGTATATGGCCGGGCGCGGTGGCTCACGCCTGTAACCCCAGCACTTTGGGAGGCCGAGGTGGGTGGATCACCTGAGGTCGGGAATTCAAGACCAGCCTGACCAACATGGAGAAACCCCATCTCTACTAAAAATACAAAATTAGCTGGGGTGCTGGCACATGCCTGTAATCCCAGCTACTTGGGAGACTGAGGCAGGAGAATCGCTTGAACCCAGGAGGCGGAGGTTGCAGTGAGCCAAGATCACACCATTGCACTCCAGCCTGGGCAACGAGAGTGAAATTCCGCCTCAAACAAAAAAAAAAAAAAAAAAAGGAAATCGAGTATATGAAATTTAGTACAATGATAGATGGGTACCACAACATCAGATCTGATTTAAAATATTCAAATACATTAAAAGGTTTAAAAATTACTTTCGTAAAATACACAGGTAAGCCTCACCCACAGTCAAACAAAACTGCAACACGTGCACTGCGCCTTCTTGTTTCAGAAAGTTCATAAAACGAAATAAAAGATCTTGTTGCTCTCTGATTTGCTTCAATTCTAACTTCAGCACCTTGATATAAGAGAAAGATTAAGTTTAAGCTATATAAATGAGTTCTAAAATTGTTTATATCAAAAAGGTGTTATTGCTGAAAATTCTTACAGATGGCTTTTTATTTCTAGGTTCTGCAAATTTCTGCAAGAATGGAACCAAAGGAGAAGCCGGTTCAGTTGCTTTTTCAGGCTTTGAAAGAAAGAGAATTATTAACTCAGTAAAATTCCCACTTGATTTGACATACAAAATCAAAATTCAATGCAATCTGAAGTGTTTTCTAATATATTCAATACTCACTGGACTGTCATCTATGAAGATGATAAGCAAATGATTCACAGTATCCTAGTGGAAAATAATAAACATAAGTCAAAATAATTCCACTACTGTATTCTCCCCAGAATTCTCATAACTTGTATCATATTATGTAAGTTTCTAGAAAAATGAAAAAATAAATGGAGCAGTAGCAAAAAATCTGCACATATGTATTACAGCAGGAGTTTTTTTACATCTACAAAACAGGTTCTTAACCTTTGTGAAAATGGGCAAATAAAAGCTATTCTGATTTTGGCATTTAAAATATTTCTAAATCATTCTTGTTTCTTCAAAATCTCACTGGATCAAAGGTAGAAGCATCCAAAGTGTCCATCAATGGATGAACAGATAAGCAAAACATGTTATACACATACAATGAAATATTACTCAGCCTTGAAAAGGAAGGAAATTCTGACACATGCTACAACATGGATGAACCTTGAAGACACTATGCTAAGTGAAATAAGCCAGTCACAAAAAGACTAATACTTATGATTCCACTTATATGTGGTACCCAGAGTAGTCAAATTCATGGAGACAGAAAGCAGAATGGTGGTTGCCAGGGGGGGCTGGAGGGAGGAAGGAATGAGGAGTTATTGTTAACAGATGCAGAGTTTCAATTTCATAAGATGAAGAGTTCTGGAGATGGGGAATGGGGATGGTTGCACAACAATATGAATGTTTTCAGTATCACTGACTATATACATAAAAATGTTTAAGATACTAAATGTTATATTAAGTGTAATTTGTAACAATTTAAAAAAAAATCTTAAGTCTTACTGGATCAGCTAGGAAATCCAAAGAAGGAAGGAACACAGAGCCAGACAGAATCTCTCTTATAAGTAAGGTCAGAGATCTGGAAAAAGAAATAATAATAATTGTTTATATTTAGTGATTTATATTAGTTCTTAACTTTCAAGTGCATGTGAATTACGTAAGGATCTTGTTAAAATGGAGACTATAATTCAGTAGGTCTTGGTTAGGCCCTAAAAGTCTGCATTTCTAACAAACTCTCAACCAATGTTCATGCTACTGGTTTGCAGAACACACGTTGAATAGCAAAGAGTTAGAGTTCTTACTTGGCTAAAATAGAATATTACTTAAGAGAAGAAAAAGTATTCCCTTAACAGGAGGAACTTGGGGGACATTAGGAAAAACTCTCTATCGGCCGGGTGGGGTGGCTCACGCCTGTAATCTCAGAACTTTGGGTGGCCGAGGCAGGGGGATCACAAGGTCAGGAGTTCAAGACCAGCCTGGCCAACATGATGAAACCCCGTCTCTACTAAAAATACAAAAATTAGCTGGGCATGATGGTGCATGCCTGTAATCCCAGCTAATAGGGAGGCTGATGCAGGAGAATCGCTTGAATCCGGCAGGCAGAGGTTGCAGTGAGCCGAGATCACACCACTGAACTCTAGCCTGGGCAACAGAGCAAGACTCTGTCTCAAAAATAATTAAAAAAAAAAAAGAAAGAAAGAAAATACTTTCTATCTAAGAATACTTAAATGTTTATTATATATTTAAATTAATGTTTAATGTAATTACCTTATAATCATATTTACTATTATAAACTAGTCTAGTATAAAAATCATGTAATCAAAATATTAAAATATTTTTAAGAACCACATAAAAATTTTAAACAAAAAGTAGTATTTAAAGTACATCACTTTAAATATCACTAAAAATAAGCCATGGTTACTCCTCTAAGGGTTATTAGGGTAAGAGTAACAAGGTAACTTATGGAATAATCTAAACATGCTCCAGCCAGAAAAAGGGAGAACAGACTAGATGACCTCCAATTCTTTTTCCCAGCTGGATACCTTGAAACATAAACTCATCTATATAGTTTGTTCAAATGTTTCTGCCTATTATAGTTATAATGTGCATGTCTTTAAAGGGGAACACCAATGAAATAAAATATAATGGCATAAAAAATTAATTTTATTCATATTTATATTTTATGTCCAAGATCAGTTTTAAAGAAAAATTCTAAGCTACACAACACACCACAAATAGCACTTAAATTGGCATTTTAAGACCATAATTAATAAATTATATATTAATAACTTAATAAATTTTTTCAAATGAAAAGCTATTCATAGGCTAACCTCAAATTTTAGCATATGCCTATCATAACCAAAAATAGCAATATACATATGGCATGTTATGCAAATACTATTATATTGTCTAGTCTTTTTATACCTGCAGTCTGTTGCTTTAGGAGGCAAAATATAAGGAAAAAGCAGTTCAGTAAGTTTCCTTAAATAGTGCAATTCATCTCTTCGACTTCTCAAAGCAACATGAAGCTCTGGACCATATTCTTCTAAAGCAGCTTGCTGTAAAAACTCTGTATTTTTTACTATAGAGATTAAAGATAAATATTGAAACAAGTTAAGTGACATTAAATAATTTCGGTCATTTCCACTAACAAATAGAAGAGCATGGGCTGGGCGTGGTGGCTCATGCCTGTAATCCCAGCATTTTGTGAGGCCGAGGCAGGCAAATCGCTTGAGGCCAGGAGTTCAAGACCAGCCTGGCCAACATGGCACAATCCCATCTCTACAAAAAATATAAAATTAGCCAGGCATGGGGGCACACGACTGTAGTCCCAGCTACTCAAGAGGCTGAGGCAGAATTGCTTGAACCCAGGAGGCGGAGGTTGCAAGGTTGCAGTGAATGGAGATGTTTCCCAAAAAAATATGTAACGAAGTCATTCCTTTCCTAGCCTCTTTTCAATGTGCATTCTTTATTAGAAGCCTGCTTAGTTTGCAATAAATTGATAAATGGACCCTTTGCAAACAAGAATTTAAACTTACGCCTCTACAAGTTATATAAAATAATAGCAAATGATTAAGTGGAAAAAATTAGAGAAAACAACTTTTACAACTTCTAGCACACATAAGGCTTTTGTTGCCAAATCCTGTATCTTCTTTCTCCTCTCCAAAAGCAAAAACTATCTTACTCAAAATTATTATTATTATCATTATTATTTTGAGACAAGGTCTCGCTCCGTCACCCAGGCTGGAGATATGCACTGGTGTGATCTCAGCTCACTGTAGCCTCGACCTCCTTGGCTCAAGTGATCCTCCGACTTGAGCCTCCAGAGTAGCTGGGCCCACAGGCGGGTACTCCTGTGCCCGGCTAATTTTTGTATTTTTTGTGGAGATGGGGTTTTGTCATGTTGCCCAGGCTGGTCTCAAACTTCTGAACTGAAGCAATCTGCTCACTCCGGCCTCCCAAATTGCTGGGATTATAGGCCTCAAAATTCTTTTTTTTTTTTGAGGCAGAGTTTCTCTCTTATCCCCCAGGCTGGAACGCAATGGCATGATCTCAGTTCACTGCTACCTCCACCTCCCAGGTTCAAGCAATTCTGCCTCAGCCTCCCAAGTAGCTGGGATTACAGGCACCGGCCACCACCTCCAGCTAATTTTTATATTTTTTGTAGAGACAGGGTTTCACCATGTTGGCCAGGCTGGTCTGGAACTCCTGACTTCATGTGATCCACCCACTTCGGCCTCGCAAAGTGCTGGGATTACAGGCATGAGCCACTGCGCCTGGCCTCAGAATTCTTTAATTGCATCTGCTTTCACATCCAAGTAACCTTTTAAAGCACGTACACTATCAAAATATGCCCTCAGCCCTCAGACAAAATGGACTCCCCCTAGCTGAGAAACTGAAATTTAAAATAGATCCAGGCCACCATAGCTCGTGAGGAAGCAGTTATATACTCTGTGTTCTCAGAAAGATGCTATGAAACTTTTTCATACGACCTCCCTTTCTACAATCAAGCAAAACCAGTTCCTGCTGTTGGGAGCCAAGATGAACTGTGGCTGGAAACTCCCTCCCACTAGAAGCCATTTAAAGAAACATCTGTCAGATTCCTGGTTTGGGGCCTGGAAACCAACCAATCAGGGCTCACCTAAACCAACCAATATAAGCTCACCTGTCCCAGCCAATCAGCATTCAGCTGTATCAACCAATCAGAACTCAGCTGCACTGACCAATCAGATTTTAATCCTTCATCTGCATAAACAGGCCTGATTGAGAACCTGGGAAGGAACTTTTGCTATGAAACCAGAACTCTCTCTTTGTTCTCTGGAATGCAGCCTTGTTTCACACTGAAGGCTATGTTTTCCTGGTTTGCAAACTGTTCCCTGAAACAAAGTCTCTTTACTCTCAAATTCCTTTTCAGAGAACTTGTGTTCACAATAGAATATGGCTTCACTGGTTAAGCTCTGGATCTTCTGCCCCATGCAGAGGACATAGGAAATATAAAACTATTTAAAGTAGAAACCCATGAAAGGATAGATTTCTTAATAAATACTGATGACAAAAGTTATGTTAGCAAAGTTTTCTTTTAGACCTGGCAATAACTAGTATTTTCAAATGTAAAATTAATAGTATTGTCTCCTTTTTATAGACCTCAAAAGACTAAGTGGAAAGGCAAGTGATGCTTTTCCCTTTCTGCATTCTGTGCAGAGTTTTCAAATCATGGAGTCTGTGTTGGGAATCTTTTTTTTTTTTTTTTTTTTTTGAGACGGAGTCTCGCTCTGTCGCCCAGGCTGGAGTGCAGTGGCGGGATCTCGGCTCACTGCAAGCTCCGCCTCCCGGGTTCACGCCATTCTCCTGCCTCAGCCTCCCAAGTAGCTGGGACTACAGGCGCCCGCCACTACACCCGGCTAATTTTTTGTATTTTTAGTAGAGACGGGGTTTCACCGTTTTAGCCGGGATGGTCTCGATCTCCTGACCTCGTGATCCGCCCGCCTCGGCCTCCCAAAGTGCTGGGGGAATCTTAACCCTAATTCAATAGCATTTATTTTAGAACTATTTCCTTCTGTTTTTATTGAAATAGAATGCAAGCATATTCATACACAAAAAAAGGCATTATATGCATTGCAACAGTGTGAGTACTGAGATGGAGCAGCAATCCCTCTTAGGGGCCTGCTAGGACCCCCAGCATGAAAATAAAGAAAAAACTTATGAGTCCCAAGGGAAATTGCAGGCACCTAAGCTAGCCCTACAACCAGCAATTAGGAAAGTGAGTGAATAACCTGCTAAACAAGAAAATAATAACATAAACAATTGCCCCAAGTAAGCCAGAGTCACAAGATGTTTGGTTCCCTACAGAAACTAAAGATAAAATTATAACATATATCTTTGAATTATTTTTCAGAAACCTGGACCCCCATTAGATAGAAAATGCCAACCACTGTCACGTAGACCTCAAGGAGGAATTGAGGACTGAACTCTAACCACCGTTCTTTGTTCTAAATTTCTTCCTGAGGGGCCTGGAGAGAGTTACACCCACAGGCCAAGCCTTAACATTCCTTTCTGCTAACCCCAGGTTTTTAGACAAAGCCTTGCTTTCTTAACCAATGCAAACCAAAGACTCTTTGAATCCACCTGTCACTTGTAAGCCCTCACTCACTTCAAGATATCCCCGCTTTCTGAGTCAACCCATGTATAACCCTTCATGTACTGACTTACAATTTTACATGTAATTTTGCTTTCATGAAATTTACCCCAAGTCTAAAAACCCTTGCTTGTATGCCACTGGGGAATTCAGGTCGTAAGCATTAGCTGCCTGTTCTCCTTGTTAGCAATAAATGCCTCACGTTCCCTTGCTGAAAATCCCAGTGTCAGTGCTTGCTTTTTTTCTGCACACTGGGCAAGCAGACCCGAGTTCAGTTTGGCAACAGTACTAAGAAGGTAAATCAAGGCTATCTGCATTTGTGGGTTTAAAGCGGGATTAGCAAAGAACATAGTTTTTATAAAAAACGCATTTTAAATTATTTGCCAAGCTTTTCTCCATTAGAATTTGGGGCATGGGTCTTTTAGAAATTTCTATCGTGAGCATAAAAGTCAGAAATCTCTGCACAGTATCTTAGCACAGTAAGCTGTGCTAAGTCCCAGCTCTGCTTCTTTATTGATAAGATTTTGAACAAATGAAACAATCCCTTTCAGCCTTAGAATCTGTATCAGGCCAGGCGCCCGTGGCTCACGCCTGTAATCCCAGCACCTTAGGAGGCCGAGGCGGACGGATCATGAGGTCAGGAGATCGAGACCATCCTGGCTAACACGGTGAAACCCCGTCTCTACTAAAAATACAAAAAAAATTAGCCAGGCGTGATGGCAGGCGCCTGTAGTCCCAGCTACTCGGGAGGCTGAGGCAGGAGAATGGCGTGAACCCGGGAGGCGGAGCTTGCAGTGAGCCGAAATCGCGCCACTGCACTCCAGCCTCGGCGACAGAGCAAGACTCCGTCTCCAAAAAAAAAAAAAGAATCTGTATCAGTAAACAGTTATTAACACTGAAAAGTCATAATGTAATATAGAAAAGTAATTACAATATTTGGTGTGATTAAGCATTCACACATAATATATAAATTAAATCACCAGATTGGAATCTACTCAGCACCTGTCAGACATAAGGGATTTTTAAAATCCAAGGTGATAAGAAATTAAAGGAAGCAGGCAAAATATTTTAAAGTGGGGGAAAACACCTTAACGGGGAATATAAGCAAAACAGAGTGCTGGAATACAGAGCATGGATTAATCTCCACTGATCACCAGTATATTTAATGCCTAATCAGTTGGCAGTTTTCAGAACACAAAAGGAAAGGTCCACAAAATCCATGATAAAGAGATATCTTCAGGTTGAAAGTCTGGAGTAAGATCCCACACAATCATTATCCAATTTAAGTTTATATATATATATATATGTAGCTATACATATGTATATAAATGTTGAATATACACATATATTCATATATTTCATATACACACATGTGTATATATATACACACACATATATATATTCAACATTTCTAAGAGCCATGGAAGTACTTACATAGACAACTTCTATATAACGCCTATTCTCAAGAAGATTAAGCAGAGAATGCCAAGACAGTAAAGACAACTATGGATGAAGAAATGAAACTTTACTTCCTGAATTATGCTCACATGTAGAGCCAAAGAACTTAGAAAACAAATTTATACATTAAATGAAAAATCAAAAATTTGAAAACTTTTTTTATAAGTCTAATTTACTATCATGATATTTAGAACACTGGGATCTTGGGATAAAATAAGAGCCCTCCTAATTCTCTGAGCCTTTACTTCTATGGACTTCATTAATTATGATGATTACAATGTTATTAATGAATGCAATCTAGCATTTTAGGGTGACTTTATAATTGAGGATGATTTTTTACATGAATAGTAGCAAATAAGCAACCCCTCTCACAAAAATTCAATGATAAATTTTAATCAAATTTGTTTATATATATATCATTCTCCTTTTTTCTTTCTTCTTTTTTTCAGACAGGGTCTTGCTCTGTTGCCCAGGCTGGAGTGTAATTGGGTGATCATAGCTCACTGCAGTCTCAAACTCCTGGGCTCTAGAAATCCTCCTGCTTCAGCCTCCCAAGTAGCTAGGACTTACAGGCACATGCCACCACACTCGGCTAATTTTTTTATTTTTTTGTAGAGACAGGGTATCACTATGTTGCCCAGGCTTGTGTCAAACTCCTAGGCTCAAGTGATCCTCCAGCTTCAGCCTTCCGAAGTGCTGGGATTACCAATGTGATATATATACAACGTCACTCTCATAGAGACAAAGCAATTTGGGGATTTTACTAAACTCATCAATTCTACTAAAAGTTAAAAGATGATTCCATTTATTCATAGTCTGAGAGGCTTCTTGTCTTTGTCTTTAGAACAAAATTAAAACTGTATTAAAAATACTTCCCCCGCACAAAAACCTACAAATGCTTATAACAGCATTATTTATAATTGCCAAAAATTGGACCAAGATGTCCTTCAATTGGTGAATGGATAAACAAAGTGCGGTATATCCGTACAATGGAAAATAACTGAGTAGTAAAAAGAAATGGGTTATCAAGCTATGAAAAGATAGAGGTTAAATGTATATTGCTAAGTGAAAGAAATCCATCTGAAACATACTGTATGATTCCAACTATATAACATTCTGGAAACGTCAAAACTGTAGAGACAGTAAAAAGATCAGTGGTTGCCAGGGATTCCCAGAGGAAAGAAGGATGAACAGAGAAAGCACAGGGGATTTTTAGGGCAGTGAAACTATTCAGTATGCTACTGTAATGATGAATACATGATTATACATTTGTCAAAATCCATAGAATGCACAATGTAAAGAGTAAAACCTAACGAGGCCAGGCACGGTGGCTCATGCCTGTAATCTCAGCATTTTGGGAGGCCAAGGCGTGTGGATCAGCTGAGGTCAGGAATTCGAGACCAGCCTGGTCAACATGGTGAAACCTCATCTCTACTAAAAATACAAAATAGCCAAGCGTGGTGGTGCATGCCTGTAATCCCAGCTACTCGGGAGGCTGAGGCAGGAGACTCACTTGAACCTGGGAAGTGGAGGTTGCAGTGAGCTGAGATTGTGCCATTGGTCTCCAGACTGGGCAACTAGAGCGAAACTGCGTCTCAAAAAATAAAAAAAAAAAACACCAAAAATCTAAACTACAGACTTTAGTTAATAATGATGTATCAATATTGGTACATTGATTATAACAAATGTATCAAGTAATGTAAGATGTTAATACTAGGAAAAGGTGAGAGTACATGAGAACTCACTGTACTTTCTGCTCAATAATTCTTCTGTGAATGCAAAATTGCTCTAAAACATAAAATCTACTGATTTAAAGAAAAATACTTTTCCTATACGTTCTTCTGACAGTAAAGTAGCCTTTACAACACAACAATTAAGTTATGTGTACTTGGCTAGGCACAGTGGCTCACACCTGTAATCTCAGCACTTTGGGAGGCCGAGGCAGGCAGATTGCTTGTGCCCAAGATGTTGAAACCAGCCTGAGCAACACAGTGAGACCTCATCTCTGAAAGAAAAAAAATTTGTTTTTAATTTAAAAAGAAAAAGAAAGTTATGCGTACTCAAACTCTTTCACATTCATCTTTTTTTTTTTTTTTTGAGATGGAGTCTTGCTCTATCACCCAGGCTGGAGTGCAGTGGCATGATTTCTGCCCACCACAACCTCCGCCTCCTGGGTTCAAGTCATTCTCCGGCCTCAGCCTCCTGAGTAGCACCACCACACCTGGCTAATTTTTGTATTTTTAGTAGACATGGGTTTCACCATGTTGGCCAGGCTGGTCTCGAACTCCTGACCTCAAGTGAGCTGCCCACCTCAGCCTCCCAAAGTGCTGGGATTACAGGCATGAGCCACCATGCTCACCCTCAACCTTTTTTTAAACTATGTTGAAAGTAAAATTATTTTTACTTGTTATAAGATGAACACAGAATAATTTTTAAATATATAATTTAAAATAATTCTCATATCTGAGGAACTATTCATATCAAAGGGCAAATAAACTAATAATTTCATTTAACTTCAAATCTACCTATAGCATAATTTCCCAAAATGCTTTTTGATTAAAATAATTGATACTATGTGGGGGGAAAAAATGGTTCCATGCTCAAATGAATTTGGAACATGATAGGTTAAAGTTAAAGCTATTTCACTGCTGTAGGACTACCCAAAGCTTTTGGTGTACTCCTACCTATGGGAATTTCTACAAGGGGAATACAATAAACAAAAAATATGACCGTGAAACCTCTTCTGGTCATATGGTCATGTGTGTAGAGTGGTACTCTGCAGAACATACTTCAGAAACCACTGACAAAAAAGAATACCAAATGCGAATACAAGGAAAATCTCAGTTTCATGAACTAAGTACAGCGCATAGAAGTAGTTTTGTTAAAAAGAAACATTTTAGAGCTTGATCTTAGAGCATGAAAAGTCTCAAATGAGGATTCCACTCATTCACTCAGAAAAGATCCTGCAGGATATGGTAAGAAGGAAAGGAGGAAAGGAAAGAAGGGAAAACATTTAATGAACATATGCTATGTGCAAATCATGACAGGAAAAAGGACAGAACATACATGAGAAGCAGCAAGCAGGTCATCCTGGCCAAAGCATAATATAGTGAAAGACAAGACTAGATCTAATATCTGACTAGATAGAAAAGGATTTAAATACACAGTTTAGATGCTATGACAGTCACTAAATTTGTTTTTTTTAGTAGAAAGACAACATGAGACTTGTCATATCATAAAAGCAACCTTGTAGCAATATAAAGGATGGGCTAGAATAGGTCAAAACCATTGAAACCATTAAGGAGAAAGGGTGAAGAGAAATGAAAGATACTTCAGAGAAATAGATTACCATTCAAAACTGATTAAGAGTGTCAGCAGTAAAGTTAACTTTTATTTTAATTTTTAAAGGCTCTCAAGTTTTCACACATTAACAAACTACTGAAAGACATTTCAGTTTAAGAGAATACTCTCGCATCAACTGTGAATATGTAAGTTAATTAATCAGTACTCATATTTAGATATTTCGGGTGAAAATTGGTGTATAAAAACAAAATTACTCAAACTGTAGTAGAAAACTGTATTACCTTTCTGTCTGGCTTTAACTATCACTTCTATATGCTTCATTGCTGCTTTTAATAGTTTCTTGGTTATAATAGATGGAATATCCACCTAGAAAAATTCAAGATTAAAACTTTTAAAATAATTATCACTAAGTTACAATGGCAGGTACACTACAATTATGATATTGGAATATATCTTAAAAATTAGAAGTATTCAGAATCTTTCAAAAATAACACTTTATATTCCTGCATCATACTAACTGTAACATTAGATAATTTTTTTACCCACAGTACTGAAAATTAATCTTAATATGTATACCTTAAATACTAAATCTTTCCCACAAAATAGTATCTTTACTCCTAGCTTCTTTACGTGTTCTTTGTATTAAATGCGTTCAAGGAAAACTCCAGTAACTTATTATCCCTTTGATGCTGTACATTTGTGATTAGTAAGAAATTAGTTGAAAATGAACTTCTTCATTCAGCTTATGAGATAAATCCTGGTTTGTTTTTTGGGTTTTTGTTGTTTTTTGAGACAGGGTCTCACAGCAGCTGCCCAGCCTGGAGAGCAGTGGCACCATCTCACTGCAGTCTCAGTCTCCCGGGCTCAGGTGATTCTCCCACCTCAGCCTCCTGGGTAGCTGGGAATACAGGCGCATGCCACCACGCCCAGCTAGTTTTTTGTAGTTTTTAGTAGAAACGGGGTTTCGCCATGTTGCCCAGGCTGGTCTCCAACACCTGGACTCAAGTAATCCACCCACCTCAGCCTCCCAACAGCCTCCCAAAGTGCTGGGATTAAAGGCATTAGCCACCATGCCCAGCATGAATCCTGGTTTCAAGATATATGGAAACACCCTATTTTAGAATAAAATTAAGTTTCATCATTCCCCACCAAGATTTTTCAACCTAAAGGCTAGAAGCTGCAGTGATCATGGTAGGTTAGTGAGGGAGGGCTGAGGGCTTATATGCACATGCAGAAAACAGGAAAAAAAAAAAACTAAAAATAAATTATAAATAAATCAACAAAAAGCATATTTATTAGACTTCAACAGGCCCGTCTTCCACCATAAAACTTAATATATTATATATTTCCTTTATCAAAGGCATGAGAAAATTCCATCACAACAGTGTTAATTTTTCAATTCTTTTTAAATTCCATATTAAGGGAACAAAATCCCAGGGTGATAAATCTAGTAAGTATGATGGATCATAAACCCCCAAATTTTAATGATTTGCTGATAAAACCCAGATCAAACATGTTCAGTAAGAGGCGATATTTTTGCTAGTATTATACCTCATTGAAAATAACATCACTCTTCATTTGCCCTTGGCCACTTGGTACTCGCTTATAAATTACTCTCATATTTATCAAATAAACAAGATGTTATAGTTTTCAAACATTTTGTAAAATCTTGTTTTCTGAGAATACTCAGTAAGATTTTTATTTGTAAGTTCCACTTTAGGGAATTCAGGTCAGAATTAAAATGGTAAAATAATGGGTTTGTCACTAAACTTTGATTTTTAAAAAATTGTAGACCCTAAATGATTCTTTGTTTTCATTATTCCCAAACTTCCAATTTACATTATGCAGGCAACAGAATCATGAACAGAACATTGTAGAAGGAATAAGATGACCAAGGCCTAATCTTTTGCCCATTAACATTTGCTAACACTTTGACAAAGTTAATACCTTTCTATAAAATGAATATAATAATGACCCATTTATCTTCCAGGATAGTGACGCAGATAAGAGCCACAGTATAATTCAGAAAATTGAAGAAAATATTTTGCAAATCATTTATCTGATAAAGGACATGTATCCATATAAGTAACTTTTACAACTCAGTAATAAAAAAATAACCCAGTTAAAATGCAGGTAAGGAATTTGAATGGACATTTCTTCAAAGAAGGCAGACAAATGGCAAATAAGCATAAAAGTTCTCAACATTATTGGCATCAGGGATATGCAATTCAAAGCCACCATGGAATATCATGTCACATATACTAGGATGGTTAGAATAAAAGAGTGAGATTATAAATAGTTCTGGCAAGGATGTGGAGAAATTGAGATCCTCATACACTGCTGATGGGAATGTAAATGGTGGAGCCACTTTGGAAAATAGTCTGGCAGTTACTCAAAGTGTTAGACATAGAGTTTTTGATCCAGCAATTGTACTCCTATGTATATACCCAAGATAAGTGAAAATATATATCCGACAAAAAAAAACTTGTATACAAATGCTAACAGGTACATAACAGACAAAAGGTAGAAACAATACAAATATCCATCAACTGATGAATGGATAAACAAAATGTAGTACATTCACACAATGGAATATTAGCCATAAAAAGAATGAAATATTGATACATGCTACAACATAATATGGATAAACCTTGAGAACATTATGCTGAGTAAAAGAAACCAGTCACAAAAGGCCACATATTGTATGATTCCATGTATATGAAATGTTCAGAATAGACATCCAAATCCATAGATATACAAAGTAGATTTGTGGTTGGCTATGGATGAAGGGATAGAAGAGGTGATGTTTATGGCTAGAGGGTACAAGGTCTCTTTCTGGGTGATGAAAATGTTCTAAAATTGACTATGGGGATGGTTGTACAACTGAATATGCTAAAAACCATCAAATCATATACTTCAAATGGGTGAATTACATGGTATGTAAATTATATCTCAATAAAACTATTAACAAACTACATACATATATATCTATAAACCACTCCAAGTATGAGGTGCTATTAATTTAGAATCCACTAAGCTAATCCAAAGCCTAACATAGGCCTGGCACAGTGGCTCACACCTGTAATCCCAGCACTTTGGGAGACCGAGGTGGGTGAATCACTTGAAGTCAGGAGTTCGAGACCAGGCTGGCCAACATAGTGAAACTCTGTCTCTACTAAAAATACAAAAATTAGCCAGGCATGGTGGCGGGCACCTGTAATCCTAGCTACTCCAGAGGCTGAGGCAGGAGAATCGCTTGAACCTGGGAGGTGGAGATTGCAGTGAGCCGAGATGGCACCACTGCACTCCAGCCTGGGTGACACAGTGAGACTCCATCTTAAAAAAAAAAAAAAAAAAGGCTGGGCACGGTGGCTCACATCTGTAATCCCAGCATTTTGGGAAGCTGAAGCAGGGGAATCATTTGAGGTCAGGAGTTCGAGACCAGCCTGGCCAACATGGTGAAATCCCATCTCTACTAAAAATACAAAAAAAGAATTAGTGAGGCGGTAGTGGCACACGCCTATAAGCCTGTAATCCCAGCTACTCGGGAGGCTGAGGTAGGAGAATCGCTTGAGCCTGGAAGGCACAGGTTGCAGTGAGCCGAGATCACACCACTGCACTCCAGTCTGGGCAATAAAGTGAAACCCTGTCTCAAAAAAAAAAAAAGAAAAGGGAAAAGGTTAACACAGAAGAACTGTTCAATTAACTAACGTTTATTAGCTAACCGTAATATGGCAATCAAAATTAATTTTGATAAATCAATTTTTACTTATTCCAAAGTATAACTTAAATGGTTTGTCATCAACCAATTGATATTTCTTACTCTTTCATTCCACTTAAATATTATGAGTCAATTTCCCTAGACTGTCTGTTAAACAATGTGGTGACTGTTTATCAACTATTTTCAAAAGTGACAAAAGCTACATGCAATAGAAAAAGACAAATATAAAGAAGTGCATGGGAAAAAAAATCAGCATCAGCCCACCACCACACTAAGAGTTAACAGTGATAAGGAGGTATATGTCCTTAATATATGTATTAGCAAGCTTTAATATATGAACTTTGTTTTCAAAGTAGAAAAATACCACACATATTAGTTTCCAGCCTGTTCATTTGCCTGTTTCTTTTTTGTTTTTTTTTTTTTCCTTTTTCTTTCCAACTTTTATGTTAGGTTCAGGAAGTACATGTGCAGGCTCATTACATGAGTAAACTGCATGTCATGGGGGTTTGGTGTACAAATTATTTCGTCACCCAAGTAATGAGCACAGTACCCATAAGCAGTTTTTTTATCCTAATCCTCCTCCCACTCTCCACCCTCAAGTAGGTCACCATGTCTATTGCTTCCTTCTTTATGTCCACGTGTACCCAATGTTTAGCTCCTACTTATAAATGAGAACATGCAATATTTGATTTTATGTTCCTGTGTTAATTCACTTAGGACCAGCTACATCCATGTTGCTGCAAAGAACATGATTTCATTCTTTTTTATGGCTGCGTGGTATTCCATGGAGTATATGTACCACATTTTCTTTATCCAGTCCACTACTGCTGGGTATCTAGGTTGATTCCATGTCTACAATTTATATTCCTTTGAATTCTGTTCTAAGTTCTTTCAGAAATCTCCAAACTGCTTTCCACAGTGGCTCAACTCATTTGCATTCCCACCAGCAGCATATGAGCATCCCCTTTACTTGACTATTTAAGATAAATATTTTCCCTTGAAAATAAGTATTATTCTACAAAATGATTGTTCATGGCCGTGTAGAATTCTGTAATTAGGATGTATTATATTTACTCAATTAACAATCTTAGTAGACATCAATTTTTCTTTTCAGTTTTACTTTTTATAAATTATACTGCAATAAATCTTTGAACATACTTTTTGGGCTTTTTTTTTTTTTTTTTTTTTTGAGACAGAGTCTCGCTCTGTTGCCCAAGCACTTGAAGTGCAGTGGTGTGATCTCGGCTCACTGTAACTTCCACCGCCCAGGTTCAAGCGATTCTCCTGCCTCAGCCTCTCAAGTAGCTGGGATTACAGGTGTGCACGATTACACCAGGCTAATTTCTTTGTAGTTTTAGTAGAGATGAGGTTTCACCATGTTGGCCAGGCTGATCTCGAACTCCCGACCTCCAGTGATCTGCCCATCTCAGCCACCTCAGATTACAGGCATGAGCCACGGTGCATGGCCTGGAGTATAGATTTTTTTAAGTCTTAATAAAGATTACCAAACTGCCCTCAAATGTGAGAACTATACCAATTTGAATTTGAACTTGTTTTCCATACATCACCATTACTAGATATTAACACTCTTTTTTACCTTTCCCAGTCTGATAAGTAAAAGAATAATATCTCATTAAAAACATATTTATTTGCTGTGAGACAACATACTTTCAAGTGTTCATTGGCCATTTTGTATCTTTTTTTTGTGAACTACTGTACGTTTTTTGCATATCTTTTCTCTAGCAGTTGACTATATTGTTCACTTCTCAGATAGGTATAGAGTAATTTAACAAGATTAATCTTTATTTTATTACTAGTGGCAGAGATATTATATATTAATAAATTCTCAATACGTTCAATATGTCAATACTGAACTGACAAAGCAGTAGAAAAGTGTGTGTGTCTACAGACAATATACTACAAATATATATAGGCAATGATACAAATATGCACAAAATACAGCTCGAGAAAAATATTTGTTTTTTTGCTTTTTGAGATAGAGTTTCGCTCTTGTTGCCCAGGCTGGAATGCAATGGCACGATCTCGGCTCATTACAACCTCCACCTCCCAGGTTAAAGCAATTCTCCTGCCTTGGCCTCCTGAGTAGCTGGTATTACAGATGCCCGCCCCCATGCCTGGCTAATTTTTTGTATTTTTAGTAGAGACAGAGTTTCACCATGTTGGCCAGGCTGGTCTTGAACTCCTGACCTCGAGTGGTCCGCCCACCTAGGCCTCCCAAAGTGCTGGGATTACAGGCGTGAGCCACCGCGCCTGGCTGAGAAAAATATTTTTTAAAGTAGATCATAATCATTGCCATTTACTCAATAAATCCATCTAACTGGAACATGACTTTTTTCTTTTTTATTATTATTATACTTAAAGTTCTAGGGTACATGTGCACAATGTGCAGGTTTGTTACATATGTATACATGTGCCATGTTGGTGTGCTGCACCCGTTAACTAGTCATTTACATTAGGTATATCTCCTAATACTATCCCTCCCCCCTTCCCCCACCCCATGACAGGTCCTGGTGTGTGATGTTCCCCACCCTGTGTCCAAATGTTCTCATTCTTCAATTCCCACCTATGAGTAAGAACATGCGGTGTTTGGTTATCTGTCCTCATGATAGTTTGCTGAGAATGATGGTTTCCAGCTTCATCCATGTCCCTACAAAGGACATGAACTCATCCTTTTTTATGGCTGCATAGTATTCCATGGTGTATTTGTGCCACATTTTCTTAATCCAGTCTATCACTGATGGACATTTGGGTTGGTTCCAAGTCTTTGCTATTGTGAATAGTGCCGCAATAAACATATGTGTGCATGTGTCTTTAGAGCAGCATGATTTATAATCCTTTGGGTATATACCCAGTAATGGGATGGCTGGGTCAAATGGTATTTCTAGTTCTAGATCCTTGAGGAATCGCCACACTGTCTTCCACAATGGTTGAACTAGTTTACAGTCCCACCAGCAGTGTAAAAGTGTTTCTATTTCTCCACATCCTCTCCAGCACCTGTTGTTGCCTGACTTTTTAATAATTGCCATTCTAACTGGTGTGAGATGGTACCTCATTGTTGTTTTGATTTGCATTTCTCTGATGGCCAGAACATGACTTTTTTCTATAGCTGTCTTTTCATTTCTAATTTCTACAAACCAAGATAACTAAGCATTAAAATGAAAGAAAGCAAAACTGATCGATGGATCAAAAATTATTCACTAATTTTTTAACCTAAAAAAATGAAGACAAAGCAAATACACATGGTATAGGATAAAGTAAAAATAAGGTTTAAGGCCGGGCGCAGTGGCTCACACCTGTAATCCTAGCACTTTGGGAGGAAGAGGTGGGCGGATCACAATGTCAGGAGATCGAGACCATCCTGGCTAACACGGTGAAACCCTGTCTCTACTAAAAATACAAAAAATTAGCCGGGCGTGGTGGCATATTCCTGTAGTCCCAGCTACTCGAGAGGCTGAGGCAGGAGAATCACTTGAACCTGGGAGGCGGAGGTTGCAGTGAGCTGAGATCATGCCACTGTACTCCAGCCTGGGCGACAGAGCAAAACTCTGTCTAAAAAAAAAAAAAAAATTGTTTCAAATAATCTTCTAAAAGATACACTTAGAAAGAGTAAGACCTAATATTTGATAGAGCAGGGTGAGTATAGTCAAAAATTTAATTGTACATTTAAAAGTAACTGAGTATATTTGGATTGTTTGTAACACAAATGATAAATGCTTGAGGGATAGATACCCCATTTTCCATGATGTGATTATTACTTACTACATGCCTGTATCAAAGTATCTCATGTACCCCACAAATATGTACATTTGCCATGTACTCACAAAAAATTGTTTTAAATCTCTTTCATTAAATGATAAAGCCCCAAATTCCCAAATTTCTCATTAAAAATATATACCTTGTGAATCCTTCTTATTAAGACAGATGCAAAAAAACGTAATGTTATTCTCAGTTCATCAACAAAGGATTCATCATCTGTCACATCCCTTCAATAAGGAGAAAAACAAATATTCAGAAGTTCAGAGAAATACAGTTTCACCTTCTACAATCCAAGGGAAAATTTTCCTTTTTTCTGTTTACTTAAGCTACTTTCTTTTTTCATTTACAAATAATACATTTCATTGCAGAAAAAAAGACATGTACAAAAAATAAAACAAACATCTACCATAATTCTAGCATCAAGACATAATCACTATTAACTAAATTGTAACATATATTTCCTTGCAGACATACACGACTACAGTCTTATTTTTACAATACTGAGATTATGTTCTAAGCAACACCAAAGAAAGTTCAAAGAAATAAAACAATGAATAATTTTGGAGAAGCAATAGAATTAATACAAAATTTTTAAATAGTTTAAAATACTTATAAAATAAATTCTAAAAGTTAAAACAAAAAAATGTGTGCTCTATTTGAAAAAGAAATTAAATGAACTGAAACTCAGACATTTTGTAAAACAGAAATTCTGACAACCTTCAACTGAGGAGTTACTTTCATTTTCCTGATGTTTGGAGGGCCCTAGAATTAGAACACTTCCCTAATCAAAGGCAAGAAAAGAAAGAATGATGATATCTTGAACTCAAAGACGGTGTTGTTAACTTTCTTGGCAGAATAGGAAAGATAATTGTATCAACCATGCTTCCCACTGTTAACCCTACAGAAGGGGATATTACAGCATCAATAGCTACAACTGAGAAGAAAGTATACTTTCACACTTAGAAATACAACTAGATTTTATGTCGAAAGTGTCGTAATGAGAGATGGGAGAAGGTAAGGGAGTCTTCACAAAAGGATTCATTTTACAAAAGGCCTCACCATCAGCTTTAGTTAAATGGCAAATGCCAGATATTTAACACAGAACCAAATGTAAATTTACATAGCTCTCCAGGAAAATATGGCATAGAAACGATATTAAATTTGTCTTAAACACTCTGGGTGAATTCAACTAGTAGCATTTTTTTTTTTTTAATTAGAAATTCGGCCAGGCATGGTGGCTCACACCTATAATCCCAACACTTTGGGAGGCCGAGGTGGGTGGATCACTTGAAGTCGGGAGTTTGAGACCAGCCTGACCAACATGGGGAAACCCCATCTCTACTAAAAATACAAAAATTAGCCAAGCATTGTGGTGCACGCCTGTAATCCCAGCTTCTTGGGAGGCTGAGGTGGGAGGATTGCTTGAACCTGGGAGGTGGAGGTTGCAGTGAGCTGAGGTCGCGCCACTGCACTCCAGCCTAGGCAACAGAGTAAGACTCCATCTCAAAGAAAAAAAAAAGAAAGAAAAGAAAATTCAAAATATACTGAATCAATATAAAATCAGGGTAGATGTCATTAAACATCATATGTATAAGCCATGGAGGTATAAGTGTTCAAATATATATTAAACACATGATGCTTATTTAAGAAAATATGTATTTATTAAATGATATAAGTTGGATCTCTCTAATTTCAAAATAGATTTCTGTCAAATCTAAAGTATTTTCTGTATCTTCAAAAGCACAAGGCCCTTGCACGTACATGGCATACACCAAAAACAAAGGTACTTGGGGAAAAAAAAACCATTAATTCTCCAGGAAAAGTACTGAAGCTATCTTTCAATTTAATGAAATATGTGAATACAGATTCCCCTCCAAAAGGTACAATTATTTCAAATGTGAAAACTGTATACAAAATTATTAAATCACTACATTTAGGAGTGATAAGGAATTCTACAAGTTACTTTTCTTTCAAAACACAGCCTAAGTTTTCTTCCTCTTTACTATCACCAAATTATTAATTGACTGATGCCTACATCAGTGGTTCTTAACTAGGGCCAATTATGCCTTCCAGGTCATATCTGGCAACCTCTGAAGACATTTTTATTGGTCACAACTGGTGGCAGAGATGTCTGTTACTAGTATCTAATGGGAGAGGTCAGGGGTGCTAATTATCATGTAATGCACAGTACTGCCCCCAAAACAAATAATTATTTTGGCTAAAAGGTCAACAATGACAAAGTTGAGAAATCCTGGTCTACATGAAAAACATGTCATTAGCATGCTTAACTTAATAGTATTCACTGTATCACAGAAAAAAAGATCTTATAGAAAGAACATACCTGTACCACGGATAAACAAAGTTTTCCAACACTAATTCAAGAACCTGCATAAACAATTATTTTTTAAAGAAAAATAAAATTAATTAGTTTTTGGAAAATAAATGGTACCATTTGGGAATATGTAACATTACCAAGAAACAATTTTATTATCACAAATAGTGACAGTAGGCGGTGAGCAGTGGCTCACACCTGTAATCCCAGCACTTTGGGAGGTCAAGGCAGGTGGATGGCTTTAGCTCACGAGTTTGAGACCAGCCTGGGTAACATGATGAAACCCTGTATCTACAAAAAACAGAACAATAAGCTGGGTGTAGTGACGTGTACCTGTATTCCCAGCTATTTGGGGGGCTGAGGCAGGAGTATCGCTTGAGCCTGAGAGGCAGAGGTTACAGTGAGCCAAGATGTTGCCACTGTACACCAGCCTGGGCGACAGAGTGAGACTCTGTCTCAAAAAAACAAAAAACAAATAACGACAGTAATATAATACTTTCACATGACAAAATGTATATTTCATCCTTATGTGAATGAGGATCAAAGAAAACATATGAGAAAACACTTGGAAAATCATAAAAATTCCACAAATAGAAAAACTTATTATTAGAATGACATGCACATATTTCTAAATATTCCCATAATCAAACAAAAAGTTAAATAAATTGTTCCTGACTCTGAAGCTTAACTGAACCAAAAACGTGCTATGGAAAGAAGAAACAGAGCAAGTTAGTCCTTTCCATTCCTAACTTTATAAGTCAGTATTTTCAGAATACAGTGAAGAAACAAGCAGCTAAGATTTATGTAAGGGGTCAAAATTAGGTGTTAGTGGTTACCTCTGAAGGGAGTATAGTGGCTAGAGAGGAACATAAAGGGGAGTTCTGGGATGCCGGTAACGTTTTGTTTCCTGATCTGAATGCTGGTTACACACATATGTTCGCTTTGCGAAAATTTTACCTGTACACTCAAATCAGTACATAAGTTATATAAGTGAAAAAGTAACAAAACAAAATAAAACAAACCCTGGGTGTTAAATCTTCCATTTCTTGGATTTGGGTGTCGCAGTATGTCATAATTTTTACAAGGAGTTGCAACATTGGGCAGTAACTTACAAATGCAGTAGGGAGGGAACAAAACGACATATCTAATCTAATGCTTCCAAAATCAGATCATATATTTTCTCTGGCAGCAATAATAAAGTTTGTGAATTCTCTAGTTTAAATATTAAGTGAACAATAATTTAGACATTTTAGTACAAAAACTAAGCATTGTTTATATGTGTTGGGAAATGAAAATACATATAAACAGGGATAACAATGAATAGGATAGAGAGAACAGACTAGAACGAGTTATCATTAAACATTTCTTCTTCCTTTATTTCCCACATCCAGCCAATCACCAAGTCCTACTGATTTTATATCCTAAGTAGTGCTTTTCTTTTCTTTTTTTTTTTTTTTTGAGGCGGAGTTTCACTCTTCTTGCCCGGGCTGGAGTGCAATAGCGCAATCTTGGCTCACCTCAACCTCCACCTCCAGGGTTTAAGCAATTCTGCCTCAGCCTCCCAAGTAGCTGGGATTATAGGCATGTGCCACCACAACCAGCTAATTTTGCATTTTTACTAGAGATGGGGTTTCTCCATGTTGGTCAGGCTGGTCTCGAACTCCCGACCTTAGGTGATCCGCCCACCTCGGCCTCCCAAAGTGCTGGGATTACAGGCGTGAGCCAACACGCCCAGCGGGTACTCATTTTCTTACCCCTTATACTGCAGCAATGGCCTCTCAACTCCCTGCTTCCAAGCTCACTCCCTTCCATCCTAAATAGAGTTGCCAAAGTAACCTAAAACATACATTTGACCACATCATCCTCTTGCATGAAATCCTCAACATATCAAACCTGAATATATGAAAATAAGAAAGGTATAAATTGCACTGATTTTGAAGGGGACCTGCTGGCATGCAGCAGCTGCATCACTTCCTTTTCACTCCCAGTGTACCCTATGAGTCACATGTGAAAATTCAAGAAAATCACTGACTTCCAGAATCAATTAATCTAAGCTCCATCAGCATAGCCCTTAAAGTCATTTGATAGTCTCATTTCTAAAGGGCCACATAAAATCCTGATTAAGAACTTAACCAGACCTGAGTTTTTTATTGAGTTCTGTAATCAACCAAATATGAAACTTGAGAAAATTATTAAAATTCTAAATTTCATTTACCTTTGGTAAAATTATCAATAATAGTACCCACTTCATAGGTTATACATAGATTACATGAAATAAAGAATGAGCTTAGCACAATGCCTAATATACAGTAAGTAAATCATTAAATATTAGCTACTAGAATATTGTTTCCTCATTGCCCACATCCTCCCTCACATTTTACTCTCCAGTTTGCTGAACATCCCACCTTGTTTCAAGCCTCTCTTTCCTTTTGAAAGCTCTACTCAAATCCTGAAATACCCTTTCCCACACTATTAGTCTGGCAAACCTCTAGTTCTCCGATCTGATTTCCCTCTCAATAGTTATGAACTTCTCCTCTATACTAATTCTATATACCTTAATTTTTTTCCATTATTGCCTGCATTAAATTATATTGTGATTACCTGTTTATATGCCTGCCTCTACTTCTAGACTAAAGTTCCTGGTAGAAAGGGACCATATCTTCACTTTTAATCACTAGGGCCTAGCCCAGTTCCTACCTATAAGATATCAAAATATGTTTTTAAATGTGAGAGCTAATATTTACTGAGCACCAGTATGTGCCAGGTACTGGACCAAGGGTTTTATACAAGTCCTTTCATTTTTATGAATGAATGACATGTCAAAGACACAAATAATACTCTTGTTAGAAGTTTTCTTCAACAGACCTCAACTTCGCACTCTCCAACAGAAATATAATGTAAGTTACCCATTAATTTTAAATTTTCTAGTAGCTACATTTTTTACAAAGTAAAAAGAAACAGGTGAAATTAATTTTATATTTTATTTAACCCAACACATCCAAAATATTATCATTTCAACATGTAATCAATATAAAAAATGAGATACTTGTCCAGGCGCAGTGGCTGACTCCTATACTACCAACACTTTGGGAGGTCGAGGCAGGTGGATCACAAGGTCAGGAGTTCGAGACCAGCCTGGCCAATATGGTGAAACCCTGTCTCTACTAAAAATACAAAAATTAGCTGGGCGTGGTGGTGTGCGCTTGTAGTCCCAGCTACTTGGGAGGCTGAGGCAAGAGAATCGTTTGAACTCGGGAGGCGGAGGTTGCAGTGAGCCAAGATTATGCCACTGCACTCCAGCCTGGGTGACAGAGCGAGATTCCGTCTCAAAAAAAAAAGAAACTTTACATTCCTTTTTTCTAAGTCTTTTCTTACTAAGTCTTCTTACAAAATCTTCAAAATCCACTATATATTTTATACACAGAACACATGTCAACTTGGACTAGCACATTTCAAGTGTTTATTAATAGCCACATGTGGCTAGGAGCTACCATATTAGACAGAAGTCTTAAATCAGGGTATCTTGAAGATGAAAAAGGCCTTAGAGGCCCGGCATGGTGGCTCACGCCTGTAAACCCAGCACTTTGGGAGGCCGACGTGGGTGGATCACGAGGTCAGGAGATCAAGACCACGTCCTGGCTAACATGTGAAACCCCGTCTCTACTAAAATGACAAAAGAAAAAAAATTAGGCGGGCGTGGTGGTGCACGCCTGCAGTCCCAGCTACTCGGGAGGCTGACGCAGGAGAATCGCTTGAACCCGGGAGGCAGAGGTTGCAATGAGGTGAGATCGCACCACTGCACTCCGGCCTGGGTGGCAGAGCAAGACTCCATCTCAAAAAAAAAAAAAAAAGGCCTTAGAGAGGCAAAGAAAAAAATGCCAAATTTTAATGGGCTTTTATGCAGGATACAAAATGGGATAAAGAACAATTAAGCGGGATTCAGATGCTATTCTTCAACTAATTAACATCCAATTTGATTCAATACACTTTGATCAGCTACCAACAATATACGTGACCTGATACTTGGTGCTAGGAACAAATGAGACTCCATTCCTTGCCTTCAAGGACTTGAGTGTTTTGTCAAATCCACTGAGAAGACAAGTCTTTAAAACAACTAAAACATGTTACCAAAAAGATACACATGAAATCTGACTATAACAAAGATAAGAGAACATGCTTTCCATTCCTGTATTATGCAGAAATACTGAAAAATATCCCATTCCCTACTCTACCCTTCAGTTAGTGTCAAAACTGGGGTCATAATTCAGTAAGCTATATATTGATTTGCTCCTTGCAGTCCAGGGTTCCTTTTGGAATTACAAAATGATATTTCTGCTGCGCTATCATAAAGATGACTGTTTTCATCTTTATGACTGTTTCGGGTAAACCAGTGCTTTCCTTAGCTGAAAATGTCTAAATTAAACATGAGATTCAAAAACATTTCTAGCTTACTACTCAAGTTGTTTAGTCTGCAATAATCAACTGCCTCAGAACTGATTTAAGTGACATGTATTAAGATGCTCCATGATTAAATTTTTTGATTAAAAATTCTGGAAAATTTTTCCACAGGCATTTAACATTTTCTGTTAATAATATTAATTAAATCAGTTACCTCTGAGAGAGATGCATCAACCTTGGAAGAAATTTTCAGGTCTAGCCATGGCTGGTAGTTTTCAAGTAGCAAAGAAGGCCTAAAGAAAAATTATACAACTAAATCACTTGAAATCCAAATGTAATTAGAAGGATCAACAAATAAAAAAATATTTAACTTACCTATGTCGTTTACATTTCACTTTACCACAAACAGCACAGCTATGACCTTGAGGAAATAATTCCTGAAGTCCTAACTGCTAAAAAAGGAAAATGAGAGGTGGTGGGGAGATCCATCTTTACATAACATCTTTATTTAAAAGAATCAACTTTTCAGAAGTTTTTAAAATCAATGTATAAATTCAAAGAACATTTTTTGTCTACTTTAACAGTGAAATCTTTCTTTGTAATACATAATACTGGCTAAACTAAACCATCAGAGAAAAAAATACCACATGAAATGCCTTATAATACCTAAGCCAAATTTCCAAGCTTAAAGTTAAAATCAATTGTTATGATCACTTAAAAAAAATTCAGTCTATATTTGAAAGTGATAATTTGGCCAAGCACAGTGGCTCACACCTATAATCCTAGCACTCTGGGAGACCGCGGTGAGTGGATGGCTTGAGCCCAGGAGTTTGAGGCCAGCCTGGGAAACATGGTAAAACCCTGTCTCTACAAAAAAAATTCAAAAATTAGACAGGTGTGGTGGCACATGCCTATAATCCCAGCTACCCAGGAGGCTGAGGTGGGAGGATCACCTGAGCTCAGGAGTTTGAGGCTGCAGTAAGCCGTGATCCTGCCACTGCACTCTAGCCTGTGCAACTCTAGCCTGTCTCAAAAAAAGGAAGAAAGAAAAAAGAAAGTGACACTCTACTGCAAAGGCATAATAAGAAAAAACTATTTTCTCTTTCTCCAAAATCTTGAATTCAATGACAAAGGTACGAGGTAACTATTACAGTTCCTGATCAAATATGGGGCACCACGTTCAGTTGTGTTTCCTCTGAGTAGAAATACCAACAAACCCAAGACAAGATACTACACCAACTTAAAGAATTATTAAGCCTTAAAGATATCCCACTAGGCCAGGCGCAGTGGCTCACGCCTGTAATCCTAACACTTTGGTAGGCCGAGGCAAGTGGATCACCTGAGGTCAGGAGTTCGAGACCAGCCTGGCCAACACAGCAAAACCCCGTCTCTACTAAAAATACAAAAATTAGCTGGGCCTGGTGGCGTGTGCCTGTAATCTCAGTTACATGGAAGGCTGAGGCAGAAGAATCACTTGAACCTGAGAGGCAGAGGTTGCAGTGAACCAAAATGGCGCCACCGCACTCCAACCTGGGTGACAGAGCAAGACTCCATGTCAAAAAAATAAAAAGGAAAAGGAAAAGATATCCCACTAAACCCTAATCTACAGACCAGAACCTTGCTTTACAGAGATAGACTCACCACATTACCACCCTTCATTAAATTTCAGAAATAAATTACTTTGGTTATATAAACTGCCTAATTATATCTCTGTTTCTATGAAGCACACAAACATTTAAGAATTTAATAGGATTAGATCATTTAACCCAGAACTTCCTCAGTCTGTGCCTCAGAATCAGCTGGAAAGCTTCTAACAAGTACTGATTACAAGGCTCTAACCCAGAACTATTCAATCAAAATCTGGTAGTACACCCCAGGAATCTGTATTTTTTAATTCCCCAGGAGATTTACTGTACAACCAGCTTTGAGAACCTGTGATTTAATTTATTGTCCTCACGGTTAATAGAGGACACCCTAAAATTGTGGATTCCAACTTTCTGAAACTTTTGTACCATATTTTCTTTTTATAGCTCCTCTAAGAGAATTGTATACCTTAAAAGCATACACATATACAAATCTTATTTTGAAAATTTTCTAATAGACTTCCATTATTAAATAAAATTGGATGGATTTTTTTATAATAATAAAATCATTTTATAATAAAATCACTGCTTTTAGCAGAGTACCTAAAAAAAACAAAAAAAAAAAAGAGAAGAAATTGAAAGAAAACAAATTTTGTAAATTAAAAAAATATACTGCTTTAGCAGGCTTTCAAATAATAAACAGCTTAGGCTCATATACATTGATTCTTAACAATAAGAACACATAATTTTACCTTGGGTTTGTATTTTATTGTGAAGAATATATTTGGTAAGAGAGAATCAGGTCCTAGTGAGCAGTAGAATGTGACAACTCCAGCAACAAATGACCAGAAGATCATTAAAATATGAATATACCTTAAAAATAAATGAAAATAATTATTACAACCAAAGAAAATGCCTAATTCTAAGTTACCGCTTCACTGACTTAACAAGCATTCATTAAGCACCTACAATATCAGATTGAAGCAATTTTTCAAATTATGATTAATTTTTTGTAATGTATTAAATACAAGAATCATAAGATGTATGCTATCAAATACATATTTCATTTAAAGGATAAGGAAGCATAAATGATCAATATTTCATAATTGGTACCTATGTTTAACTAGTCTATACTACATTCTTCCAGAATACCTTCTGATGATATTGTAGTATTCATATCCCAACAAAATTCTGATTATTTTTCACTACATCAAAAAAATTTTACTAAGTACCTATTTTGTTATAGACAGAGGTAGGCCCTGGGAATACAGTGAGGAACTGCACTGCATAGTCTCTACCTGCATGGAAAACACAGTCTAGTAGTGGTGATACGTAAGTAAAAATAAGCACAATACTATGTGATCACACATGTGATATTACGACAGAAAGTCTGTGTGATATGGGAATACCACAGGCTGATTAACCCAAATTTGAAAAGAACAGAAAAGTTTTTTCAGAGAAAGCAATATCTACAGAAAAACTTAAAGGGTAAGTAGGAACAAATAAACAGAAGAGGATAGGATAGAGGTATGGGAGACTGGAGAAGAGGCAGGGGAATTCAAACTTGAGAGAAACACATGGGCTTAGGTCTGTGTGAGCACACTTCCAAGGAAGAAGGCCTTAAGATGAATCTAAAAGCAAAAGCAGAAGCCAAATAATATAGTGTGATATAATGGGCAATGTGTGTCTTAATACAGGTAGTCCTCACATTGCACAGTTCTGATATGCAAAAATTTCAGATACCATGATTGTGCTAAATAACACCAGTCCCCCACAACACAGTTCAAATGCCAATGACCACAGTATTATTTATTAACTGTGAGTAACTGTATAAAGTACAAACTCTGCTAACTCATCAGTCCACAAATCACTATATAAATAACAGATGTGCATCATGATCAGGGACCAATCACATCAGTTCTGTCAGTGACTGGTCACTCACTGCACATTGTTATTCTTTAGTGCATGCACAGACAGGAAACCATGGAGTTGTGTTACCTCCCTGTCTCCCAATAATAAATCTGCAATACACTTTACAAACATGGACTTTGGCCCACAAATATTAAAGAGAAACAAAGAAATGAACAGTGGTAATGCAAGAAGTAAAATTCAAATCAAATGTAAATGAAGTACAGAAGAAATAGCTGACTGTGGGAATGATGACAATGCTGCTGTTCAACAGATTCTATGCAGCCAGACAAAGGTAGTGAACTTTTTGACAACAATGAGAAGAGTGGTTATGGCACAAGGATGAAAATGTCCCAGAAGAAGTGACACCAGCAAAGGAACTTTTGGAGATTTCACAACATTGGATAAAACATTGAAAGTTGATCCAAACTTAGGAGTATGGTAATTCACCTATGCATGAAAAAGATATTCGCTCCATATCCCATGTTATCGGATGAGAAGAAGACAAACACTGTTTAAGTTACTCTTAATATGTTTTTTACAAAGAAATATAACACTTTAATTCTCAATGTTTCTAATGTTTAAAATTACAGTGTACTACTCACTTTACTATTTTTTTCATTTCCCTATACTATTATAACTGACAATGAGAGTTTTCAATGTCTTGACAAAATTTTTTAAAACTCAATCGTAATTTTCCCATTGACTGAAACCATTTTGCACAGTTTCTGCTTGCACAATCATTTTTACAGACCCTCACTACCAGAGAAACCAGGGACTGCCCGTATTATCTTACAAGAAAATGCACTGTAGGGATCTAATAATTTGTAGACTCAGTAGAGACTACAATCCCTTCTGCAAAGTGTTCTTTCTTTACACTCTATTCATGAAGTTCAAATGGGAATAAGAGCTTTTATCTCCCTAAGATTCTATCTCCCTCACTCAAGACTGGATTAAGAATAGACAAAACGATGACAACAACAACAAAATAGGCCAATCATAGCATCTTCTTCCCTACCTACAGCTGACTGGTTCAGGGATGGACACCATCTGAGACAACCTAGTGAGTAACAGGCATTTGAAACACAGTAAATTGCACGAACTGACAGAGTAAACTGCATGAACTGGGGTCCAACCAGTCTCATTCATCTCATGATAGTAGAAATGTGAAGCTGTAATAAAACTGACAGCCATATGCTTTGTCACTTAAAGGAAAGCGGAGTGAGAAGAGAATGATGCCAGAATTCAGAGAGGAGAAAAAGGAAGGGGAAGAAAGTATTGGCAGTATTCCAAATCCTGCTTCCATGTGTTTCTGGGGCCCAGCTACACTCCAGTTATTTCTGCACTTACAAAACCTTCCAAGGCTTGCCCTTTGTTAAACCTAGTGTGAGCTGAGTTTCTGTTATCTACCATCAAGAGTCCTGAGTAATACCTATGAGACAATTAAGAGATTTAAGAAGATTTTAAAAAATTTTCAAGAGTTTTCAGAAGGATATCATTAGATTAAATAATAGGAAGACCATTCTGGATGAAATATGGAGAATGGCCTAGACTGGAAACACACAGCCTAGTTAGAAAACTGTTGCAGTAATCTATGAGAGTCAGTGATGGCCTAAACTAGGGAAGAGACTTAGAGATCTTAAAAAGTGAATTATTTTGTGAGACACTGGGAGGAAAAATCAAGAGGATTAAGTAGTTGATTAGATGTGAGCAGAAGGAGCCAGGTACAGTAGCTCATAACTGTAATCCTAACACTCTGGGAGGCCAAGGCAGGCAGATCACTTGAGGTCAGGAGTTTGAGACCAGCCTGGCCAACATGGTGAAACCGCATCTCTACTAAAAATAAAAATAAAAATTGGCTGGGCATGGTGGCGCATGCCTGTAATCCCAGCTACTAGGGAAGGTGAGGCAGGAGAATTGCTTGAACCTGGGAGGTGGAGGCTGCAGTAAGCTGAGATCACGCCACTGCACTCCGGCTGGGTGACAGAGCGAGACTCCGTCTAAATAAATAAATACATAAAAGCAAGCAGAAGAGAAAAATAAAAAATCAGTTCTCTTTGGGCATGTTAAGTTTCAGATATTTTAAAACACGCTACACAGAAATGTTCCACAAGCACCTAAATATTGGGTAGTCTCAATCTCTGGAGAGAATATGGGCTAAGGATAAAGGTTTAGAAATTATCAACATAAATATCACTGAAGCCATAGGAATAAATGACATGACCCAGGGAGAATCTACAGAGTTAAAAAAGAAATGAGCATAAGATATTTAAGAACCAGGCAGAGGAAAAGAAATCTATAAAGGAATCAAGTAATTAGAAGAATTGGAAAGAAAACCAAGGGTCGAGTCATAAAAACTGGCAAGGTCAAACACAAACGAACAAACAAACAGAAAAAAAAATACTACAGAAATGAAGTGGACAACATGACCAAATGTTTGTAAAATAAAAATTGAGAGGTGTCCATTAGTTTTCACAATAAAAGAGGCACTGATTAACCAGGCAAAAACAATTTTAGAATGGCAAAAGGCTACAACGGATTGAGGAGTGAGATGGAGGTGAGGAAGTGGGATTGGTAAATGTAGATAATTCTCTTTCTAAATAAAAGGAGAGCTAACACAGTAACTGGAGGGGGAGAGTAAGTTAAGGTTTTTGATTAAAAACCTGATCACATTTAAATGGTGATATAGGAGAAAAGGAGGCAAGAGGGAAAGAAGTACAAAAAAAGAAATAATGCGTAAATACTATCTTACAGAAGGTAGGAGTTGTTAGGATTCAGAATCTACATGGAAGAAACAGTTATAAATGAGAGAAATGTCTCTTTCCCAACACCACACAGGATGCATAGAAGGATGAATATGCAGTTACATTTGTAGATTTGGTAACAAGAATTAAAAGCCATATAATGGCTTTTATATAGAACAGGAGATCCTGAGAGTAAATGACAAAGGTAGCATGACAGAGAGTAAATAACAGAGGTTCTAGAAGACTGGGGAAATTCTGACACAGTTGCCACAGAGAAGGGAAGAGGGGGGTATCCTGGGGAACTGCTGGACATTACTGAGGCTGAAGACAATGAACTTTCAGTTGTGGGATCTTTTCCAGCAGCATTCAGTTTTCAGAATATGAACCTAAAAAAAGCAAACAGCATCAATGATCCCAGATTTGGATTCTGACAGGCGAGTAGAATGGAAGGGATGGAGTTAAAGATACTAGAAATAGACTGCATGAAATGACTGATGGACCAAGCTATCTGTCTAAGCTAGACTGGCTCTAAACTGCATCAGAAAGTAAACTAACAACAGAAGAGGGACAACATACAGAAAGAAAGCAGGGTCAGGAGACTGAAATGTCAAGAAGCAGGGACAGTGTGACTGACTAAATGAAAGAAGTTGACACTGGTGAGTAAGTGACATATTTGATTCTTAAGATTTCAGAGGTAGCCGGGCGCAGTGGGTCACGCCTGTAATCTTAGCACTTTGGAAGGCTGAGGCGGGCGGATCACCTGAGCTCAGGAGTTCGAGACCAGCCTGGCCAACATGATGAAACCACGTCTCTACTAAAAGTACAAAAAAATTAGCCGGGCATGGTGGTGTGTGCCTGTAATCCCAGCTACTCAGGAGGCTGAGGCAGAAGAATCATTTGAACCCAGGAGGCAGAAGTTGCAGTGAGCCGAGATCACGCCACTATACTCCAGCCTGGGTGACAGAATGGGACTCCGTCTAAAAAAAAAAAGATTTCAGAGGTAAACAGCTGGCATGCCACATACCCAAGGATGGCCTGGCCATCATCACCCAAGTGACCAACCCCAAAGAAGACAAGAGCCAGGTGCCGGGCATGGGCAAGAAAAATACCTGTTCACTACAGAGATAACTGAAATGACAGCCAAGCAAAAAGCAAAAAAAGTAAACAAAAGAACCATAAGGAGAGAGAGAGGCAGAACAAGATAGCCAAATAGAAGGCTCTCATCATCCTCCCCACAGGAACACCAAATTTAACAACTATCTAAACAAAAAAAACCTTCATAAGAATCAAAAACCAGGTGACTGATCACAGTACATGATTTTAACTTCATATTGCTGAAAGAGGCATGGAAGAGGGTAGCAAAGGCAATTCTGAAATTGCCAATACCCTTTCTGCAGCCCCCAGAAGTGGCCACATGTCAAAGGAAAGCACACGGCTTGAGAGAGGGACAACACAGTGATTGTGAGAATTTGCACTGAAACTCAGTGCTGCCAACACCAGGAAGAACTTAGCCGATGCCCAAAAAGAGGTCATTTACACATGTCCTGGCCAGAGGGCAACTGCTCATCCCAGTAGTCCAAACCTGAGTTTCAGCAATCCTTGACACCACAGGTTAAAGTGCTCTGAGTTCTTAAATAAACTTGAAAGGTCTTAAGTAAACTTGAAAGGCAGTCTAGGCCACAAGGACTGTAACGCCTAGGCAAGTCCTACTACTGTGCTGGGGCTCAAAGCCAGTGGACTTGGAGGGCATGTGAACTAGTGAGACATCCTGTGGGGAGGATGATGAGAGCCTTCTATCTGGCGATCTTGTTCTGCCTCTCTCTCTCCTTATGGTTATTTTGTTTACCAAGGCAGCTAAGGGAAGGCTTGTGAAACCCCTCTCCAAGTCCCAGGCAGTGCAGCTTGCAGGTCCGAAAGAGACCCTTTCCCTCTGCTTGAGGAGAGGAGAGGGGAAAGTAAAGATAACTCTGTCTTTCAACTTAGATACCATCTCAGGGACAGGAAGACAGGGAACTGGGCAGAGTAATGAGGCCCTCATTCCAGGCCCTAGCTCCCAGACAACATTTCTAGACACACCCTGGGCCAGAAGGAAACCCACTGCCTTTAAAGGAAGGACCCATCCTGGCAGGATTCATCGTCTGCTGACTAAAGAGACTTTGGACTGAATAAAACAGCAGCAGTAACCAGGTATTCACACAGTAGGTCTTGGGTAAGACTGAGGTATGCCGGCCTCAGGTGTGTCTAGCACATTCACTGCTCTGATGGCTACAAAGAGAGACTTCTTCTGCTTCAAAAAAGCAGAAGAAAAGGTAAAGGGGATGTCGTCTTACAGCTCAGGTACCGGCTTGGCCAGTGGGGTAGAGGACCAAGAGGGCTTTTGGGGTCCCCAATTCCAGGCCTTGGCTCTTAGATGCCATTTCTAGACCTACCCTGGGCCAAAGGGGAGTGCATTGCCCTGAAAGGTGAGTTGCAGGCCTGGCACCATTCACCACAAGCTGACTAAGGAGGCCTTGGGCTTAAGTAAACATTGACAGTAGTAGTTAGATTGATAGAGTCTAGCAGCACTCCCATGGGCTTATGGTGGTAGTTGACACGGAGAGAGGCTCTTTTGCCTGGGGAAAAGGAAGAGTGGTAAGGATTTTGTCTTGTGGTATAGGTGCCAGCTCAGCCACAGTAGAATAAAACACCAGGTAGATTTCTAAGGTTTCCAACTCCTGGTCCTGGCTCCTGGATGGCATCTCTGGAACCACCCCATATCCAGGGGAACTTGCCACCCTGAAGGGAAGGACACAAGCCTGGCTGGCTTCACCACCTGCTGATTATAGAGCCCTAACATAGTCAGTAGCCAGATAGTGGTTACAGTGGGCCTTGGATGAGACCCAGCGCCTGTGCTGGCTTCAGGTCTGACTCAGCACACTCCTACTCCTGGTGGCCAAAGGGTTATTTGTGTCACCCCTCCCCCAGCTCCAGGAAGCTCAGCACAGAGAGAGACTCCATTTGATTGGAGGAAAGTGGGAGAAGAGAACAGGAGACTCTACCTGGTAATCCAGAGAATTCTTCCAGATTTTATCCAACACCACCAAGGAGGTACCTCTGTAAGTCTGCAAGAACCACAGCGTTACTAGGCTTGCAGTACCCCTTAATGCAAATATGGCTGCATTGACCAAAAACATAGATGATACCCAAATCCCTTCGAATACCAGGAAAGGCTTCCCAAGGACAGGAAACAAACAAGCCCAGAATGCAAACACTACAATAAATAACTCTTCAATACCCAGACACTGAAAAACATCCACAAGCATCAAGACCATGAAGGGAAACATGGCTCACCAAACAAACTAAATAAAGCACGAGGGACCAATCCTGGAGAAACAAAGATATGTGACCTTTCAGATGGAGAATTCAAAATAGCTGTATTAAGAAAACTCAAAGAAATTCAAGATAACACAGAGAAGGAATAAAGAATCCTATCAGATAAATTTAACAAAGAAGCTGAAATAATTAAAAGAATTAAGCAAAAATTCTGGAGTTCAAAAATGCAACTGACATATAGAAGAATGCATTAGAGTCTCTTAATAGTAGAAGTGATCAAGTAATAGAAAGAATTACTAAGCTTGAAGACAGGCTATTTGAAAATACACAGAAAAGACAAAAGAACAAAATAACAAAACACAACTAAAAGATTGAAAAAATAGCCTTGAAAGGGCAAATCTAAGAGTTACTGGCCTTAAAGAGGAGGCAGAGAGACAGATCAGGATAGAAAGTTTATTCAAAGGGATAATAACAGAGAACATCCCAAACCTAGAGAAAGGTATCAATGTTCAAGTACAAGAAGATTAGGAACACCAAGCAGATTTAACCTAAGGATGACTACCTGAAGAAATGTAATAATTAAACTCCCAAAGGTCAAGGATACCAAGAAAGGATCCTAAAAGCACCAAGAAAAAAGAAACAAATGACATACAATGGAGCTCCAACGCATCTGGCACCAGATTTTTCAGTGGAAACCTTACAGGTCAGGAGAGACATAGGATATAAAGTGCATGACATATTTAAAGCGCTGAAGGAAAAAAACTTTCACCCTAGAGTAGTATATCCAGCAAAAATACCCTTCAAACATGAAGGAGAAATAAGGACTTTCCCAGGCAAACAAAAGCTGAGGGATTTCATGAACACCAGACCTACTGTACAAGAAATGTTAAAGGTAGTTCTTCAATCTGAAAGAAAAAGGAAAAACCCTATATTCATCAGACATAAAGAACACTGAAAACGAGAACTGAAGGAGATAGAGACACACACAAAAAAAACCTTCAAAAAAGCAATGGATCCAGGAGCCGATTTTTTTTTTTGAAAAGATTAGCAAAATAGACCACTAGCCAGACTAATAAAGAAGAGAGAGAAGAATCAAATAGACACAATAAAAAATGATAAAGGGGATATCATCACTGATCTCACAAAAACACAAACTACTATCAGAGAATACTATAAACACATCTACTGAAATAAACTAGAAAATCTAGAAGAAATGGATAAATTCCTGGACACCCTCTCAAGACTAAACCAGGAAGAAGTTGAATCCCTGAATAGGCCAATAACAAGTTCTGAAATTGAGGCAGTAATTAATAGCCTACCAACCAAAAAAAGCCCAGGACCAGAAGGATTCACAGCCAAATTCTACCAAAGGTACAAAGAGGAGCTGGTACCATTCCTTCTGAAACTATTCCAAACAACAGAAAAAGAGGAACTCCTCCCAAACTCATTTTATGAGTCCAGCATCATCCTGACACCAAAACCTGGCAGAGACACAACAAAAAAAGAAAATTTCAGGCCAATATCCCTGATGAACATCGATGCGAAAATCCTCAAAAAAATACTGGCAAACCGAATCCAGCACATCCACCATGATCAAGTCGGCTTCATCCCTGGAATGCAAGGCTGGTTCAACATACACAAATCAATAAACATAATCCATCACATAAACAGAACCAATCACAAAAACCACATGATTATCTCAATAGATGCAGAAAAGGCCTTCAATAAAATTCAACACCCCTTCATGCTAAAAACTATCAATAAACTAGGTATTCATGGAATCTATCTCAAAATAATAAGAGTTATTTATGACAAACCCACAGCCATTATCATACTGAATGGGCAAAAAGCATTCCCTTTGAAAACTGACACAACACAAGGATCCCCTCTCTCACCACTCCTATTCAACACAGTATTGTAAGTTCTGGCCAGGGCAATCAGGCAAAAGAAAGAAATAAAGCGTATTCAAATAGGAAGAGAGGAAGTCAAACTGTCTCTGTTTGCAGATGACATGATTGTATATTTAGAAAACCCCATCATCTCAGCCCAAAATCAACTTAAGCTGATAAGCAACTTCAGCAAAGTCTCAGGATACAAAATCAATGGCAAAAATCACAAGCATTACTATACACCAATAACAGACTAACAGTCAAATCATGAGTGAACTCCCATTCACAACTGCTACAAAGAGAATAAAATACCTAGGAATACAATTTACAAGGGATGTGAAGTACCTCTTCAAAGAGAACTACAAACCACTGCTCAAGGAAATACGAGAGGACACAAACAAATGCAAAAACATTCCATGCTCATGGATAGGAAGAATCAATATCGTGAAAATGGCCATACTGCCCAAAGTAATTTATAGATTCAGTCCTATCCCCATCAAGCTACCATTGACTTTCTTAACAGAATTAGAAAAAAAAATACTTTAAATTTCATATGGAAACAAAAAAGAGCCTATATAGCCAGACAATCCTAAGCTAAAAGAACACAGTTGGAGGCATCAAACTGCCTGGCTTCAAACTATACTACAAGGCTACAGTAACCAAAACAGCAAGGTACTGGTACCAAAACAGATATATAGACCAATGGAACAGAACAGAAGCCTCAGAAATAACACCACACATCTACAACCATCTGATCTTTGACAAACCTGACAAAAACAAGCAATGAAGAAAGGATTCCCTATTTAATAAATGGTGTTGGGAAAACTGGCTAGCCATATGCAGAAAACTGAAACTGGACCCCCTCCTTACACCTTATACAAAAATCAAATAAAGATGGATTAAACACTTAAACGTAAGACCCAAAACCATAAAAACCCTAGAATAAAACCTAGGCAATACCATTTAGGACACAGGCATGGGCAAAGACTTCACGACTAAAACACCAAAAGCAATGGCAACAAAGCCAAAATTGACAAATGGGATCTAGTTAAACTAAAGAGCTTCTGCACAGCAAAAGAAACTATCATCAGAGTGAACAGGCAACCTACAGCATGGGAGAAAATTTCTGCAATCTATCCATCTGAGAAAGGGCTAATATCCAGAATCTACAAGGAAGTTAAACAAATTTACAAGAAAAAAACAAACAACCCCATCAAAAAGTGGGCGAAGGATACAAACAGATCCTTCTCAAAAGAAGACATTTATGCAGCCAACAAACATATGAAAAAAAGCTCATCATCACGGGTCATTAGAGAAATGCAAATCAAAACCACAATGAGATACCATTTCATGCTAGTTAGAATGGTGATCATTAAAAAGTCAGGAAACAACAGGTGCTGGAGAGGATGTGGAGAAACAGGAACACTTTTACACTGTTGGTGGGAGTGTAAATTAGTTCCACCATTGTGGAAGACAGTGTGGTGATTCCTTAAGGATCTAGAACCAGAAATACCATTTGACCCAGCAATCCCATTACTGGGTATATACCCAAAGAATTATAAATCATTCTGCTATAAAGACACATGCACACGTTTGTGTATTGCAGCACTATACACAATAGCAGAGACTTGGAACCAACCGAAATGCCCATCAGTGATAGACTGGAAATACTATCACCATGAAATACTAGGCAGCCATAAAAAAGGATGAGTTCATGTCCTTTTCAGGAACATGGATGAAGCTGGAAACCATCATTTTCAGCAAACTAACACAGGAACAGAAAACCAAACACTGCATGTTCTTACTCATAAGTGGGAGTTGAACAATGAGAACACATAGACACAGGGGAGGGGAATATCACAAACCAGGACCTGCTGGGGAGTGGGGGACTGGGGGAGGGATAGCATTAGGAGAAATACCTAATGTAGATGATGGATTGAGGGTGCAGCAAACCACCATGGCACATGTATACCTATGTAACAAACCCACATGTTCTGCACATGTATCCCAGAACTTAAAGTATAATTAAAAAAAAACAAACAACAACAACAACAAAAACACTGAAAACCAATAAGCTAAGCATTCAGAAACTTGGGGGGAAAAACAATAAATCCAAACACATGAAAAGGAAGGAAATAGTCAAGAGCAGAAATCAACAAAATAGACAACAATGACAAATTAACAAAATATAAGCTAGTTCTTTGAAAAAATTAATAAAACAACCAAACTTCTAACTGGATACTAATGGAGGTTAGTAGGGTACCAATTATTACTCTAAAAATTGATAAAGAGTAAGCATTTATCCTACTTTTCCAATTTGAACTATCTATCAGAATAACTAAATAGACCTAACGGATGGAGTAAAGCAATTCTACAAAAAAGAATCAAACTTAAAAATACAGAAGAAATGAGAGAATTCGAGAATAACCATGTTGTAACCCATAATTAAGTAACTGATTCAAGAAATAAATAAATGGTAAAACCAAAGAGTAAGTTTGTTGGACACAGTATCGGTGGACATTAACTGAACCCATTAAAAGTGAAGCAATCCTATCTTACATATCCACTGATGTGATGCAATGGAATGTACATGGCATCACTAAAGTCTTCTTGCACCACTCCCCGCAACAGGAAAAAAAAAAAAAAAAAACTAAATCTAATTGAGCCTATAGATCAAACACTGTGACTACCAAAAATACAAATGTGAGGATTAAAATACAAGACACTACAAGGAAACCACAACAAAATCCAGAATGTGAACAAATGATCCAGTTTCCTCAACAAGTCAATGGCAAGGAGAAAAAAATGGTGAGGAGGGATCTTCCAGATCAGCAGTTGACAAATGATGGCCTGTGGACAAAAGTATACCTGTTTTTGTATGCCCCTCATACTAAGAAAGGTTTTACATTTTTAAAGGGTTTTTTAGAAAGAAGAATAAGCAACAGAGACTTAGCATGGTATACAAAGCCTAAAATATTTACTACCTAACACTTTACAGAAAAAAATGTGTCAACCCTTATTCTAGATTACAAGACATTTAGAAAAGCTTGAGATGTAGGAACCAAATAGGAGTACAACTTGTTTAGATACCAATTAGAACAACTGCACTATATATTTTTACCCAATAGGGAAAATTTTTATTATGGAGTAGTTATTAGATGATATTAACCAATTATTGTTAATTTTGTAATATTATAGTTTTGTATGGAAGTGATTTTTTTTTTATTTCTATCTTTTATAGAGACATGGTCTTGCACTGTCACCCAGGCTGGAGTGTCGGGGCACAATCATATTTCACTGTAGCCTTGAACTCTTGGCTCCAGGAATCCTCCCACCTCAGCCTCCCGAGTTAGCTAGGACCATAGGCTCGCTACTTTTTTTTCTTTTTTTGGTACAGACAGGGTCTTTCTGGCCAGGTGCATAATTTCAGCAATTTGGGAGGCCGAGGTGGGCAGATCACTTGAGGTCAGGAGTTTGAGACCAGCCTGGCCAACATGGCAAAACCCCATGTTGGGAGTCTCCACTAAAAACACAAAAATTAGCCAGGCATGATGGTGGATGCCTGTAATCCCAGCTACCTGGGAGGATGAGGCACAAGAATTCCTTGAACTGAAGAAGTGGAGATTGCAATGAGCCAAGATCACGCCACTGCACTCCAGCCTAGGTGACAAAGTGAGACTCCATCTCAAAAAAAAGAAAGAGAGAGAGACAGTGTTTTTCTATGTTGCCCAGGTTCATCTCCAACTCCTGGCCTCAAGTGATCCTCCCACCTCCACCTCCCAGAGAGCAAGAATTACAGGCATGGGCCACCTCACCCACTCTATAAGACATTTCTTAAAAAGATAAGGCAAAAAAAAAAATATGGCAAAATATGGATAGTTGTTAAAGTTGAGTAATGGGTGCTTGCAAGTTTTTTACACTCTCTTATGTATGCTTGGAAATTTTCAATATCAAAAGTTAATTAAAAAGACAAACCTCTAGCAAGACAGATCAAGGATACAAATATACAAAACACAGAATGAAAAAAGTAACCATAGCTATACTGAAATAAAAAATAAGACTATGAACAACTATATATTAATACATGGAAAATCTATATAAAATAACTTTTAAAAAATTTTTTTGAGACAGAGTCTCGCTCTGTCATCCCAGGCTGGAATGTAGTAGCATGATCAGAGCTTACTGCAGCCTCAACCTCTTAGGCACAAGTAAGTGATCCTCCCACCTCAGCCTCCTGGGTAGCTGGGACTACAGGCACACACCACCATGACCAACTACTTGTTTGGAGAGACGGGGTTCCGCCATGTTGCCCAGGCTGGTCTCGAACTTCTGGGCTCAAGTGATCCTCCCACCTTGGCCTCCCAAAGTGCTAGAATTACAGGCGTGAGCCACCAAACCCCGCCTTAAATAAATTGTTTAAAAGATAAAAATGCAACAACTAGTAAGTGAAAAATTAGAGAATTTGAATAGAGCAATTATCATTAAAGAAATTAAAATAGTAATTAGAATCCTGGTTGCCAATAAAAGGCCCCTGGCCCAAATGGTTTTACCAAACTTTCATGAAACAGATACATACCTTATACAAACTGCTTCAGCAGGGGAGGAGCGGGGGGCAGGGTGTGTGTGGAAACTGCTCATTTAAAGGGCTAGGCCAGGCACAACAGCTCACACCTGTAATCCCAGCACTTTAGGAGGCAGAGGCAAGTGGATCTCCTGAGGTCAGGAGTTTGAGACCAGCCTAGGCAATATAGTGAAACCTCGTCTGTACACAAAAAAACTTAAAAAATTAGCTCAGCCTATATATAGTCCCAGCTACTGGGAGGCTGAAGTGGGAGGACTGCTTGAGCCCATGAGGTGGAGGTTGCAGTGAGCCAAGATCATGCCACTGTCTAGCCTGGGTGATGGACTGAGACTGTCTCAAAAAAATAAATAAGGCCAGGCTCGGTGGCTCACGCCTGTAATCCCAGCACTTTGGGAGGCCGAGGCAGGCAGATCACAAGGTCAGGAGACCGAGACCATCCTGACTAACACGGTGAAACCCCGTCTCTACTAAAAATACAAAAAAAAAATTAGCCGGGCGCGGTGGCGGGCGCCTGTAGTCCCAGCTACTTGGGAGGCTGAGGCAGGAGAATGGCATGAACCCGGGAGGCGGAGCTTGCAGTGAGCCAAGATAGCGCCACTGCAGTCTGGCCTGAGCAAAGAGCGAGACTCCGTCTCTAAATAAATAAATAAATAAATAAATGGGCTAATATAATTTTAATTCCTAAATCAGATAAAGACAATATACATTGGTCTCCCCGCAGTCAACAATTCACATACAACTTTTTACTCCCCCAAAACTTAACTCCTAATAGTTTACTGTTGACCAAAAGCCTTACCAATACAGTAATAGTTGGTTAGTACTTATTTTGTATATGTATTATATACTGTATTCTTACAATGATGTAAGCTAGAGAAAACAACATGCTATTAAGAATATCATAAGGAAGAGAAAATATATTTACTATTAAGTGGAAGTGGATTATCACAAAGGTCTTCATCTTCATTGTCTTCACACTGGGTAGGCTGAAGAGGAGGGGTTGGTCTTGCTGTCTGAGGAATTGCAGGGGTGAAAGAGGTAGAAGGGGATGCAGAAGTGGCAGGCACACTCGACTTTATAGAAGTACATCATGATTTCTGCCCGACTTTTTGCCGTTTCATTTCTCTAAAAACATTTTTATATAGTACTGATCTTTCTTCTACCATTTGCTTTAGATTCAGTGCCAGTATCAAAGAAGGGTCCATGTGATAAAAGAAGTGAAAAGCAGTCTTGATAATTGAAAACCTTCTGCCATATTGTCTACTGTCAATTTGTGTTCTGGCACCACTTTTTTTTTTTTTTTTTTTTTGAGATAGAGTCTCACTCTGTCATCCCAGCTGGAGTGCAGTGGTGCCATCATGGCTCACTGCATCCCAGGCTCAACTGATCTTCCCCACCTCAGCCCCCCATGTAGCTGGGACTACAGACGTGTACCTCCACATCCAGCTAAATTTTTTGTATTTTTTGTAGAGACAGGGTTTCACCGTGTTACCCAGGCTTGAACTCCTGGGCTCAAGTGAGCCATCCACCTTGGCCTCCCAAAATGCTGGCATTACAGGCATGAGCCACTGCATTTGGCCCCTGGCACTGTTTCTTCAAAGTCTTCTTCCTCACTGTCTAGCACTGGTTCCAAAGCACTCATCTTTATCAAGTTATATTATGTTAATTCCTCTGGTGTGATGTCTACTGGCTCTTGAATTTCTGTAAGATCCTTATGCTGAAAGACCTTTTTTGTCATATCCACAATCTCTTTCATGATTTCCTTGATTGGCTCTGGTGTAAATCCTGTGAGGTCACGCACAACACCTGGGCATAGTTTCTCCACTAGTAATTTATTGTTTCAAGTCTGATGGCTTTTACGGCTTTTTCTATAACAATGACTGCATCTTCAATGGTGTAATCCTTCCAAACTTTCATGATGTTCTCTCTATTGGAGTTCTCTTCCACAGCACTGACAATCCTTTCCATAGAGTACCATGTGTAATGCCTTAAAGTTCTTTATGAACCCCTGGATTTAGAGGCTGAATTAGAGACATTATGTCTGGGGACAAGTAGACCACTTCCACAGCTTCGATGTTGAACTCATGGGGTTCTGGGTGGCCAGGGGCATAGTCCAGTATCAAAAGAATTTTTAAAGGCAATCCCTGCTGGCAAGGTACTTTCTGACTTCAGGGACAAAGCATCAATGAAATTAATCCAGAAAGAATGATTCTTGTTGTCCAGGCCTCCTTATACAACCACAAGACTAGCAGCTGGTACTTATCTTTTTCCTTCAAAGCTCGGGGGTTAGACACTTCATAGACAAGGAACCCAACTGCATATCCATAAAATAGAAGAATTTGCGTACACCTTCCTGCCTTAAATCCTGGTGCTCATTTCTCTTCCTTACTAATAAATGTCCTTTGTGACATTTTTTCCAAAACAGGTCACTTTCATCAGCATTAAAAGCTTGTTCAGGGCTGCTCTGCCTATGGTGTAGCCATTCTTTTATTCTTTTGCTTTCTTAATAAACTTGCTTTTACAAAAAAACACCCACTCAGGAAGATATATTTAATACTTTCTCCTCAATGATTTTCTGAATGGTGTTTGGGAACTCATCTTCTGCCTGTTGGTCAGCAGAGGCTTTTTCTCCGGTTCTCTTGACATTTTTTAAGCCAGATCTCTTCCTAAAATTATCAAACTATCCTTTGCTGGCATTAAATTACCCAGTTTTAGATCCTTCTCCTTCCTTCTGCTTTAAGCTGTTATACAATGACTTCACTTGTTTTTGAATAGCATTAGTTTATATGTATGCCTTTCTCATAGCAATTCTGCCCCCACATAAAAGCTAAATTTTCAATAAAACATGAAAAGGTACTTTGCAAAAAGTACGAAGTTTTCACACCTGCTGGCATAGCTGCAGCAACAGCTTCATGAATTTCCTTTTCTTTTTTCACAATGGTCCTTACACTCAATTTATTTATCTTGAAATGGCAGGCAATCACAGCTGCAAACCTCAATCCATAGTACATACCAAGCATTTCACTTTTTCTGTAATGTCATTACTTTTCTCTGCTTCTTGGGAGTACTCCCAGTATCATTAGTGGTACTTTGTATGGATCCCATGGTATTCCACTCGGATTTCTGACTTCATAGGGGTCAGTGGCCCTAATCTCTGCACTGTTCAAGGATCAACTTCATATAAAATTATTTTTTATTTCAGAATAGATGTACCTAGTATACCCCATCTCAGAAGGGCCCATGTTTTCTTGTATAACAACATTTCAGAGATACTCTTATCATCTGTGTGTGTGTGTGTGTACGTGAATACACACATAAGTTTTTTTTTTTTTAATCACACATATACACTGAAAAGCATGCTACATACACCATCTGGCACCTTCCAAAAGATTTTTCCTGGAAAAGGGATACATAATCATGGTTTTATTCAAGACAGTTCTAGTGTTTAAAATCACTTTTGCTGACTACAGCAGTAACAAATGGAAAACACCAAAACATATGCAAAAACAGCTTCACTCATAAACCCAACCACTCAGGTAACATTTACCTGTATTTCCTACCTTCTCTGCATAAAAGAAATACAGGGTACAGGTTAGATGGTATACAGATCAGATGGCATCCTATGACTTTTTAATAACACACAACACTAAATGTTATGACCATAAGTAGATGACCTCAGAAATCTAGTTTAACCTGCTCCTACTAGATGGCTCTCCTACCTTAGAAACCTAAACTGACCCAGTTCCCAAAAGAGGTAGGTAAGAATCCATGGACAAAAGTTAATCATATGGGCTGCGTGCAGTCGCTCACGCCTGTAATCCCAGCACTTTGGGAGGCTGAGGTAGGTGGATCACTTGAGATCAGGAGTTCGAGACCAGCCTGGCCAACATGGTGAAACCCCCGTCTCTATTAAAAATGTAAAAAAAGTAGCCGGGCATGGTGGTGCCCACCTGTAGTCCCAGCTATTCTGCAGGCTGAGGCATGAGAATCACTTGAACCTGGAAGGTGGCTGTTGCAGTGAGCCGAGACCGCATCACTGCACTCCAGCCTGGGCAAGAGAGTGAGACTCCGTCTCAAAAATAAAAATAAAAATAAAAATCATATGAAGCTTACATTTCTTTCATACTAAACCTGTTAGTCTAGCTTGGAATACCTTCCAGATGACAGAAAGCAAATAATAATTAGTGTTCCCTCTGTTAAGGATCCCACTTCTCCCACACTCCTACAGTTCAAACATCTCACCATCACAGAGCACACTTCTCAGTAAAACATCAACTACTATTTAAGCTCAATAATATTTAAACCAAGAATCAACAAGAAAGCAAGGCCACTTTTAGGGAAGAAATCTAACTTCAACATAGTCACAAATAATGGTTACACCAGAGAAAAATGAAGTTACCAAATTCCTTGCGCATTCCTCCCTGTTGCTATCCTTGGGAATCAACTACCTTAAGATAAAGAGTAAGAATGGTTGCCTGTTCAAAACATCAGAGAAAACAGCTTGCGGATGCTGTCAATGAGAACTATCTCAGATTTCTTTCCACCAAAAGCAAATCTGGTGTTAATTTTAATGGAAAAGTCTCCTCTACTACCTATTGCATCGCAACAATTTCTTGAAATAGTAAAATGAAGTAAAACAAGTTTATTTCGGGGGCAGAATCTTCTGATTTCAAAATGTCAATTGAATTTATCAATTTTAACCTTTCGGAATATTTCAGGTTTTTTTGGGGAGGGTGGCATCAAGTCCTCTTAAGAATATTATAGGGATGTGGCCGGGTGCGGTGGCTCACGCCTGTAATCCCAGCACTTCGGGAGGCCGAGGCAGGCGGCTCACGAGGTCAGGAGATCGAGACCATCCTGGCTAAAACGGTGAAACCCCGTCTCTACTAAAAAAAAAAAAAAAAAATACAAAAAAATTAGCGTGGTAGCGTGGTGGCGTGGTGGCGGGCGCCTGTAGCCCCAGCTACTCGGGAGGCTGAGGCAGGAGAATGGCGTGAACCCGGGAGGAGGAGCTTGCGGTGAGCCGAGACCGCACCACTGCACTCCAGCCTGGGTGACAGAGCGAGACTCCGTCTCAAAAATAAAAAATTCTAAGGATGTTGGGACGGGTACCACTTTGCTTTCTGATTTCTGTCCAACAAATCTTTATGATCGTCTGTTTTATTCAACAATACTGCGGGAAAAGCTTCAGCTGCAAGCTGAGGGGGTGGGAGGTGGGGAGATGGAAGAACGCGCTGCAGGTGTGCGGATTCTGCCTAAAATTGCGGCTACGAACTGGACCTTGAACACTCCTCCGTCAGCTGACTTGACTGCCTGTGTACAGTCTCAATTTGAGCCGACACACGGATTTCACTTTTGAAAAGCAACGAAGATGAAGAACTCGTTTTGAGAAATGGATGAGAAAAAGGTAGCTCAGGAGACGAAGCCTCGGGAAAGGAGGCAATCAACCCCACCCCACCGGCCTGTGCTTCCGGCCTCGACGCTCCGCCGTGCTCCCCGAGGCCGCTCCTCTGCGGAGCTCGCTCTCCCCACTGGTCCCCAGTCCCGCAGCTACGCGGCCTCCGCACGGTTAAGCAGCACGGGCCGGGCGTCTGCACCTTCGGAGAAAAGCCGCCGCCCAGGCTCCGCGCTGCGGCGTTACCTGTTAAGAAGCAGGGAGGCGGCGCTGAGACAGAGCAGCAGGAAGCAGAACAGCGGGTACTGGCGGCAGATCTCGCGTCCCACGTCCAGTCGCAGCCGCTGCTTCAGCTTCTGCCCCATCGTCCGCACCCAGGGCACCATCTCCGTAACGGCGAGGCCGAGACTGCGCTACTGGCTGAGGCAGAGGTCAAGGCGACCCCCCATCCACACCTCGCGTCCCCGCCCCACCGACTTGGCGGCGCACACAGACGCCTACCGGCAGTTAGCCGCCGCAGGCTGAGGTCGCGTCCGGCTGGGCCCAGCCCCACGCCCCCCGCCGCGCGTGCGCGGCCGCGGTCCCCAGCCGACCAGAGGAACGGCCGTAGAACGTGCCCGAAGTCGTCACCCAGCGCAAAGCCTCTAGCGTCTCGCCGCTCCGCCCTCCTGGCCGGAGTAGCGCGCAGTCTTCCGTGGAAACTCTGACAACACTGGCGACCGGCCATTTCCGGAAATCAAAGGACAGCCCCAGCACCCAGTAACTGCCTGTATTGCGGAGGAGAGGGAAGAAGGTTGTAGGGAGCCCGGAAGAAACTACAGCACCCCCGTAGCCGCCGGGCGCTGCCTGAGGGGCAACCGGAGCTCGTGGAGCCCGCTGGGAACTGTAGTCTTCGTGACACGAACCCGCAGAGGGATGGAGCGGGTGGTAGCGCTTCCCCGACCCCGCAACGCTCCGCGCCTCACCGTACACTCGGCTCCGGGTGGGAGCAGGTCCGAGCTTTGCGTGACGCCTAAGGGAGAGGGGGATAGGAGGACGCCTTTGAGTCGGTATTTTAAAAGGGGTGTGTTGGGGGCTGGGGGGGTGGCGAGTAAAACAGCCCTAGAATAAAGACTACAACTCATCAGGCCGCCACCCCACCAACAAAATCTCTTTTGCGCGCTCACGGGCAAGGGTAGAGCTCAATTCACGCCGGCTCCGGGAGCCCAACCAAAATCCGAGTGCTTGGAAGAGGCAGGTTGGCAGATTAGGTAAAATCCCTCTTATAGAGTCTCATGGGGTTTTCCCTTTACTAATTCATCACATTTCTAAATTTTTTTTTCTGTATTGTCCGCTACAGTGAGAGATGCAGGAAGACTATTATCGCGAAAATTTACTTAGGCGGTACAGACACTAAGCACTTTCATTTGACCTTCATGCATTCACCCCATGGTGTAGGTACAGTACTATAGTTTCAATCATTATACAGGCAAATTACTGAGACAGAAAGGAACTTAGGATCATAAAACTAACAAAGCCGGAATTTGAACACGTTCTAAAGACAGAGCCTGTGCCTGTCATCTCTCTTTCCTAGGATCTTATCCTTCAAAGTGGGGAAACAAATGTTTTTTAATGATGTATGTAGTTTCATGAATATTTTCCCGTATTACAAAAACATGGATCTTTAATGATGCATTATTATCCTTTATCAGAATGTACCATCCTGTTCCATTATTGCTAACCACTAAAGTCCATTGATATTACCATCCTTGATGATAAACCTATGCACATTTCTAATTATTTAGAATCAACTTTAATACAATTACTGGGTCAAAGGGTAAAAACAAACATTCTTGATACAGTCAAACTGCTTTGTAGAATGGTGGTACCAACTCCACAGTGGTGTATAAAAGTAAACAATTTCACTGATCCTCACGATTAGCTATTATTGTCTAAACATCACAAATACACTTTTCTGTTTGTGACTAAACCATTTAAAAGACTACAGTGTAACATCATTGGAAAGCTTACCATTTTTTAATATTTCTAGGTACATATTTAAACATTTATTAATTTCACTTTGGCAGTTTTTAAGTATCTTTATCTGTTAATACTAAAATAGGTGTATGTTGAGTGGATCTACATGTATCAAGTGCCTCCTATGGACTTGAGTGCTTTACACTTTTGTAAATTACCTTTTAAAAAACTAATCTCATGACAAATAATGTAAGTTATTAACCTGCCTGGTAAATTATGTTGCCTTTTGTTTAAAACTTTTGCTTCCTTTTAAAGCCTTATTTTGAAATTACTCTTTTCACCAAGAGCCAGTATATTTTAAAGACAAAATGTTTTGAGTTCTGTTCAAAACAGACATCACTACAACATCCAATTAAAAGACTTCTTTCCCATCTGATTTCTTAGAGGCAATTAGAATAAGTTAACTGGACAATAGATAATTTAAATTTCCAAATTGCTCTTATGATTAGAAAAGGAAAAAAAATATAATAAACTTCAGCCATAAGGAAATTCTTTATGGCAGAGAATTTCCACACCTAAAGCATGAAACATAATTCAATTTCTGTCACTACGGACCTCATCTAAGGAAATAACCTTTATTTCATTACATGTCTTTAGCCTATGGTCTAGAACCCACCTTTACACGCACAGAGCTCGAAATTTTTTCCCCAACCTTGTTAAGTTCTGAACTTTGGAGAGGTTATATGGAATATCCACAATCAACCAACCCTGGTTCTGAAACTAGCTCTATCTCCTACTAGCAACATGTTAGCAAGATTAACTTGATCTATCTCACTCCTACCTCAACTCTAAAACAGAGCTATTTTCATAAAACAGGTGGGGGGTGGGGGCTAAAATGGGTGGAAAGTTGGAAAGTGCCTCTTAAATATCTCTGTACAATGCTTAAGACAAAATTTTTTTTTCAAATTTTATGGCTTTATGAACATGACAATAATGAGCTAAACCAATTAGCTTTTATTTGGATTACGACAATCTAAAATGAAAATGACATATTAAATACCTGATTTCTAGGAAAACTGAGGTCCAGAAAGGCTGACTGCCTACGCTAAAGTTCTACATCTGCACTGTCCAATACAATAGTCAGTAGCCACATGTGGCCAGGGAGCACTTGAAATGTGGTTTGTTGTGATGTGTAAAGTACCTGTCACATTTCAAAGACTTACCATGAAAACTGTATTAAATGTAAATTAAAATTAGTTTTAAGGCAATTACATATTAAATGTTTTGGAAATAATTGCCTTAAAGTATTTTTACTTTAATGTAGCTAGAAACCTTAAAATTACATATGTAGCTTGCATTATATTTCTACTACACTGTACTGTTATAGACTCTGCTAGCTGTGGAGAGCCAGTACAATTAAATGTGTAAATCTTTTATAAATGCTACAAAGGTCACATATGTGCTAGGTGTACACTGACAAACTATAAAAAGTTAAAAATTTGATAATGCATTTAAAGGGCTCATAGACATTAAACTGCAATCCAGTAATATGTCCATTATTTTAATGAATATATTTATTGAATAGCAAATAAGTGTAAGGCACTGTGCTAGATGTGGTGGCAGATACATTTAGATGCATTTTTTTCTGACCTCCAAAGGCTTACAATCTAGTGAAGCAAACAAGTCACATAAAATGTTATAAAGGGCAGCGGTTTTATACATAAAGACTGTAATCTTTTTTTTTTTTTTTAATGACAGTTAATGGCAAAAGGGAAATTTTTAGCTATAAGGATCTGGAAAGGCCTGTGGGAAATAATGTGAGCGAAGAATAGGACTTATCTCTGTTTTCACTTATAATTTTCAAAAGTCATGAAGTACTAGGCAAAGTTTCCAAAATGCTTCTACTTAATTTAACCTGATTCTCCCCGCCACACCAGCAAAATGCTTTTTATGTTGGTACAGTAAGTTTGCAAGGTAATGATGAATACCTGAATTGCAGAAATTAGGCCTAAACTCTGATGACCCTTAATGTAAACCACATTTTAACGTGTTGAGGGTCATTATTTGTATGGCACAGGTATATCGGGAAGAGGATGGATATACTACCCCTGGGAGCCATTTCAGTCTCTCCCTTACAGATGCCTCCTATCACATGACAGGCATTTTCAAAGCCCTGTTTTTCCCTTGTCTCAAATGATCATGGTTTATATTTCACCTTTTGTGGCATCCCTAATGTTATTTTTACATCCTTAATTTTACATTTCATAGCACCCTCTTCTCCCCCACAACCTATCCCTACATATCAACCTCTTGATAAACCTGTTAAAGAGGCCACTGAACTGCTTTCTTCAAAAAATGTTCCTTTCCTTGGTTTTCAAAACAGGAATTTATTACAATGGAAAATATGTAATTCAAGGAAGAGGAACATTAAGTAATTTTTATGAGTGGAGGGTCTGAGATGTTCAAAATGCAGTTATTTTCACATTCAACCCTCTTTTATTTTTATGGCCATGAGGTAAAACCTCCATTGGGAAAATACAAAGAACTAACAATGTTATAGAGCCAGTGGCTCAACTACAGATACTCCCTGGGTAAAAGCCATGTTTTGATCATAAAATTCTGGATGGTCTCATTATCTTAGTACCAAAAAATTAACCATTTCATATTTGTAGTCGTTTTTCTAATTTATGATGAAATAGCCATCCTCTTAAGCCTCACTTTTGGAGAAGCAGGAAGCTACTTATAATTTGAGAAAATGTAAATTAATAACTGCTTGGAAACGGAAAATATACTCACCTGTTGATTAATATTAACGATTAGAAAAAGCACTTATAATCCAACATCACCTTTCTCTTGTAGGCCAATGCTTTTGTTTACTTTTTAAATTACCCCTTAAATAAGTAAAACACTCCATCTTATTTCTGAACTACAGACAATGGTTTCCTCTCATTAAAAAAATGTTAACTGTATCCCTTCAAATGTTTAAATACACATTTCAACTGACTTCACTAACTTCATAAAATATTTTGGAAAAACTTTGCAATCCTTCTTACCTCTCACAAGCTATTTCCCAAAACATAAAAATTAAAGCTCTTCACTGTTGTCCTAAAAACCACCATGCAACCAGGCTTGGTTCAGAACAGTGAAAATCACTAATATTGGTACTTCAGCTCTTATTCTACTAGTAAGGGTTGCTACCAAATAATTAAAATCAATTTTTACCTTCACTAAAAATAAACTTTTCCTCTTTTGGCAAGCTGATTCCAGAAAATAAACTCAACGTAATATATCTAAGTATAAATCTTGAATAATAATTTTGAAAATTTTTATTGTAAAATTTCCCTTATATATTCAAAGACAGTTACTATTTGAATTTTTCTTTAACTCATATGAACACAAGATTCTAAAACAGTCTGAATTTTTAGCATTATGTCCTAGTCAATTTTGTGAAACAATTCAAGATATATTCTTAAGTACTCAAGACAATTAAGAACTCTGCTGTCCCCAGATGTTCAGAGAACAGTTCTATCACTTCTATTTTTAGTTAAAAACAACAAAAAATGCTTATAGTTAAAAACATCAGCTTTCAGTTATTTCTTGTGGCTAAAAAGAAAGCTTTAAGAATGCTCACAGAAACACTGATGGCAGAACTAGAGCAATTTTTGTGGGGCATTTAAGCTGCTTCACAGTTAAGACACCTAGGACAAATTATCCCTATCTAGATAGTCCCTTGCAAGTACTGAGTTTTCAAATGTTAACATAATTATTTTTTAAATTGGTTTAAATCTATTTACTCTTCAGCCTCTGCCAAGTTCCATCGTGTTTTCTACTATGTAAAGCAACATAAGAAACTATTACTTACCATGGTGGAGGAAAGAAGATTGTAATTACCAGATACACACTGCCAAAAAAATTGTAAGGGTAGCAGCAATAATTTAAATGATTCTGAAGGTTCCTGCTATTGCAAAGCATAGAAATATCAGATTTTCAAATGACATCAGATGTTTTAAAACTGTGGCTTTCAGCCTAGGCAACATGGTGAAACCTCTCTACATGAAAAAAATCAACAACAAAAATTAGGGGCCAAGCACAGTGGCGCATGCCTGTAATCCCAGCATTTTGGGAGGCTGAGACGGGCAGATCACTTGAGGTCAGGAGTTCCAGACCAGCCTGGGCAACATGGTGAAACCTCATCTTTCCTAAAAATACAAAAATTAGCCAGGCATGCTGGTGCGTGCCTACATTCCCAGCTACTCGAGAGGCTGAGGCAGGAGAATCATTTTAACTCAGGAGGCGGAGGTTGCAGTGAGCTAATATCATGCCACTGCACTTCAGCCTGGGCGACAGAGCAAGACTCCGCCTCACAAAAACAAAAAAAAAATTAGCCGGGTGTGGTGGCAAACACCTGTGGTCCCAGGCTGAGGTGGGAGGATCCCTTGAGCCCCAGAGGTCGAGGCTGCAGAGAGCCGAGATGGTGCCACTTCAACCCAGCCTGGGCAACAGAGCAAGACCTGTCTCAAAAAAAATAATAAAAGTATACTTTTGCTCCTGAAGTTACCTTTAAGCAGAGGCTGATAAATTTTTTGTATCACAAACCTATACCACAATAAAGGCTGGGCACAGTGGCACATGCCTGTAATCACAGCACTTTGGAAGGCTGAGGCGAGCGGATCACTTGAGGTCAGGCGTTTCAGACCAGCCTGGCCAACATGGCAAAACTGTCTCTACTAAAAAATGCAAAAATTAGCCGGGCATGGTGGCACGTGCCTATAATCCCAGCTACTCATGAGGCTGAGGCTGAAGATCGCTTGAACCCAGGAGGCAGAGGTTGCAGTCTGCCGAGATTGCACCATTGCACTCCAGTCTGGGTGACAGAGCCAGACTCCGTCTCAAAAAAACAAAACCAAGAAAAGAAGAAAAATCAGCTAATAACCTTATTTGCCCCAGAAGGCAAAGCCAAGACTTTTATCTTAATGTTCTCCAAACTGTACTTGTTCCTCAGGGATAAGATGTTGGTAGTTCTAATGTGCCTATAGTAAGATGATTTTAACCTATTTTGGTTGAAGAAAATGGGGCAGAATTCAAGACATCAGAAGCTGTGAGATGAGCCAAAGAAACACAAGGCGGGCAGTTTCTTTAGACAGTATTAATGGAAAATTACACTAGAAGGATGAACTGGGGCCAAACTATAAAACTTTAAATTACATATGTGGTTTGCATTTCATTTCATTCAATACTGTCGTAGACTCTGGAGCTAGATGTAGAGAACCAGCAAAATTAAATGTGCCACTTAGTAGTTTAACTTATTTATAAGGAGTTATGCCAGATCGATCTGAACTTCCTAAAGGACTGGTAGTACCTGGATAGAGAGGATATTTCAGGCCTCTTCAAGTAAATGATCAAATGTGACTGGATATGAAGTGAGAAATTAATGAGACAGTTGCTGATGGAGAAGAGCACTTGAATGTGTTCAGGAGACAGCTGAAATGCAGAACTGCAAGTAACAGACATCAAGCAAGCCCTGACACTAAAAGAGGAGTCCACACAGATGTGATATGGGACTGTAATGTAGATGTGATCAAGGAAACACGTATACAGGGAAAAAGGAAAATAAGAATAGGTAAGGATAGATGATGAGATAACTTGGCAAATTGCCAAGATTTTTCAAGGTTAAGTGAATGTAATAAATGCCATAGGGGTTAAATCTTTAAAATATATAATTTTCATATGGGGACACTGGTATCCTGTGAACAACTCTTGAAAAGAGAGGAGGCCGGGCGCAGTGGCTCATGCCTGTAATCACAGCACTTTAGGAGGCCGAGGCGGGCAGGTGATCACCTGAGGCGGGAGTTGAGACCAGCCTGGCCAATATGGTGAAACCTAGTTTCTATTTAAAATACGAAAAATTAGCCAGGCGTGGTGGCTGTAATCCCAGCTACTTGGGAGACTAAGGTGGGAGAATCACCTGAAACCGGGAGGCGGAGGTTGCAGTGAGCCAAGATAGCGCCACTGCACTCCAGCCTGAGTACAACAGAGACTGTACTTAAAAGAGGTATCATTCCAAAACCACCAAGCTCACTAGAAAAGGTGCAATAAGATGCTTTACTGATAATTAAATATGTGGACTTTCAGCCTAAAGACAGTTTACTTGGGGAGTCACTGGTAATCAGAACACCGATGCTATTTTGGACTATATGGTGGTCCTGTAATTGTTAGAGAACAATTATTAACATAAATAAAATCTAGGAGGTTGGTTTAGCAGTTAGACTGTTTTGTATTTACTTATCAGGTTCATTCATCTATTAGCATTGAGAATTTTGACTAGAATTTCAAAACTAAGAAACTTAGAATAAATGAACACCTATTCTAAAACTTTTTAAAATGGAGTTACTCCCACAAAAGTAGATTCATGTATTAGCTAACATCTATGTGATTCAGGTTAACTCCCAATTCATGCATTAACATGGTAATTTAGGGAAATTTGGGAATAACTTGGAATAATGCTTTGTGGACTAATGAGAGCTTGATAGTTTTCCTCCTCAGAATATAAGAAAATATATGCTTCAGTGTTAGCTTCCTCAACTTTCAAGAGTCATATTTACCGTCTTTCCCTCAAAGAGCTATCACAAAAATAATGTACCAAATGTTCATACATGTAAGGTATTACAGGGTGAAGTAAGTCTACTTTTTAATGCAACATTTATTCTTTTGTGAAAATAAATCTCCACATAAAAGCATGAATGAAATAACGTCAAAAGTCCTCTAGGCAGAATTTTCCCAAAAAAAAAAAAAAAAAAAAAAAAAAAGACACGATCCTATAAATCCTGTATTCATAGGATATAATTGAGAGCTGGAAAAATATCTTTTTACAAGAAAACTCAGGCTCAGAGAGGCTAAATGTTTATACGTAGCTGCTTCCATTAAATGGCCCAATGACTAACAGATTTTCAGTGTCTCATCCAGAACTCCTGAAAAGACTACCTAAGTCGTTGAAATGAGGAAACTACATTAATGCACAGACAGCATTTTACTTCACCAACCTATACCTTTGTAAGTATATGTGGAAAATAAATATACAAGCCAGATGAGGCTTGTTAGAATGGGAAAGCCGTATGAATAAAAGACACGAAGGTTAAGAAATTAAGAGCATTTTATGTCCATAAATTTTAACTAAAAGATCTAGGTCTACTGAAGATTTATTTCCCTCTTTAGTTTCCTATTATGTGTGTATATATATATATGAATGTATGTACATTTTTATGTGTGACTGGCCAGATACTGTTACCACTGAAAAATTAGCCAAAATTAGGCTGGGCACAGTGGTTCATGCCTGTAATCCCAGCACTTTGGAAGGCTGAGGCAGGCTGATGGCCTGAGGTCAGGAATTCGAGACCAGCCTGGCCAACATGGTGAAACCCCATCTCTACTAAAAATACAAAAATTAGCTGAGCAGTAGTCCAGCTACTTGGGAGGCTGAGGCAAGAGAATCACTTGAACCCAGGAGGCAGAGGCTGCAATGAGGCGAGATCTCACCATTGCACCCCAGTCTGTTGACAGAGCGAGACTCCGTCTCAAAAAAAAAAAAAAAAAAAAAAATTAGCCAAGATTGTTGGTACCAGAAACCTTTCAAGTCAGTTTCTTCCTTGGTATCAGCCAATATTTAATATCACAAAACCTAATTAAGAACTGTTTTGATACCTTGAAGCCAAAGTGACTCAAGAAGTTTGATTTGTCTTTATGTAGAAAATCAAACTCCCTAATCACCAGAGTTGACAGAAGTATAGAATATATTCCAGAAGTAAATTAACATGGATTTTCATCAAACCCCAGAACATCAAATCTGGAAAGTAGGTTTGAGATCCCTGCCACAATAAGGAATGAAGTTTCATTACCTGCCAAAAATTTTGCCTTGCTGAAAATAACAAGACAGAAAGACAAACTGTTAAATATAATGGGGGAAAAAATTCTCATTGGTTTAGTTTTAAATGTTCAGAAACTAAATGTGAAAACATTTTCTGAACCTATTTCCAAAAAGGCCTTTCAGGCCAGGTTAACAGTGGCTCACACCTGTAACCCCAACACACTGGGAGGCAAGGCAGGAGGATCACTTGAGCCTAGTTTGAGGCCAGCCTCAGCAACATAGGGAGACTTCATCTCTCCAAAAAATAAAAAAATTGGCCGGGCACGGTGGCTCACACCTATAATCCCAGCACTCTGGGAGGCAGAGGCGGGTGGATCACCTGAGATCAGGAGTTCAAGACCAGCCTGGCCAACATGGTGAAACCCCAACTCTACTAAAAATAAAAAAATTAGCTGGGTATGGTTGGCAGGCGCCTCTAATCCCAGCTCCTCAGGAGGCTGAGTTGGGAGAATCACTTGAACCCAGGAGGCAGAGGTTGCAGTGAGCTGAGATCATGCCATTGCACTCCAGCCTAGGAAACAAGAGCGAAACTCCCGTCTCGAAAGAAATAAAAATTAGCCAGGGATGGTGGCACACATCCATGGTCCCAGCTACTAGGAGACTGAAGTGGAAGGAGTGCTTGAGCCGGGGAGGTTAAGGCTGCAGTGAGCCATGATTGCACCACTGCCCTCCAGCCTGGGCAACAGAGACCCTGTCTCAAAAACAACAAAACAAAAAAGGTCTTCCAAAATAATATGCTTTTCCCAATTAAGAATGTCACTAAATTTGCATCCTTAGTCACAAAATGTCCTCTATGTACCTGTTCTCTTTCCAAGTAAGACTTACTTTTCCAAGACAATATATTTTAAATGAGCAGTGATATGGAAGTGATAATACAGATTAAGATTTCTCCTAATTCAGGAGGTGGCACCATGCTACTGTGTTTTACTACCAGTTCTATTTTAAAACTAGCACCTTTTATACTAAGTTGCACAATTTAGATACAAAAGATAAATTCATATTCCTTCATACAAAAGATGAAGAAATGAGGCTCATATTAATTTTGCTACAAACAGCAGGAGCCACTTTCCATGGGGGGGGGATGAGTGGGAAGGAAAAAGCAAGACCTCCTAGTTTGTAGGAGTGAAAGGGCTGAGACTTGACAGTGGTAAAATTGCTTTTAGGGTCTACCTCCCTCTCAAAGTTTTCTTTTCCTGAGTAACCTGAGAGCAGTCAAAATTCCTGCAATTGAAAACTCTTCTGACACTGGAGAGGGTACCCTACTTGCCTCACTACTCCCACGAAAGCTAAAAATAAAGGCTATTAGTCCTCATTTTCTCACACACACAGAACGTGCAGTAAGCCATGTCAGGAGACAAGTCAACACCAGTTTTCCTAATATCCTTCTTTGATAAATATGAAGAATCACCAAACGTCTGAGGAAATCAGAAGCACAAAGAGAAAACTGATGTGAACTAATATTTCAATGCACCATATAAGAAACTGGTAACTTAAAATTTTCTAGCATTCAAGAGTGAGCAAGACTGTGCATATATAAAATAAACTGCTGTGATGGACAAGGATGGGCAAGTACATTATATATGTTGTTTTGCCTCTCTTCAGTCTAGAGGCAAGTATAAGGTAATCAGTTGTAAAATCTTATAATCCTGACTGTAAGAAAGGAAGGATACCTAACAGGAAGTGGAAAATGAAGGAAAAGAAAACTACTCAGTGTACTATTTCCTTATCTTATGAGAATCAGATTCTAAAATTCATATAAGTAGAGACTTAAGTGTATTTCAAGTAATAAACGTAACCAAGAGACCAGGCACAGTGGCTCATGCCTGTAATCCCAGGACTTTGGGAGGCTGAGGCAGGAGGACTGCTTGAGCCCAGGAGTTTGAGGCTGCAGTGAGCTATGAATGACAGTGCCACAGATTTCCAGCCTGGATAACAGAGCAAGACCTTTTTTTTTTTTTTTCCTTTGAGACGGAGTCTTACTCTGTTGCCCAGGCTGGAGTGCAGTGGCGCCATCTCAGCCTCTGCCTCCCAGGTTGAACCTGCCTCCCAGGTTCAAGCAATTCTCCTGACTCTCCGGACTTTTTTTTTATTATTATTTTTAGTAGAGAGAGGGTTTCACTATGTTGGCCAGACACCAGGCTGGTCTGAAACTCCTGACCTCAGGTGATCCGTTCCCTGGGCCTCCCAAAGTGCTGGGATTACAGGCATGAGCCACCATGCCCGGCCAACCGTTATCTCTTAAAAAAATAAAATAAATTTTAAGAGAGAACTAAAGAGAGGAGGAGATATCTGGGAGTGGACTCCATGGAAAGGTCCTTCTAGATTTTAAAAAATCAAGTTAAAACATCAACTAAGCATAACATAAATACCACTTTTACTCACACTACTGATATTAGGAGGTATATATAGTATAGTGAAATAATACGTTAAATTCAGAGCCTCACTATTCAGGTTATTGAATTTCAGCTACCTATCAATTGGTAGGTAAATATAAGGCTATTCATATGTATGTAACCATTTCTCTAAGTTACTTTAAGATAGAGTAAGCAATATACACTACCCTCGGAAACAGGTGCTTTCAACACCTCATTTTTAGTTATCTAGGCTTCATGCTTTTTCTCAAGTATCATTATTCCCTCACCTTCAAATTGCTATGCAAAAGAACCTTATAAAAACTTTAGACTCAAAACCAACCAGACCCTCATTAGCAAAACAGTTCCATCTTGAAGTACCCCCTCCTCACCTCATAAAGAACTTATAGATAGGGGGCTTATAAATTGATACTGTCTTGTTCAGCAGCACAAATTAAACTACACATCAGCATAAAGGAAAACTGATCCACTGGATTCTGTTAAGTTCACTGCTAAAGATGACTTATGAGCACCCTTTTCCTCTTAATTTCAAATAAGGAAAACAGTCACTTACACATAGGGTTATTTTAACATATAAAAAAATCTGTAAGTCACTAGGCCAACTGTTCCCTCAACTTAAGACAATTTTATAATTTTTTAAAGTGTCACGTTGATAATTTAAATGTGGATCTTCATCTTAATTTACTTAAATCATTAGCACTTTGTGATCATTTTTAAAAGCTTTCCATGCCATAAATTAAATGGTTCGAAATATTTGATCCCCTTTGTCAAATTCTCATGTCACAAGCCTAATTTGGCAAATAAAACTAAACTTCCACCCAACTGAACATTTTAAATATTTTTAAATGCCTGCCTACTCAGATTTCCCTGCCCTTCGAGGAGCTTCCATTCTAAAAGGAGGTAAAATAAATCAAAGAAATTTATCATAAAATGTACTAGTAATTTAAAGACTAATCGATAGACAGTAAGCAAAAAAGGGAAAAATAATACTAACTACAGTATCTGCTTGCTGTGCCCCTTTGTTGATCCTCTCCCAAATGCTAAATAAATCTCCAGGAAACCAGAGATCAACTAGGATCTGTTACATGACAATTTTACAATAAAGGCTGTCTTTTAATTCCATGTTTAACTGTACCTGTAGTTAGGCAGGAAACCAAAAGGGAACAGAACCTGTCTTTAATACTGTTGAAGAACTCCTAAGAACTTAATTTCTGCAAATTCATGTGAATTTTTACTATTTCAAGGAAAACAGCAAAGGAGGTAGAGGTATGAATGAAATTTGCCAAAACTACACTGTATACATGTGGCTCTAGAGTGGAAATGAAAAGTGTATTCTGCCATTTTTATAGATGACCTTTAACATTGTTTATTTCTGGTTTTCCTCTAAGTATATTCCAAATATTAAATAAAACTGAGAAATACAATTTGTACATATGCTTTTCTAATTTTTCATGACGTGTTAAACTAAAAGCAACTGGAGGCCTAATTCCTGAGTCTTCCAATTAAAGCAACCAATTAACATAAATACTGACATATTAAAGATATTCTCTTAAAAATGATGTCATAAGGGTTTTAGTATACAGATGCACCTAGCTTTAGCAAATTTGTGTTTAAATGATGCAGTACTCATGTAACACAAATGCCATGTTATTCACATTTCAACTTAAAGTTAACACTATTAACGAGCCATAACAGGTATGCTGGAACTCTTCTTGTATATCATGGTGTTTCTATAATTACAAGACCTAATTTTACCATATGGAACCTACAAAACTCTTTAACAAATTTCTTATTGTCAGCAAGCCCTGGTCTTATTCTTTAATCTGTGGTAACAACTTGTCCACACCAAATACTTTGCCCTTCTGCCCTGAAAACTCAAAAACTGCACATCAAAAATGATATAAAACGCCAAATCCCTTAGGTTTCCTAAAATTCTCTCCAAAACAAGTTGAGTTTGTCACAACAATCTCCTTTTCAGAATACAGCTGAAAGCCTAAAAGAAGGCAAGAAATGACAATTCATAAACATTACAGATAACCTTTATAACTCCTTTCTAGATTAGAACCTGTTGTAAGCCACTTTATAGACAAAGTAGAAAATCAGACAGTCAATTAAGTTTACAGTATATTATCCTAAAATAACCTTATTTTGATCCCACTGTGTTAGAAACCCATTTTAGGAAGCTGTAACACTTGGAGACACTAATTTCCAAAATGGTTTATTAGGACTTCTCCCACACTCAAAGTCAAACTTCCAGGACTGTTCTGAAATGATGAAAGCTTCTTTTCGATAATCAATATAAATGTTGTTAATCCAAAATAGAAACTAAAACCTGCACTAAGTGACCTAAAAAGTCTTGTCCTGATGGAAGTGGCCAAAACTGCTCGTCCCGCAACCAAGAAATCCTAGGGGTATAAGCTAAAACCCACAAATATATTGGCAAGTCCCCGATTCTTTCCAAATTACCACTAACTTTATCAAATCCAATGGCAAGTACGGGACAACAGAATATTTCCATCAAAAATTAAGACCAGCCTAATACATTTATTCTATTCATCTTCCAGTAATGTGATTGCAACTGAGGATATCTTGAGGAATTTTTCACCATTGGCTAGTTACTTCGAATGTATGGATAATCAAAGGGCGACAGACCTCTAAAGATTCCAAGTGTCTACTTAAAAGCTGTTAAGTGAAGAGTGATGAATTGGAGGACACCCACAATAATTCTTGGACTCCTGGAGATCCTAAGACATGCTACAAAAATAGGTCTTTATTCTTAGGAAAATATAGTCAGAGCTAGCTTCCTTATGCTATACATAAAATCTTAACATCAGAGGCAGTACAGATAGTACAGATAGTTTTTGAACTGATCTCCAAACAAGCACAAACCCACTACGTTGAAAAGAACAGGTAATTTGAGGTTTTTGGCAAAAGACAGTACTTCACACATCTAATCCAAATCAAAGGGCCTGCAGACAGTTTTCAGTGAGATGAAAGGAATGAAATAAATATAAATTCTACGGATAAATAAAACACAATTTAAATAAGCTAACAGAACTAATTTTTTTAAATAAAAATACTAGTCAGGTACAAGCTTTTGTTTCTCAATGCCAGACTTCTAAATATTTACCAGACTACTGTTAATATTAAAAACCTAATCTTTGACCCAGAGCGTTAGTAATAATACTGGTTTGCATCTGCAAATTTTCAAACTGAATGCTTCTGGTCCTGAAAAATATTTTAGGTGTATTACTGAAGGCAGACTGTGGTGCTAATAGAATTTAAGTCTTAAATACTTTTAAAAAGTGACAGACCCCAAAAGTCCATCTACTAATTTGCTAGTTAAAAAATGCCTGTGAGCACTGCTTCATAATTAGCATCTTAAGAAAAGTAGTGGCATGCCCTATTGAGTGGTATCATCACTGAGTAATTAATACACCTTAAAACAATATCCCCACAAGTCTGTTTCTTTTATGTATTTGTCACTTAATTTCTTTAGTCATTAATTTTACACCCACCAGTGAATTCCTATGGCCAGATGAAAATTTTGTGGTATACATAATTAGAGAGAAAATGATCATGGTGGGTATTCCTGTAAGTTTGACGAACTTGAGAAGTTTTAGCACCCTCCCCTAAATGCATGAAGCCCTTCTATTTAATTTCTCTCCTTAAAATAGAGACTACGTAAAATACTCTGTAATAATAAGGGATCTTTTGCTGTTTCTGACAACTTTTGGCTTCGCAGTCAAAAAAGCTGTTCTGAATGTGTCAATTTTTGCCTATCTAGCTTGATGTTCATTCTATTCTTTAAAAACTTTTATATACAATAACTCAGATCACCCCATCAATCCATTTCTATGTTGTTCCTATTTTATCATGAGGAAACTTTACATTTTAAGTCAGATTCACAGTAACTGGTAGAAAAGTTTCTTAAGCTAAAAACTGCAATCATGAGTGTACAACAGTTGTGTGTGTGCACACTCAATTTTCCCTTCATTTTTAACATCTGATTCAGTGGCAATGGCTGAAAACCTTCCACAAAAAGCATGCTTGGGAGAATATATCTAACAAAATTTTCTCACAAAGCAACTTTCTGAAAACTGATAACCTAAATTTATGATCACTTTTGATTGCCAAGTAGTCTGCAGAAACAAAATCTTGCGTCTGTTTTGGTTAGATAACTTAAGTTTTCTTTTTAACATCAGAATGCTTTAAGAATACATTTTTTACCCCAAGGAAGGGACTTGACTCGGATTTAAGACCCTTTCCTTGACAATATACAAAATTTCTTTTAACTTATCACTGTCCATTCTTTGAAGCTGTCAAAGCCAAGAACCCATAAACAAATCACAAATAGCAATAACCTACATTAGTTAACATTCCCCCTTTAACATGTTGACATTTTTACTAAAGGATTAGTTATTTTTGCATTTCCATTTCTCATATCCCATGACATTCCATATAAATTGCATTATTGCTTTATAGGCCACACAACATTCAAAAGTATGTTTATATGCATTGCCTGTTTTTCCTTGATCTGATAAGACTTTGATACTGATTTTACTACAGAAATTTAAGTTTGAAAATACCACAGTTAGTATTTCTTCTCAGAACGTTAATTGTTCACATCACTAATCACTACATGCATATTTAGCTCTGATTATATTGCTCAAAAACTGCACCCATTATCAGAACAGTGCAAATGATATTTAATTTTAAAAGTAATTATAATGGCTTGAATTCAAAGTCATTCAAATGAACACTGTCAAGTAATTTCACTTGATGTGTATATATTTCATCACCACTGTTTACATTACCCTTCTTTAAGTATAACCATCAATTCTTCAATTTCTTTTTATCAGTTTCCCTCCCAAGTCCCCAAATTAAGAATGCCAAATAGTCTTGAAAACCCAGAGCTCCATATTTTAATGTTTTCTTAAGAACACATTTGTGAACTCACAAAAGTGTTCCTCTTTCAACTTTGACAATGCAGTTCTTACTTTAAGTAAACAAACCTGTCCTAAAATCCCAACAAGTAATTCTGAGAACTTAAACACCTTGACAGTGTCCCTTAAAAATGCTATGACAGTAAAGTGCCAATAGGCATGGCAATGACCTCTTAGATGGGATCATTTAACTCCTCGGAACTGAGAAATGCCAGCACCAAGGATTACACTGAGATTCAATTTTACTGAAGGCTACATTTAGTTTACCCACTTTCCACAACCTATTATATTCATTATGTTAGAATGAAATGTAAATGTTTTGTGTAGCCCTCAAACTTACACTAAGTTTTGAGAGAGATGTACTTTAAAAAAGCACGGGGTAATATATAAAATCAGTGGCAGAAAGTTTCATTAAGCACCAGGAACTAATTTTTGTCACCCCATACTCATTTTGTAGATAAGTTTCAATAACCGGCAAGGCACATTTACATATATTCCAATGAATACTTATTGACAAATTTTAAATTACACTCTATGTCCCAGCTATCCCAGTAACTGACATACAACATACTAAAATGATTTATTTAGATAACAAAAAACCAATTAATGTGAAACATACAGGCTATTGGCAACCACTATTCTAAAATTATGTAAGTACAAATAAACATACTGAAATGTGTGCAATTCTAAGTTTTTAAACCAGAAGATTTCTACACTAACACACATTTATATTAATGACACATAAAAAAAATAAAAACTTTATTACAAAAATAAGTTACACTCGCCTCCAGCTTACAGTATAAAACAATTTTATTTGCAGGAATGCAAAATGATTGTTTGCCATGAGCATTTTGAACATATGACATGTCTGATTTTCTTGTTAAATTTGCATTTACTGGGGAACTGGTGTGTATAAAACCTTAATTAAGTATAAGCTCTGATCTTCATCGTGGTGCCTATTGGGTATGTGATATAACTGCAGTATCCCTTTGGGGAAGGGGGGAGGGGATTTCTTTACACCAAGTCCTAATGAAACTATAATTTTCACTTTTTACTTTAAGCTATCAACTTAGGACTTGGCAAAAAAATTTTTGAGGGTGGTTCAATAGAGGATGCTTCACCACTGGACACTCACTGTCATCAAGGTGCTTTAGAAAATTAAAAACATAGCACAAATGATTGTACTCTACTCTACAAGTTATCATGACCTGCATAAGAAATGGAAAGCTGATTCACATGTTTACAGTGATCAGCAGGAAGAAATGCACTAATGAAACATACCTTTTACCTAAAAAGCTAAACTACAGCCATATACTAATTTCTATGATTTATGAAAAAACTTCAAAATATCCAAATGTCAGGCTTCGCTGTACAATTGTCAGTTTTAGTCTGACTTTTTATAAAGGGACACTGCAGTATTTAGTACAAGTTCGGATGCACTTTTTTGAACATCTGATGTCTTACAAAAGTAACATCTTGCTAAACTATTATACATCCAAATAACTACAATATCTGAAGAAGCAAGGCTGCTTTTTCAGCCACAAAATACGACAAAAGCAAGGCCTGTTATGATGGTCATGAGGAAGTCTTACAAGCCTCTGAAACTAAAGGCAACTAAGAATGTTACATTTGGTATATTAAAATCTTACCCTCATATCATATTTAACAAGCCTTGCTTTTATCTACAAAGATTTTCTATGTACAGTACAGACAGGGTATAGTTCAATCCTCTGCTACTGAGGTAGTTAACCAACCCTTTTAAAAAGGTTCTGAAAAGAACCACTATCTGGAATGCCTGACTAACCAGCTCTGATGATTACACCTGAAACTGCATATCTGAACACAATTCAAAAGTGATCACTATAAAAAAGATATAGACAATCATGATTAACCTTGGTGAGCAGAAATAAAATTTAAGGATACCATCAGTGGCATTCATCTATACCACTGCAATAAAATTTAAATGCACAAATTCAAGAGAATATTTCAAAATACCACTGTTGGGATCCTTAATTTAAAAAAGGGGAAAAATCTACTTAGAGCAGATTTTTAAAAGAACTTTATTCTTTATTAAGATACCATGCTAGGAGTTATGAAGGATTTCTGTTGGAACACATTTTGAAAATAGAGTAGCTTTAGTTTAATAACTTGCACTGCAGAGAAAATTGTTAAAGAAATTCATATCAAAGTCCAAGTATTAGTTCAATGTCCCGTATTTGATTCCATGATCTTCATAGGAAGGTCTTCTGCAATAGAATATGCTCCTATACAGCCGACATATTTAAGGTTGCTTGATTTCCTTACCATTACTCCACTGCAAGCTTCTGGTGTAATCCCACATAGCAAGTCAGTCTTCATTGTAACAGGTCAGGACCGGCCTCGACCCCTTTTCCCTGCTAGCCAGGTAACAAAAGGAATCAGTTAGATAAATCATCTTAAATTAATAATGTGTACATACATAATGATAACATTAAAAAGACAAGCCTTAACATGGTAATTCTAAATATACTGTCTAGCCAAAAAAGTTGCCTTTAATAACTATGAACTTCTTTTTGCTTGTTTTTTACTTGCTTTGAGGTTTTTGGTTGCTTTTTTGCCCCTTTGAGTGAGGAGGCTGGACTGAGGTTTGAAAACCCCATTTTGTTCACAAACTGATTTTATTTAAAAAAAAAAAAAGACTAACAGGAAACCTAAATGAAGTCACACCTTAAAGTTACCCATTAACTTGCAAGTAATTCCCATTTTTGAGACATGAAGTAATCATAAAATATGCTGAAAGCAAACATCTCAGACTTGTTTGACCTTGAGATTTGAAATTTAGTGACATTTTTAAGAAAGTTTGTCTTTCAAGTCATGTATTTTTCACATGTAACTTTATTGTCAGGTATAATACCTTTAAATTCAAGGGTGATGGAGGTTCAGAAGTGGGGAGTGGCTGTTAAACCTTTTCACTGTTGACCTAGAGTCTGTCCCCCAAAACTCTAACATTTTCCCATCATTACTGTTAGAAGTATAGACCATATGGCCAAAACAAGACTAAAATGTGAAACAAAAATCCAAACTATTAGATCTTTAATACAAACCAGTCTGTGAGGTAAATTTTATCCTTCAGATATATATTTGCTTACCCAAAACTAACTGTAAAGCTGTTTTATTTTTAATTAGGTAAGTACAGTGATTATTTAGAGTGCAACTCACAAATTACCCAAACCTATTCCCATTGTTTTCACACTAGAGTTTCTTTGCTGCTTTCTAGTCCCATGGTGTGCAAAACAGTCAAGAGGGCAATATACTCAATCTGAGTTTTAGGTTAGTTAGGATAAACTTTAGGCAACTGAAAGTGGACTTGTCAGTGTGACCTGCAAACCCTTTGAGACTACCTGAATTTGTCCTTTTATACAGTTCATTCATCACAATTAAGAACTCTAAAATACTTACCAACTTAAACTTACTACATGTATTATCTTTTTATTTTTGATGGGAACATGAAGTCTGTTGTAAAATAGCACTTTAAACCAGAAGCAGAAAACTGCAATAAATCAGTGTTGTGTAATGTGCAGACATATTCCACACAAGAATTAACAAGGCACAAAACCCTTTAATTGGCCTTGACATGCTATACAATTTGAACCAAATTTGCAGGAAATTTTGTGAAAAACGAATTGTAAACACAATTTTAGTAAGTATACATTTAGGTGTGAATTTTTTATTGAAATAAACAACAGCATAAAGAATACAAGTAGCCAAAATGGTTTTGAAAACCCAAATTAGGTCAAAGTTCTAAATTAAAAATAGCAGTTGTGTATCAATTTACCTTATTCTAGCAATTTAAGTTGGTAACATACAAAGTTATTCTGATACAAGATATTAAAGACACACTTGGTTTTAATCAACTACCTTTGAAGACACCAAATCTAAACACTACTGGAAACATCGTTGACACTACAGCCAAATGGACTTGAGCCAAATTTTCTCAAGCACAAATGCAAACTCATTAACTATTTCTTTCAGTATCTAAGAATATCTTTATTGAAAAAAATTAAAAATAAAATCAGTTCGCCAGAAGCAGTTAGAAGTGTGGCTTTGTTCGTGTCCAAGCGGATTGTTAAAATATATACATAAAGGGAAATCTTGCCAGATGTCACAAATTATAGCGGCACCCGTTCAGATTTAGGGTGAGTTTCTGATCAACCTATCAGTCTCCAATTTTACAGAGGCCCTACTGTTTCTACTTCCACTGTTGCCCAAAAGTATCCTGATAAAACTCCTGGTTTTCAGATTTGTAACCATAGTTACCAGAATGATCACCACCTTGGAGCGGTTGCTGAGCAATGGGTTGGGAGCCCCAGTTCTGATTATTGGTCTGGCGCCGCTTGGAATCTGGCTGGTTGTACCCATCAGCTTTGCGCTTTCCTCCTACATTTCCACCGCGGCCACCCCTCGCACCACGTACCCCGCGGCCTCTTTGTTGTTGGGCACCTCCTCTCGCACCTCGAACGCCTCTTGCTGATCCAGGACCTCCTCTCTGTGAATAACCGGCTCTACCGCGGGGAGGAGCAGCCCCACGACCTCTGGATGGAGCAGCACCCCTTGCTCCTCTACCACCCCTTCCTCTAGCTCCAACTTGAAAATCTTCATAACCATAGTATGGATCTTCATATCCACCACGATAGTTATGGTAATCATAACCATAATAATCATAATAATCTTCATATCCATAATAATCTGGAGGATATCCATAACCACCTCTACCTCCACGCCCTCGACCTCTTGTTGGAGGGGGCATATGAGGTGGACCATAATAGTAGTAATCGTCATACCTATTAAAAAAGAGACAGAGATTAGAGTTTAAATCAAATTACTTAGTTAACAAGTAGGCATTTAGCCATTTGTAACAGTTTAAATCCAGAGTTTACTTCGCATAATTCACATAACTTTAATACAGAATTATTTGTACTAGATTAAGTTTTAGTAGTAGTAATGATCAGAGGATCAGGATGACAATATAGGCATCCCAAAATACCACAAATCTCTAGTTATGAACCTTATTTATTTCTTCATGATCTTCAAAATCTCCCAATAAACCTGTTACAGAATTTTTACAATTGATTTAGCTGTCAAATTTGCCACTTTAGGGCTGGGAGCGGTCATGCCTGTAATCCCAGCTATGCGGGAGGCTGAGTGAAGCAGGTGAATCGCTTGAACCCAGGTGGCGGAGGCTGCAGTAAGCCAAGGTCACATCACTGCACTCCAGCCTGGGTGACAGAGCGAGACTCTGACTCAAAAAAAAATTTGTCACTTTGAATTGCATTTCTGCTAAGATTCTATTCCAATATACTTGAAGAACATTTATTACAAAAGCAAAATGGCAAGTAGGACAAGCACACAACCAAAATGTGTGAAGTTCAAAGTTTACTACAGTAAATTAGCATAAAGACCTTAAAGTTTTCCTGTTTCTACAATAATGCTATCCAAGTAAAATTTAAAAGATCTGCTACTTTCCCAAAAATAAACTACACCGTAACTATAGTGCTGAACTTTAACCACTAAACAGGTATAACTTTAGTTGTCAAAGTGATTAGAAAGCAACCACACAAATCAGCATATGCTTACATACTATGTAAAAGGACTAAACGAAGTTACAATATTCCAACTCATGTTCCCTACAGTACAATTTTATACAATTCCTTAAAACTTAGTGATTATTTTGAGCCCAATAATCCCATGAAATATGGAAATTAATCCCTCTTGAAGGAATAATTTACTCGTGTTTTTTATTCCGTACCTGTTATGTTATTTTATTTATTTATTTATTTGAGACACAGTCTTGCTCTGTCACCCAGGCTGCAATGCAGTGGCGCAATCTCACCTCACTGCAACCTCCACCTCCTGGGTTCAAGTGATTCTCCTGCCACAGCCTCTCGAGTAGCTGGGACTATAGGCATGTGCCACCATACCTAGCCAATTTTTATTTTTAGTAGAGATGGGGTTTCACCATGTTGGCCAGGCTGGTCTCGAACTCCTAACCTCGAATGATCCACCCACCTCGGCCTAGAGTGATCTGCCCACCTCAGCCTCCCAAAGTGGTGGGATTACAGGCATGAGCCACCACGCCCGGCCTTATTTTATCCTGAATTATTAAAGGCCCCTGTTCCAACTGACTAACGTAAAAATGTTATTCCGGTTCACTAGGTCCTTAGACCTTTTATGTGCTCTGCTGGTTTATTGTTTTGAGGAAATGATGGAAAGATCATCCTTTTCTATTTCTAAATAGTTCTCACCAGGGATAATTTTGCCACCACCTCTTTCCAGGGGGACATTTTAGACGGTCATAACTGAGAAAGGGGGTGCTACTGGCATCTAGCAGGAAGAGGCCAAGGATGCTGCTAAAAGTCCTACAACGCACAGGGCAGCCCCCAAGACCAAGAATTATCCAGCCCAAAATGTCAGGAGGACAGAGATGAGAAATCCTGGTATAGTGGTTAAGAGGGAAAATTATGGGAGACTAGACTACCTTAGTTCAAATCCAACTCCACTACTTACTATGTGAATGACCCCAAGGAAGTTGACTTCTGAGCCTCAGTTTCCTCATTTCAAACTAAGGGATAGAGTACCTAACTCACAGGAATACAGTGAGAATTATGTAGGAATACGTGCTTAGTTAAAACTTAAAAAAAAAAAAAAAAAGACTGTAGCAAGTTAAAGTACGAAAGTAACATGCAATCATCCCTTTTAGTTTGTACTCCTTTTCAAATATTAACAGATATACTGACATCCTCCACCTTCTATTTAGTATCTCCCTCTATCAAGTACCAAATGTAACTGCTCTAATCACATTATCTAATATAATCTCCTATACTTACATTCTACTTTAATAAATTAACCATATATCGTCTTCTGAAAGAAATAAAAAGAAGTTATTTTACACTGTTTAGTATATCCAGGTGTTTGAAATATAGAGCATTAAAACTAACTCTTTTTGTAGTCTTCCTTCATTTACACTATCATCAAACCTACAAAGTATATTTTCTTTGGTCCCAGAACAAGCATGGGTCACTTGGATAATCACATAATCCAGAGCTATTACATAATTTTGTCTGATCCCATTTTAGAACTGAAGAAATTGAGGTTCAGAGCTTGCCAACTTGTCCAACTGGACAATTAACTGCAGAAACTAGAACTTGATCAATTCCCTGATTATGAAGTAACAGAAATATGTAGAAGCATCCTCTTCCTTTAAATTCCAAACAGGGCAATCAACAGAAAATTAACCTTGAATAGTATTGACAGTGATTATTGCTCTCACATTCAAGAACAATTACCCCTCTTCTAGGAAATCAGTAACTAACTTTTTAGGAGCTAACTTCAATTCTTACCCAACTAAGTTTCCTTCAGTCTTAAGCAGATACCTATTTACAGATTCTCTAAAAAGGTCTCCCTAATTAGTATAACTCATTACACACCTACTTGTTTTCTTATTGCACTACTGTGTTATAATTTTAATACTCATTTCATTTTCAAAATCCATCCATCGAACATGAAATTTTTGGGGTGGCAATGAGCACTACTGGTGAAGAAACAGTCTATCATGAATAGAGATTTAGTATTTCCTATCTCTCAGAGAAAAAACTCTCCACCCTTTAACAAAATGTATTAAGATATTTGGACAGCTAATATTTAAGACATTTTCAGAAGAACATTCTGTAAAATACAAAGAAAATATGTGAGATAGGCCAGGCATGGTGGCTCACAGCTGTAATCCCAGCACTTTGGGAGGCAGAGGTGGGCGGATCACCTGAGGTCAGGAGTTTGAGACCAACCTGGCCAACATGACGAAACCCCACCCCTACTAAAAAAAAAAACACAAAAATTACCAGGCATGGTGGCGCCTGTAACCCAGCTACTCAGAAGACTGAGGCAGGAGAATCTCTTGAACCCGGGAGGTGGAGGTTCCAGTGAGCCGAAAGAGTGCCACTGCACTCCAGCCTGAGTGACAAAGTGAGACTCTGTCACCCAATACAAAACAAAAAAAAAGCTAGACAGATTTTTCATCTTGCCAATTTACCAAAATTCCAGTTATTTACAATTCTGATTATTTTCACAAATATGGTTCATAGTAAGAGTTCAATAAACACTTAGATCACTGGTGTTTCCCTATGACTCTCAAACGTTCAAGTCTTCTTTAAAGAGATGTTATGCATTTAACAAGTCTGATCAACACCTGTTATTTTCCAATTAGTGTATAAATATTAAAATTTATACAATTTTTAAGTATACAAATTTCACTCACATTTGATTTTTTGCTGCTTGCCTCTGAGCTTTTCTTTCTTTCCTTTTCTGATCTGGTGGCTTGGCAAAAACAATTTCAATATTTTCTCCCTCCAAGTCTTTGCCATTCATTTCTTCCATAGCCTTAAAAAATTAGATAAGTCAATATAAAAATAGGACTTTCATACAATTATGATTCATTTAAAGTTGGAATATCATTTATCATTAATGTGGGAAGGACAAGAGAAAGCCCCATGCAGGCAGTCAAATAATTTTATTTAAAGATGCAGATATTCAATTATTTTTCATTTTTACTTAGAAAACTGCCAACATCACTAAAACCAAAAGGTTTTAGTTTGAATGGATTCCATGGACTTCCAAAGTCTCCTCCAATTTGTAAAACTATTTTGAGATTCTAAAATGACTAAATTTGTTAGTCTGATTTAGATGCCTGTAATTCCACCATATTTACCTTGACAGCACCATCTCGCTCATCAAAATGAATGAACGCATAATCTTTTAACTTCTTCACTCGTTCCAGTTTCCCAAACTGACTAAATGCCTTTTCTAAAATCTCTTCTGTTACAGTATTGGCAAGGTTGCGTACAAACAGCACTTTTACCTAGGGGGAAGAAAATACCCCCCTGTATTATTTCCAAAGAGTTCCATTTCTAAGATACCACCACCCCACCCTACAAAGTTAACTCAAATCACAATCCATTAGAAGAATGTCAGAATATAAAAAAAAAAAAAGTTTTCAACTCCTTGGGTAAATATCAAGCAGCAGAACTGCTGGATCATGTTGAAAGACCTGAAATAGATGCTTTGCCAAAAAAGATATACAGATGGCAAAGAATCTCATGAAGATGCTCAATATAATCTGTCATTCGGAAACCGCAAGTCAAAACTATTAGAATGGCCAAAATCCAACACACTATAAATGCAGGTAAGAATGCAGAGCAATAGAAACTCTCATTCATTGCTGGTGGGAATGCAAAAGGGTATAGCCCCTTTGAAAGACAGTTTGGCGATTTCTTACAAAACTAAACACACACTTCCATATGACCCAGCAATCCTGCTCCTTATTTACCCAGAGTTGAAAACTTACATGCACACAAAAACTTAGAGAGAGATGTTAATAGCAGCTTTATTTGTAACTGCCAAAAATTTGCCAGACGCAGTGGCTCACACCCGTAATCCCAGCAATTTGGGAGGCTGAGGCGGGCAGATCACCTGAGGTCAGGAGCTCGAGACCAGCCTGGCCAACACAGTAACACCCCGTCTCTACAAAAATACAAAGATTAGCCGGGTGCGATGGTACGCAACTATGGTTCCAGCTACTCGGGAGGCTGAAGCATGAGAAATGGTTGAACCCAAGAGGCAGAGGTTGCAGTAAGCCGAGATCGTGCCACTGCACTCCATCCTGGGTAACACAGCGAGACTCTGTCTCAAAAGAAAAACAAAAAAATTTCCAAAAATTGGAAGAAACCAAGATGTTCTTCAATGGGAGAATGGACAATTGTGGCACATACAGAAGGAATATTATAACTGATAGAAACTAGTTAAAAGCCACAAAATGACATAGAAGAACTTTAAATATGTATTACTAAGAGAAAGAAGCCAATGTGAAGGTTACATAATGTATGGTTCCAACTATGTAACATTCTGAGAAGGCAAAACTATGGAGACAGTGACTGCCAGTGGTTGAATGGGGAGGGATGACTAAGCACAGGACAGAGGATTTTTAGGGCAGTGAAACTATTCTGTATAATACTATGATGGAAACACGGTTATACATTTCTCCAAACCCACAGAACATACATCTAGAGTGAGACCTCATGTAAACTATGGACTTTAGGTAATCAATCTACGTCCATCAATTTTAACAAATGTACTATTCCAGTGCAGGATACTGGTAGTGAGGAAGGCTGTGCCTGTGTAGGGGGCAGAAGTCATATGGCAATTCTGTGCTTTCTGCTGTAAACCTAAAACTGCTCTAATGAAGTCTATGAAAAAGAAAATGCAGACTACAGGCTACATCAGTAATAATTACCAATTAGTAATTATTTTGCAATAAAAAAGATAATTTTTCCTAACAAAGTAAATACCATGCCCTCTAAGAGAGTTATTGAATGTTTAACACTTAACAAGAGTGGCCAAAACTAATTAGGACCTGCTTTTGAAATCTTAAAGGGGGAAGGACTGTTCAAAATATTAGTAAGACAAACTGTTCTCAATCCTGAAAGCTTCTCAAAGTAAAATTACAAAATTTAACCTCTTCACTAACATTATCACTTCCTCCTAAAATAACTTGAATACCATCTGAATGTGTTAATCTAAAGTGCTAACCCAATGAGAATTTATAGGCCAGAGGAAAAATGAATCCTAACTATTTTCTCTTCTCTAAGACCACTTATCCTTCAATAATATTCATAGCTCCCTGGCAGTTCATATTACCCTCAATTTAACTCAACTAGTGGTGTCTGACACCTAACCTGTAAGTAACAAAGAGGGAATTCTTAAAAGACAAAGGATAACTGGGGCATGGTGGCTCATGCCTGTAATCCCAGCATTTTGGGAAGCAGGATTGCTTAAGGCTAAGAATTGTAAGACCGGCCTGGGCAGCACAGGGAGATTAACTCTGCCTCTACAAAATTTTTTAAAAAAATTAGCCAGGTGTGGTAGTACACACCTGTAGTTCTAGCTACTTGGGAGGCTGAGGTGAGAAGATCTCTTGAGCTTGGGGCTACAGTCAGCTATGATCATGCCCCTGAACTCTAGCCCTGGGCCACAGATCTAGACCCTGTCACTTAAAAAAAAAAAAAAAAAAAGAGAACAAAGGATAGAACAAATAACTGCAAATTACTGCACCAGTGTGTAATAAAGTGTTGACTCAAGGGATGTTTATTCTTATACAATGTCTCCACTGACTGCTGAAGTCAGGATACCTAATAATGGCTAAATGTAACTGCAAGCACCTCTGCTGCGGCCAGTATAATTTACTGTTTTTAGTAGTAAGACTTTTAACCCCAAAACCATGTAAACTAATGGTGCCATTCTCAAAAACTCAAATTGCTCTTAAAAAACACACAAAATGGAAGTCAACTGTCTACAGCATGTAGGCGACTTCATTACAAGATTGTGATGGCTATACAATTATGGCTAAGTATCCACGCATCAATTTCTATTTTCACTTTGCAGGCACATGGTATTTCCAGTGCGCACTGCCTAGTCCCGTAGTAAAGAACATTTCTCCCAACTCTAAAAATATGGTTTAAAAAAAAATGTGTCCAGGGCCAGGTGCAATAGCCTCACGCCTCTAAATCCCAGCACTTTGGAAGGCCGAGGTAGGTGGATCCCGAGGTCAGGAGTTCGAGACCAGTCTGACCAACATGGTGAAACCCCAGCTCTACTAAAAAAAACACAAAAATTAGCCAGGTGTGGTGGTGGGAGCCTGTAATTCCAGCTACTTGGGAGGCAGGAGAATCACTTGAACCCGGGAGGCGGAGGTTGCAGTGAACCAAGATGGCACCATGGCACTCCAGCCTGGGAAACATGGGAAACAAGAGACTCTTGTCTCAAAAAATAAAAAAATGTATACTGTTCATTTTATGTTCCCCCCACCCCAACCCCGGCCCTTCTCCCATTAATCCCTCAAAAAATATTTTTAACTTGACTATCATTACCTTTGCCATAACCTCAGGATCAGGATCTTCTATAGGATCAGCCCATTCAACAGTTCCAACATTCCCCCAGACCTTGACTTTACCACTCATTAACCTACGCCTTGCCTGGGCAGCTGTTTTGTGATCTTCATATTCAAGAAAGCAAAAGCCTCTGTTTTTTTTCTTGTCATCCGGTTGGTGGTATAAAATGACGTCTGTAAGACCCTCTGCAAGTAAGCAACCATTCCAGGAAAATTAGATGAAATAACTAGCAAATACAAGTGGATCAAAGGATTTATCTAAGATACTACTTAAATATCAAAATGAAAAATCATCTCTTTCCTTCACTAGACATCTTTATAAAAGACTATCAAAAACTAGGTCCGGATTATTTTCCTAATCTGTTTCCAAGTTTTTCAACACAGAAATCTCCAGAAAAGAACATGTGCTCTTTTTAGAGGTAAGGACTACTTTTGTTTTCACTAATTAGATCAGAGAGGCAGATAAAAATTTTCATATAATTGTTCTAAGAAAATGGCAGTATAGATCAAATATGGCTATTTTTCTTATTATGCAAACACTAAAATTATTTTTAATGGCACTTTTCTGGCCTTAGATATCAATGGCTTTATTTCAAATAAAATAGAAGTTATAAGTACTGCATAAAAATTTCCAATGTCCTGAAAGTTGATAACAGGCTGATAATTTGTTAGACACTGTTGGCAGACCAAAATATTTTCTAAAAGCAACCTGTCACTTAAAAGTTGTTACAGTTCAAAAAATTTTTTTACCATGTTGACAATATATAAACTCTGTTTATGGGCCAGGCACGGTGGCTCATACCTGTAATCGCAACACTCTGGGAGGCCGAGGCAAGCAGATCACTTGAGGTCAGGAGTACAAGACCAGCCTGGCCAATATGGTGAAACCCCACCTCTACAAAAGACGCAAAAATTAGCCAGGTGTGGTGGTGCGCGCCTGTAATCCCAGCTACTCAGGAGGCTGAGGCAAGAGAATCCCTTGAATCTGGGAGGCAGAGGCTGCAGGGAGCCAAGATCACACCAGCACACTCCAGCCTGGGCAACAAAGCAAGACTGTCTCCAAAAAAAAAAAAAAAAAAAAACACTCTGCTACGGCAATACTTACTACTCCTGTAATTTCAAGAACATCAAATCATTATTCAAACAATTCTACTAAGAACATCAACTAACACCTAGAGAAAGAACACACAAAGAAATACGATCTTCCAAAACATAGGAAGAACAATGATTTTGCAGAATGAATTCAAACCCTAGCTGTATTCCCTACTAACTTGTACAACGTTTGGCAAGTTATTTCCCAAATCCCTGAATGCCTGTTCTTCTTATCTGAAAAATGGGGTTACCTACACTTCAAAAGTTGTAGTGAGGATTCGATGAGTCAATAAATGTATTTAGAACAATGCATGACGCACAGAAATATGCTATTAATCTTCATTATTAAAAGCTGCACCTCATTCCAAATAAATCCAACTTACCTGTTACTTTGCTAAATTCTTCAAGAATCTGTTCCTTGGTTTTACTCTTAGGAATAGAGCCCACAAAAAGCCTATTGTTGGCAACTGAGATGCAGACACCAATATGTTTTCCAGAACGAATTTCATGATTATTATACTGAAAGGGGAAAAAGTGCATCATGTTTTTAAATTACTTATACAACTAGAACAGTTAATTATAAAAGATACACAAGAGCAAATCATCCTTTAAAAAGTAGTTTACCTTAATTCCCATACAAGGGAATTATGAGGAACAGATTATATTAACAAGACCCATTGGACAAGTTCATGAACCAATTTAATGCAAATAAAAGGTTATTAAATCCTTTACTTGATTAATTAGAAATCAGATCTGCAGCAGCTTAAATTCAAAAACTGCCAGTTCCTCAAAAACTTAACTTTTACTTAAGTTCATCCCATCAACCAGTTATTCTCATACAAGGAAAACTGATCCCAAGATCAGCAAGATCTCTGCCGTTCTGTTAACCAGCACCTAAATCTATTTTTCCATCTTCCCTTCCTCTTATCAAAAGTTGTAATAAGAAATTTCAGGCTTCAAATATTTAAGCCTAAAAAAACAGCTTTTATTTCTAAATCCAACTGTACTTTTTCCCCATTTCATTTTCATTATGCATATAACAAATTATGAAGGAGAAAGAGAAGTAGATTTGTCATGGCAAAAATATACAGAAACAACTTTAAAACTACAGTAAAAAGTAAATTGAATTTTCGAGTAACCATATCCCAGATTATCAGAAAGCAGAGGCAAAAAGCAACATGTCAAAGTGACAAATCCACCAATTAGTATTATTTACAAACCCAAGTGCAAAAGTATCCAAGTAATCTAGAAAAGTGGATTATATGGGTTAGTTAAAACCACACCTCAAAATTTGTTACTAATAATGGCGGCAGCAGCGGCAATAATTATTGATTAATCCTCCCACACCTAACCTCAAAATCTATTCTACACGTGGAGCTACACAAACTAAAGAACCAACATCAATTTCCATACAACTTTATAGAAATACCTTACAGCAAAAGAAACCATTCTTCTATTATGCCCATCCTTGCTAGGTACACCGGGTATAACAGAAGAAAACATGTAAGTCAGAAAGTTGAGTCCTCCCTGTCCCTTCCCCATCTCCAGAAAATCAAAATTTAATAAAGTTCAAATACCATACCTCCAGTTCAGAAAAATTTATTGCTTTCTACCCCACTATTCTGTACAGGCTATTCAAGTGTGTGGCCCTCCTGATCCCAGGTTTACTTCTATTTCTCTACATTTATGCCAGAGACACAACATTAAAAAAAGTAAAAAGATGACTCCTGCTACTTTCTCCTCTCTCTCTCAAATACCTTTTTATATCAACTCTTAAACATACAGGGTTTTTTTTTTTTTGTCTTTTCTGAGACAGAGTCTTGCTCTGTCCCCCAGGCAGGAGTGCAGCAGTGGCACTATCTCGGCTCACTGCAACCTCCGCCTCCTGGGTTCAAGCAATTCTCCTCCCTCTACCTCCCGAGTAGCTGTGATTACAGGCGCCTGCCACCATGCCCGGCTATTTTTTGTATTTTTAGTAGAGACGGGGTTTCACCATGTTGGCCAGGCTGGTCTCAAACTCCTGATCTTGTGATCCACTCGCCTCGGCCTCCCAAAGTGCTGGGATTACAGGTGTGACCCACCATGCTGGGCCACATGCAATTTTTATACTCCTATGGCTCTGAAGAAATTGCCTTCCTTCCCTGAAACTTCTACCATACAAGCTCCTCTGGATACCTGTAAATTAAGTTCAACCACCCAATACTACAATACATAAATCCTAAAAGGGTCAACAAAATACTCCTCCATGTTAACACAGACCAACAGTTCTCAACAGGAGTGATTTTGCCCCCCAGAAGTCATTTGACATTCTTGATTGTCACAACTTGGAAAGAAGTGGGGACTTGCTGCTGGTATCTACTGGGTAGACAGAAGGATGCTGATACACATCTAACAATTCAGAAGACAGCCTGTCACAAAGAATTATCTAGTCTAAAAGATCAGCAGTGCTGAGGTTAAAAACTCCTGCCATATACTTTGTTTTCTCATATAGCATTCATGTCTTTCTCTTCTACCAGACTAATAATCTTTTAACAGCAGAAACATGTTACCTGAATGTAGCAGAGCTATGGCTGAATCCATCATTGCACAGAATTATGGACAAGTAGATTATAATGCCTTATTTTGCAAGTAAAATTAAACTAAGAACACAATAAATTACTTTAAAATATGTACATTCCCTGGATTCTTATAATCTAGCATCAAGTAGCCAGCCTTAGCAACAAATCAGTGGTTTTCAAATTGGTCATGCAATCAGTAATTCTAGTAATTAACAAAAACAATTAAAATACCAGAAAAAGGTGGAAAGAAATACCAAGTGTGTAAAGGCAAAAACAGGAGTGATTTTGGGGGTGACAGATTTTGGTATAATGAGGGGGGGAACTGGTATTTTCCAAATGTTCTAAAATCAGGAGCTATTAACTATAAGAAAATACCTAATTCTAAAAAAACTTCTAACAGAAACTTGAATTCTTAGTTCTACCAAGAAAATACACCATTGAGAGGAACCAAAATCCTTATAAGAAATGTAGGAGGCAAAGGCAAGACAACAGAGAATGGAAACATTCCATCAAGGCAACAATAATCAAAGAAATATAGAGAAGACAGCTAATCTGTAACATAGGCAACACTTCCATTAACCATCAACATTAACAATGCTGCTTCAAATTATTAATAACTGTTTCCATTATTATCTACAGAAACACCATTTTTTTCCTTCTTACCCATCATCACTAGCCCTGATGCTAATCAAGTTAGCCAAGGCATGGTAGGTAGAAAGTACAAAGGATGGATGTGGTCTCTGAACAACATAAATAACACAAAGATTTAGCAGGATCTATAAAATAAACTGCTGATTCCTCCCTACCCACATTTTTTCAATTAAAAAACTTGGGCCAGGCGCGGTGGCTCATGCCTGTACTCCTAGCATTTTGGGAGGCTGAGGCGGGCGAATTGCCTAAGCTCAGGAGTTCGAGACCAGCCTGGGCAACACAGTGAAACGCCGTCTCTACTAAAACACAAAAGAAATTAGCCGGGAGTGGTGGCAGGCACCTGTAATCCCAGCTACTCGGGAGGCTGAGGCAGGAGAATCACTTGAAACTGGGCGGCAGGGGTTGCAGTGAGCCCAGATCGCGCCACTGCACTCCAGCCTGGGCAACAGAGCAAGACTCCATCTCTACAAAAAAAAAAAAAAAAAACTTGGAACAATTGTATTACAGGTAACACAGAGAGTCAACTGGCTCTCCAATGAAAATAAGTCATTAAGCGAACAAAGTAAGGAGACTCTGGGTACAACTATAACAAAAGTAGTACCTAGAAATTAACATTTCCGGAAGCAACACCCCATCTACGGATTACGCATGCTTTTTTTGTACGTGTATTTGAATTGCTTAACCTTTCTTACACTAATGCCACTCTATCACCTAAAAAAAAACAAAAACAAAAAAACACTTATCCCAGCAAGATGGGTAACAGTGAGTTATATGGTGAATGGTGTAATACAAAAAACAAATGTGAATAAGAGATTCTAATTTAATACTAGTAAACCCTAACTCAAGAAGTGTATCAGGACACTACAGTGGTATAAAAAAACGAGCACACACACACAAAAAGTCTTATCTTTCCTACTCTAGAAAGGTTGGCCCTGAATCTTGTTAGTTGTAAAAATCTAGCCTTCAAGCTCAGTACCACAGCTGAGATGAACCAAATAGAAAATGAAGATTAATTATGATCATTAATCAATGTGAGGTTTCAGTTTTTAAGAACACCAAAACAGTAGTACAGTCTGGAACGTTCCTGTCATCAAGTCTCAAAATTTTAAGTCACTTTTAAGTCCTTCCCTCATAGTCACCAAATTCCCAGAAATTCAGCAATGTCAAATTTGGAATCTGATCCAGAAGAGGCTGCTTAGTCCTAACTCTTCTCAGCAAAGCCCCTACCTCCAAAGCCTTCCACATTGAAGATTTCTTTTTTTTTTCTTTTTGAGACCGAGTCTCACTCTGACACCCAGGATGGAGTACAGTGACGCGACTTCAGCTAACTGCAACCTCCACCTCCCGGTTTCAAGTGATTCTCCTGCCTCAGCCTCCCTAGTAGCTGGGACCACAGGCGTGTGCCACCACACCCGGCTAATTTTTGTATTTTTAGTAGAGACAGGGTTTCACCATGTTGGCCAGGCTGGTCTCGAACTCCTGGCCTCGGGTGATCCGCCCGCCTCAGCCTCCCAAAATGCTGGGATCACAGGCATGATCCACCGCACCTGGCCTAAAGATTTCTTAATTATAAAGTCTTCTTTACAATAAGCCAAAATCTACTTCCTTAAATAAACCTATTTCTTTCCCCCAAATGACAGCATTTCATATACCTGGCACACAAGCACATGACTCAGTTGTTTTCTATGCTTGGCTAATCATTGCTTCCCTGATAATGGCAAACTAAAGTACCTCCAAGAAATACTGACAAGTGTCACTGAAGAGTGACATTCTAACACAATACTGTAAACGCAGACTGAAACAGGAGTCTAGAATAAACTGGAGCTTATTACTAATTTTCCACTTCTAGACACCATACCACTCTTACATATTGTCTGTGTTACCCTAGGTTATTTGGCAACCACACATTACTGACACCACAGCTTGTTAAACTAGTGTAAATACTTAACTTTAGTCAATTCCATCTTGGTAGATATAAACTTTCTATCTCAGGCTATCAAAAGTTTTTCAGATCCTGACGGTCATCCAAGGCATTTATCACTGAATGGAGATTCAAGTTACCAAACGTATCATGAACAGTCCAACTACACTTTCAATTCTTGATAAAAACTAGAATACAACCTACAGCATACCACTATGGCCTTTCATTTCTCTTTCCAAAATCTCCGATCTTTCTCCTTTCTATTGCTGCCACCCTCCTCCTGGCCTTTATTGTCTTTATTCAAATAATCTTCATTATTCAGCCACTTACAACATGCCACCCACATCAGGGCTCAAAAAGGGGGTGGGGGGTGCTATGCAGCTTAGCCCAGTATGAACTAACTCCTGGCACTGACTTTATTACAAGTTTTATTTCCACAAAACACTGCTTCAACTAGATTCACCTTTTTTCTTCACTGTGCTGCTCAAACCTCTTTATTGCAAAGCCTTCTCTGACAACCCTAATCCAGTCTCCCTTCATCCTTCCTTTACGCTTTGCACCACTGGATTCCACTGTAACAGTAGTCTTTCATGTTCTATAAACTCTCTAAGAACCTGTATATCTGAAGTAAAAGTTTTCATGCTAAACACACTATTTGCTAAATTATTATTAAAATATCTCTGAACCTACCTTGTCAACTACATTCATCAAAATGGCTGTTCATGAGGCCGAAGCAAATGGATCACTGAAGGTTTGGAGTTTGAGACCAGCCTGGTCAACAAACTAAAAATACAAAAAAAAAAAAAAAAAAAAAAAAGGGCCGGGTGCGGTGGCTCATGCCTGTAATCCCAGCATTTTGGGAGGCCGATGTGGGCGGATCACGAGGTCAAGAATTTGAGACCAGCCTGGCCAATATGGTGAAACCCCATCTCTACTAAAAACACAAAAATTAGCCAGGCGTGGTGGTGCTCACCTGTAGTCCCAGCTACTCGGGAGGCTGAGGCAGAAGAATCGCTTGAACCTGGGAGGCGGAGGCTGCAGTGAGCCGAGATCATGCCACTGCAATCCAGCCTGGGCAACAAGGCGAGATTCATATCAAAACAAAACAAAATTAGTCAGGCATGGTGGCGGGCTCCTGTAGTCCCAGCTACTCGGGAGGCCGAGGCAGCAGAATCTCCTGAACCCAGGAGACAGAGGTTGCAGTGAGCTGAGATAGCGCCGCTGTGCTCCAGCCTCGTTGAGAGTGAGGATTTGTCTCAAAAAAAAAAAAAAGCTGTATACACATCATGACAGTATACATAACCAATCTGGTGACTAAAACCATCAGAACCATCAGAGCTATTAAAATAACTTGTGGGCCGGGCACTGTGGCTCACGTCTGTAATCCCAGCACTTTGGGAGGCTGAGACAGGCGGATCACGAGGTCAGGAGATAGAGACCATCCTGGCTAACACGGTGAAACCCCGTCTCTACTAAAAATACAAAAAAATTAGCCGGGTGTGGTGGCAGGCGCCTGTAGTCCCAGCTACTCGGAGGCTGAGTCAGGAGAATGGCGTGAACCCAGGAGGTGGAGCTTGCAATGAGCCGAGATCGTGCCACTGCACTCCAGCCTGGGCAACAGAGCGAGACTCCATCTCAAAAACAAACAAACAAACAAAAAAAATCGTAACGTGCAAACAGATTTCATCTATTCCAATGCTTGTACATAGACATTATTAGCATTTCATCAGGATATTTCCGTTATTTAAGATTGTCATGGAATTGCAGCATCACCAGCCTTGGGCTCCAATTCCAGCAACATACCACACAAATACATAAACACACCTGCCTGCCCTTCTTCATGGTCTTTAAATCAACATGTCTATTTCCAAACAACCCCTAGGTAGGTAAGGGAAGAAAGCATCATCACCTACTAATTTACCTTAATCACAGGGCAGTAAGTAGCACAGAATTGTAAATGGAGGCTATTAAAACAGCAAATGGTCCATGAGTTACATAAGAATATTAGAGAGCACTGGTCAGCAAGTCAGGTTATTTATCCAACACCTACTACATAATGGGGCACAGTTCTAAATGTTAGGGAAAAAGGAAAAATATATACATATTCTAATGGGAAAAGACATGTAAATAATTTACAAAGTCAAAAAATAATTACAAGCTCATCCAAGCAAAATCTATTTTATCATTCTTAGAATACTGTCATGGGGGCAACTGGGTGGTAAGGTGCTCAATGTCACCCTACCTGAAAAGAAAGCATCAGTCATAAATGGGCTGCTTTCAACCCCTACGAAAGCAGAACAGCAGAAGGCAGCCTTAAAATGATAATGGCCATGGCTTGGCTGGGCACGGTGGCTCACGCCTGTAATCCCAGTACTTTGGGAGGCTGAGGCGGGCAAATCACTTGGGGTCAGGAGTTCGAGACCAGCCTGGCCAACATGGCAAAACGCCATCTCTACTAAAAATACAAAAATCAGCCAGGCGTGGTGGCACACACCTGTAATCCCAGCTACTCAGTGGCTGAGGCAGAACTGCTTGAACCCAGGAGGCAGAGGGTGCAGTGAGCTGTGATCGCACCACTGCCCTCCAGCCTGGGTGACAAAGCATGACTGTGTCTCCAAAAAAAAAAAAAAAAGGCCATGGCTTAAAGAAGGCGAAACATGGCTAAAAGGGTAATTAAAAGGAAGAGTGGGGAAAGAGGTAAGAAGGAACTTGTCTGGATAGGGCCTTGTTTGTAAGTCATTTTTCAGCACAGGAATGCTGTGATCTAATTGATGTTGCCAAATATAAAGGGCAACAGAAGGCAGTGAGACTAGCTAAGTTTCTTCAGTAGTCTGAATGGTACAAATGGTACCTTAGACTAACTAGGGTAGTAGCAGCGAAGAAGATAAAAAGTGTTAGATGCTAAAATATTTTGGCAACAGATAGGACCTACTTCCTTAACTCTTTTAACACTACCTAAACCACTACATAATTTAAAGTTATCAGGCTACCTGGTGACGTAACTTGTACAGTTGGCTTAAATTGTTATGTCTAACAATAGGGACCTCAGCTAAAGAAACCTGGCATCAAACTAGGGCTGGGATGTTTAGCTGTATGGCCTCAGGCAAGTCTATTTCTTTCTACTACCTGGCAGAAAGGGTTGTTGAGGCTGAATTTAAAGGTGATAACGTAGCATCTAACAAAGCTCCTGTCCCTTAACAAGCACTCAAGTAGTAGCTATTAATCACCTTTTCACAAGTTTAGATCATGCTTCCCTAGCTAGATTATCATCATTTACAAATGGATTTTTTTCATTCCCCAAAATGAAGGTAGATGTTGGCTAGAATCAGGGTCATTTAAGAAACTTGAAGTTGCTTTCAATTAACTTCATGCCTCTTCAACTGTTAACATCAATTAACCCATTTTTATAAGTCCACATACAAATATAAAGTCTACAGTACTATTTAACCTAGAGAAACTATTCATTGCTGTATCAGTATTAAAAGACAATGCCAAATACCTAAAACTATTTCAACCTAAGGTATTCCTCCAGACACTCAAAAGAGAAACAGAGGTGCTTCAATCTTGTCTGATCTATAAATAATGCAAAGGAGGCATGAGGCACTTTCCCAACATTTAGTTATATATAACTAGAATGACACTTCAATTAAAAACTCACTTTGGATAGAACTGTAACAAGTAGAATCTCAAAATGTAACACAGTAGAGATAGCTTCCAAAGTATGCGCCCTTGAGGAACATACTTAGGAAAGGGGTATTCATGTCCGCAAATGAATACAAAGTGGCAAAAAACATCCAAAAAAACTTGAGATTTGTATTTTCTCTAGAATGTTTCAATTACTTCACTTTCTCTAAAATCTAGTTCTTTGTTGTGCTAAAGCAAATCTACCAGATCCTACCCACAGTAAAGCATCCTTTTAAAAAAAAAGTAAACAATGGCCAGGCGCAGTGGCTCATGCCTGTAATCCCAGCAATTTGGGAAGCCAAGGCAGTAAGACTGCTTGAGGCCAAGAGTTCAAGACTAGCCTGGACAACATAGTGAGACACCACCTCTACAAGTTTAAAAATTAGCCTAGCAAGGTGGTGCCCTCATAGTCCTAGCTGCTGAGGAAGCTGAGGCAGGAGGATCACGTAAGCCCGGGAGTTCAAGGTTAGTGAGCATTGATCATGACACTGCACTCCAGCAAGGGCAACAGAGTGACAACCTGTCTCCGAAAACAGTAATAATAATTAAAACCGTTTACTTAAGGCCGGGCGCGGTGGCTCACACCTGTAATCCCAGCACTTTGGGAAGCCAAGGCGGGTGAATCACAAGGTCAAGAGATCGAGACCATCCTGGCTAACACGGTGAAACCCTGTCTCTACTAAAAAAATACAAAAAAAATTAGCTGGGTGTGGTGGTGGGTGCCTGTAGTACCAGCTACTCAGGAGGCTGAGGCAGGAGAATGGCGTGAACCCGGGAGGCAGAGCTTGCAGTGAGCCGAGATTGCACCACTGCACTCCAGCCTGGGCAACAGAGTGAGACTCCATCTCAAAAACAAATAAATAAATAAATAAATAAATAAATAAAATAAACAATTTACTTAAAAGTAGGCTGGGTGTGGTGGCTCACACCTGTACTCCCAGCACTTTGGGAAGCCGAGGCCGAGACTGGGGTCAGGAGTTTGAGACCAGCCTGGCCAACAGGGTGAAACCCCATCTCTACTAAAAATACAAAAATCAGTAGGGCATGGTGGTGTGCACCTGTAATCCCAGCTACTCAGGGGGCTGAAACAGAAGAATCACTTGAACCCAGAAGGCAGAGGTTGCAGTGAGTTGAGATCACACCACTGCACCCCAGCCTGGGCAACAGAGGGAGACTCCGTTTCAAAAAAACTTACTAAAAAGTCAAAAAAAGCAAATGATGGTATGACCAATATATCCTACTGGCTGTATACCAATACCTACCATTGGAAATTTTTTTTTTCCCCCTTTTTGGTTTTTTGAGACAGGGTCTCTGTTGCCCAGGCTGGAGTGCAGTGGCATGATCACAGGTCATTGCAGCCTTGACCTCCTGGGACCACAGGTGCACGCTGCCTGGCTAATCTGTTACTTTTTGGTACAGATGGGGTCTATGTTTCCCAGGCTGGTTTCAATCAATCCTTGCACCTCAGCCTACCAAAGTGCTGGGACTACAGGTGTGAGCAACCACACCCTGCCAAAAGTATCTTTTAAAAGACAACAAAATGCAAAGTCTCCTATTAATTAGATAGTACAAAATAATTATGCCCCCAGAAAAGGATTCAAATCACAACAGAGAAACCCAGAAAGAAATGTAGAAAGTTTTAGGACAAGGGTTAATTCCTACGCCAATCAAAAAGAATGCTTATCTATAGAAGTTTCTCCATTATATTTAAAAACTATATTAATAAGACTATATTCTAAGCAACCTACAGCAATGCAATTTTATAATTTAACGTATTTATTAAACAAGGCAATTGTACAAATGGAAACATTTCCTAGTGTCTACTGGCACTCGAAATCACTGTTACTAATGGATTATAAACCATCTTCCTCTAATGATGTATCTTTACTGTAAAGTTTCTGGAAAACATCTATAAATAAGTTATAGTGGTCACCTACCATAATTGGTACATTTTGACGGCAAGAATTAGGTAACCTACGATGTCAGTTTAATGATTCTTTTTCATAATGTTAAAAAATGGATGACACCACTAGCTAAATTCTGCAGTGGTCCCTCAGCACATACGGGGGACTGATTCCAGGAACCCATACCAAAATCCATGAATGCTCAACTCTCTTAAATAGCATAGTGTTTGCACATAACCTACGAACATTCTCTCATACACTGGTGTGTTGTTTTTTTTTTTTATTGGGTTTTTTGGGAGTATCTTCAATCCTCAGCTAGCTGAAACTGTGAATGCAGGACCCACAGTAGAGAGAGCCCACTGTATTAGCTTTCTGTAGTTATGATACCTCATTGCTTACTGGATCATTCTGCATTTTCACTTACTGCTACTTTATTGCTACTTGGCAAAAATATTCTACTCTTTTATAGGAGATTAAAGGATTTTGGGACAGGCAAGGTGGCTCATGCCAGTAATCCTTGCACTTTGGGAAGCCGAGGTAGGAGGACTGCTTGAGACCATGAGTTCAAGACCAACCTGCCAGGCACAGTGGCTCATGCCTGTCATCCCAGCACTTTGGGAGGCCAAGGCGGGCAGATTACTTGAGGTCTGGAGTTCAAGACCGGCCTGGCCAACATAACCCCATCTCTACCAAATATACAAAAATTAGTCAGGTGTGGTGGTACGCGCCTATTATCCCAGCTACTCGGGTGGCTGAGGCAGGAGAATTGCCTGAGCCCAGGAGGCAGAGATTACAGTGAGCCAAGATCATGCCCACACACTCCAGCGTGGGTGACAGAGACTTTGTCTCAAAAAACAAATCATAAAAACAAACTAAAGGATTTCTAAGGTACCTCTTTCTAGAGCTCTAAAATGCCCCTCCCCTCAAATTGAACTGCTGAAACTAAAATTTTGACAACTCAAAGGTTACCAGTAAATCTGAATTCCCTCTAAAACACAAAGCACTCTTTTATGAAGAGAAAAATCAGACATGATTTGAAAATATCTAAATTCTCAAATTCTCTTTGTAAAGGCTTATATTCTTTCAAGTAACATAATTTTGTACTGTTTAACTTCCATCATACTCAATTATGCAAACCAGTGGGGAATATTCACACAACATAGAAAAGGAAGACTTGGCCGGGTGCAGTGGCACACGTCTGCAATCCCAGCACTTTGCGGGGCTGAGGCAGGCATATCTTCTGAGGTCAAGAGTTCATGACCAGCCTGGCCAACATGGTGAAACCCTGTCTCTACTAAAAATACAAAATTTAGCCAGGTGTGGTGATAAATGCCTGTAATCCCAGCTACCGGAGAGGCTGAGGCAGGAGAATCGCTTGAACCTGGGAGGCGGAGGTTGCAGTGAGCCAAGATCGCACCATGGCACTCCTGCTGTCTAGGTGACAGAGTGAGATTCTATCTCCCAAAAAAAAAAAAAAAAAAAAAAAGAAAAGGAAGACTTATGAGTTTTATTTTTCTCTTTAAGGCTTGCTTAAAGTGATAAACCTCATGGTAAAGGAAGGGGTAAAACTCAGGAGGGAGGGAAAAAAAAATGAGTCTGAAGATTTTAAGTTTGTCTGGAATTACCCACAGGATACGTAAGCCAGATAAAGCAAATTTAACAAACATGGCATAGTGAGCTATCTTGTACAAAAGTTCTCCCCAGTCGTGTTGCTTGATACATTCTATGGGTTTAAATTAGCCCCCAACTCTTCAACTATAAAATGCAGAAACCACTTCTGTCACAGAACTTAATAAAACTAGTTTAAAGGACTTACATAAACTATAATTTAAAATATTAAAATTTCTTTCTAGCCAGGCGTGGTGGCTCACGTCTAAAATCCCAGGACTTTGGGAGGCCGAAGCGAGTGGATCACCGGAGGTCAGGAGTTCGAGACCAGCCTGGCCAACATGGCGAAACCCCATCTCTACTAAAAATATAAAAATTAGCCTGAGCGTGGTGGCAGGCGCCTATAATCCTAGCTACTCGGGAGGCTGAGGCAGGAGAATCACTTGAACCTGAGGGGTGGAGGTTGCAGTGAGCCGAAATCATGCCACTTCAGCCTGGGCAAGAGAGAGAAACTTGGTCTCAAAAAAAAAAGAAAAGAAAAAAGAAAAATTTCCTTTTTAAAAAAGTTGGAAAGATTACCAGGTCCTTACCTAACATCTGGTATTTTTAAATCAAACATTGCCACTCACCATAAAATCTTTTGTTTCATCAACTAGAAATGTATCACAATGTCTTTTGTGAATTATTTAAGAAAAAGAGATGGCTCAGGTATGGCCAGGAAGTATGAGAGCTCTTACCACAGTTACTTTTCTTAATCTTTTCACATTCCTATAAATTTAAACAAACACACAAAAACGTCACTAAGCCAGATGTTTATAAGAACCAATTGCTAGGAATTCTACCATGCCGCCTTTTAGATGCTGAATCCTATCAACTATACATGCAAAGAATAACACTACAATGCTTGCACAGTGATGTGGGAAAAAAAAAACCTGCCTAAATCAGTACTTCAAAAAATGTTTGGTAAACTCTTAGGCACACTAAGAAAAAAACTTGATATTAAAGACAGTGAACGTGAAAACTGAAGGGGAAAAAAGGACAACTTACCAGTTTAACAGCCTCCTGAGCTGCTTCTTTTGTACAAAAAGTGACAAACGCATAACCTCTATTGAGACCAGTGAGTGGATCCATCATTAGACGAAGATCCCATATAGGTCCAGCTTTCTCAAATAATGGAACAAGTTCATCCTCAAATAGATCTCTTGGGATCTTTCCCACAAATATCTGTAAATTAAATATTAAGTAAAAACCATGGAGAATTGCTTTAGGAAACCAGATACCTGTGCTTTTACTACAAAAGGTACAAGTTTTTAGTTGCTTTACCTCAGTGCCAACAGAAGGCTGCTGACCTGAATAAACGGAATCTGGAGGTGGTCCTCCATACTTCCTCTGTCCAGTGGTCACATCAAGTGTGTAGCCTGTTCTTTCCAAGAGTGCCTTGAAAAGTTCAAACGTCATTAATACATTTAATTCACTAGACCACACCCATATATTTAGCAGTTAACATCCATCTTGCTCAAATCTTTCCAATTATCTTGGCATGTTCCCTTATAAAAACAGGTTTGTGATGTCTGTTTTAAAATTTCCCCTTAAATGTGTACTTGTTATACTCCTAAATTATTATCAGAAGTCCAGGGTCCTGTTCAAATTACTTTCTAGTCTCCACTTAATTACTGAATAGTGTGCTTAATGGACAACAAAAAGTTAAGACCAATCCATCAGCAACTTTCAAGACAGGATGTATTACTATGTTAATACCATCTTAAAAAATGATTGTACCTAATTTGGTTGAGCATCTTTCAAATCTGGATCTCTCACCCAATAAATTCCCTATAAACCCCACTCCTAGGTACATACTGCCATTCTGGGCATTGTGCCAACCTCAGAAGAAATTACACTTCCCATACCAAGTCTAGAAACTTGGGAGCTACAGGGAAAAAAAATCTCCTATTATTATTTGACATTTACGTGCCATATTTCATGGGATAGCATGGGTCCTTCAGAAAAAAGTAACAGCCAAAACGACTTTTAAAAACTTTATGAAACTGCAACGTTACATAACCTCTACATTTTAACTCCCAAAAAGTAACTGTTAAAATTTACACAACTCATATTTACTCAGAGCATTAGGTGTTTATTCCTTATTCTAGGCAAAGTATAGAAAGAAGTATAGGCTGGGTGCAGTGGCTCACACCTGTAATCCCAGCACTTTGGGAGGCCAAGGCGGGTGGATCAGGACATCAGGAGCTCAAGACCAGCCTGGCCAAGATGGTGAAACCCTGTCTCTACTAAAAATACAAAAAATTAGCCAGGCGTGGTGGCACGCGCCTGTAATGCCAGCTACTCAGGAGGCTGAGGCAGAGAACTGCTTAAACGCTTAAACCTGGAGGGGCGGAGGTTGCAGTGAGCGGAGATCGCGCCACTGCACTCCAGCCTGGATGACAGAGCAAGACCCCATCTCAAAAAAAAAAAAAAAAAAAAAAAAAAAAAGGTACACTCCTCCATTATCTGAAGGAAAAAGTCAAGAATTATTCCCCTTCTCCACTGTCTCAACCACAAAGCACAAAAGTGGTTTTCTAAACAAAACCAATTTTATTAGCTAGGACATTCTGAAATAAAAACAGACTAATCCTAGCTATCTGACAAAATTTATCAAAATGCATAATCTAGGGTCACCTCAGTCTCTGAAAATTACTGGACAGATTTTTAACATTTTCTACTCAAAGGACACTAACTGTTTATGAAAAATACTGTAATTAATAAAAACATTCATAAACTTGCTCACATCTATAACATAAACTAAATGAGTAATAGCTCATCTTTCCATTTTCTCACATGTAATCCCTATGCTATAAACGGATTTTTTAACCTTAATAGTTAAGACCCAAATAACACTTTTTGTCAATCCATAAAAACAAAAAGGAAAAACTTATTCCCTCTGTCAAACTTCCTCTAAAAATGTCTCTATGCCTTTTTACCACAACTTAGCTCTCATTGAAACTGTAAGCAGCCAGGCATGGTGGCTCACACCTGTAATCTCAGGACTTTGGGAGGCCAAGGTGGGTGGGTCACGAGGTCAAGAGATTGAGACCATCCCGGTCAACATGGTGAAACCTCACCTCTGCTAAAAATACAAAAATCAGCTGGGCCTGGTGGCACCCACCGGTAGTCCCAGCTACTCGGGAGGCTGAGGCAGGAGAATTGCTCGAACCCGCGAGGTGGAGGTTGCAGTGAGCCAAGATCACGCCACTGCACTCCAGCCTGGGTGACAGAGTAAGACTCTGTCTCCCAAAAACAAACAAACAAACAAACAAAAAATTAAGCCACCCCCTTGCAAAAAAAACTGAAAGCTAAAAGTCACAAACTAAAAGTTTAAAAACTTTAGTTCTAGCTCACCAATGCAAACTTGATTACAACTGAATTACAATGGAGACAACTATACTCCACTTTTATGGAAAAACTAGATTTACAGATCAAACTCAATTCACTCACAGCTAGATCTGTGAAAGCCTCCAATTCATGGTTGTCTTAAACAGCTAACTCCATATACCAACCTTTTCCATATTCTAGGCTTTCCCTGTTTCCACACCACTACAACAATGCTCAAGGCCTATACCCTTAACTGATTTTCTTAAACCATACGCTTGGCTCAAGAGCACTGGCACACTACAAAGCACACCAGGTTAAAAAGTAATACAATCACCACATTGTCTATAAATTAGAAAACTCACCAATATAAATATCAAAACCAAGCTGAATTTGAAGCCATTCACCATGATTTTAAACCAAAAAAAAAGCCTCCTCCTCCTAGCCTCAGTTTCTCATCTACATACCCACACTAAACAATCTTATTGTCAAAGCTGCTTTGAGAAATAGTCTAATAATCCATACTGATGGAAGTGGAGGGCAGCAGGGTTAACATTCTAAATTCATTGGGGTTTGAGACTCCTAAAAAAAAAAGCCAGTTGCCAAATGTACATTCTCCATCAGTATTTCAACTGTCAATAAGCTGGCTTTGCAGCTTTTCAAAAAATATTCTAGAGGTATCATGGGTGTGTTTCTTTATACTAGGACTACCAATAGAACAGATTTAAACATCAGTAGCTGGATAACATGATAAACTTCACAGCAAATTGCTTTAGAAACAAATAGTTTAAAAAAACTTAAAAAAAGGAATTAGGAAAGATTGATGAATTATCTCAACATCTAACATACATCCATTTCATACCCAAGGAATATTTACCAAAATTAGGAAACAGTTAAAATGACTTTAAAACTAAAGGGAGTATAGAAAGACATACCTTAATTTTTGCCTCATCTGGTCCTTTACTAGAATCTGCTACTTTGGTCCCTTGTTTTTCTCTCTGCCTGTAAGTCTTCATGACTCCACATAAAAAGGCACTTTTGTTCTGCAAAAAAATGTTCCATTAATATTTAACAATAACCATATCTGAGTCTAATAAAATTCAGCAGATAGTATCAAAACTACTCAAATTTTTTAATTTTCACATTGACATTAACATTACCTGAACATGAGAGAGATCACTGTCTTTAAACTGTTGAAGAACTGCCAATGCACCGTCTTCATTGAATTCTTTTAAAGCTTCAATAGCTCTTTCATCTAAATCACTATGTGCAACTAGCCCTGAAAAAAATAAAAGTTATCAGCTTTTAATATTTTTAGAAAAGATTTTTTAGAGAAGACTATGTTGGCAATACAGGTACATGTGTGCCTTTACAATTCTTCTACTCCCCTCATCTATACCTGAAAAAAAAAAAACACACACTTCAGCCACTCTGAACTGAATCCTGAACTAAATATGCCCTACCAACCACACTTACAATAATCAGCTAACTTCTTTTACATCTTTTATCTCCAAAGTCTGATAACTCTGAACACTACGGTATTTTTACAGTATACAGACTTACGAATCCTAGAATCAACCAACAAAGTACCAAGCATGACAACTGAACCTCTACTCAATTTCAAATACCACCAGAAAAAGTTAACAGCCGCACCAGAAAGACAAGAAAACAAGTCTACAGTTACCAAGTTATTTAAGAAGAATCCTACTATAAAAATACTCAAAAAAGTCACATGGCCTGTTCCCAACATTTAGCAGCTGTTGCTACTATCATATACTTATCCATCAGGCCAGCATGCAAGCCAGCCTTTAGCTCCTAACCTTCTCTTCTTCCCTCCCTCTATACATCTTAACCTCTACTTCAAACTTAAATTAACCAACTATCACAACAAGCAAAACTCCAGTACCCACACTTATTGGAAACCACAAAAAGTTGCTATTTTAGCTCAAAGCCAGAAATCCAATAGAAAAATTTCATAATGTAATTTTGCAAGTGTTAGTTCTTACCTGCAACGTAAATTTCATCTAGTTTTTCAGCAACTTTCTGTGGTAAACCAGCATCAAGCAATGTCTGAAAATTTTCTGAATGGATAACTGCAGAAGTAGTATCCATGGGCTCTTCAGTACCATTTCCATTAACATGTTCTGTAGCCATGTTTCCAGAGATCTGTTCAAACGCAATAAGCAAAATTAAACTAGGATCTTCAAAAAGAATACAAGACAATATGAGAGCCCCATCTTTACTTTCTCTACCATTTACTACACCAGCTAGCCTATACCTCCCTTTAAAAAAGCCTTACAGTCACTATCGCCTGACAAGCCAGATTTGGAGCACAGGGCACAGAAGGACCGATTCACCATATTCTTCCTCAGCACCACCCCTGACTCACCTGCTAACACTCCCTAGGAAAAACCATATTACAAATAGAGCCCAATCAGCACGGGTACGAGCCAGCGTGCCACATGCAGCTGTGCCCGTTCGGAAAATGAGGTGTGTGTGGAGAAAGCAAAACTGGGCTCCTCTCTCTCAAAGATAAACCCCCAAAGTGCGCGCTTTTCCCGCCTGCCGCTTATAGATCGGTAACAACAGCCAGCGAAGAACAAAGCGCTCATACAAGCCACCTTCCCACCACCCAATTTCTCCACCCTTTAACCCCGCACCCCAAAGCCCGCCCCTGACTCCGCACCCAGAGCGGCAGTCTCACCACTGCGGCCGCCAGGAGCCCATTAGAAACACGTGCTCTGCGCCTTCCAATGTCCTACAACTTCCTTCAACGGCAACCCAACGAATCCCAAACCAAGACGACCATCACTGGTTCCCAACATCAACCCGAAGCCGCGGTCGGAGCCCCCAGAAAGCTGCAGCAGCACAATCTCTCCCCTGAACACCGAGGCACCGGCGGCGCCAGGCCACAGGCTCTCCCCGCCCCCCAGCGCCGCCGTCTCCGCCGTGACACATGGCTCTCCGCCCCTGGCGCTCCCCGGGCGCCGACGACCCCCGGCCGCCCGCCCGGCCGAGACGTGACCCGTGGCGCGCTGTGCAGGTCCCCACCCCTTACCCTTCCGTGCAGTGACTGCGACGCCTGCCCGGCAACCCAGCAGCGTGAGGGCGTTCAGCGGACGGCTCAACGCCCGCGGGACCGTGAGCACCGCCCAAGCTCGCCGCACGGCTGCAGGACAAGACCCACTCCTCTCCGCCCACTCCCGCGCCGCGGCGACCGCCACGACAGCACCAACTCTGAAGCCGCTCGCGGTCCGTGCGGGCCACGGGACCGTGGAGGCGCCTCCTCCCAAAGCGCCGCAGACAAAGCCCGAACCGCAGCAGCACATGGAAAGGAGGAAGTGGCGGCGCGGGCCGCGGCCTACTCCCAGGCAGCCCCAGTCAACGTGCTCTTCTCCCCATTGGAATCCATTTTCCAGAAAAGCCGGTTTCTACCCGCGCCACCCTCCCCCAGCTCACTCCACAATGTCATGGAGCTCCCCTCCCACACCCAGGTTCTGGCAGTCGTTACCTCCCCGTTGGGCTGAGGCGGAGAAATCCTGTCCGATGGTATCGGGTTGCGGGAAACGCGTGCTCGCTGCTCCCTGTGTCCGGCGCGAGTGGAGCTGTTGTAAAATGGCGGCCGAAGCTCACGCCGCTGGCAGCAAACCCGATCCAGTTCCACTCGCCTCCGAGCGCGCTCCCGGTGCGCGCGCGCGCCCCCGCGTGACCCCCCCTTCCCTTCCCTTCCCTTCCCTCCCCTCCCTCGCGCGTCCGCTTCACTCACTCCCTCAGCCCCTGCCCTCCTCCAGCTCCTCCTTCTCCCCCTACCACCACCACCACCACTAGCCTCTGTCCGCCTTCTCTCGGCCTTTCTTATTCCCGCCCCCCGCTCCTTTACCCCACTGCTCCCACTCCCCTCTGCGGTCGCTCAGGCACGAGTGGCCGCCTTTCCCCTTCTGGCTCGCACGCTCCCTCACTCCCTCCCTCGCTCGCTCGCACTCTCGGCCCGGTCCCCCAGTCCCTGCCGAGTCGGCTCCTCTCTTTCTCTCTCCCGCGCTGACGTGACAACGTAGCCTACGCCTCGGGACGCGCGCCCGCGGGCTCCGCCCCCACGCCGCGCCGCCTTCCCCGCTCCTCACCCCTTGGGTTGGGGGTGGGGGAGGCACAAGACCCCGCCCTTCCGCTCCGACGGTGGCGGCCGAGGGGCCGAGACTGAATGAAAGGCCCGCCCCTTCCCCTCCCGACACTCCCCCTCCCTCTCCCCTCCAGGCGGGGCGGGCCGGCTCAGCGTGTCCCACTCGTTTTCCTTTGTCAGGAGACTGGCATCTCCCCACCCCGCCCCACCCCACCCCCTCCCCGCGACACCATGCGCACGCCACCCCCACCGAGCTCCCGCCCGCCCCATCCCTGCCCGGTCCGGGGCTGGCGGGGCAGAGTGCTGTGGGCGCTGAGTGCGACTGCCGCTTCCCGGAGGGCACCCACCGGTCTGTGCGCGCCCGGCCCCCGCCCCCGGCTCCGCGGCCGCGTAGCCGTTCCAGGCGGTGTCCACGCCGCTGCCACCGCCCCGCGCTCTCCTCCTCGGGAAGCTGCAGGCGCACGTGTCCCCCGGGGCGGGGCGAGGCAGACAATGGGGCCAAGGGGGAGGGGAGCGGCGCGGAGACCCGCGGACCTTTGGTCCGCCGGACTGGCGGTACTCGAGTGCGAGAGTCGCCCTTGGAGACTCGATCTCCCCAACTGGACAGTGGGCCCTCCTCGCAGCCGCGCGGCTCCGCTTTCACGGGAACCTTCGGCGAAGGGAGGGGCGCCCCAGGCTTGGACGCGGAAACCCCGGCTGCTTTTGAAGGGGGAACGGGGCTGGCTCCAGTGGAGCGAGGAGCGGCTCCTGCCTTGGGATGACACGAAGGCCAGATTTGGAAGCGAAACCGCCCGGTGGTGAAGGGTTGTGCAATACTCCGTTTCAGTCCCTGGCCTTTTAAGCAGTTAAGGGCTTCCTCCTGGCACAGTTTGAGCAACTTGAAACAGCACAAAGCTGCGTGGTTAGAACAACTTTGAGAAAAATGTCTGTGTTTCTTTTAAAAAAAACCTTGGCAACTAAATCTTCTGTGAAATGACGTTTCCTTTATAATCGTTTACTAGGTACAAGAAAGACAAGACAAAGGCATTTGAATTACAGACGCGATATGGATACTAATTTTATCCAGGGCAGCTGTAATGAAAAATAGAAACAATGTCCTTTTGATTAAAAAGCTTATTTTTAAGAGCTTACTGGTTCCCCAGATGAGCTCTGTGCTATGATAACAAATCAGTGGTTTGAGGAAAAGTTAGATAAACACTCTTCAAAGTGCACAAGCACATAAAATGCTAGATTATTTTCATAGCTACTTGGATCAGATATGAAGTATGTTTTAGCCAAAGCACCACATAGCCAACCTGTTTAGTAAGGATTTGAGATCTCCACCACCCCAGATTCCTTACTATCAAACATATGTGATATTCAGCTGCTTCAGCCATAGGGATTTTTGTTCACAATGCAGAGGTCGTGGTTAATGATATACATGAAAAACAAAATGTTTAATAGAAAACTATGAAAATAAGAGTCATACCATGGATTAAACAAGAATAAAAATTGGCCGGGCGCGGTGGCTCACGCCTGTAATCCCAGCACTTTGGAAGGCCGAGGCGGGCGGATCACAAGGTCAGGAGATCGAGACCATCCTGGCTAACACGGTGAAACCCCGTCTCTACTAAAAATACAAAAAAATTAGCCAGGCGTGGTGGCGGGCGCCTGTAGTCCCAGCTACCCTGGAGGCTGAGGCAGGAGAATGGCGTTAACCCGGGAGGCGGAGCTTGCAGTGAGCGGAGATCGCGCCACTGCACTCCAGCCAGGACGACAGAGCGAGACTCCGTCTCAAAAAAAAAAAGAATAAAAATGAGTCTGAAACATGTAACACTTTGTTTAGACCTTCCTGGGTATTAAAAAAAATTTTTTAAAGTGCCTTAACCTGGGCAAAGCTCCCAAATTAAAATCTCTAGCTGTTCTCTGACATCTAATTCCTTTCTCTAGCCACGCCCTCAATGTTTATGTGGGCTTTCTGGCACTCCAGATGGGCATTTCAAGAAACTGAGCACGTGATCTTCCCCCAGTCTTCCGTCTACAGAGTTCCCATCTCAATTAACATCCCCCACATGAATTGCTGGAGCGGATCATTCAAGGCACTTCCTTCTCTACACTGCCATATCAGTTAATCAAGTCCTATCAATTCTGTCTCCCAAATATATCTCCATTTATCTCTATGTTGCAACCACCCAGGCAAAGCCACCATCATCTACCACCTGTACTAATGGCATAGCCTCCTGATTCATCCACTCTTACAGCTGTCCTAATCTGTTCAAAGCCCAAGTCATCTGTCTTTCTGTATGACTCTCTGTCTCCTGTGTAGGCTCTCTCCCTCCCTTGACCTTCTCTATCTTAATTGCAAGTAAGATCCTATGGCGTGTCTGCTTAAAACCCTTCATTAGCTTCCAATTACACTTAGAACAACAGCCAAAATCCTTAACTAGATCAACAAAGCTCTCTAAGATCTGTCCCACCTGTCTCCCCAGCTCATCTCAGCCACTTTATGGCTTCAGCCTGGCCTTCCCTTGATTCTGGCATTTCTTTTTATTTGAGACGGAGTCTCGCACTGTCGCCCGGGCTGGAATGCAGTACGTGATCTCGGCTCACTGCAACCTCCGCCTCCCAGGTTCAAGTGATTCTCCTTGCCTCAGCCTCCCAAATACCTGGGATTACAGGCGCCCGCCACCATGGCCGGCTAATTCTTTTGTATTTTTAGTAGAGTTGGGAGTTTCACTATGTTTGCCAGGCTGGTCTCGAACTCCTGACCTCATGATCAGCCCGCCTCAGCCTCCCAAAGTGCTGGGATTACAGGCGTGAGCCACTGCGCCAGGGCTCGTTTTTTGGTTTTTTGTTTTTGAGACGGAGTCTCACACTGTTGCCCGGGCTGGAGTGCAGTGGCGGGATCTCAGCACACTGCAACCTCCACCTCCTGGATTCAAGCGAGTCTCCTGCCTCAGCCTCACGAGTAGCTGGGATTACAAGCACCCACCACCACACCAAGCTAATTTTTGTGTTTTTAGTAGAGACAGAGTTTCACCATGTTGGCCAGGCTGGTCTCGAACTCCTGACCTCAGGTAATCCACCCTCCTCGGCCTCCCAAAGTGCTGGGATTACAGGCGTGACCCACTGCTCCCGACAGAGTATTCATTAGTTTCATTGCTGTCTTTTCGTCCATGTAAGCTTTGAAACAGTGAGAAGATGCAGCCCTGTTGAGTTGGCAACTAATGAAAGAGAGGAATGTAGGCAGGCCTGTTTGGATTTTTTACTTATCCAAAATTCTTCCACCCAGTCAATGCCACACTGCCACACTGTTTTTTGTTTGTTTGTTTGTTTTGTTTTGTTTTTTGCATATTTTCTTCTCTTCTTTACTGCATTTTCTAAACTTCCTGCCATTAACATATATTAATTTTATAATGGGCCAGGGAACCCTTCAATTCACAGGGTAAAAATTCACAGCACACCATTACTTTTTCCATAGAACCATAAAAAGCTAGTGTTGAAAGAGACCATGGAAGCCATTCAACCTAATCTTTCTAGTAATCAAGAAAATTTTTGCACTATCTCTCACATCTTTTTTTTTGAGATGGAGTCTTGCTCTGTTGCCCAGGCTAGAGTACGGTGGTGCAATCTCGGCTCACTGCAAGCTCCGCCTCCCAGGTTCACGCCATTCTCCTGCCTCAGCCTCCGGAGTAGCTGGGACTACAGGTGCCCGCCACCACGCCCAGCTAATTTTTTTGTATTTTTAGTAGAGACGGGGTTTCACCGTGTTAGCCAGGATGGTCTCAATCTCCTGACCTCATGATCCGCCCGTCGCAGCCTCCCAAAGTGCTGGGATTATAGGCGTGAGCCACCGCGCCCGGCGGCACTATCTCTCACATCTTATTTTCATAGTAATAAAAAGCCTGCCCTATCAAAAATTAAAAACTTTTGTTCCAAGAAAGACACTGTCTAGAGAATGAAAAGACAAGCCGCAGACTAGGGAAAAAAAATAATCTTTGCAAAACACATATCTGATAAAAGGCTGTTATTCAATAAAATATACAAAGAATTCTTAAAACTCAACAATAAGAAAACACACAACCTAATTGAAAAATTGGCAAAAACGTTGATATCAAGTGTTAGGCAAATAAAAAACAAAAAAAAAATGTTTTGTTTTTTTTGTTTTGTTTTGTTTTGTTTTGAGAAGGAGTCTTGCTCTGTCACCCAGGCTGGCATGCAGTGGCATAATCTTGGCTCACTGCAACCTCCACCTCCTGGGTTCAAGCAATTCTCGTGCCTCAGCCTCCTGAGTAGCTGGGATTACAGGCTTCTGCCACCAGGTCTGGCTAATTTTTGTATTTTCAGTAGAGACAGAGTTTCACCATTTTGGACAGGCTGGTCTAGAACTCCTGACCTCAGTGATCCACCCGCCTCAGCCTCCCAAAATGCTGGGATTAAAAGCATGAGCCACCATGCCTGGCAAAAAAAAAAATTTAATGGGCAAAAAATCTAAACACATAGCCCACCAAAGAGGATGTACAAATGGTAAATAAGCATATGAAAACATGCTGAATATCATATGTCATCAGGGACTTGCAAATTAAAACAGTGAGAAAATAGCCAAGATATGAAATTAACCCAAGTGTTCATTGATGGATGAATGGATAACAGAAAATGTGGTATATATCACAATGGAATATTATTCAGACATAAAAAAGAACGAAATTCTGTCATTTGCAGCAAGATAAATGGAATCTGGAGACCGTTATGCTAAGTGAAATAAGCCAGACACAGAAAGAGAAATATCATATGTTCTCATTCATATGTGGGAGTTTAAAAAGTTCATCTCGTGAAGGTAGAGAACAGAGTGATAGTTACCAAAGTCTGAGGGGAAGGAGGCGTGTTGAAGAGAGGTTCATTAATTGGTACAAACATACAGTTAGATGGAATAAATTCTAGGGTTCAATAGCACAGGAGGGTGACTATAGTTAACAATATGTTGTATATCTCAAAATTACTGGATTTGAAATGTTCCCAACACAAATAAATGATAAATGTTCAAGGTGATGGATATCCTAAATACCCTGAGTTGATCATTACACATTGTAGCATGTATCAAAATACCACATGTACCCTATAAATATGTACAAATATTATATATGAATTTTTTAAAAAAACAGTGAGATACTATTATATACCTATTAGAACGGCCAAAATCCAAACCACTGACAACACTAAATGCTGATGAGGATGTGGAGCAACAGGAACTCACATTCTTTGCTGGTGGGAATGCAAAATGATACAGTCACTTTGGAAGACAGTTTGGCAGCTTTTTGCAAAACTAAACATACTTTTGTCATACAATCCAGCAATCACACTCTTTGGTATTTACTCAAATGTGTTAAAAACATGTCTATCCCAAAACCTGCACACCAATGTTTACAGTAGCTTTATTCACAGTTGCTAAAACTTGGAAGCAACCAAGATGTCCTTCAATAGGTGAATGAATAAACAAACTAATATTTTTTATTAGTTTGTTTTATTTTAATAAACAAAATATTATTGTTGTTTAGTAAATGGAGTATTATTCCATTTGAAGTGTTCCTTTTGAAGTGTTATAGATCCTTTTGAAGTGTTACACAAATGTGGCAGCTGTCTTTAAATAAACCCTTTTTTTGTTTGTATTATTAACGTAGATAAGACATCGTGTAAAAATGTTTAGGTTTAAGAACTCAGTATTGTATTGATAGATCGGTGGTTTTTGTTTTGGTCCACACATTAAAATCACCTAAATAATTCTTTAAAGACCCTTGTGCCTAGGTCCATCTCTGCCCTATTAAGTCGGACTCAGAAGTTTATAGAATGGAATATTATTTGGCACTCTAAAGAAATGACCTACAAAGCCACAAAAAGACATGGAGGAATCTTAAGTACTTATTGCTAAGTGAAAGAAGCCAATCAGAAAAGGCTACATACTATATGATTACAATTATATGACATTCTGGAAAAGACAAAAACTATAGAGACAGTAAAAAGATCAGTGGTTAGGCTGGGCATGGTGGCTCATGCTTGTAATCCCAGCACTTTGGGAGGCCGAGGCGGGGTAATAACGAGGTCAGGAGATCGAGACCATCCTGGCTAACGTGGTGAAACCCCATCTCTACTAAAAAATACAAAAAATTAGCCGGGCGTGGTGGCTGGCGCCTGTAGTCGCAGCTACTCGGGAGGCTGAGGCAGGAGAATGGCATGAACCCGGGAGGCGGAGGTTGCCATGAGCCGAGATCGTGCCACTGTACTCCAGCCTGGGCAACAGAGTGAGACTCCGTCTCAGAAAAAAAAAAAAAAAAAATCAGTGATTGCCAGGAGCTCGGGGGAAGGGAAGGAGAAATGAATACATTGAACATGGGATTTTTAGGGTTGTGAAATTACTCTATTTGATGCCGTAATGATGAAGACATGTCATTATATATTTGTCAAAACCCATAAAATGTAAAACACAAATAGTGAACCTTAATGTAAACTATACACTTTAGTTAATAATAATGTGTTAGTATTGATTTGTCAATTGTAACAAATGAAGAAATATACAGGACTAATGCAATTTGTTAATAATAGAGGAAATTAGGGGGTGGAGGAGGTGTTGGTGAGAGGGTAAACGGAAATTCTGTACCTTCTTATTTTTCTGTAAATCTAACAGTGAACTAAAATAATTGTTTATTCATTAAAAGAAGGCTGATTTTTTTTTTTTTTGGGAGATGGAATTTCACTCGTTGCCCAGGCTGGAGTGCAATGGCACGATCTTGGCCCGCCACAACCTCTGCCTCCTGGGTTCAAGTGATTCTCCTGCCTCAGCCTCCCGAGTAGATGGGATTACAGGCATGCACCACCACATCTGGCTGATTTTTTTGTATTTTTAGTAGAGACAGGGTTTCTCCATGTTGGTCAGGCTAGCCTCGAACTCCCAACCTCAGGTGATACACCCGCCTCGGCCTCCCAAAGTGTTGGGATTACAGGCGTGAGCCACCACGCCGGGCCTGATGTTTTAAATATACTAGAAATGTTAAACATTCTTGGTATTGGTTTTAGCTTTTTTTTTTTTTTTTTGTAAAGATTAGAAACCCAGTGTCATTTTAGCTTTTTTACTTTTCACTTTTATGATAGAAGGTGATGGATTAAATTACCAGAAGCCACAGAGTATATACCAGTAACTACAAAAAGAACAGGGATAATGTAAACCCAAACAATGGTTTTTATCCAGGTATTCCCATCCTAATCTGAATGGAGTTCCAGAATAAGAGCAATCTTTCGTTGTTCAGATTTCAAGATGATTCATTGCACAAAAAAAGAAAACTATTGTGATAGTTGTTTTCACTGAACATGTCCATCATGGTGTATCTGAAAGCTCTTTTCCAGGGTGACTCCACCCAAAGCTCCTGCTAAGGGAGCAGCCTAGGCTGTCTTACTCTGCAACACCCACTCATCCTTGCCTTGCCACAACTAATTGGACCAGCATCTGGCACCAGAAGATTCCTATAGAAAAAAAACCAAAGGTAGAATCAGTGTCATGAGGAGGGAGTTAGAGCTGGGGCTATGAGAGGTCATGTCAAACTAAGTTATAAGACAACAGAAACTATAAATAAGCAGGGCCCAGGATGAATTTGGAGAAGTTAGCAGGAAGCCAGATTATACAGGGAAGTCATTGAAAGATTTCAAATATTTAAAATTAGTGTTTAGGGCAAGGTGTGGTGGCTCACACCTGTAATCCCAGCACTTTGGGTGGCTGAGGCAGATGGATCACTTGAGGCAAGGAGTTCAAGACCAGCCATGGGGAAACCTCGTCTCTACTAAAACTACAAAAATTAGCCGGGTACGGTAGTGTGCGCCTGTAATCCCAGCTACAGGAGAGGCTGAGTCATGAGAACCACTTGAACTAGGGAGGCAGAGGTTGCAGTGAGCCGAGATTGTGCCACTGCACTCCAGCCTGTGCAATAAGAGTGAGACTTCATCTCAAAAAATAAATAAATAAACATAAGATGAAATAAAATTAGTATTTAGAACTTTAGAAACTGAATAGTTATTGGAGGTTGAGGACAGAAGTGGCACCAGATGAGGGGTGGCAGTTACTTGGACTAAAGGTGTTGTGAAGGAAATAGAAGTGGGCATATTCACAGTGTATTTTCAAATATAGTTTGCCAAAGATTTAATGATGGACTGAAAGTAGGGAGTAAGGGAGCAATTGGGTGGTTGTTTGTAACACTGACTGAGCTGGAAAGGAAGGGAGAGTAACAGATTTCAAGTTTGTGTCAGTGAGGAAACAATCAGGGAAGCAAAATCACTATAAGTATTATGAAATAAAGGTTTTATTACAGGAATAAGAATTTATATGAGATGAGAGAAGCTGAGAAAGTAATGATCCAAAAGGGAGACTTGGAGAATGAGCAGTGTCACTAACCAGTCCTTCACAAGGCTGGGTGAATGGGGAGAGCTTACAGGACAATCTGGAAGCCAGCCATGTCTCGTTCCTGGAGTGAGACCATGAAAAGGAACTATCTAGAAGGCTGTTCTTCGCCAGGCATGGTGGCTCACACCTGTAATCCTGGGACTTTGGAAGGCTGAGGCCAGCAGATCGCTTGAGCCCAGGAGTTCAAGACCAGCCTAGGCAACATGGTGAAACCCCCATCTCTACAAAAATTAGCAGGGCAAAGTGGTGCGCACCTGTAGTCTCAGCTACTTGGGAGGCTGAGGTAGGATCACTTGAGCCCAGGAGGTCAAATCTGCCGTGAGCTGAGATTGTACCACTGCACTCCAGGACGAGATTTTTGTCTCAAAAAAAAAAAAAAAAAAAAAAAAGGCTGTTTTGTGGCTGGTGGCAGGCCTGTGGTCGCTGTTGGTTCACAATTGGGTAAAAGAACTGGCTACAGACCAGGGGAGAGCAAGATGAAGATGAAAACCTACCAGCACTTCTGCATGTGCTTCTCACTACATTTAACCAAGTTCACACATTGCATTTTGTTGTTTCTTCAGTTTCTTCTAAACTAGAATGAAAATGTCCAAAACCATAGCAACTAGCTACATGTGGCCACTTACATTAATTAAAATAGAATAAAGTCGGCCAGGCATGGTGGCTCACGCCTGTAATCCCAGCTCTTTGGGAGGCCGAGGCGGGTGGATCACGAGGTCAGGAGATCGAGATCATCCTGGCTAACACGGTGAAATCCCATCTCTACTAAAAATACAAAAATTAGCCAGTCGTGGTGGTAGGCGCCTGTAGTCCCAGCTACTCACGAGGCTGAGGCAGGAGAATGGCGTGAACCCGGGAGGCAGAGCTTGCAGTGAGCCGAAATCGAGCCACTGCACTCCAGCCTGGGCAACAGGGCGAGCCTCCGCCTTAAAGAAATAACATAAAACAAAGTCTAAAATTCAGTTCCTCAGCCACACTAGCTACATGTCAAGTGCCCAGTAGCTACATGTGACTTGAGATGAACACATCAATGTAGAACTTTTCCAATCTTTGCAGAAAGTTCTACTTAACATGTTTCCTTAAAATAAATAATACTCCCTCCCTTTATTTGGCTAGATTGAGGTCTTTAATCTAGCACAAAAGGACCCAATTAGAATAGAGCCACTTGAGACTTAACCACTTATATAAATTAATTGCATTATTGTGTCTATTTTTTCAACTCAGCTGATAAAATGTGACTAGTTCTTCTCTCCCTGTATTTGCATAGAGATTAGTGAAGAGATGAAAAGCCAGCAAGAAGCATATGAGGAAATAAAAGTTCTAGATAACTCAATCACAGATTTCTCCAAGAAGACAAGGACAATCATATAGTTTATCAGATTACTAACTTGTATATCTGTAGTCCTACTTTTATTTTCTATATTTTTTGTTATAAAAGATAATACATGCTCCAATAAAAAATTCAACCATTATATAAACATATAAAATAGAAGTAAAAATGTCCTGTAATCTCATTGCCAAATAGAGCTACTATATAAAAATATGTGTATTTCTTTCAGTTTCTTTCTCTCTAGATATTAATATTATTTTCACATGTTTAACAAGAATGGTTTCATATCATACATGTCATCTTATGACTATAACTAGCTTTTTCACCTAATATGTATATTTGGGCACGTTCTCTTGTCAGTATACTTCATACTTCATATACTTCAATTTTCAATAGTTGCATAGAATTTTACTTTATAGAAGTTTCATAATTTCTATAGCCATACTATTACTGGTTGGATTGGTTTTTTTTTTAATCCATTAGAAACAATTCCATAATAAAAGTCTTTGAGTATTTCTGTTATATAAGCATATTTTGATCTACCTCCTTTTTCATGATCTTGACAATTATTTAAATTTATTGTTAAATTGGCAATTTTATATAGAGGAATTTTCATATAAATAAATGAATAGAACTTTTACAATATTAAATCAGTTGCTAAACTGATTCAATCGTGTGTGTATTTACTTTGTGTAAATGTTGGTTAGGGAAAAGAGTACAAATACAAACCCCAAAGTCTAAAAATGCTCAAAACCCACTCTATAACTGGAAAAGACGTACAAGTGTTAAAGTACAGAAAGGGTAGTTACTGGGCAGAAGGAAAATATAGCCTTAGGGATGGGAAGAAATAAAACTGCATGAAAAGGAAATAAAAGTGCCATAGGAGATTTTAATACTGCATTTTACTAGGCTAAGGCTGACAATAAATAAAGAAGGACAATAATATTAAGTAATTTAATTAGTTTAAAGTAGTATTTTATATATATGTTGAACTTGGTACTTTACAGAAAGTACAACTTTTCAAGCATTTAAAGAATACTGACAAAAGGCCGGGCGCGGTGGCTCACGCCTGTAATCCCAGCACTCTGGGAGGCCAAGGCGGGTGGATCACAAGGTCAAGAGATCGAGACCATCCTGGCCAACATGGTGAAACCCCGTCTCTATTAAAAGTATAAAAATTACCTGAGCATGGTGGCGGGTGCCTGTTGTCCCAGCTACTCGGGAGGCTGAGGCGGGAGAATCCCTTGAACCTGGGAGGCGGAGGTTGCAGTGAGCCGAGATCACGCCATTGCACTCCAGCCTGGGTGACAGAGCGAGACGCTGTCTCAAAAAAAAAAAAAAAAAAAAAGAATACTGACAAAAATCATGCTCTAGGTCACAAAAAAAACCTGCAACAAATTTTTTTTTCTTTTTTTTTTTTTGAGATGGAGTTTTGCTGTTGTTGCCCAGGCTGGAGTGCAATGGCGCCATCTTGGCTCACTGCAACCTCCGCCTCCCGGGTTCAAGCGATTTTCCTGCCTCAGCCTCTCGAGCAGCTGGGATTATAGGCGCCCGCCACCACACCCGGCTAATTCTGTGTATTTTTAGTAGAGACGGGGATTCACCATGTTGGTCAGGCTGGTCTTGAACTCCTTACCTCAGGTGATCCACCCGCCTCGGCCTCTCAAAGTGCTGGGATTACAGGCGTGAGCCACCGCTCGCAGCCAACAAATTTTAAAATGCAAAATTGAATAGCCTAAATCTTCTGAATTCAATTTCATACCTCTACAAATTAACCACAAAAGGTTAGTCAAAAACTATGCCCCAGTTAGAATATTTAATTGGATTTTATTTATTTATTTATGTATTTATTTATTTATTTGAGACGGAATCTCGCTCTGTCGTCAGGCTGGAGTGCAGTGGCTGGATCTCGGCTCACTTCAACCTCCGCCTCCGGGTTCAAGTGATTCTTTTCAGCCTCCCAAGTAGCTGGGACTACAGGCACGTGCCACCACGCCCAGCTAATTTTTGTATTTTTTAGTAGAGATGGGGTTTCGCCATGTTGGCCAGGATGGTCTCCATCTCTTGACTTCATGACCTGCCCGCCGCGGCCTCTCAGAGTTCTGAGATTACAGGCGTGAGCCACTGAGCCGGGCCCAATTTGATTTTAAAACAAAAATTAAAATAAATTATTCTAAGTATATTTTGGATTAAACAAAAAATTAAAGATCAAAATAGAATTGCAATAAACATTTATTTGGGCTGAATAACAAAAGCTGAGCATTAAAATCAACATTCAACAAGACCAAGGCCAAATATGAGTATCATAATGATAAAATAAACTTCTAGAACACAAAAATAAAACCTGATATTTTATTTTTTTAACTTAAATTATTGCCAGGAACAGTGGCTAGCACCTATAATCTCAGCTACTCGGAAGGCTGAGACAGGAGGGTCTCTGGAGCCCAGAAATTCCAGGCTGCAGTGAGCTATGATCTCGAACTGCACTCTAGCCTGGGGAAAAGAGTGAGTTCCATCTCTAAAAACAATTTAATTATTATTGCAATTCTATCATCAAATTATAAATGCCTAAGACTAGCATAGAGGAACACAAATTTCTCAGCACTGTTACCTGCTAGACTCCTCCTGCAGAAATCTGCTGCATGTTTGCCATACCAAACAGATGTTTGCTTTCAATTAAGGCAGTCTGTACTGGGACCTCAAGTCTGAATAGGCATTATCTAGGTGAAGAGGTAGGGAAAGAGGAATCCAGGCTGAAGGAACAACATGTGTCAAAGCAGAGGGGTAAGATAAATATGGGGGCTTCTAGAAATGGAAAAACGTTCATTGTAGTCAGAATGCAGAGTGGGCAAAAGGCAGGGCTGGGGAAGGAGAACTTCTTGCAAGATGTGATATTGGAGAGGTAATATACCGTCATATTAGGAAACCCTTGCACACCACCTGGAGCTGAGGCTTTCGCACTTTTTTGACCATGACTAAAAGAAAAAGATATATTTCATAATACCACCAGCTTACACATTTCATGTATATGTATATAAGAACTATATTTCATGCGAATACTTTTACTATGTCCAAAGCTCTTTTGTATTTTCTATTGCATGTTCACTTTTACTTTTAAAAAATTCTGTCTGTCTTCTACTAGACTACACTGAGCCTTTGTGTGAATTAGAAATAAGTATTCTCTTTAGGCAGATATAGCTTAGAGATTGTGAAGACCAGGCCTTGAAGGCTGGAAGGGGCAGTGGAAAGTGACTTTATCCAAAAAAGATGCCCCTTCCTCAAGTTGGATGAAGCTCCACATATTTGCCCCCAACATTTGGAGAGCGTGGGGCAAGAGTGCAAATGGAAGCCTACATACCCTTAAGTCTATTTAAAACCGTAGACCAATCTAACAAACCAATAAATAAAATGTGTTCTGGCCGGGCGTGGTGGCTCACAGCAGTAATCCTAGCACTTTGGGAGGCCGAGTAAGGTGGTTCACCTGAGTCAGGAGTTCAAGACCAGCCTGGCTAACATGGTGAAACCCCATCTCTACAAAAATACAAAATATTTGCTGGGCATTATGGCAGGTGCTTGTAATCCCAGCTACTCAGTAGGCTGAGGTGGGAGAATTGCTTGAACCTGGGAGGGGGAGGTTGCAGTGAGCCGAGATGGCACCGTTGCACTCCAGCCTGGATGACAGAGAGATTCCGTCTCAAAAAAAAAAAAAAAAAAGGTTTCTACCCTTCTACCTCAACTTATATAACTTCATAGTGACCTCAAAGATTCAGGTTCCAATTTAGAATTCTTGGACTCAGAATTCAATGTAGGCACATAACTTCAAGCCTGCTCCCCTTCTTTTCCCACCCTGAATTCCACCCTATCCAAAAAGGGCTTTTTGTCCATTTACATCTGAACACTCTGTCCTACTAATCTCACAGTCCTGGAGAGTAGAAGTCTGAAATCAAAGTTGGTAGAGCCATGCTCCCTCTGAAACCTTTCTTGTCTCTTCTCAGCTTCTGGTGGTATTCAGGCAATCCATGGCATTCCTTGGCTTGCAGCTGCATAACTCCAACCTCCACCTTTATCATCACATGATATTCTTTCTGTGTCTCTGTCTTTTTTATGGCCCTCTGTTATAAAGACTGCAGTCATATTGGATTAGGACCCACCCTACTCCAGCATCACCTCATTTTAACTCACTACATCTGCAATGATCCTATTTCCATTCTGTGGTACTAGGGATTAAGACTTCAACATATCTTTTTTGGGAAGACATAATTCAACCTATAACAAACTAGTAAATTCTGTATTTGTTGAATGAATGAATGTGATTCAGAACGCTGGAGGAGAAATTTGCCTTACTCCAGAGGACACCATACTATTGTAGTGAGAGGGAATGAAAAACAGTGGATACAAATGAAAGCTGGTGTAAGGAAATTGTGTCATCTGACAACATCAAAATTCTCCATGAAGGAGGTAAAATCATATTTTTAGGTGAGGAAAGAATTGGGATAGGGGAGAAAGGAGTGAAGAGATGTGGAGGAGAAAGGAAGTCTGAGGAACGAAAACTGACAAAGTGGCTGGGCACGGTGGCTCATGCTTGTAATCCCAGCACTTTAGGAGGCTGACACAGATGTATCACGAGGTCAGGAGTTCTAGACCAGCCTGACCAACATGGTGAAACCCTGTCTCTACTAAAAATACAAAAATTAGCCAGGTGTGTTGGCACGTGCCTGTAGTCCCAGCTACTCAGGAGGCTGAGGTGGGAGAATCACTGAACCTGGGAGGTGGAGGTTGCAGTGAGCCGAGACCATGCCATTGCACTCCAGCCTGGGTGACAGAGTGATACTCCGTCTCAAAAAAAAAAAAAAGAAAAAAGAAAAAAAAAGAAAACTGATAAGGGAAATAAGAATTGCCTGTAGTATTGAGAGCCCGGTTGAGTTGGAGACTATAAATTTATGGTGGCATAAGTCTGTGCTGCCATGTGATTTAGGCAGCAAGGCTCAGTAATACTGGCATGTTATTGGGAAAGGCAACTGGTTGAATCAATCCATAGCTGGGGTTTTTCCAGGTAGTGTTACAGACTAATGGGTTCTTCTTGCCCACTGCACAGAAAAGCCAATACAATGAGATAGCAGTGTTGCAGCAGAGAGTTTAATTATAGCAAGGCAACTGAATGGAAGGATAGGAGATATTTCTCAAATCTGACTCCCCGAGAACTCAGAGGCTAGGGTTTTGAAAGATAATTTGGTGGACTGGGTTTAGGGAATGAATACTGCTGATTGGTTAGGGATGAAATCATAGGGACATTGAAATTGTCTTTGTGCCCTGAATCAGTTTCTGCATGGGGGGTGTCAGGGAATCACAGGACCCACAGAGTCAGTTCTTTGGCATGGGTCACAGGTACAGTTAGCATCTGCCAGGATGCCAAAGTCTGAAAAATATCTCAAAGACCAGTCTTAGATTTTACAATAGTAATGTTATTTATAGGAGCAATTAGGGTTACAAATCTTGTGACCTCCAGCTCTGTAACTCCTGAAGAGTAAACAATTATAGAAAAGCAAGCTAGGGAACAATGGCTTGTTATCGTTTAACTGTATCTACATCTTCACAGAATTCAGGCCACTCCCATAATTCTAACCTTGTGGACTTTCATTAGCTTTAGGGAGGTAGTTTTGGTTCCTGAACAATAAGGGTTAGTTTTAAGAAGGGACTGCTGTCATCCTTGCTTTAAACTATAAACTAAAGTCTTCCCATAGTTAGCTTGAACTATGCCTGGGAATGAGCAAGAGTAGTTAGGCCTTGTGAAGTTAGAAGCAAGATAGAGTCAGTTATGTTAGATTTCTCTCATTGTTATAATTTTTGCAAAAGTGATTTCAGTAGTTGCCCAGGAAAGAAGACAGGGTAAGGAAGTTGGGAATATTGCACGAGAGGGCCACCAATAAACCTCGAAATTAGGCTGGATAGGAAGGGAAGTTAAAAACAAGTAGGATTTGATATGAAATGCAGAGGTCCTTAACTTTTCATGCCATAGACACTTTGCCAGTCTGGTGAAGCCTATTGACCCCTTCTCAAAACATATTTAAAAATGCATAAAAGATGCTCTTCAATTTACAATGAGGTTACGTTCCAATAAACCCCATTGAAAATACTGTAAGTTGAAAATGCATTTAATATAACTAACCTACTGAACATCATAGTTTTCTTAGTCTACCTTAAATGTGCTCAGAACACTTACTTTATCTTATAATTAGACAGAATCATCTAACGCAAAGTTAAAATCTTGAATATCTCATATGTTTATTAAATACTGCAGTAAAGTGAAAAACAGAATGGTTGTATGAGTATTTGACCTACAGTTTCTACTGAAAATGTATTGCTTTCATGCCGTTGTAAAGATGAAAAATCATAAGTTGAACCATTGTAAGTTGGGGACCATCTGTATAAGATTACAAATGAAACCCTTTACATTAAAATACAACTATCAAAATATTTAAACAAACCAAAAGTGTCCCATAGTAATATATGTGCTTCTTTGCATTAAATAACAAAATCTGTGACAGGCTTAAAGAGTATCATAATTTCTACATAGAAATAATGTAGAGGTTTACATATTTGTATCTGATCTGAACTGTAAGATATATAAAAATAGCTGTGGGTCTCAGTTCCTCTGGGAAGGTAAGAGCCTAACTCTGGTGGGCAAGTGGGCACCTTGCTCCAGTTTGCAATAATTGCCTTTCTAATTTCATGGACATTAGATGCCACATGGATGAAAGAGGCAAACACCATATCCACATCCCATTCTACCCCAAACTTCAGATCCTGGATGTCCTTTTCTGACATGGCAAGCAGGTCCACAGTCACCAGGAAGGTCTACACCCTTTTTGCTGCCCAAGGAGCCATAATTTTCCATTGCTATCACCAGGAGGTCAGTACCTTTCTGCTCCAACTGCAGAGAAATAAGTTATTAAATCTATAGATCTTGCTGCCCCTTTCCACTACCTTACAAATGTTCTTGTAGTCCAGCTACAGGAAGTTCTCATCATAAGTTTTCCATGTAGGCATTATCCAGTGTGATCTGAAGGTGGCTCCCTTCTTCAGCTCCACCTCCATGGGGACACTGCTCTGTGTGAGCCCAGTTCAGATCTCAGGCCCGTTAGTGTCCAGAGCCACAGCAACTAGCCGCTAGAGATTGGGGTCAGAAGCAAGGCTTTCCATAGTTGTGCACACATTCCTGATGGTCTCTGCGTGGTACTCGTAAGTTCAGACAAGCCATATTAATTCCAGACTTAATCATCAACATTTCCACCAATCAGGAAACTAGGCCGATAGTACAGATGATGCCAGTGCTCTGGGCTGTGGGGGTGGCCAGTGAGTGTTCAGGCAGCACACATGCTACAGCAGTGTGTCAGCCACCACCGTGGGCAGCTGCTGAGTCTGAAATGAAGGCCCTCCTGGCTTCACTGTGGGGCTTCCACTTGGCTTCTGAGGTCTTTCAGCGTTTTCTGGCTCAGACTACTTGCAAATGCAGAGAGGTCAGGAGCCTAGGGACATTCACTCCTGTCCATTATATATGTTTTATTTCCAGAATGTCTATTTGATTGTTTTCATGTCATCCAAATTATTTTTGATGGTCTTTTATTTCTGTATCATATACCAATGCCTTCCTTTATTTCTTTAAACATTTTAACATACTCATTTTATAATTTTTATTTAAAATTTCTGTATCTGAAGTCCTTGTGAGTCTGGTCTTGAGGTTTGAAGATTTTGCTAATTCTTATTCGTGCTGGCTCAGTTCCTTGCGTGTTTTGGATTTTTTTTTTTTTACTTTTAAATGTGTTTAAGTTGACATATAATTGTACATATTCATGGGGTACATACTGATGTTTCAATATATATAATGTATAGTCATCAGATCAGGGCAATTAGTACATCCACCATCTCAAACATTTATCATTTCTTTGTGTTAGGAACATTCAATATCCTCCTTCATGTTACCTGAAAGTATGTATTATTGTTAACTATAGTCATCCCACAGTGGTGTAGAACACTAGAACTTATTCCTCCTACCCAGCTATAATTTTATATGCCTTTTTTTTTTTTTTGAGATGGAGTTTCGCTTTTGTTGCCCAGGCTGGAGTGTAGTGGCGCAATCTCGGCTCATGGCAACCTCCGCCTCCCGGGTTCAAGCGATTCTCCTGCCTCAGCCTCCCGAGTAGCTGGAATTACAGGCATGCACCACCATGCCCAGTTAGTTTTTTGTATTTTTAGGAGAGACGGGGTTTCTCCATGTTGGTCAGTCTGGTCTTGAACTCCTGACCTCAGGTGATCCGCCCACCTCGGCCTCCCAAAGTGCTGGGATTATAGGCATAAGCCACCACACCTGGCCTTAATTTTAAATCCTTTAACAAATCTCTCCCTACCTTCCCATCTCCCATACCCCTGCTAATCTCTAGTATCCTTCGTTCTACATTTTACTTCTATGAGATCAACTTTTTTTTTTTTTTTTTTTGAGACAAAGTCTCACTCTTGTCCCCCTGGCTGGAGTACAATGGCGCAATCTTGGCTCACTGCAACCTCCGCCTCCTGGGTTCAAGCAATTCTCCTGCCTCAGCCTCTTGAGTAGCTGGGATTACAGGCACCCACCACCACATCCAGCTAATTTTCGTGTTTTTAGTAGAGACAGGGTTTCACCATGTTGGCCAGGCTGGTCTCGAACTCCTGACCTCAGGTGTTCTACCCACCTCGGCCTCCCAAAGTGCTGGGATTACAGGCGTGAGCCACCATGCCTGGCAAGATCAACTTTTTTTAGTTTCCACATGAGTGAGAACATGTGGTGTTTAACTTTCTGTTCCTGGCTTATTTCACTTAACATAGTGTCTTCCAGTTCCATTCATGTTACTGCAAATGACATGATGTCATCTTTTTTATGACTGAATAGTAGCCCATTGTGTATATATACACACCACATTTTCCATTTTTTTTCTTTTTGAGACAGGGTCTTGCTCTGTTGCTCAGGTTGGAGTGCAGTGGTGCTATCATGGCTCACTGCATGGCTCATTGCAGCCTCAATCTCCTGGGCTCAAGTGATCCTCCCACCTCAGCCTCCCAAGGAACTGGGACTACAGGCACACACTACTGTACTTAGCTAATTTTTTAAATTTTTCATAGAGATGGAATCTTTCTATGTTGCCCAGGCTGGTTTTGAACTCCTTGGCTCAAGCAATTCTCCTGCTTCAGCTTCCCAAAGTGCTGGGATTGCAAGTGTGAGTCACTGTGTCCAGCCTAAATTTTATTTACCCATTTATCTGTTGTTGGACACCTAGGATGATTTCATATCTTAGCTATTGTGAATAGTGCTGCAATAAACATGGGGATGCAGATGACTCTTTGGAAAAAAAAATAGCTGTGCTTTCTATTGGTGACAAACCCATAGATATTGCTAGTACTATTGTGGTGTACAGTTTACATTTGTTATTGAAAGAAATGCTAAATTTCAGTTAGTGTTTAGTAAAAGTATACATATTTTCCCCTGTCCAAGTTCATAGACTTCTTGAATTTTATCCATGGTTCTCTATGGGACAGTGGAATCCCAGGTAAAAAGGACTGAAGTGGAGGGAGAAAGTGGAGGAAGTCAAAGAACTGATAAACCAAATTGTATGGACATTGACATGTAAATATTAGAAATAGATATTACAGAATAGAGCCATGAACCTGGTCCCAAACTCTTCAAAATTAATAAGGGGCAGTAACCACAAAGTAAGAAAATGATAGCCTCGAAGTAAGACAAAAGGTGACAGGCCAAGTGGCCATGAACATGAAAAGATCAGGGGGTTTTACATAAAGATGGAGGAGTAATTGTTAAGAAGTGGCAGTAGGGAGGCCGGACACGGTGGCTCACGCCTGTAATCCCAGCACTTTGGGAGGCTGAGGCGGGCAGATCACTTGAGGCCAGGAGTTCAACACTAGCCTGGCCAACATGGTGAAACCTTGTCTCTACTAAAAGTATATAAATTAGGCTGGGCATGGTGTCTCACGCCTGTAATTGCAGCACTTTGGGAGGCAGAGGCAGGTGGATCGCTTGAGGTCAGGAGTTCAAGACCAGCCTAGCCAACATGGTGAAACCCCATTTCTACTAAAAATACAAAAATTAGCTGGGCGTGGTGGCACACGCCTGTAATCCCAGCTACTTGGGATGCTAAGGCAGAGAATCGCTTGAACCTGGGAGGTGGAGGCTGCAGTGAGCCGAGAGCGTTCCACTGCACTCCAGCCTGGGCAACAGGGCAAGACTCCATCTCAAAAAAATAAAATAAAATAAAAAATAAATAAAAATACATACATTGGCTGGGTGTGGTGACATGCATCTGTAATCCCAGCTACTAGGGAGGCTGAGGCATAAGAATCGCTTGAACCTGGGAGCCGGACGTTGCAGTGAGCCGAGATTGTGACACTGCCCTCCAGCCTGGGTGACAGAGTGAGACTCTGTCTCAAAAAAAAAAAAAAAAAAGTGGCAGTACGGAGCAAGGAAGATACTAACCTTAACTTCATACCTGAGGGAGGAAGCAAGCTGCAGCAAGAGAAAGCAGTACCCTAAGGAAGGAAGAATCAGATTTTAATTAGGGCAAGGACGTGGAAGAAATGCATGCACCCAAAAAAAATGGTGGAGGATATAGGGGTAGTTTCTTATCCCTGTAGACTGTGCAATGGAAGGATTGAGAGAGAGAGGGCCATGTTGGGGGGTAGTGTAGACTAGAATGGCTGCAAATGGATATGAGAGGATAGATTACCAGAGAGGTTTAATTTTTTAATGGTAATATAAACCCACTAGCTAGAGATTATTCTACTGTCCAGAGATAACCAGTGTACCATTAAACATTTGGACTATTTATTGCTATAAACTTTGTCATCAGGATAAAATTAAAGGCAACCTAAATTTCTAAAATTGATTAAATAACCGTTTAATATCTACAAAAATAAAATGCAGCCAGGCGCAGTGGCTCACACCTGTAATTGTAGCACTTTGGGAGGCCAAGGCAGGTGGATCACTTGAGGTCAGGAGTTCGAGACCAGTCTGGCCAACATGGTGAAACCCCATTTCTACTAAAAATACAAAAATTAGCTGGGCGTGGTAGTGCGCACTGCAGCCTGGGCAACCAAGTGAGACTCTGTCTCAAAAAAAAAAAATTAAAAAATAATCCAGGCACAGTGGCTCATGCCTGTAATCCCAGCACTTTGGGAGGCCAAGGTAGGCAGATCTCAAGGTCAAAAGATTGAGACTATCCTGGCCAACATAGTGAAACCCTGTCTCTACCAAAAATACAAAAATTAGCTGGGCATAGTGGCGCGTGCCTGTAGTCCCAGCTACTCGGGAAGCTGAGACAGGAGAATTGCTTGAACCCGGGAGGTACAGGTTGCAGTGAGCCGAGATCGCGCCACTGCACTCCAGCCTGGCAACAGAGTGAGACTCTGTCTCAAAAAAAAAAAAAAAAAAGAATAAAAAAAAATGCTCTCAATATTGCCAATGAAAAGAATGAGTAGAATTTTTAATAATGTTGAAAATTGTCATGATAGAAATTAAATGAGCTGGGTGTGGTGGCCCTCGCCTGTAGTCCGATTTATTGGGGAGGTTGAAGCCAAGAATTGCTTGAACACTGGAGTTCGAGGCCAGCCTGGGTTACATAGCAAGATCCTGTGTCTAAAATAAATAAATATTTTTTAAAAAAGAATATTAAATGAAAGGAATCAGGATGACAAACTGTATATAATTCAAATTTTATTAAAATTTATATCTGCATAGAATAATACATCAAAAATTGTATAACAGTTACCTCTGAGTGGTGGGATTATAGGTTATTTTAATCTTCATATCTTCCTTATTTTTACATTTCATATCTTTTATATATCTTTTTATAATTTTTGTAGGTTAAAAAATAGAGCCTTTAGGAAATTAGATACAGTCAAACACCTCAAAACCTCATGTCTAAAAATTGAAAGTGTATACTTTACTTACTCTAGAGGTATGTGTTCTCCAGAATAATTTTTTATTGAAGTTAAAATTTGATAAATAATTTAAATACCAAGAAAATGGTTAACAGAAAACTGTGTAGGACACAGTTTCTCTTATTTGGATTTCACTGGATCTCTCAAGCTTAATAGGTTGTATTTATTCTTTATTTTTGAGACAGGGTCTTGCTCTGTTGCCCAGGCTAGGATGCAGTGGCACACACACAGCTCACTGCAGCGTTGACCTCCTGGACTTCTCGCGCCTCAGCCTCCCAAGTAGCTGGGACCACAGACTTGTGTTACCATGCTTGGCTAATTTTTAAAATTTTCATAGAGACGGGTCTCACATTGTGTTGCCCAGGCTGGCCTTGAATTCCTATGCTCAAGTGAGCCTCCCACCTTGGCCTCCCCAAGTGCTGGCATTATAGACATGAGCCACCATGCCTGGCTAGTTGTATTTATTCTATATTAAATAGAATGGTCAAATAAATTTAAGTTTCTATTATATGAATCATCCATTAACCATAAATCTACAAAGAACATTAACTTAGTTTTTGAGTATATTGTACTTCCTGAAATATGACTGTTTAGTAAGATAGGCAATAATACAATGGACAAGACTGACATCACTAGTTGATAGAAGTGTTTAATGTGTACAGTTGACCCTGTATCTTTTTTTTTTGACGGAGTTTTGCTCTTGTTGCCCAGGTTGGAGAGCAGTGGTGTGATCTGGGCTCACTGCAACCTTTGCCTCTCGGATTCAAGCGATTCTTCTGCCTCAGCCTCTGGAGTAGCTTGGATTACAAGCGTGCACCACCATGCCCAGCAAATTGTTTTGTATTATTAGTAGAGATGGGGTTTTACCATGTTGGCCAGGCTGGTCTCAAGCTTCTGACCTCAGGTGATCCACCCGCCTTGGCCTCCCAAAGTGCTGGGATTACAGGCGTGAGCCACTGCACCGGGCCAACCCTCTATATCTGTGGGTTTCATGTCCATGGATTCAACTAACTGCAAAACAAAAATATTAGGAAAAGAACAATTAAAAATAACAGTACAACAATAAGAAATGACAAATAAAAATACAGCAACTATTTACAACATAGCATTTACATTGTATGTATTAGTTTTTTTTTTTTTTTTTTTTTTTTTTTTTTTTTTTTGAGACCAGAGACCAGGTCTTGCTCTATCACCCAGCAGCTGCAGTGGAGTGGTGTGATCTTGGATCACTGCAACCTCTGCCTCCAGGGCTCAAGCGATTCTCCCACATCAGCCTCCTGAGTAGCTGGGATTACAGGTGCATGCCACCATGCCTGGCTAATTTTTTATTTTTATTTTATTTGAGACAGAGTCTCGCCCTGTCACCCAGGCTATAGTGCAATGGTGCAGTCTCAGCTCACTGCAACCTCTGACTCCTGGGTTCAAACAATTCTCCTGCCTCAGCCTCCCGAGTAGCTGGGATTACAGGTGCCCGCCACCATGCCCAGCTATTCGTTGTATTTTTAGTAGAGACAGGGTTTTACCACGTCAGCGAGGCTGGTCTCACACTCCTGACATCGTTGGCCTCCCAAAGTGCTGGGATTACAGGCATGAGCCACTGCACCGGCCTTATTTTTATATTTGTAGAGATGGGGTTTCACCATGTCGCCCAAGCTAGTCTCGAACTTCCGGACTCAAGCAATTTGTCTGCCTTGGCCTCCCAAAGTAGTGGGATTACAGGCGTGAGCCACCGTGCCTGGCCACATTGTATTAGGTATTATAAGTAATCTAGAGATGAAAATTACTTAAATTACAATCATGCACAGTATAATTACCTTTTCTGGCCAAAGATGGACTTCATACATGATAGCGGTTCCATAAGATTACAATGCACTATTTTTACTGTATCTTTTTTATGTTTAGATACATATATAGTTACTATTGTTTTACACTTGTCATAGTATTCAGTACAATAACATACTGTACAGGCTTGTACGTATATATATAGACACATATATATACACATATATCTCAAACCATCCTTTGCTGGCATTAAACTCTCCAGCTGTAAGTTCTTCACCTTGTCAAGTGCAGTGGGAGCACTCCAGCACTTTGGGAGGCTGAGGTGAGAGGATCACTTGAGTCCAGGAATTTGAGACCAATCTGGGTAATAGAGAGAGACCCTGTCTCCACAAAAAAAGGAAAAAAAAAAAAAAGCCAGTTGTGTGTGGTGGCATGCACCTGCTAGTTGCAGCTACTTGGGAGGCTCCTGGGCTCAAGTCATCTGTGTGTCTTGGCCTCCCAAAGTGCTGGAATTATAAGTGTGAGCCACCACTCCCTGCCGTGCTGGTTTTTTTGTTGTTTTTGTTTGTTTGTATTTTGTTTTTTTTGAGATGGAGTCTTCACTCTGTGGCCCAGGCTGGAGTGCAGTGGTGCAATCTTCACTCACTGCAACCTCCGCCTCCTGGGTTCGAGCGATTCTCCTTCCTCAGCCTCCTGAGTAGCTGGGATTATAGAAGCCTGCCACAAAGCCTGGCTAATTTTTGTATTTTTAGTAGAGATGGGGTTTCACCATGTTGGTCAGGCTGGTCTCAAACTCCTGACTTTGCAGGTCACATATTTTTTTAACTGAAGGTATCTGATAGACTTAACTTATTCGAACGTAGTGGCTCACAATGTTGTGTTTACTGATATGCATAGAAACACCCAATTTTATTAACAGTTATAGCTAATGCATAATGACAAGCGCTATATTAAACATTTTATATGCATCATTTCTTTTCTTGTTCTTCCTTTTTTTTTTTTTTATATATGTAGTCTCCATCTGTCACCCAGATTGAAGTGCAATGGCGCGATCTAGGCTCACTGCAACCTCCACCTCCTGGGTTCAAGTGTTTCTCCTGCCTCAGCCTCCCGAGTAGCTGGGATTACTGGCACCTGCCACCACGCCTGGCTATTTTTTGTATTTTTAGATTTTTAGTAGAGATGGGGTTTCACCATGTTGGCCAGGCTGGACTTGAACTCCTGACATTTGGTGATCTGCCCACCTCGGCCTCCCAGAGTGCTGGAATTATAGGCATGAGCCACCTCATCTGGCCTGCATTATTTCATTTAATGCATGTAAAGTATCTCTAAAGCATATGCTCTGACTGGAATACCCTGAATTTAATCACAAAGAGAACATATGAGAGCACTGTGGAATCATGAAGACATTATATATCTATATGGACAGGTGGGCTACGTTTCTGGCAGCAGGAAACGGCCCTGTTCTGTTACAGCACTAGCCACAACACAATAAAACCAAATTATGAAGAAACACAATATCTTTTGTTAGAAATTAAATCAACTTAAAAAATTCACAGATTAAAAAAATTTTATTCTATAAATTTCAAACATGTACAAAAATAGAGAAAGAGTATAATAAACTCCAAAGAGCCCATCATCCAACATTAACAATTATCAACTTCAGGCTAATCTTGTTTCATCTCTACCCTTCAACCACTTCCTTTGTTTTCTGTATTATTTTGCAACAAATCTCAGACATCAAATCATTTCATCCATAAATAACTCAGTATATTTGTCTAAAAGATACAGCCTCTTGAACAACAAAAAGAGCCACAATGCCATTATCACATCTAACAAAGTCCCAATTATTTTTTAATACATGAAATAGCCTGTGTTTAAACATATATCTCATAAATTCATTTTTTAAAACAATATTGAATGAGAATCCAACTGGGATGCAAACATTGAGAATGTTGATATATCTTTTCAGTTTCTTGATTTGTAGGTTACCCATTCATCTCGTTTGGTTGGTTTCTTTCCTTGCAATTTATTTGTTATAGAAATCATTTGTAGAGTTTTCCATAGTCTGGATTTTGCTGATTGTATCTTTGTAATGTAGTTTAACATATGTCTTTGTAATCTATAAATTAGTAATTATATCCAGAGGCTTTATCAAATTCATATTCATTTTTGTTGTTTTCAGACAAGAGTCTGAAATAGGCAGAGGCAAATTCTTTCTTCAGGGACATATAATATCTTATCACCTCTTTTTTGGATGTTAGCAGTCATTGATATTTATTGCCTATACATTAATTCATTAGAATGTTGCAAAATGATGATCTTCTAATTATGCCAATCTTTTTTCATTGTTAACTGGAATATATCAATAAAGACAAACTTTTTATCACCTTTTATTTGGTTATGTCAGTACAGTTGGTATTGGAAAGTCCCTTTATTTGCAGTTCTGAAACTGATGATTAGCATCCTTTAACACTTATATTAAATTCAGTTTTTTAAAGTATCATTCTGAATTCATAGATTTGAAGACATGTCTTTTTCTCTATTTTTTCTCTATTACACCTCAATAATAGTCAAATTTTCTATCTTTGGAAAGTGAGAGACTCTCCAAGTTTACTCCTGAGTTCCTTTTTTTTTTGAGATGGATCTCCCTCTGTCACCCAGGCTGGAGTGCAGTGGCGAGATCTCAGCTCACTGCAACCTCCGCTTCCCGGGTTCAAGCAATTCTCCTGTCTCAGCCTCCTGAGTAGCTGGGATTACAGGCACCCGTCGCCATGCCCAGCTAATTTTTGTATTTTTAGTAGAGATGGGGTTTCACCACGTTGGCCAGGCTGGTCTCAAACTCCTGACCTGAAGTGATCTGCCTGTTTTGTAATCCTTGCTGGGATTACAGGCGTGAGCCACCGTGCTTGGCCTCCTGAGTTCTTCTAACACAACTCCAGCAGTCTTGCTACCTGTTATAGCAACGTACAACAAGCTCATCTTGTACATTTCCTGTCTCAGATCTGTTTCCTTTTAGTGGTAAGTGGTATTTAGAGGCCACAATCTGGGCCCTAGGGGTAGGGTTCATAGATTTTGATGTGTATGAATCATACTTGGAGTTTCTGTGTTTTCTTTCACAGTGGTTCCCATTTGACTAAGAATGAAATCCTTTCAATGACCCATTAAGCCCTACATAAGCTGCAGGCCTTGCTTCCTTTCTCACTATGCATGCTCCTTCCTATGGGCCACTGCTATGGAAATGCCCTTTTCCCAGATATATGCACAGATCAATCTCTCACCCTCTGTTAGGTGAGAGATTGAGCTATGCACATATCTAAATCTCTGCTTAATTAATCTCAACTTTTCATTGAAGCCTATTCTGTCAACCCCATTTACTTCAATTGCCTCTCAGATGAGAGAATCCCCATTTGAAACTGCAACACTAATTATCTCCCCAAACCCACTCCCAATGTCTCATATTCTATTTTTTCTGTGTCATTTCTCATTTTTTAACATAGCTTATAATTTATTTATTATATAATGTCCTTCTCCTCTTCCTACAATGTAAGCTCCACAAGGGCAGAGGTTTTTGTTTGGTTCACTACTGTATCTTTAGTGCCTAGGATAGTACCTATACATGGTAGGCATTCAGGATATTTGCTCAATGAACAAATGAATGCAAACCTTGGTATATTTCTGAATCATCACACACTTAGTCTATCAGTATGGTTCAATCTCCTGAGGAACAGATTGAATTGAAAGCAAGCAATATCCTTCAAGAAAGTGAGCTACATCAATATGTGGGGACAAGTCCATGAATTTCAAAACTATCCTGACGTTTCTGGGCATGAGGCCAAACTCAGAACAATGTTTGTGTCCCTCCCTCCCTCCTTCCCTCCTTCCCTCTCTTCCTTCCTTTCTCTTTTTCTCTCCCTTCCTCCCTTTCTCTCTCTCTCTCTTTCTTTCTCTTGAGATGGGGTCTTGCTGTGCCTAGGCTGGTCTTCAACTCCTGGGCTCAAGCGATTCTCCTGCCTCAGCCTCCGGAGTAGCTGGGATTACAGGTGTGTACCATCAAGCCAGACTAATTTTTGTATTTTTAGTAGAGATGGGGTTTCACCATGTTGGCCAAGCTGGTCTTGAACTCCTGACCTCAAGTGATAATGCCCGCCTTGGCCTCCCAAAGTGCTGGGATTACAGGCGTGTGCCACCACGCCCGGCTGCTTTTTTTCTTTTTTTTAAGGGCTAGTCAGTGTACATTCACTTTCGAAAAAGAAATGTAACATAAACTCAGAATCTCCATCAGCAATGAAATTCAAGTCAGAATTACGATGTATCTCAAGGAGTACACCTTACTATTGCTCCAGAGTAGTTTACTGTGTTTAATGCTTTATGTTCTCATTGAAGCAATTAAACTAATCAACTATTAGCAACAATTCCCAAACTGTACTTTTGTTATTTATTTTGTTTTTTGAGACGGAGTCTTGCTCTGTCACCCAGGCTGGAGTCCAGTGGCACAATCTTGGCTCACTGCAACATCTGCCTCCTGGGTTCAAGCAATTCTCCTGCTTCAGCCTCCCAAGTAGCTGGGATTACAGGTGCGTGCCACCACACCCGACTAATTTTTGTGTTTTTAGTAGAGACGGGGTTTCACCATGTTGGCCAAGTTGGTCTCGAACTCCTGACCTCAAGTGATCTGCCCACCTTGGCCTCCCAAAGTGCTGGGATTACAGGTGTGAACCACCGTGCCCGGCCTTAATCAACTACTTTTATACAAAAGTACAGGTTAGGGCCGGGTGCGGTGGCTCACGCCTGTAATCCCAACACTTTGGGAGCCTGAGGTGGGCAGATCACGAGGTCAAGAGATCAAGACCATCCTGGCCAACATGGTGAAACCCTGTCTCTACTAAAAATACAAAAATTAGTTGGGCGTAGTGGCATGCGCCTGTAGTCCCAGCTACTCAGGAGGCTGAGGCAGGAGAATCACTTGAACCCGGGAGGCAGAGGTTGCAGTGAGCTGAGATGGCACCACTGCACTCCAGCCTGGCGACAGAGCACGACTCTGTCTTAAAAAAAAAAAAAAAAGTGGTTGATTAAAATTATTTGGTATAGGTGTGGCCACTCACATCAATAATCCCAGCTACTCAGGAGGCTGAGGCAGGAAGACCACTTGAGGTCTGGAGTTCAAGACCAGCTTGGGCTACACAGTGAGCTCTCATTTCACTGCTTAAAAAAAAAAAAAAAAGCATCTTGGTGAGGAGACTCACATTTGTAATCTCAGCACTTTTGGAGGCCAAGGTGGAAGGATCACTTGAGGTCAGGAGTTTAAGAGCAGCCTGGGAAACATAGTGACACCCCATCCCTATAAAAAGTAATACAAATCAGCTGAGCTTGGTGGCACATGCTAGAGGATCTCCTGGTTATTTGGGAGGCTGAGTGGGAGGATCCCTTGAGCCCAAGAGTTCAAGGTGGCAGTGAGCTATGATTAGGCCACTGCATTCCAGCCTGGGTGACAGAGTGAGAACCTGTCTCTAAAATAATTAATGATGATAATAATAATGATGTTATTTGGCCTATATTTTTGTTACTGCTCATATCCATATTTTTAATGTACTCAATGTGTTTTTATTGATGGTATGGCCTTCAGTTATGAAAAATATGGATATAAGCATAATAAAGACACAGTGCAAATAACTTTAAATAACTTTTTCTTTTTTTTTTTTTGAGAAAGGGTCTCACTCTTGCCCAGCTAGAGTGCAGTGGCACAATCATAGCTCACTGCGGTCTTGAACTCCTGGGCTCAAGCAATCCTCCCATCTCAGCCACCACGTAGCCAGATCCTCCAAGTAGCCCAGCTAATTTTTTAACACTTTGTAGAGACGGGCTTGCTATGTTGCCCACTGGTCTCAAATTCCTGGCTTCAAGCGAACTTCCCACTTTGGCCTCCCAAAGTACTGGGAGTTTACAGGTATGAGCTACTGCACCTGGCCTAATCAACTATTTTTGTACAAAGGACAATTTGGGGTTTGTTGCTAATAGTTGGTCACTTTAACTGCATCAATAGGAACATAGGCATAAAACACATTAAACTTCTCTAGGGCAATAGCAAGGTGTGTTCTTTGGGGTATATCTCAATTCTGACTTTTGAACGTCATCACCAGTAATGATTCTGGACTTACATTATACTTCTTTTTGGGGTATTCAAAATATGAATTTTGGGGGTATAAAGTCAGGCCACAACAGCTTCCAACTTTTCTCATTTCTCTTTTGGAGAATTTAAATCACACCACCAGTTCCACCCTAAAAAACATGTTAAACTCCATTCCATTAGATATTTTATGGATGCCATTACATTGTCCTAGGCACCAAGTTTAAACAGAGATTAAAGGGAAGTCTCTGCTTTAGAAGAACTGACACTCCAGGTCCAGAAGGGAGAAACCAATAATCACAACATGTTATACGGCTCATTCCACAGTATAATTGGAGAGGGGCTTAGTCTACCATTTTCAACAGCACATTTCTATAGCACATCTGATCCTCTGTCATTACCTGTGACAATTTTCCAGCCCTCTCCTGTTTTTTTTTTTTCCTTCCCCGATCAGCTTGGGATTACAAGGTCAATACAGTAATTTGAGCACTTTTACTTGCATCCTCAGTACTCTTGGCCCATTATTCCTCTGCTCCTCCTGGTCAGTTTATCCCTGATTTTGGATTAATCCAGTCTCTGCTTTCTGCTCCCAAGGAGATAAGCACCACACAATACTGAAGAAATATGCTGATTTTTGTTAAAATTGGTGGTTTTCAGCCTCAGCTGATACTTTATCAATGCTAGGCAAATTTATAACTTGTCCATGGTCAGCTCCATTTTCTCCCAATCTGCAGTGTCTGATGAAAAAGCCTTATCATACTTCCTAAATTCCTCATCTTATTCTCTCCTGAAGATCACTTCGTCTGTTACTTTGCAAAGTCATGATCAGACACTATCTTCAGTTTTCATGTTGACCAATGGTCTATATTAAATCCAAGGCAATTTCCAGCAAGTTTTGCTTGGTTCTTATCCTTTTTTCTTGGCTCATTTCATTCCAGGCATCCTTGGTTTTCTACTTAGTTTCTGTTCCTAACAAATATGGCCCTTGAACTTGGCAGCAGATTCCTGCGTCCTGATTTTTGTCCCTTGGCACAAATTATTCTCTAGGATTTGAATAAACCTGGAATGTCCTAATCCTGAAAGGCCACAGGGTTCAACTCTTGGACTTTTTTCTCTATTGGTGATCTCATCTAATCTTATGGCTTTAAATATGCCTTCCATATGTTAACTCCCAATTTTATTTTAGTCAGACCTCTCCTCTGAACTGTGGACCTCTATATCTAACTGCCTACTCAAAAATCCCAATTTGAATAACATGTGCTATTTAAACTTAACATGTTCAAAATCAAGCCAACAATAGAATATTTTTGGGAGTGATGGATATAGTCATTATCTTGATTATGTTGATGGTTTCATGAGTATATTCCTATGAAAAACCCATCAAATTGTATACTTTTTAAATGTACACATTTTTGTACATCAGTTATATTCACTACAGGAGGCAAGGACAAAAGTTTCCTGATCTCAGTGAAGTAATGCATATTTGTAAATTATTGCCTTCAAATGATACATTTTTTGCATATTCTGAAGTGCCTTTTCCATTGCTCTTTTGAAGTGAACTATAATAAATGAAGTAACAAGAAAGATAAAGTTCTCAAATAGGTTGGACTGGACTGTACTTGATTTGGGATTCTGATTAAACCCTCATTAACTCTGACAAACTCAGCTATATGGCATGCTGAGACCTCAGCAGTGGAATAGTAGTACCAGGAGGAGACCAGGACTCATGAGAGTAAGACAAGGAGTCTGGTTCTCATACTGAAAATGTATCCTCTTCTGCCCCAAGATGCTCTCTACAAGATGTTACTCTACAGGATGGAGTAAGATCAGAGGCAGTGGCAATATTCAGACAGTTAAGTCATGTATACTAATATATACCTATAACTAAGTACTATAAGTATTGTTTGGATCCAGAACCAAGCTTTTGAAAAGGCAGGAAGGAGGGTCCCACTCCTATTAAAGGACTGGCAAAAGATAAGCAGGTTATTCTAGTAGGCTGATTCAAACAAAGGCTCTAATCCCAACTGGGGAACTGTTAGAAAAACCATGAAAACAGCTGAAAGCTCTTTCATATACACAGGGCAGTGAGGATTGATGTTAGTTCACAGGACACTTGACTGGGGAGCCAAGCACAGTGGATATTGGGTTTCTGGCAATAGAACTAATTTTAGAAAGCACCAAATGGTAGGTTTGAGCTTACTGTATTTTAAGATTACCTGGAAGCCTGGTGTAAGGCAGAGGAAAAATTCCTGTTGGCTGAAGTCACTAAAGTCAGACACGTAAATTATCTTTCAACTTCTGAAACCAATCAGAATCAAGCATATCCCAGTCTATTATAGTCAAGCTCCTTAAGGATTTTTTTTTTTTTTAGCCTGGTCTGTTGCCCAGGATAGAAGACAGAGGTGCAATCATGGCTGATTGTAGCTTCAACCTCCTAGGTTCAAGTGATCCTCCTATCTCAGCCTCCCGAGTAGCTGGAACAAGCGCATGTTACCACACCCAGTTTTACTTATTTATAGAGATGACAACTTGCTGTTTCCAGGCTGGTCTCTTCCTGGGCTCAAGCAGAGTGCTGGGATTACAGGCATGAGTCACTGCACCTGGTCCCAAGCAGCAGCTATGCTCTGGAGGGTAAACTTAGGAAACTGATCTTAACCAATATCGCCTGAGATTTTAGGAGGCTATGACAGACTAACAGCCTCCTGTGTGATTAGAAATTGCCATCAAGGAGTCAGTAATTGAAACTGAACTTTCAAGTTCAATTCCATTCAAATTAAACCTTTTTGGATCTGACTCTCATTACAGGAATAGTCTTACATTTGTAACTTCCTTGCTCAAGAATCTTAAGGGTATTTATAACATCAGTTTTCTGTCCTACACCTATCCACCCTGTTGGTACCCAAATCCTCAATATTTGTCTCAGACTCTGAACCATACTGTCTTTGCTCAGTTATTTCTTAGGCCTATTGTCCCAACATCTGTGCTGGTTTAGACTCAAATCCACTTGTTCTATTTTCAAGAATCCTTCATAGCTTGACTTTTCCTTGGCATCTTGTGCCACTGTTGACAAAACGGTTTTATTTCAGGAGTCTTGGCAGAGCCTAGCACAAGCCAGTGCATATAAATGTGGAGTACTAATTTCGATAGATAATGTGACATATTAAAAAATCTATTGGGAGGCAAGGGAGGTAGAAGGAGCTACAGGAAAAGCGGTCAGAGGGCTCCAAAGCAACCAGTCTATTTCACAACTTTGTCTTGTTTGCCAGCTTTAACAAAACGGTAATGGCACTCTTCCTTGAAAACTGGAATCTCAATAGTCTTTTACCACATACTGTATAACAGTGCCTGGCCCTATTCTAGGCACTCTTGAACTAATGAAACACAGATCTTAAAATTTTATGCAGAAGTTGTGGGAGGGGGAGAAAGACAATGATTAACAGAGTTTTAAGTACGGTAGGTAAGGGCATCAGAGATCAAGGGTATAAACATAAACACAAGCAATGCTTTCAACTGCCATCTTACACACACTACCTTCATAGTGAAGGTACATTTTCTATCTCCAAACGTTACATGCCTAAGGCTTCTCTCTCATTTTATTTGGTAGTATCAGATAGCATTATGTAACCCATCCTGCCAAATGACCTCTTCCTAGATTTTAGCAAGCCTGAATGTCTTTACCAGATTGTTTTATCAGTAACCTTCCCTCATGACCATACTTAATAAACTGCTATTATTATTCTATTGTGCTCCTTATTTTCTGTATCTCATTCCCCCATTTCTCAACTTAAGCATCCAGGCTTTCAAAATTATAGTTACATCAAAACTAAATATTCCATGATTTGCTTAGTAACAATTACTTCTAATTCCTGTCTCTCCACTCTTACACTGATCCAAAAACCCTTACATTGTACCCTGCACAAACCCGAAACATTCACTCACAGTAATTTGATTACAAGGCTGGTTAGTGGATTTTCCATTTAATGCTCCCCATGTTATTTCAGGACCTATTTAAAAGTAATAACAAAAAGGAACATAATCCAAAATTACATGTTTTATTTTCATGTTTGTAAAACGAAGAGCTTTTTTCTGGATGGTTTTCTTATCAGCTTTTCACACAACAGTCAAGTAAACCTCGTGGCACTAGCCCTAGAAAAGGAAAAACACGAGATTCTTACAAGACTACAAACATTACAACATATGTAAAAGCATTAAAAGTATTAAAAAAAAATATTGTCCTTATAACGGTCCATCTCAGAAGCCAGATCCGTAAAAGTTTTTTTTTTTCAACAGAAGTTCAGGTTCGGGATAAGATCATCACAGATAAGACCAAGGACACAATATTCACTGATCTCTAAGCAAACAGAAAAACTCCACTTACAGAAATCGTTGCAACTTTGGAACTTCCAAGACAATCTGGCCTCTATCAATGGGCAGACAGCGACCCTCACTGTTGGCAGAAAAAAAAAAAACCCAGGATTTTATAACACAACTGTTATAAAATCACGGCAACAAAATTTACTCCACCTCTGAATTACTGGTCTTAATCTCAGAAGCCGAATCCGTACTTATTTTTCTTCAGGTTATCAGCTTCGGGATAGGTTTCATCATTGATTAGACCAATCAGACCTTGTATATGTACACATAATACATTAAACTGCACTTCTGTGACACTGACTACAAACCAAGGTAATGCTAAAAGGCAAGTATTATAGTACAAATACTACAGAACTTTTAAGCCATACAACCTACTTCAAAATGAAGCTGCTAGTCAGTCACATTCGACATTCATTATCTTCACTGGCTACTCGTCCACACTCAGAACGCTGTTCACTGACAAAAAAAATTTGATTTAGTCTAGGTGTGGATTAAATGCTATGCTCAATCATAAAGTACTAAAACAACACATACCTGTTAAAAGTGTCAGGTTTTAACCAAGCGATTTTCCATTAAATATTCTCCCAGATGTTCTGGAAGTTTTTTCGTGTATCTAACAAAAAAAAGTAAATTTCAAACGATGCAACAGTTCCTATTCCTGTAAATCAACAGGTTTACTCCTTTAGTTTGGAAACTAAGCTTAACTAAGCTCTTACCTTTGCATCTTCAGAGCTGCTCCACTGTGCCACTGAAGACAGCGCCATTGTTCCTGCGGGAAATCGGTATTTAAGCATTCTCGCAGAAATGTCACACTCCAAGGCGTTTTTCCACACAAAACCCTTCCCCTTCATTAATCCGAATTGCACACAACGCCGCCTTCGAACAGCTCAGTTTCAATACAGGGTCGAGGCTTCCCATTTTAAAACAACGCCGACGGAAGGCCTTCGCCATTTTAGTAAAGGCCCTTTGCTGTTAAAACTAACCCTCCGCCCCAATTAAGGTGGTTTTTCCGCCGCCGCTCAGGCACATGCCGGAGGCCAGCAAGTTCGGCGCCCGTGGCCGATCAGCGGTTCCTCACGCCAAAACTCGGAGCCTGTGGCCGTCACGACTCAACCTCAGTACATGTGGCAGTCCGGCCGCACGTTTCCCACGTGCAAGCTTTCAACTCTCAGCACTCTAAACTCTTCACTAAGATGTCTTCACAGGATTAAAGCTCTTAACTCGGCCTGCGCCACCATCTTTTGCTCGGATACTAGCCCGCAATACCCACTCACCTACCACCCGCCCAGACGCTCGCGAAGGCCGACGTAAAAGACCGAAGTGCGCAGCCAGTAGCTCCTTATATAGCCTCCCGGAGTCAGAACGAGGCCGTCCCGCCCTCTCGCACCTATTGGACATGGAAGTAGACAGGGGTGTGGTCGCGAATTAGCGGGAGCGCGCGCGGTGGCTCTTCTGAGGCCCGTTCCGCGTTGTGGAGCGCGCCGCAGGCCGGCCGCGCGCCCGGCCATTTCCCGGCGCGCGCCCGCAGGCGCACTGCGAAGCGTCTCTTACGAGTCTGGCGGCCGACTTGGCCCTACGTGGCGCGGGTGTGGCGCCAGAATTCAAACAGCTGCAGTTGGAAACGACGCTTTCGCCTGCCACGAGCCAAGTCCGTCCAGGACAGATTGGGTCCGAGAGTGGACACAAGTTTTGCAGCGCAGGGCGGCCTCAGCTTAGGACCGATTCGAGAAGCTGGGCTGGCTGGCTGGCTGGCGCTGGGCTGTAGTGGGCCCCCAGCGGAGGCCGCCGGAGGAGCGGGCGAGCCCTGGCCGCAGCACTCCGGGAAAGGGCAGTTGGCTGGCAGAAACGCTTGGGTGAAAAAGCGGAAAGCGCCACGTGAGAACAGCCCCGGCGTGCGGCCCTGCAGGGCCTCAGGGCGGGCATCAAGGCCCCATGGGGATCCATTCCTCCTCACGCTTCCTCGTGCCAGGCATCCGGTTACACTAAACGTGACCATACAAGTCTCCCTCAAACAGCGAACGTGAGGTTCAATACTCCATTTCGCAGAGGAGAAAACTGAGGCTTAAAACAGCCAGGTAATTTGCCTAAGGTCACACAGCTGAAATGCTTTGCTAATTTTTAACTTCTTTGTACTCAATTAGTTATATTGAAAACGAGAGAAAGATTAATTTGAGAAGTATCCCTGAATACTTTATCCAGACGACAAACACAAAATTCAAAAGCAGTGCTTTGATTAATTAGCATGTTCGAGTGAATATGTCTGCGTGTGTGTGTGTGCACACGACATTTGAACATTTCAGTATTTGAAAATTCAGGTCGTTCTTCACTTCTATATTTCAAAGCACTACTTATTAAAGTTGTTTATGTGTGCATTTGATTACGGTCCGATTCTGCTAGAGTGTGGGAGCAACACATCTGATTTCGTGCTCTGCTGTTTATTTTTTCTTAGAACAGTGCCTAGCATTAAGTAGGTTGTCGGTAATGGTTAAATGAATGAATGAATGAACAAATACATTCGGTGGCTTTTTAGAAAATTAGAATGAAGATCAAACTTCACATTCAAAGATAGTAGTGAAAAGCACTTTTCTCTAACAGGAACCTATATGATGAAGTATTGACTGGGCCGGGCATTTTGTCGGTTTTTGTATTACTTTGTAATGTCTTACATAAATTTGCATATTGCTCATAGTAAATAGTAAAACAAACAATACAGTACAAAAGGATATAAGAAGCAAAGTAGGCCGGGTGTGGTGGCTTATGTCTGTAATTAGAGCACTTTTGGAGGCTGAGGTGGGAGGATTGAGCCCAAGACCCTGTCTCTATTGTATTAAAAAAATTTTTAAAAAGAGTTAACAAAAAAAGCAAAGTGAAAGTATCTTTCCACATGCCTGGGAATCTTCTCCCTAGTTGTACTCTTCAGCAATACCACTGTTAACAGTTTTTGAGACTTCCTATGCAAATGCAAATATATGTACTTCGTTTTTCACATACAAATGGGATCTATATGTTCTGCAACTTGTTTGTCCGTCTTGTAAATATCATAAACATCTTTCCATATCAGTACATATAGATGACTTTTTTTTTCCAGACAAGGTCTCACTTTGTGACCCAGGCTGGAGTGCAGTGGCTCTATCTCTGTTCACTGCAATCTCGGGATCAAGTGATCCTTCTGCCTCAGCCCACCAACCATGTGGGACTACAAGCACGCGCCATCACGCCCTGTAATTTTTCTGTATTTTTCGTAGAGATAGAGTTTCTGCCATTCTGAAGACCACAAACATCACCTGGTCAAAAGCCATATAAAACAGTGATTCCTTACCCTGACTTACCAGTTAAAATCTGGTAAGTTAAAAAATATCAAATTTCTGGGCCCGAACCTGGAACCTTGAAAGCATAATGTTCAAAAGTGGGACCCAAAAATCCACATTTTAAACAAGCATTAGAGGCAATACTGTCCAATTGGAATATAATATGAACCACAAATGCAAGCTACACACGTAATTAAAAATGTACTAGTAGCCATATATATATATATATATATTTTTTTTTTTTTTTTTTTTTTTGAGAGTCTCACTCTGTCACCCAGGCTGGAGTGCAGTGGCTCGATTTCGGTTCACTGCAAGCTCTGCCTCCCGGGTTCACGCCATTCTCCTGCCTCAGCCTCCTGAGTAACTGGGACTACAGGCGCCCGCCACCACGCCCGGCTAATTTTTTTTTTTTGCATTTTTAGTAGAGTCGGGGTTTCACCATGTTAACCAGGATGGTCTCGATATCCTGACCTCGTAGTCCGCCCGCCTCGGCCTCCCAAAGTGTTGAGATTACAGGCGTGAACCACCACGCCAGGCCACACATTTTTAAAATGTAAAAAGGATCAGATGGGCCGGGCGTGGTGGTTCATGCCTGTAAGCCCAGCACTTTGGGAAGCCAAAACGGGTGGATTGCTTGAGCTCAGGAATTTGGGACCAGCCTGGGCAACATGGCAAAACTCTGTCTCTACAAAAAAAAAAATCAAAAATAAAAAATTAGCCGGGTGTGGTGGCTGAGGTGAGAACATAGCTTGAGCCCAGGAGGCAGAGGTTGCAGTGAGCTTGTGCACTGAGATTGTGCCTCTGCCTTCCAGCCTTGGTAACAGAGCCAGACCCTGTCTCAAAAAAAAAAAAAAAAGAAAAAAGGAAAGAAAAATGAAATTAGTTCTAATCTATTTTATTTAACCCAAATATAATCAAAGTTTTTTATTTTGACATAGAAACAATGTAAAAATCATTGAAATATTTTCCATTTGTTTTTTGTATGCAGTAAATGAAATCAGGTGTGTATTTTTTACTTACATCTCAATTTGGTCTGTACATTTATTACTTTTTAACTTTTAGGTTCGCGGACACATGCACAGGTTTGCTATATATAGGTAAACTCGTATCACAGGGATTTTTTTATACAGATTATTTTGTCACCCACGTATTATGCCTAGTACCCAGTAGTTATTTTTTCTGCTCCCTTCCATCCTCCAACCCTCCACCCTCAAGGAGGCCCTAGTGTCTGTAGTTCCCTTTTTTGTATTCATGAGTTCCCATCATTTAGCTCCCACTTATAAGTGAGAACACGCAGTATTTGGTTTTCTATTCCTGGATTAGTTTGCTAAGGATGATGGCTGCAGGTCCATCCATGTTCCTGCAAAAGACATGATCTCATTCTTTTTTATGGCTGTATAGTATTCCATGGTATATATGTACCACATTTTCTTTATTCAATCTGTCATTGATGGGCATTTAGGTTGATTTCATATCTTTGCTATTGTGGATAGTGCTGCAATGAACATTTACGTGCATGCGTGGTCTGTACTTTTCAAGTGCTCAGTTGTCACATGTGGCTGGCCGCTGCATTGGACAGCACACGTGTAGGGTGATTCATATAGATGTTTGAGAACCACAGTCTTAGGGTAAGAGAGGTACTACATATGTGATATACAGTCCAATCCTTTTTTAAAAAAAACCTTCCATGTTATTATTATTCTTTTTTATACGGACAGGGTCTTGCTCACTCAGGCTGGAGTGTAGTAGTGTGATCACAGCTCACTGCAGCCTGGAACTCCTTAGCTCAAGTGATCCTTCTGCCTCAGCCTCCCAAGTAGCTGGGACTACAGGTGTGTACTACCACACCTGACCAATTTTTTTTTTTTTTGGTTGAAACAGGGTCTTGCTCTGTTGACCAGGCTGGTCTCAAACTCCTGGCCTCAAGCAATCCTTCCACCTGGACCTCCCAAAGTGTTGGGATTACAGACATGGGCCATCTTGCTGAGCCCCGAATTACTTTTGATTCAAAAACTAATAACTGTAACAAGGGCAATGCAAAAATGAAATTAACTCAGAGCCTGATAATTGACAACAGTGCCTTCCTGTGAACGTGGTCAATGACTATAAAGTCAGTACACAACTCCTTTAAGATGTTTATCTCTTCAGGAAACAAAGATGAACTGAGGGATGAAGCCATCAGTTATTGCTCCCATACCTAAAACAGTCAAGCGAATTACTACCAAATATTTGAAGTGGCTTAATAAATATCAATACTGAAATTAAAAGTGTCTTGGAAGTCTTCATTATACTGAAAATAAATTCTTATATTCTATAACAAACTTCCTGATAAGATAATCACTTCAGTCATTTTTTTGAAGAAATGTTCACTGAACCCCTGGTGCATGCACTGTGCTTCAGATAAATCTAATGTGAATATACAAAAATCAACCTTGAAGGAATTTGTAGTTTAGTAAAAAGTAAAAGTGTCCACCCAACTTTTTACAAAGTTTAGAAATGAGATATTGTGAGGGACACCATTATAATTTTGACCATGAAAATGCAAGGTAGGGAAGGGTACAACATATGGTGAGCACTTGTTATATGCTGTTAGGTTCTTGTATGTGTTAGATCATGTACTCTTCAAGACAATTCTGGTGTGTATTTTTAACTTTATATTAGAAATGAGCAAAGTGAGGCATGGAGATCTCAGTTAACTAATGTTCCCAAGTGTTTCTGACCTTAAATGCATAATCATGTCACCACGGCATTATGTAGCTGTGCTGAAGTAAGAAATGAAGGATGTGATGATGAGAGGAAGAGAGAAGAGAGGAGTGAAGAAGAGAGGAGAAGAGAGGAAGTGGAGTGGAGCCCAGGTGGCTTAGAGAATGGCAGCTAGTTACTGGTTTGGGAGCAAGGAAAATAAGATAATTCCATTTTGGTTGTGTTAATTTTTGGGTGGAACATTGGTTGGTTATGGTTGTCCAATGGACCATCAGAAATGTGGACCTGAAGGCAGAGAAGAATCAGCACTAGAGGAGGACCATTGGCAAACACTAATGTAGAAGGGATGATTGAAGCTATGTGAACAGATGAGTGTGGAGAGAAAAGGAAAAAAGAGCCAATGGTGGTGGCCTAGAATTAGAATTAGTACTATAGTGTGTGCAAGTAGCTTACAGTAGACAGCCTTAAAAAGATAGTCAATATAAAGATCTGGTTACAAAATTATAAGAAAAAAGTACACAAAGATTTTGGTTAAATCATGGGAGAAACATGTATAAGAAGTTAAGTATTGCAGGCATAATTACCTTATTCCAAAACAGAAAAATAGCCTTAAAAAAGAATTAACAAATTATATGACAATTGAGAAACAAAGGAATTGTATCTCTTAGTCTAATATTCTTTTTAAATTTTTCCCCAATATCTGATCTGGCCAGTAAATTCTAGGTTCCATGGTAGGACAGCCAACTGTAAATCTTACGAATACTCCAAGAAATAGTAAAGTTAAAGAGTTAAATTAGGGAAAATATCTTGTGTATGTGGAAACATTAAGGAGGCAGGTTGGTTCTTGAGTCTGAAGTTCAGAAGAGAGGTCAGGGCTTGAGTGTCATTGGCATGAATAAGGAATTTAAAGCCTGACATGAGTGAGATCATCAGAGAAAATATAAATACAGAAGAGGAAGAAGCCCAGGACAGGACACTGAAACACTGCAAAGTTTAGAGTTCTAGTAGAAAAGGAAGAGCAAACAAAGGAGACGCCTTGGGAAAACTGGAGAATATGATACCTCACAAATGAAGTAAAAAATTTTAGGAAGAGGTAGGTGAATTGGGTTCAATGTTTCTGAAAGATCAAGTAAGAACAGAAATGACCACTGGATTTGGCAACATGAAGATCACTGGTGATCTTGTAAACACAGTCTCAGTGGAATCATGATGATGGAAGTCTACTTGAAGAGATTGAGGTAAGAAGGCAGAAATAGGTCACTAGGTAGAGAGGGATGTAAGGACAAGGCACTCCTTTGTAAATAGGAAATACTAGAGTATATATGTTCATGGGAGTTATTTAATAGAGGGACAGTATTTATGATGCAGGACAAAGAGGCAAAAGTTATAGGAGCCAAGCCCTTGAGAAGCCAAGAGGAGATCCTTTCCAGAATACAAATGGAGATCTTTGATTGGAATAGGGACACTTCATCTGTTTCATTTGTTGAAAGAGAAGGCAGGTATTGGGAAAGGCTATCATGTGCAGCCTGTCCACCCATGCATGGCCACATGAGTGTGCCTTGTGACATGGGCCTAGAAGACTTTTTTTCGTTGAGATAAGGAGTCCTTACATCCTGAGTTGGACATGTCACCTTATTTGGTAGTATCTTTCCATGTTCCGGGCTTGATGTGTACTTCTTTGTTCTTTGTTCTGCTTAAAGTATGTGCAGCACACAGCACCTGGCCAATCCCAGTACTATTACCTATTCCTAGTTGGAAAGGAAGGGGTTTCTTTGCCCACAGCCCAGGTAGGATGCATAGAGACCATTATGCTGTGTCAGCTGCCTGGCAAGACCCACTGCGGGGTACCATACTCAAATCGAAGCTAATCTTGCTCTGTCTCTTCTCTATGTGAGTAAAGTGTTGTTCTATCCAGTACCTCTGTGAATTGTCTTTCCTGGTGATCCTGTCACCTGCAAACCATGCAGTGGGATGACATCCTCGGACTGCTCCTCCTTACGGTAGACAACAGGTGTTACTTGCTCGACAATTTGGCACAGCAAGCAGGGTCTGCCAGTCCAGCCATCTCAGGATGGTGCCAGCTCCCTGAGGGGATGATGGGCTGACTGAGCTGCTGGCTTCCCTCTGGTTGCATGGGGGGGTACATGGGAGTTGACATTCTCCCTGTTAACAAGAATAAACTGGTACAATGGATGAGGGTAGAAATGCAAGAGGTGGGCCCTATGAAAAATATAGGATAACTATACCTTGGCTCTGGCTAGCCAACTTTACACTCCCAAACCATCTGCCGACTCTCACTGTGTCCCAGGGGTTGCAGAAAATGCCTGAGGGGAATCAAAGGCCCCCACACAGGAAACTCCTCCTGCTCTGGTCACTTACAAGTCCCAAGTAAGACCTGTTTTCAGTATCACGTAATCATCGATGGTGTTGCTGAAAATGAAACTTAAAATGAGTACCTTCCTTGAAAATGAAATAAGACTGAAAAACAGACATGGGCAGAGGCCAGGGGAGTCCTAGGTGGCTTTGGTAGTTACTTGTTTGATGAGGTGGTGTTGTACGCTTTAGTGTCTCATACTGAGTGGCTCAGTATAGGTAAGCTAACCACTGACCCCCTGCTGCAACATTATTTTGCTTACATTGAACAGGACAACCAACAGGACAGGGATAGAGATGAGTCCTAGCTGCTCTTGATCTAGGTTGAAAAGATCTTGATAATGGTCTTCCCAACTGTGGGGGACTTCCTAAAATCCACTCGAAAGCCATCCATAAAGCCAAAATCACTCTTAAGGAAAAAGTCATACCTGACTGTGTGACCCTGCTCCCAGCATATGGATGATGCAGTGGAAGCCTTCATGTGACAGAGGTCTCCCCAAACCTGAAGACCCCATTATCCCTACTGTTGTTTCCTGAAATGATCATGGGGAAGCAATGGAAAAACTCCACTGAGTGTCCAGCTTTGGGATAAAAACAAAATGGTTTCGGTGGTTTCCAACAACTTGAGCTGAATGGAGTTCTCAACAATAGGAAGCAATGTCCAGAGGACCAAAAGAGGAAACCAATGGATGTCAAAGGGAAAAAACAGAGAGAACAGGGCTGACCCACAGAATAATATGGCTTTCATTGTTAAAACGAGGGATAGACAAGGCTGGGAGCGGTGGCTCATGCCTGTAATCCCAGCACTTTAGGAGACCGAGATGGGCGGATCATCTGAGGTCAGGAGTTCGAGACCAGCCCGACCAACATGGCAAAACCCCATCTTTACTAAACATACAAAATTAGCCGGGTGTGGTGGCGCATGCCTGTAATCCCAGCAACTCCAGAGGCTGAGGCAGGAGAATCACTTGCACCTGGGAGGTGGAGGTTGGAGTGAAACGAGATTGCGGCATTGCACTCCAACCTGAGTGAAACTCCATCTCAAAACAAAAAAAAAGCCCGGGGGATAGATGAAAGAAAGATTGATGGGATCCCTGTAGAAGATCTTGGCCAATGCTATCAGGCGGAGAGAAGTGTCACTAAATTAGAGGTTAGGATCCTAATCTTAGCCATAAAAACAAAAGTGTGGGCTCATGAGATTGAAAAGATTTAGAATCCTGTATAGTGTCAAGTCCCTGAATATGGGGACTATGACTTCTCTGTGCCCTGAACAGGACAATCAGGAAGACAATGTTGACAGTGAATAGAGTGAGTCAGACAGGGAGTAGGTATGATTGTACTCACCTATACCCTGACCTTAATTAATTAATTAACTTTTTGAGATGGAGTCTCCCTGTGTCACCCAGGCTGAAGTGCAGTGGCATGATATTGGCTCACTGCAACCTCCACCTCCCAGGTTCAAGAGATTCTCCTGCCTCAGCCTCCCAAGTAGCTGGGATTACAGGTGCCCGCCACCATGCCTGGCTGATTTTGTATTTTTAGTAGAGTTGGGGTTTCACCATGCTGGCCAGCCTTGTCTTGAACTCCTGACCTCAAGTGATCCACCCACCTTGGCCTCCCAAAGTGCTGGGATTACAGGAGTGAGCCATTGCACCTGACCCTGACCTTAATTTTTTCAACAAAAATAGAACTAAGGGGGATAAAACTAAGGTCTCTAGGTCCCCACTGGGGACCAGAGCCCTATGCTCCTGCCAAGATTAAAAAAAATAAAAAATAAAAAGCAAATCTAAACTTTTTTTTTTGATATGGAGTCTTGCTCTGTCACTCAGGCTGGAGTGCAGTGGTGCGATCTCTGCTCACTGCAACCTCTGCCTCCCGGTTCAAGCAATTCTCCTGTCTCAGCCTCCTGAGTAGCTGGGACTACAGGTGCATGCCACCATGCCCGGCTAATTTTTATATTTTTAGTAGAGACAGGGTTTCACCATATTGGTCAGGCTGGTCTTGAACTCTTGACCTCAGGTGATGCACCTGCCTCGGCCTCCTAAAGTGCTGGGATTACAGACCTGAACCACCACACCTGGCTGCAAATCCAAACTTTTCCCAGATGGCAATAATCCTGGGACTCTGAAGGAGTAAGGGTAAACTGATGGAGACAGATTCATATGCTTTTGGGTAGGGCCCTTTGGGCCATTTTGGGCACAATGTATTACAGGTATTGACGTTTTGGTTACTTGCAGCATCGCTGCCACTTCAGGAGATATGCTCCCTCACAACAAAGGATTTAAGCCATAACAGTGAGATATGTCAGCTCCCACCTACAACCAAAGTTATCCAAGCCCCAGCAGGTTATTCTACAAAAACAGTACTACATAACAGGTAAATGAAGGGACATGACCCTGTTGATATAAAACTTGCTGCAGGCAGAAGTTATGCATCACTTTATTTCACTGTAACAGCCAAGTCTGGACTGTACAAAAGGCCTCAGGATCCTGGAGGTTGACAGTAGACTACCAAAGATTATATGCTTAGGTGCCACCCTTGGCTCCTGTGTTACCTGACATCATTACTATCACTTAGGCAATGGTGGCCTACACAGAGACCAACACATTATTGATCTGGCCAAGGCCGCCTTCTGGATTCCTTTGTAGGATAAATATCAGGACCAATTTGTATTCACATAAATGACCTACAATACACTTTCACTGTAGTTCCACAGGGATACATCAATTTTCCTGCAAAATGCCACCAATAGGTAGGGCTAGATCTGTAACAAGCACAGTTACCCTCAGATATATTTGTCATTCACTGTGATAATGACATCTTCATTGCTGGCCTGACTGAAACAAACAGGTTGACCAGGCCCTACCTAAGCTCATAGACACCATGGCATGTAGACTGAGCCCTCAAGTCCAAGGCTCAACAATTGGAGTTCCTAGGAGCCACCTGGCTGGTAATCAGAGTATTCTTTTTAAGTAAAAAAAAAAATTACTGTCCTTGATAGCACTCATAAATAAGAAAGGAGCTCAAAAGCTAATGGGCCTGTTTGGATATTAGAAACAGCATGTACCATGTCTGGGTATTCTTTTGGTCCCTTTAATCAAGATTACTCAAAAAGTGGCCACCTTTAAATGATCCGTGGATCATTTAAAGGTGGCTTTAGAGCCCCCAATAACAACAGGCTCTAAAGGTCATACAACATGCAATGATATGGGTCCTGCCAGTAGGGCCAAGGAAGCCTGTCAGAACTACAGATCTCACTTACTCCTACTGAGATTGAACCTGTGATAACAAGATACTGTTACTTGGATGTATTGATCTCTTGGGTTTTAAACTTATAAATTACCTGAGGCAGCCAGTTACACCCCCTTTAAATGGCATCTATTAGCCTGCTTTTGGGACCTGATGGAAACAAATAATCTGACCATTGAAGTGCTGTATGTGACCTTAAAACCTAAGCTGCCCATCCTTATATGGGTACTCACTAATTCTGTTAATAAAACAAGCTCAGCAAAGCTCTGTCATTAGATAAAAATGATATATCTAAGAGGGAGCCTGATTGGGGGCCCAAAGGGTTAATCAACTCCATAAACAAATATCTATTTTGCTGGAGGAGACTAATGACCCAAAGGGGATCCTTCCTTCCCAATCTTAACTAAATGGGTCTCACAGTTAAAAGATGTTCCAGCAGATGGTATGGCTTGGTTCACAGATAGATCCTTGAAACTGAAGTCCAATGGGACACTGTGGCTATCTGCCTCAAGGATGGCCACCTTCTGAGACCAGATAAGAACACTGTCTAATGGGTTGAACTTTATACAACAATGATGTCTGTACAGGCCATTCCAACAGCAAATCCCTCCTATGTATTTGCAGACTCATGGGCCTCACAAATGGGCTAATCATAGAGTCCAGTGCCTAATGGATGAAGAATTAGACCACAAAAGGCTCCCCTATGTGGAAACAAAAACTGTGGTAACAGTTTGCAAACTAGAAAGGAGAGATGAACCTTTTATGCTCCCTATCACTCTCAAGCAAAATGTAGGATAGTAAAATGATAACGTGGGTGACTCAAATAATGCCAATGAAACATGGCACTTCAATGCATATTAGAAAATACTGAGGTCAGATGCAGTTGCTAACACCTGTGGTTCCAACTACTCAGGAGGCTGAGGGGGAGGATCGCTTGAACCCAGGAGGTGGAGGCTGCAGTGAGCCATGATCATGCCACTGCACTCCAGCCTTGGTGACAGAGTGAGACCCTGTCTCAGAAAATACTGAGTTTGGAGTGGGTGGAGAACTAGGCAGATGCCTGATTAGGCTGTGCCTCTGAAATCCCAATCTCAGTATACCCAACCATTCTTTTTCTTTTTTCCCACTGGAACACACTACTCAGGGGTGGTTTGTGGTCTGTGTTGCAGTGGCACCACCAGTAGGGTCTCTGATTCAGACCTGAAGGCAATGCTACCTTCAGGTGCCTCCCTCTTGTGGATTCTGTGGAGATGAGGGAAGGAGTGATAGACTGTCAGGACACTAGGATTCCCCTGGTTGTGTTTGGAACTCCCAATTCCTCCATATAGGTGGACAGTATTTTAGGGCATGTCAAATTTGTTCAGGATGTGACCTTCTTCCCTGAGTTGGATGATTAGGGCTGAAAGGTTAGGGTTAAGCAATGGGATAGTGGATCCTCATGAAAATTGTAGCCTCAGGACACAAAGAGCCTTGGTAGCTATATTTGAGTAAGTGTCATCCCAGGTCATTGAAAAAGAGTGTCTTTGGCCTCAGGAGGTTTATGCAGAGGGGATGGGTTAGGAATATTAATCTTTCCTCTTCTCATTCCTGCTTTGCCTGGCATGACAACACTGATGAGAATCAGCACAGTTGTGGTGAGAAGTGGTGAGCTCAAAGTATGCAGGATTTGCCACCCCACGATGAAATCCCTTTCATCCCACACTCCCATTGTAGTGGCCTGGCCAGTGCACAGTGACTCGAACCTTCTCCAAGCCATCCAAGACCAACAAAACTCACTGAATTCACTAGCCAAGGTGGTGATGGGCAACTGAATATCCTTGATTATTTGCTGGCAGAATAGGGTGTTTTTATGTTATTGCCAACACGTCTTGCTGTGTATGTATCAATAATTCAGGGAGGGTAAAAACTGAGCTGGAGAAGATCCACACTCAGGAAGACAGTTAACATCTATACACTCACAGTTTCCTTGGACTCGTTTTAATCTCTTTATTTGGCTTGATCCAGGCACTTGGGGTTCCTGGGTAAGTGCCTGGTTAAGCCCAAGTGCCTGTTTCTGTAGTAACCCAGATGGAATGCTGTCTCAAAATGACAGGGAGTCTCTGAGATAAACTACACCCATAATGAGTTGTCCAGAGGCCCCACAAGAACCAACTTCACCTCCAAATCCTGGCCAGGTTAGTGGTCCTACCAAATTTGATGTGCGTTACCTGCTATGTCAGCATCCAAGTATGGATTAGGGGTTGGACTGTTGGGAAAGACAGTTGTGCACAGCCTGTTGACCCTTGCATGGCTGCATGAAAGTATGCCTCAGGTCTGGAAGATATTTTTATATGGAGATAAGGGGCCCTAGGACCTATGCTGGGCATATCTCCTTATTTGGGAGTATCTTTCCCTATTCTGGGTGTCATCTGTACTTCTTTATCCTACTTAAAGAATGTACATTATATGACACCTGGCCAGCCCTACTGCTCTATCTGTTCCCAGTGAGAAGGGAACAGGGTCCTTTGCCTGTAGCACAAGAGGGATGTGTGAAGACTATTACCCTATGTCAGCTGTCAGGCAAGACCTGCTGCCATGGCGGACCAATGCACACTATTGAAACTCATCTTGCTCTCTTCTCTAGGTGAGTAAAGCATTGTTCCTTTCAGTGCCTGTGTGAGTCATGTCTTTCTTAGTGACTCCAATACCTGCAAATCACATAGTGGGTTGACATCCTGATGCTGCTGCTCCTGATGGTAGGCAACAAGTGTTGCTTGATAGCAGGATTTATAAGTACAGAAAATAGAGGTCCTCAATCATTTGTATTTTCTTAAATGATTATGAGGCAAGGTCATCAACTGAGAAAGGAAAGTTGGCAAAAGAAAGGAAAGAGAAAAGAAATGTGAAATTGTTATTATGCAGAAGAGAAAAGCAGGCAGACTAGGGAAGTAAAGTAGGATTGACGGGCAGTCTGGAGTGCCCATGAGATTTATGGCCATAAATGTAATGTGAGTAAAATTGTAAGCTTTCTTTTTCTAGAGGTATTCAGACACTTGGGTGCAGGTGTGGAGTATGTGGGATTAATTAGGGTCAAAGCTTTGTCAGGTAAGAAAAGGAAGAAAGAAAGGGCTGGAGGAGTTAACGGCTTTTGCAAGGAAATGATTTTAGCGGTGAACAAAAATATAAGGTGGGTAAGGGAATGCTTTATAGTGAAAAAGGGATGGTGTTCCTGGACTGAAAATTTTATTAAGATCAAAGAAGAGCTTCTGTGCAAAGACTAGAAGTGATAGGACATGGGCGGGCTAGAGAATAAGGTTCTGGAATTTGGGATTTTGGAGGTAGTATAGTTGTTAAAGACAAGAATCAAAGTATTACCATGGGAGTGAGTGGATGGTTGAGATAGAGTGGTAAATCGATCATTGGAAGGAAGAATCATTGGAGGTTGAGAAACTGAGAGTCAAGTTGTTAGGTGGATCATCACTGAATGTTGACAACATACTTATGTTGATAGGAGTATTGGTACAAGTAGACTATAAGACAGGTGCTAGAGTCATCAGCACTGTGAAGATTATAGCCTAGGGAGTTGGCAGATGACAGCAATGAGAAGAAGCTAGTGCTAAAATATCCTGGTCTGCATAAAAGATTATGGGGCTTTATAGGAGGAGAGTTAGGATAAGGTTTGGGAGCCACAATAAAAAGCAAAAGAAGCACTTCTCCACCTCCAGATCTGAGTTCCGTGGGTGATTCATTTTGGGACATTTAAAGTTTGAAATGTCTGGAGATATCCAATATTAAATACCAAATATGCCGTTGAATATACAAGCCTGGAATTTGGAAGAAAGGTGAAGGGTGAACAAATTTGGGATTTGTAGTAGAAATTCATCATTTTTGGTCACCTAGCTTACACAGTGATTCTCCCTTCTTTCAAATTGTCTCATTTTTTTTTTTTTTTTAGTGTGGATTTACCCTTCATTTATTCTCAGCTTATATTATTTGGATCTACTTACCCTAATCCCTCAGGTAGGCCCTGATTGACTTAACCACTCAACAAACCCCACCACTTGGCTACAGTAATTGGTCTGCTGTGATGAACACAACTCACTGTGAGAGTTAGACTGGACATTTTTGCCTAATTATTGGAAAAAAGAAACTTTCTTTTTCCTATTGTGCATTAAACATGGAGGATGTGAAATCTGAGAGTGCTGCAACCTTCTTGTAACCATGAGAGAAGAATCTATTCCATTTGAGAATTAAGTCAACACTCTGAGAGGAAGAGAGAACAGCTGAGCTGTGAGGTGGAGAGAACAAGGTTGTAGGCATAGCATTTGAACTTGATTGATTCCTGTGGCACTGGCATTTAGCCATTCCTTAGTAGAAATCAGGTTCCCCCAGAAATCAGTCAGTATGGAAGAGGGATACACAGGATATGGATACTGAATGGTGTGAATACTGAAAGGTATAATGCATCAGAGCCATTACTATAACAGTCTCTGACAATCTGTTTCTACTAATTCTTAGACCCCTTGAAGCTCATCCGTGGTGCAAAGGGATAAATTAATCCCACTTTACCCCATACAAGAAAAAAAAAATCAGCTATGCTAATTATCTTACATTTCTCATTCAAGATCAACTCCTCAACATTTTCCACAGTGTTTTATGCTACAGGAAGCTGACCTAGATGAACAGCACTAATGAGTTCCCTTGTCCTCTGGCTTCCCATTGGTTTGGGCTAATAGGGAGCCGCAGCAGGAGATTAGAGGGAGGAGGGAGTTGCTGTTGACATCCATTGAAGGGAAGTTTCTGTCAAGGTGGCCATCTCATACCTTTCCCCCTTTCCCTTGCACCTTCAGGCCCAGAAGTAAAGCTCACCGAGGCCCAGGATACTATTACTAAATATTTCTTTAAGACAGAAAGTAAAGGCTAACAGAGATACTATTCTCTTTTTTCCCTACACCTTACTCACCTTGTAAATAGCCTCTTTATTGAACTTTTCTCAAATTATCCATGTTTTCTGTTGGGAATCTAACTAATATTTACCTGATGAACTAGTTTTAAGTACCCTTAAAAGCATACATGCACTCATATACATAATAAAGAATATTCTTGTCTTGTCACCTTGGCCAATTTGAGTTAATCTTTTCGGTTTCTGTATACCAGCTTGACCTCATGGTTGATACATATATTTTTAACCCCATCCTCCAGTGTTATGCAACATTGTCTGAAGGAAAGCTATCTTTCAGTATGTCCTTGGGTAGCACCTTACATCTGTCCATTCTACTGCAGCTTCTCACAAGTCAATTATAGGCAGTGTTAAATAAAATGTTCAGATCATTCTTAAGCACTGATTAGAACGGCTGCAAGCAAATGCTTGCTTAGAAACTGGCTGAGAATGCTTATAGTAATCCAATTTTATACCTTGTTGAATTCTATAACTTGTTGGTAAATTTTATACAATTGCTGTTAGATGTTGTTTCTAACTTCTGTGACATACATCCTAGAATTTTAAATCCCTGAAATAAGGTTTGCAAATGATGTTACATTGACCCTTTCACCCCTTAGCTTTACAATATATGACCATGTGTTATGTATTTTGAGCTGAGCTCTGGTTTAGATAGTTTCACAATTCTTTAAAAGACAAACAGATAACAAACAGTTATTATAGATTGCTCAAAGATGTTTTAAGAGGAAGTCACGGCCATAGTTATGTATTTTATTAAAGTAATTTATCTTTTTTTTCTTTCTTTTTTTCTGGTTTTACCTTTCTTTCCTTTTTTTTATTATTATACTTTAAGTTCTAGGGTACATGTGCACAATGTGCAGGTTTGTTACATATGTATACATGTGCCATGTTGGTGTGCTGCACCCATTAACTCGTCATTTACATTAGGTATATCTCCTAATGCTATCCCTCCCCCCTCCCCCTACCCCATGACAGGCCCCGGTGGGTTATGTTCCCCCTCCTGTGTCCAAGTGTTCTCATTGTTCAATTCCCACCTATGAGTGAGAGCATGCGGTGTTTGGTTTCTTGTTCTTGTGATAGTTTGCTGAGAATGATGGTTTCCAGCTTCATCCATGTCCCTACAAAGGACATGAACTCATCCTTTTTTATGGCTGCATAGTATTCCATGGTGTATATGTGCCACATTTTCTTAATCCAGTCAATCTTTGATGGACATTTGGGTTGGTTCCAAATCTTTGCTATTGTGAATAGTGCCGCAATAAACATATGTGTCCATGTGTCTTTATAGCAGCATGATTTATAATCCTTTGGGTATATACCCAGTAATGGGATGGCTGGGTCAAATGGTATTTCTAGTTCTAGAACCTTGAGGAATCACCACACTGTCTTCCACAATGGTTGAACTACTTTACAGTCTCACCAACAGTGTGAAAGTGTTCCTATTTCTCCACATCCTCTCCAGCATCTGTTGTTTCCTGATTTTTTAATGATTGCCATTCTAACTGGTGTGAGATGGTATCTCACTGTGGTTTTGATTTGCACTTCTCTGATGGCCAGTGATGATGAGCATTTTTTCATGTGTTTTTTGGCTGCATAAATGTCTTTTGAGAAGTGTCTGTTCATATCCTTCGCCCACTTTTTGATGGGGTTGTTTTTTTCTTGTAAATTTGTTTGAGTTCTTTGTAGATTCTGGATATTAGCCCTTTGTCAGATGAGTAGATTGCCAAAATTTTCTCCCATTCTGTAGGTTGCCTGTTCACTCTGATGGTAGTTTCTTTTGCTGTGCAGAAGCTCTTTAGTTTAATTAGATCCCATTTGTCAATTTTGGCTTCTGTTGCTATAGCTTTTGGTGTTTTAGACATGAAGTCCTTGCCCATGCCTATGTTCTGAATGGTATTGCATAGGTTTTCTTCTAGGGTTTTTGTGGTTTTAGGTCTAACATATAAGTCTTTAATCCATCTCGAATTAATTTTTGTATAAGGTGTAAGGAAGGGATCCAGTTTCAGCTTTCTACATATGGCTAGCCTGTTTTCCCAGCACCATTTATTAAATAGGGAATCATTTCCCCATTTCTTGTTTTTGTCAGGTTTGTCAAAGATCAGATGGTTGTAGATGTGTGGTATTATTTCTGAGGGCTCTGTTCTGTTCCATTGGTCTATATCTCTGTTTTGGTACCTGTACCATGCTGTTTTGGTTACTGTAGCCTTGTAGTATAGTTTGAAGTCAGGTAGCCTGATGCCACCAGCTTTGTTCTTTTGGCTTGTCTTGGCAATGCGGGCTCTTTTTTGGTTCCATATGAGCTATAAAGTAGTTTTTTCCAATTCTGTGAAGAAAGTCATCAGTAGCTTGATGGGGATGGCATTGAATCTATAAATTACCTTGGGCAGTATGGCGATTTTCACAATATTGATTCTTCCTACCCATGAGCATGGAATGTTCTTCCATTTGTTTGTATCCTCTTTTGTTTCATTGAGTGGTGGTTTGTAGTTCTCCTTGAAGAGGTCCTTCACGTCCCTTGTAAGTTGGATTCCTAGGTATTTTATTCTCTTTGAAGCAATTGTGAATGGGATTTCACTCATGATTTGGCTCTCTGTTTGTCTGTTATTGGTGTACAAGAATGCTTGTGATTTTTGTACATTGATTTTGTATCCTGAGACTTTGCTGAAGTTGCTTATCAGCTTAAGGATATTTTGGGCTGAGATGATGGGGTTTTCTAAATATACAATCATGTCATCTGCAAACAGGGACAATTTCACTTCCTCTTTTCCTGATTGATTATCCTTTATTTCTTTCTCCTGCCTGATTTCCTTGGCCAGAACTTCCAACACTATGTTGAATAGGAGTGGTGAGAGAGGGCATCCCTGTCTTGTGCCAGTTTTCAAAGGGAATGCTTCCAGTTTTTGCCCATTCAGTATGATAATGGCTGTGGGTTTGTCATAAATAGCTTATTATTTTGAGATATGTTATATCAATACCTAATTTATTGAGAGTTTTTAGCATGAAGGGTTGCTGAATTTTTTCAAAGGCCTTTTCTGCATCTATTGAGATAACCATGTGTTTTTTGTCTTTGGTTCTGTTTATATGCTGGATTACATTTATCAATTTGCATATGTTGAACCATCCTTGCATCCCAGGGATAAAGGCCACTTGATCATGGTGGATTAGCTTTTTGATGTGGTGCTGGGTTCGGTTTGCCAGTATTTTATTGAGGATTTTTACATCGATGTTCATCAGGGATATTGGTCTAAAATTCTCTTTTTTTGTTGTGTCTCTGTCAGCCTTTGTTATCAGGATGATGCTGGCCTCATAAAATGAGTTAGGGTGGATTCCCTCTTTTTCTATTGATTGGAATAGTTTCAGAAGGAATGGTACCAGATCCTCCTTGTACCTCTGGTAGAATTCAGCTGTGAATCTGTCTGGTCCTGGACTCTTTTTGGTTGGTAGGCTATTAATTATTGCCTCAATTTTAGAGCCTGTTGTTTGTCTATTCAGGGATTCAACTTCTTCCTGGTTTAGTCTTGGGAGGGTGTATGTGTCGAGGAATTTATCCATTTCTTCTAGATTTTCTAGTTTATTTGTGTAGAGGTGTTTATAGTATCCTCTGATGGTAGTTTGTATTTCTGTGGGATCGGTGATGATATCCCCTTTATCATTTTTTATTGCACCTATTTGATTCTTCTCTCTTTTCTTCTTTATTAGTCTTGCTAGCAGTCTATCAATTTTGTTGATCTTTTCAAGATACCAGCTCCTGGATTCATTGATTTTTTGAAGGTTCTCCTTCAGTTCTGCTCTGATCTTAGTTATTTTTTGACTTCTGCTAGCTTTTGAATGTGTTTGCTTTTGCTTCTCTAGTTCTTTTAATTGTGATGTTAGGGTGTCAATTTTAGATCTTCCCTGCTTTCTCTTGTGGGCATTTAGTGTTATAAATTTCCCTCTACACACTGCTTTGAATGTGTCCCAGAGGTTCTGGTATGTTGTGTCTTTGTTCTTGTTTGTTTCAAAGAACATCTTTATTTCTGCCTTCATTTCGTTATGTACCCAGTAGTTATTCAGGAGCAGGTTGTTCAGTTTCCATGTAGTTGAGCGGTTTTGAGTGAGTTTCTTAATCTTGAGTTCTAGTTTGATTGCACTGTGGTCTGAGAGACAGTTTGTTATGATTTTTGTTCTTTTACATTTGCTGAGGAGAGCTTTACTTCCAACTATGTGGTCAATTTTGGTATAAGTGCGGTGTGGAGCTGAGAAGAATGTATATTCTGTTGATTTGGGGTGGAGAGTTCTGTAGATGTCTATTAGGTCTGCTTGGTGCAGAGCTGAGTTCAATTCCTGGATATCCTTGTTAACTTTCTGTCTCGATCTGTCTAATATTGACAGTGGGGTGTTAAAGTCTCCCATTATTATTGTATGGGAGTCTAAGTCTCTTTGTAAGTGTCTAAGGACTTGCTTTATGAATCTGGGTGCTCCTGTATTGGGTGCATATATATGTAGGATAGGTAGCTGTTCTTGTTGAATTGATCCCTTTACCATTATGTAATGGCCTTCTTTGTCTCTTTTGATCTTTGTTCGTTTAAAGTCTGTTTTATCAGAGACTAGGATTGCAACCCCTGCCTTTTTTTGTTTTCCATTTGCTTGATAGATCTTCCTCCATCCCTTTATTTTGAGCCTTTGTGTGTCTCTGCATGTGAGATGGGTCTCCTGAATACAGCACACAGATGGGTCTTGGCTCTTTATCCAATTTGCCAGCCTGTGTGTTTTAATTGGAGCATTTAGCCTATTTACATTTAAGGTTAATATTGTTAAGTGTGAATTTGATCCTGTCATTATGATGTTAGCTGGTTATTTTGCTCGTTAGTTGATGCGGTTTCTTCCTAGCCTTGATGGTCTTTACAATTTGGCAGTGGCTGGTACCAGTTGTTCCTTTCCATGTTTAGTGCTTCCTTCAGGAGCTCTTGTAGGGCAGGCTTGGTGGTGAAAAAATCTCTCAGCATTTGCTTGTCTGTAAAGAATTTTATTTCTCCTTCACTTATGAAGCTTAGTTTGGCTGGATATGAAATTCTGGGTTGAAAATTCTTTTCTTTAAGAATGTTGAATATTGGCCCCCACTCTCTTCTGGCTTGTAGAGTTTCTGCTGAGAGATCTGCTGTTAGTCTGATGGGCTTCCCTTTGTGGGTAACCTGACCTTTCTCTCTGGCTGCCTTAATATTTTTTCCTTCATTTCAACTTTGGTGAATTTGAAAATTATGTGTCTTGGAGTTGCTCTTCTCGAGGAGCATCTTTGTGGCATTCTTTGTATTTCCTGAATTTGAATGTTGGCCTGCCTTGCTAGGTTGGGGAAGTTCTGAATATTCTGATAATATGCTGCAGAGTGTTTTCCATCTTGGTTCCATTCTCCCCATCACTTTCAGGTACACCAATCAGACATAGATTTGGTCTCTTCACATAGTCCCATATTTCTTGGAGGCTTTGTTCATTTCTTTTTACTCTTTTTTCTCTAAACTTCTCTTCTCGCTTCATTTCATTCATTTGATCTTCAATCACTGATAGCCTTTCTTCCAGTTGATTGAATTGGCTACTGAAGCTTGTGCATTCGTCACGTACTTCTTGTGCCATGGTTTTCAGCTCCATCAGGTCATTTAAGGACTTCTCTACACTGTTTATTCTAGTTAGCCATTCATCTAATCTTTTTTCAAGGTTTTTAGCTTCTTTGTGATGGGTTCAAACTTCCTCCTTTAGCTCGGAGAAGTTTGAGCATCTGAAGCCTTCTTCTCTCAACTTGTCAAAGTCATTCTCCATCCAGCTTTGTTCTGTTGCTGGCAAGGAGCTAGTTTCCTTTGGAGGAGGAGAAGTGCTCTGATTTTTGGAATTTTCAGCTTTTCTCCTCTGCTTTTTCCCCATCTTTGTGGTTTTATTTTCCTTTGGTCTTTGATGATGGTGACGTACAGATGGGGTTTTGGTGTGGATGTCCTTTGTGCTTGTTAGTTTTCCTTGTAACAGTCAGGACCCTCAGCTGCAGGTCTGTTGGAGTTTGCTGGAGGTCCACTCCAGACCCTGTTTGCCTGGGAATCAGCTGTGGAGGCTTCAGAACAGCGAATATTGCTGAACAGCAAATGTTGCTGCCTGATCATTCCTCTGGAAGCTTCATCTCAGAGGGGTACCTGGCCGTGTGAGGTGTCAGTATGCCCCTACTGGGGGGTGCCTTCCAGTTAGGCTACTCAGGGGTCAGGGACCCACTTGAGGAGGCAGTCTGTCCATTCTCAGTTCTCAAACTCTGTGCTGGGAGAACCACTACTCTCTTCAAAGCTGTCAGACAGGGACATTTAAGTCTGCAGAGGTTTCTGCTGCCCTGCCCACAAAGGTGGAGTCTGCAGAGGCAGGCAGGCCTCCTTGAGCTGCGGTGGGATCCACCCAGTTCAAGCTTCCCAGCCGCTTTGTTTACCTACTCAAGTGTCAGCAATGGCGGGCACCCCTCTGCCAGCCTTGCTGCAGCCTTGCAGTTCGATCTCAGTCTGCTGTGCTAGCAATGAGCGAGACTCTGTGGGCTTGGGACCCTCCAAGCCATGCACGGAATATAATCTCCTGGTGTGCCGTTTGCTAAGACCATAGGAAAAGTGCAGTATTAGGGTGGGAGTGACCTGATTTTCCAGGTGCCGTCTGTCACAGCTTGCCTTGGCTAGGAAGGGGAATTCCCTGACCCCTTGTGCTTCCCGGGTGAGGCGATGCCTCACCCTGCTTTGGCTCACGTTCGGTGGGCTGCAGCCACTGTCCTGCACCCACTGTCCAACAAGCCCCAGTGAGATGAACCCCAGTACCTCAGTTGGAAATGCAGAAATCACCCGTCTTCTGCGTTGCTCACGCTGAGAGCTGTAGACTGGAGCTGTTCCTATTTGGCCATCTTCAGTAATTTTTCAATACAGTTAAAAGTTTTGCCAGCCATTTTTATCATGCAGCCATTGTGATGACTATCTATATTTTGTAAGTACTTTATAATTAAAAAGAATTATAAGCTATCATGTACCAAATGTCATGAATGTTTAGTTAATTTCCTTTTTTTGCTTGTTTGTTTTTTGCGATGGAGCCTTGCTCTGTCACCCAGGCTGGAGTGCAGTGGTGTGATCTTGGCTCACTGCAACCTCTGCCTCCTGGGTTCAAGCAATTCTCTTGCCTCAGCCTCCCAAGTAGCTGGGACTACAGGCGCGTGCCACCATGCCCAGCTAATTTTTTGCATTTTTAGTAAAGATGGGATTTCACCATGTTAGCCAAGATGATCTAGATTTCCTGACCTCGTGATCCACCTGCCTCGGCCTCCCAAAGTACAAGGATTACAGGCGTGAGCCACCACGCCTGACTGTGGATAGTTAATTTCTTTACAAAATTTACAATAGAGTTGGGAATGGGTTATAGTGTGTGGCTTCCTAAAGATATATTTTTCACTTTACACTTGTCACACTGGTGCTTATTTTCCTGTTATGTTCTGGATGGCTTATTTCAGGTACATGGAGGAACTTGTATGTACTATGTCAAGGCAATGGATCAAGGAGCCTTCAGCTCAGAAATGTGACTTAATGGCCTGTCATTAAGAGAATTTTCCTAGCTTATGTTGTGTGAATGATTAGAGCTTGTCAACTTTGTCAAATGATTATACAACGAGGGTTGTTAAATAGAAGGAAACTCAGAATTTCTTTCTAGAAGATGCTTATGTATAAGAACAGAACATGTGAGCTGGACATGGTGGCTCACACCTGTAATCCCAGTTAATTAAGAGGCTGAAGCAGGAGGATCGCCTGAGCCCAGGAGTTCGAGGCTGCAGTGAGCTGAGATCATGCCAGTGCAACTTTGCCTTCTCTTAAAAAAAGAAAAAAAAAAGAAAACAAGATTCTCCTCTATAAACAATAATATTAACACATTTAAGAAAATTATAATACTGTATAATATCTCGTTCAAATTCATGTTTCTCAATTGTCTACAAAATGTCTTTTTAACTAATGTTTTTTGGCCAGAATTTACCAAGCTTCATTCACTGTATTTTGTTGTTGTGTCTCTTTAGTCTATCTTAATTCACAGAGGCTTTCTAATGGCCTCAAAAGTATAAATTATAGCTGATATTTGATCCCCCCAGGAATGCAGTGTGTACATAAAGTCTGTTGGTATTGTTAATGAATCTTTGGATTTACTGAAACTCTTTTCCAAATAAGTTGTTTTACAGTGTATTTTCCCTCCTGCCTGCCTCCCTGCCTCCCTCCCTCCCTCCCTCCCTCCCCCCCTTCCTTCCTTCCTTCCTTCCTTCTTCCTTCCTTTTTGAAACAGGGTCTCACTCTGTTGCCTAGGCTGAAGTGCACTGAGTGGTGTCATCATGCCCACTGCAACCTCGACCTCCTGGGCTCAAGTGATCCTCCCACCTCAACCTCCTGAGTAGCAGGGACCACAGGCATAAACCACCATACTTGGCTAATTTTTGTATTTTCTGTAGAGACAGGGTTTTGCCATGTTGCCCAGGCTGGTCTTGAACACCTGAGCTCAAGTGATCTGCCCGCCTCAGCCCTGCAAAGTGCTGGGATTAGAGGCCTGAGCCACCTCACCCAGCCTAGTGGAGAATGTTAGAACATATATGTTGAAATATTTAGAGGTGATGTTGGCCGGGCGCGGTGCTCACGCCTGTAATCCCAGCACTTTGGGAGGCCAAGGTGGGTGGATCACAAGGTCAAGAGATCAAGACCATCCTGGCCTACATGGTGAAATCCTGTCTCTGCTAAAAATACAAAAATTAGCTGGGCGTGGTGGCATGTGCCTGTAGTCCCAGTTACTTGGGAGGCTGAGGCAAGAGAATCACTTGAACCAGGGAGGTGGAGGTTGCAGTGAGCTGAGATCGTGCCACTGCACTCCAGCCTTGTAACAGAGTGAGACTCCATCTCAAAAAAGAAAAAGAAATATTTAGAGGTGATGTCTAAACCTCACTTCATGATGTCTGTATCTCACTTTCAAATGGTTCAAACAAATATATATACTTATCATATATTTGTTTTATTTCTATGTATAATATGTGGGAAATGGTTCAGCAATGTACATGTGTGTATCTGTGTAGGCACACTGACATATATGTATGTATTTTACCATGTTCTCTCTTCCCTCCTACACACACACACACACACACACACACACACACACACACACACATACTTTTGTTAGTTCTGTTTCTCTGAAGAGCCTTAATCAATACATATGATTTATTTTATTGCTATTTGCTATTCTTTCTTCAATTACTTGCCTCTACTGGGAAATTTAGCCTTTGTCTGTTATTCTTAACTCTTTCAAAACTCTGGAAATCAAGTGTTGTATTCTTATTGAGTTCCTTTAAATTCTTTTATCTAATGTCTGTGATGGTTAGGAATTTTAGTCCAAAATGTTGGCATACAAAGAGTGTCACATTGTTTCATTTCTTTAATAATCAAATCTGCTTTAAGCCTCCTCCTGTAACATAGCACTCAGCTGGGGGATCTCCTTACCCATTCTATTTGTTTATACAAGAATGTCAGTCTTATCAGAACACTAGGGAAGAGATTAGGTTGTTAATCCAAGGTGATTGCTAGCATTACTGAAACTTCTGCTACCTGATGCAGCTTTTCTGAAGCTGGTCCTCTATCTTAAGTCATGTGTTCTTTGAGATGAGTCAGGTGCATTTCACAATGACCATAAGTTTTCTTGAATAGACTTTTCTGTTGCTGTCAACTTTGTCCTAAGGGTTGACCCAAAGGTGGGTTCTGAGGGAGATGGGCTGAATCAGCTTTTCCTGGACAGCTGGAAACCTCTCAGTTCAAGAGGTAATTGGGGAAGGGGAAGTCCAGAAGTCAGTAGCATTGGACAAATATCAAACATCAGGTCTGATATGGTTTGGATCTGTGTCCCCATCCAAATTTCATGTTCATTTGTAATCCTCAGTGTTGGAGGTGGGGCCTGGTGGGAGGTTATTGGATCATGGAGGCAGTTTCTCATGGTTTAACACTATCCCCCTTGGGCCTGTCATCATGATAGTGAGTTCTTGGGAAATCTGGTTATTTAAAAGTGTGCAGCCCCTCCCTCTTCTCTCTCTTCCTGCTCCATCCATGTAACACATGACTATTTCCCCTTCACCTTGCACCCTGAGGCCTCCCCAGGGGTAGAAGCTGCTTTGCTTCCTGTACAGCCTGAAGAACTAATAGCCAATTAAACTTATTTTTCAGGCTGGGTGTGGTGGCTCACGCTTGTAATCCTAGCACTTTGGGAGGTCGAGGTGGGTGGGTCACTTGAGGTTGGGAGTTTGAGACCAGCCTGGCCAACATGGTGAAACCCCGTCTCTGCTAAAAAATACACACACAAAAAATTAACCAGGCATGGTGGTGGGCACCTGTAATCCCAGCTACTTGGGAGGCCGAGGCAGGAGAATCACTTGAACCTGTGAGGTGGAGGTTGCAGTGAGCCAAGATTGCACCACTGCACTCCAGCCTGGGCGACAGAGGGAGGCCCTGTCTCAGAAAAACAAAACAAAACAAAAAAACTTATTTTAAAAAATAAATTACCCAGTCTCAGGTATTTTTTAATAGCAGTGTGAGAATGGACTAATACATGGTCCAAGGGACAAGTTCATTATTAACAGTAAATAATATAAGGAATCATCAGTTTACTCTCTGGCTCCTGGGCCACCTCTTGGTTTGGATGGTCTCTTAGCTTCCTTCTCTTTGTCTATCTCTTTCTTAAATGTAGGCATTTCCTATGGTATGTTCTTGGTTCTTTTCTCTTCTTATAGTACACACTGTCTCTGAGTGATTTAATTCACTGAGTACCTTTTGTGTGCCAGGCACTGTTCTAGGAGCAGGGGTTACAACAGTGAGTTGGTCAGACAAGTCGTTGCTCTCATAATGCTTTTGTTTTAGTGGAAGACAGAAAAAGTAAATAATTAAGGAAGGTAATTTCAGATAATGATAAGTACTACGAAAAATATAAAATAGGAAGATATAACAGATAATGGATTCGAGGGAGCACAGAAGCCCTCTTCTTATAAGATGTGGGGTAAAATTGCTCTAAACAAAAGACACATGTGAAGTCCCCAGACAGAGGGAAGAGTTAATGTAAAATAAAGTTAGCTTACTCAAGAAACAGAAAGAAAGCTAATGTGACTGCAGTACCTTTAAAAAGGCAAAGAATGGCCAGGTACAGTCCTCATGCCTATAATCCCAGCAATTTGGGAGGCTGAGGCAGGAGGATTGCTTGAGGCCAGTGTCATGGGATCCTTGGGGTGTTGCTTTGCCAGCTGGAAACCTCTGTGGCTGGCAGTGCCTTCTGCCTGAGTATTGCTTGTGCCCGCTGGGCTCTTTTGGCCCACTTGGCCTGGCAGTTTGTGCTTGGCTTGTGCTATTGGCCCGGATCCCACACCTGCCAAGGGTGAGCCAGGCACGGAGCAGCCAGGGAGGTGTGGGCCGGTGAGCATGGGGTCCAGCCACTGCACACAGCCAGGCATGCTGGCTGCTGCGGTGGGGCAGGCAGTTCCAGGCACTGACATGGTGCCGACTCCGTGTGAGTCTGCATCTGGACCAGACTACTGCATGCAGCTTCCACTGCAGGCACCACGCCTGGATGAGGGGAACATGGTGGTGCTCAGAAGCTTGGAGATGCCAGGAGCTGCAAAGCCCAAAAGAGGATGTCACAGTTCCGGCCTGGGGAGCCCCTAGGTCTGAGCTCCCTGAGGGGCTGCAGCTTTTCTTTCCTTCTTGTCACCTGCAACGTGGCAAATGAGGGTACATGTTTCAGCCCTGTTTGTGTTACAGCTCTTTCAGTCCCACCATTTGGCTGGTCCTGAGTTCTTGTCCCAACTCCAGGAAGAATGAGGTATGTGGACAACTGGAGGGTGAGCAAGGTGGAGAGAAGCTTCATTGAGTGACAGAACAGCTCTCAGGAGACCCAAGATGGGTAGCTCCTTTCCGCAGGCAGGTTGTCCTGATGAGTGTCCAGCTCTGAGTGGAGAGGAGGCCCACAGTGGGTAGCTCCTTTGTACAGGCAAGTTGTCCTGACAAGTGTCCAGCTCTCAGCAGAGAGGAGACCCACACTGGGTAGCTCCTTTCTTCAGGTAGGTTGTCCCGATGGGTTGAGGAGACCTGCAGCTCCTTCCTGCTGCTGGTAGTCCCAATGTCTACTTAAATCTGGAAGAGTCTGTGGTTTTTATGGGCTCAGAAGGGAAGACGTGCATGCTGATTGGTCCATGGGCAGCCATGGGCAGGCCCAGAAAAAGCACCACTTTGTTCCTGGCTTGAAGGTGGGGTTTCACTGGGGATCTACCCCTTTCTGCTTAGGAGCCTGTCTGCCTCCTGCTGCCATCAACATGCCATCCACTGTGCCCAGGCCATTCGTGCCAAGGGGCACTTGCAGGCCCACACTGAGCTGCCCTCAGCCCCCACTCAGCCTCCCTCCTGTGCACGTCAGTGCCCAAAGTCAGGAGGGGACCTAGGTGGCAGGGAGCTGGTGTGTCAGCCTGGCCCTGAGTGTGCACACCCAGCCAGGTTGTGACAGCACCTGGGCTCAGTCACACTTAGCTCTGCTCTGGAGCAGGTACAGGGAGTGGGAGAGGCCAGAGAGCAGGAGCAGGCACTTCCGAGCCTGTGGGGGCAGGTGGGTTTCCTGAGCCCTTGAGTGCAGGGATGCTCAGGTCTGGAGCCATCACTGGGCAGCCACAGCTGCACCCAGGAGCGAGGGGCTCCCATCCTGCCAACTTGTTAGGGGGCAGGGCTCTTGTCTTTTCCTGGCACCTGCCGGTTCTGTGGAGTGTGCAGTCCTGGTCATGCCTCCCCTGCTGCAGAGGCATCTTCACAGCAGCCACTCCAGATGGGTCACTGCTGCCATCACCAGGAGTTCAAGACCAGCCTGGGCAACACAGTGAGACCCTCTTTCTATTAAAACAAAACAAAACAAAACAAAACAAAACGGAGAATGGAAGAATATGAGATTGGAAGAAAGGAATTTTTTTTTTTTTGAGATGGAACCTCACTCTGTCGCCCAGGCTGGAGTGCAGTGGTGCGATCTTGGCTCACTGCAGCCTCTGTCTCCCAGGTTCAAGCAGTTCTCCTGCCTCAACCTCCCGTGTAGCTAGGACTGCAGGCTTGTATTTTTATTAGAGACGGGGTTTCTCCATGTTGGTCAGGCTGGTCTGAAACTCTCGACCTCAGGTGATCTACCTGCCTCAGCCTCCCAAAGTGCTAGGATTATAGGCGTGAGCCACCGTGTCCAGCTGGAAGGAAGGAATTTTGATTTTGTTCAGATTGTGATGGAAAGTTATTGGAAAGTTTCAGGCACAGGAACAGCCTAATATGATTTACATTTAAACATTTATTTTTATTTTAAATCTTTTTTATTGCCTAACATATTAGAGACAGAAAATTGTATACAATCAATGTATGCATTAATGAATTATTAAAAGTTGAGCATTCTTGTGACTCCTACCTAGGCCGAGATAAATAATTTGGCAGGCAGCCGAGGTGCTCTCTGTGTACCTCAGTGCAATCACAAACCCTTTCCTGCCTGCTGTGGTTTGAATGTTGGTGTCCCCCTGTATTAGTCTGTTTTCATCCTGCTGATAAAGACACACCTGAGACTAGGAAGAAAAAGAGGTTTAATTGGACTTACAGTTCCACATGGCTGGGGAGGCCTCAGAATCATGGTGGGAGGTGAAAGGCACTTCTTACATGGCAGCAGCAAGAGAAAATGAGGAAGAAGAAAAAGCGGAACCTCCTGATAAACCCATCAGATCTCATGAGACTTATTCACTATCACAAGAATAGCATGGGAAAGACCAGCCCCCATGATTCAATTACCTCCCTCTGAGTCCTTGGGTCCCTCCCACAACATGTGGGAATTCTGGGAGATACAATTCAAGTTGAGATTTGGGTGGGGACACAGCCAAGCTGTATCACTCCCCAAAATTCATGTGTTGAAACTTAATCCCTAATGTGGTATGTTAAGAGGTGGAGACTTGGGGGAAGTGACTAAGCCATGAGGGCTCTGCCTCCTTCATCTTCTTTTTTTGTTTCCCCTCATATTTTATCTGTTGAAGAAATTGAGTCATTTGATTTATTGCTTCTTACAGTTTTGAGTTTACAGATTTTATGTTCATAATATTTATTTAAATATGTATTTATTTATTTTTGAGACAGAGTCTTGCTTTGTCACCCAGGCTGGAGTGTAGTGGCACAATCTTGGCTCACTGCAACCTCTGCCTCCCGGGTTCAAGTGATTCTTGTGCCTCAGCCTACCAAGTAGCTGGGACTATAGGTGTGTGCCACCACTTCTGGCTAATTTTTGTATTTTTAGTAGAGATGGGGTTTCACCATATTGGCCAGGCTGGTCTCGAACTCCTGACCTCAATTGATCCACCTGCCTTGGCCTCCCAAAGTGCTGGGATTACAGGAGTGAGCCACTGCACCCAGCCTATATATTTTTTTTGAGATAGAATCGCTCTGTCACGCCGGCTGGAGTGCAGTGGTGCAATCTTGGTTTACTGCAACCTCTGCCTCCTGGGTTCAAGTGAATCTGGTGCCTCAGCCTCCAAAGTAATGGCAATTACAGGTTTGCACCACCCACGCCTGGCTAATTTTTGTATTTTAGTAGGGACAGGCTACTGTCCCTACTGCCATGTTAGCCAGGCTGGTCTCGAACTTCTGGACTCAAGTGATCTGCCCACCTCAGCCTCCTGAAGTGCTGGGATTACAGGTGTGAGCCACCATGCCCAGCCTCGTAATATTTTAACACATTCTTCAGTCTTCTGTACTTTCAGTGCACTGAATCTATAATCTTATTGTGATTCAGGAGACACATAATGTCTGGCTGTCTATTGATGCTAGCTGACTTGAAACTCAATGCCTATGAATTTAATTCTGAGCCACCATACCGAGCCTTATAATATTTTAACACATTCTTCAATCTTCTATACTTTCAGTACATTGATTATATAATCTAACTGTGATTCAGGAGACACATAATATCTGGCTGTCTTTGTTTTTTTTATTATACTTTAAGTTCTGCGGTACATGTGCAGAATGTGCAGTTTTGTTACATAGGCATGCACGGGCCATGGTGGTTTGCTGCACCCATCAACCCGTCATCTACATTAGGTATTTCTCCTAATGCTATCCCTCCCCTAGCCCCCCACCCCGCAACTGGCCCCGGTGTGTGATATTCCCCTCCCTGTGTCCATGTGTTCGCATTGTTCAGCTCCTACTTATGAGTGAGAACATGCAGTGTTTGGTTTTCTGTTCCTGTGTTAGTTTGCTGAGAATGATGGTTTCCAGCTCTATCCATGTGCCTGCAAAGGACACGAACTCATCCTTTTTATGGTTGCATAGTATTCCATCGTGTATATGTGCCACATTTTCTTAATCCAGTCTATCATTGATGGACATTTGGGTTGGTTCCAAGTCTTTGCTATTGTGAATAGTGCAGCAATAAACATACGTGTACATGTGTCTTTATAGTATAATGATTTATAATCCTTTGGGTATATAACAAGTAATGGGATTGCTGGGTCTAATGGTATTTTTAGTTTTAGATCCTTGAGGAATCACCACACTGTCTTCCACAATGGTTGAACTAATTTACACTCCCACCAACAGTGTAAGAGTGTTCCTATTTCTCCACATCCTCTCCAGCACCTGTTGTTTCCTGACTTTTTAATGATCTTAATTCTAACTGGCATGAGATTGTATCTCATTGTGGTTTTGATTTGCATTTCTCTAGTGACCAGTGATGATAAGCTTTTTTTCATGTTTGTTGGCTGCATCAATGTCTTCTTTTGAGAAGTGTCTGTTCATAACCTTTGCCCACTTTTTGATGGGTTTTTTTGTTTTTTTCTTGTAAATTTGTTTGAGTTCATTGTAGATTCTGGATATTAGCCCTTTATCAGATGGATAGATTGCAAACATTTTCTCCCATTCTGTAGGTGGCCTTTTCACTCTGAAGATAGTTTATTTTGCTGTGCAGAAGCTCTGTAGTTTAATTAGATCCCATTTGTCAATTTTGGCTTTTGTTGCCATTGCTTTTGGTGTTCTAGACATAAAGTCTTTGCCCATGCCTATATCCTAAATGGTATTGCCTAGGTTTTTTTTCTAGCTTTTTTATGGTTTTAGGTCTTACATTTAGGTCTCTAATCTACCTTGAGTTAATTTTTGTATAAGGTGTAAGGAAGGGGTCCAGTTTCAGTTTTCTGCATATGGCTAGCCAGTTTTCCCAACACCATTTATTAAATAGGAATCTTTTCTCCATTTCTTGTTTTTGTCAGGTTTGTTAAAGATCAGATGGTTGTAGATGTAGATGTGTGGTGTTATTTCTGAGGCCTCTGTTCTGTTCCTATTGTCTATATATCTGTGTTGGTACTGGTACCATGCTGTTTTGGTTACTGTAGCCTTGTAGTATAGTTTGAAGTCAGGTAGCATGATGGCTCCAGCTTTGTTCTTTTTGCTTAGGATTGTCTTGGCTATGTGGGCTCTTTTTTGATTCCATATAACTTTTAAAGGAGTTTTTTCCAATCCTGTGAAGAAAATCAGTGGTAGCTTGATGGGGATAGCATTGAATCTATAAATTACTTTGGGCAGTATGGCCATTTTTACAATATTGATTCTTCCTATCCATGAGCATGGAATGTTTTTCCATTTGTTTGTGTCCTCTCTTCTGGCTGTCTTTCTTGATTCTAGCTGACTTTGAATCTCAATGTCTATGAATTTAATTCTTTAGGAATTTCAAAACTATGATCTCTAAATCAATTATTTCTTCTTAATTTATTTGCTGCAATACTTCAATAAAGTATTTTCTTTAATCTTAGTTTGGTTATCCTGTGGCAAAATTGGTACAGGAAAGCAGAGTAAATACTGTACTCAATCCTTTTCCTATGTTTACCAGTTTTCAGAACAATTAGCTGGTTCCCTATCATAATTTTTGTTTTTAGTATTACTATGAAATAATGGATTTAAGTATATTTTCATGTGCCTCCATCCACACAGTTATAATTCATAGATGCCCACCTATGGCCAAGGGAGCCTCTTCAAGTTGGCTTCTGAATCATTTTTCCACACCATAGTAGTCTTTGTAGTTTTATGGCTATTGGGTCTGACAAGATGTTCTGGGCTCCTCATTTCCTGCCCAGAACTAAAGTTAGTAGTTCTCTAAGAAATCCTGCTTTCTTTTAGTGGAACATGGTGCTTCAAGGTTACAACCCAGATGCTACTAGGCTAGTTTTTGTTTCTAGCTATTTTCTATGGACAGAACTAGGATACACACACACACACACACACACACATACATGTTATGAGCTGAGTTATGTCCCCCCACGAATTCATATGCTGAAAACCTAACCCCCAATGTGGCAATATTTGGAGACAGGGCCTTTAAGGAGGTCATAAGTGTGGGACTCTAGTCTAATTGAACTAGTGTACTTATAAGAAGAGGAAGAGACACCAGAGTTCTCTCTCTTCATTTGCACACACAGAGAGGAGGCCATGTGAGGACACAGAGTGGAGGAGGCACTGTCTACAAGCCAAGGAGACAAGACTCACGAGAAACCAACCCTGATGGCATTTTTATCTTGGATGTCAGCCTCCAGAACTGTGAGAAATGAATTTTTTTTGTAGAGACAGGGTCTTGCTATGTTGCCCAGGCTGGTCTCAAATTCCTGGCTTCAAGCGATCATCCTGCCTTGGCTTCCCAAAGTACTGGGATTACAAGTGTGAGCCACCACACCTGGCTCCTGAAATAAATTTCTCCTGTTTAAGCCACCCAGTCTATGGTATTTAGTTATAGCAGCCAAAGCCAACTAATATAATATGTATATATGTATATGTGTGTGTGTATACACACATAATAAACTACCTCATGAGATTATATTGATACTTCCAATTTAAATTCAGGATTACATGATTTTTACCTTTTTTACTTTGCATCTGTATCTCCTTTCCACAGCAAGAATAATCTTCGTTCTCAAGAGTATTGGGAATGACATAATTATAATATCTCATAATTACACATTTGTTTTATTCCACATTATACATACAACAGTCTCAGAACAATAATGCCAATACCACCACCGCTCATGTAATTACTGAAAACAGCTAAATCATTTTTGTATATACTTTCTTCATCTTCCCCACTTTTAAAAAATAGATGTATAGCACAATTGCACTGTATCAACAATGTTAATGCATATATAATCCTTGCATACAATATGCTTTTATAATTCTCATCTAATCTTAGTTCTACAAGTACATAAATATTTAATGTTGACCAACAATTATGTCAATATTTCTCTAGTCGTTATGTTATCTGGAGCTCATTCTGTAGTAGATTCCACAGGACAGATGCATGTGAACAATATTCTGTGAATTCTTGCATTTTTATGATAGTTTACCTATGGCATTTACTTTTGAAAGTCAATTTGGATGTGTATAAAGTCCTTGGGTCATATTTTCCTTCCTTCTTAATCATGCTACTTTGTTTTCTTCTGGAATAAAGCATTCCTAGTGAAGTCTGTAATCCCAGTGCCTTAGGAGGCCAAGGTGGGAGGACTGCTTGAGCCCAGGAGCTGGAGGCTGCAGTGAGCCATGATTACACCACAACATTCCAGCCTGGGGAACATAGCGAGACCCTGTCTCTAAGCAAACAAACAAACAAAAAAACTCTAAAAAGATAAGTATAATGACGATCTGAATTTTTTCCCCATGTGAATTACTTTTTTTTTTTTTTTTTTTGAGATGGAGTTTTGCTCTTATTGCCCAGGCTGGAGTGCAATGGTGCTATCTCAGCTCACCGCAACCTCCACCTCCCAGGTTCAAGCCATTCTCCTGCCTCAGCCTACCAAGTAGCTGGGATCATAGGCATGTGCCACTATGCCTGGCTAATTTTTGTATTTTTAGTAGAGACGGGGTTGACTAATTTTTGTATTTTTAGTAGAGAGGGGTTTCTCAATGTTGGTGAGGCTGGTCTCGAACTCCTGACGTCAGGTGATCTGCCCGCCTCGGCCTCCCAAAGTGCTAGGATTACAGGTGTGAGCCACCATGCCTGGCCTATGAGTTACTTTTTATTTTTGTCTTAGGTGCCTAAATAATTTTTTTTCATCTTTTTTAACAACCTAATAATTTTACTAGAGTACTTCTTGATACTAGAAATTCAGGGTCGATTTTTCTCAGCTATTATGCCCCCTCATTATGTATTCCAAATCTTTTTTCTATTTCAAGAAAGTTTTCTCAAATGGTAGATTTTGTTATTTTTTTCTGTTCTCTGTTTCAGTTTTGTTCTTTGGTAATTCCTTCTTATAGGTATAATGGATGCTGTTACTATTATCTACATGTCACTTTATATGGAATCATTTTTATTTCATTGTTAATATCTTTTTTATTTAAAAAAATGCTATCCTATCCACTTATTTGTCTAAAGTCACAATCTGATTTTTGTTCACTCTTGTGTTCCTTCTAGTTTGGTCTTTGTTTCTGAATTTTTTTTTTAATTTGTAATTCTCTCCAGAGTTTTATCATCTCATTTATGAGCTTTTTTTAACCCATTGTTTTTTCATACTGTACTATATTTTAGCTCATTTTGAAATACTAATCTATAGTTTTTAACTGTTTTGTGTGTTTCCAACATTTATAGGTGCGGTATTCTACTTCTTTTCTTTTGAGACAGGGTCTCATTTTGTCACCCAGGCTGGAGTGCAGTGATGCGATCTTGACTCACTGCAGCCCCAACCTCCCAAGTTCAAGTGATCCTCCTACCTCAGCCCCCCAAGTAACTGGGACTTACAGGTGCACACCACCATGCCTGGCTAATTTTTGTATTGTTTTGTAGAGACGAGTTTCCCCATGTTGGCCAGGCTGGTCTCAAACTCCTGGACTCAAGCAATCCACCTGCCTCGGCCTCCCAAAGTGCTAGGATTACAGGCATGAGCCACCGCACTCAGCCTTTTCGTTTCTTCTTATAGTAATTTGCATGTGTGGAATTTGTCTTTGATCACTTTTACGTTGCTCATTTTTATATAAAATTAATTTACCTGACTTTTAAAAGGAGGCTGTTGCAGGATGGGTTTTCTAAATTCTTAGCTCAGCAGTTCCTTCTTTTATTATGTTTGCAAAGTGTTAAAAATATAATGGGTTATTTCTTGAGCTCCCTAAGTTCTGCTTCCTTCCCCTATTTTCACTTTTCTCTTTCCTTTGTCTCTGTTGTGACTGTGCTGCTCAATGTGTGTGTGTGTGTTTGAGACAGAGTTTTGCTCTTGTTGCCCAGGCTGGAGTACAGTGGTGCGATCTTGGCTCACTGCAACCTCTGCCTCCCAGGTTCAAGTGATTCTCCTGTGTCAGCCTCCTGAGTAGCTGGGATTATACGCGCCCGTCACCACTCCCAGCTAATTTTTGTATTTTTAGTATTGACAGGATTTCACCATGTTGGCCAGGCTGGTCTTGAACTCCTGACCTCAGGTGATCCACCCGCCTCGGCCTCCCAAAGTGCTGGGATTATAGGCGTGAGCCACCATGCCTGGCCTCAATGTGGTTTTTAAAAACATTGTTTTATTTATTTTAAATTTTGTGGGTACATAGTAAGTGTATACATTTATGGGGTACATGAGATGTTTTGATACAGTAGTGGAATGTGAAATAAGCACATCATGGAGAATGGGGTATCCATTTCCTCAAGCATTTATCCTTTGAGTTACAAACATCCAGTTTCACTCTTTATTTTTAAACTGTACAATTAAGTTATTATTGACTATAGTCATCCTGTTGTGCTATTAAATACTAGGTCTTATTTATTCTTTCTATTTTTTTGTACCCATTAAACATCCCCACCCCCCTGCAACCCCCACTACCCTTCCCAGGCTCTGGTAACCAACCTTCTATTCTCTAAATCCATGAGTTCAAATGTTTTGATTTTTAGATCCCACAAATAAGTGAGAACATGCAATGTTTGTCTTATTTAATGTAACATGATGATCTCTAGTTCCATCCATGTTGTTGTGACACAGGATTCTTTCAGTGCTGCTTCACCAGCTGGAAATCTCTGTGGCTGGTGGCACCCCTGCCAGAACTTTACTGGGGCCTGCTGGGCTCACCCTTCCCGCTCAGCCTGGCAGGCTGCACTCAGGCTGCACTACCAGCCTGGATCTTGCACCTGCCGCAGCTTTGAACTGGTCTGGTGTGCCACGACTGGCTTCCGCCTTGCTTGCCAGTGTCCGGACAAGGGGGATGTGGCATTGCCCAAAAACTCAGAGATGTCAGCAACTGTGGAGCCCCAAGTGGTGTTACAGGTTTTGCTCAGGGAGTCCCAAGGTCTGAGCCCCCAGGGAGCTTTAGAGTTCAGACCCCCAGGAAGTGGTACAGCTCTCGTTTGTTCCTGCCACCCACAGCTTCAGTGTATGGGGGCGTGTCACAGCTTTTTCGGTTCCATCACCAGCAGCTCGGCAAGCAGGGCATGTGATTCCCAGTGTTTTTTTTCTTCCTCATTGCTCAGTGAGCAGGAGGGAGGGTTACAGTGTTATAGCTCTTTTTGCACCCAGTCCTTCTGGGTTCTTGTCCTGAGACCAAAAGGAATGAGGTACACAGACAATGGAGAGTGAACAAGGAAAAGAATAATTGTACTGAGTGACAGAAAAGCTCTCGTCAATGAGAGGGGACCTGAAGTTGGTAGCCCTCCGTGTGAGAGGGGAGCTGAAAGCCAGTAGCCCTCTGTGAGGCTGAGTCTGGAGTTTTTATGGGCTCAGAATGGGGGAGTACATGCTGATTGATCCATGGGTGGACGTGGAAAAAGCACCATTTGATTGACTAAAAGGCATTGAGGAAGTTCTTACTCTGGTCATGGACTCCACCTGGAACTAGCAGCTTGGTTTTCAGGCTTCAGGCTGTCTTTGACTTGAAGGTCAGGTTTCACCAGACCCATTCTTGTCTGCCTAATAATTTGTCTCTCTTCTGTCACTATCAGTTGCAAATGACAGGATCTCATTCTTTTTTATGGCTGTATAGTACTCCATTGTATATATGTACCACATTTCTTTATCCATTCATCTGTTGATGGACACTTAGCTTGCTTCCAGATCTTAGGTATTGTAAACAGTGCTGCAACAAACATAGGAGTGGAGATGTCTCTCTGATATACTGACTTCCTTTCTTTTGGATATATACCCAGCAGTGGGATTGCTGAATCATATGGTAGCTAAATTTTTAGTCTTTTGGGGAACCACTAAACTGTTCTCCATAGTTGTGCTAATTTACATTCTCACTAACAGTGTACAAGAGTACCCTTTTCTCCTCATCCTTGCCAGCATTTGTTACTGCCTGTCTTTTGGATATAAGCCATTTTAACTGGGGTGAGATGACATCTCATTTTAGTTTTGATTTGCATTTCTCTGATGATCAGTGATGTTGAGCACCTTTTTTTTTCTTATTTAATTTTTTAATTATACTTTAAGTTCTAGGGTACATGTGCACAACATGCAGGTTTGTTACATATGTATACATGTGCCATGTTGGTGTGCTGCACCCATTAACTCGTCATTTACATTAGGTATATCTCCTAATGCTATCCCTCCCCCCTCCCCCCACCCCACGACAGGCCCCGGTGTGTGATGTTCTCCTTCCTGTGTCCAAGTGTTCTCATTGTTCAATTCCCACCTATGAGTGAGAACATGCGGTGTTTGGTTTTTTGTCCTTGCGATAGTTTGCTGAGAATGATGGTTTCCAGCTTCATCCATGTCCCTACAAATGACATGAACTCATCACTTTTTATGGCTGCACAGTATTCCATGGTGTATTTGTGCCACATTTTCTTAATCCAGTCTATCATTGATGGACATTTGGGTTGGTTCCAAATCTTTGCTATTGTGAATAGTGCCACAATAAACACACGTGTGCATTGTGTCTTTATAGCAGCATGATTTATAATCCTTTGGGTATATACCCAGTAATGGGATGGCTGGGTCAAATGGTATTTCTAGTTCTAGATCCTTGAAGAATCGCCACACTGTCTTCCACAATGGTTGAACTAGTTTACAGTCCCACCAACAGTGTAAAAGTGTTCCTATTTCTCCACATCCTCTCCAGCACCTGTTGTTTCCTGACTTTTTAATGATTGCCATTCTAACTGGTGTGAGATGGCATCTCATTGTGGTTTTGATTTGAATTTCTCTGATGGCCAGTGATGATGAGCATTTTTTCATGTGTCTTTTGGCTGCGTAAATGTCTTCTTTTGAGAAGTGTTTGAGTTCTTTGTAGATACTGGCAATAGCTAAAGTGTTTTATTGGTTTGTTGTTGTTGTTGTCATCGTTGTTGCTGTTGTTTGAGAAAGGGTCTCACTCTGTCACTCAGGCTGGAGTGCAGTGGTGCAATCTGGGCTCATTGCAACCTCTGCTTCCCAGGCTCAAGGGATTCTCCAGCCTCAGCCTCCTGAGTAGCTGGGACTACAGGGGTAAGCCACTACACTCGGCCAGTTTTTGTATTTTTTGTAGAAACAGGGTTTCGTCATGTTGCCTAAACTGATCTCGAACTCCCTGGCTCAAGCCATCTGCCTGCCTCAGCCTCTGAAAGTGCTGTGATTACAGGCTTGAGCCACCTTACCCAGTCAAGAGCTACAGTTTTTAAAATGCACTATTCACAATAGCAAAGACTTGGAAGCAACCCAAATGTCCAACAATGATAGACTGGATTAAGAAATTGTGGCACATATACACCATGGAATACTATGCAGCCCTAAAAAATGATGAGTTCATGTCCTTTGTAGGAACATGGATGAAATTGGAAATCATCATTCTCAGTAAACTATTGCAAGGACAAAAAACCAAACACTGCATGTTCTCACTCATAGGTGGGAATTGAACAATGAGAACACATGGACACAGGAAGGGGAACATCACACTCCGGGGACTGTTGGGGGGTGGGGGGAGGGGGGAGGGATAGCATTAGGAGATATACCTAATGCTAAATGACAAGTTAATGGGTGCAGCACACCAGCATGGCACATGTATACATATGTAACTAACCTGCACATTGTGCACATGTACCCTAAAACTTAAAGTGTAATAAAAAAAAAATGATAGCAGTGGCAGTAAGTGGTTATTACTGCAAGGGATGAACTGTGAGCTTTCAGAATCACAGGTAATTGGGTTCTACCCTCTTCATTTCTCCTTGGGCATTTAGGTAAGAGAGGTCTCAGATGTCTGACTGAGTCAGACAGAAACTGTAAAGCCATTGGCTAAGTTGTTCAAGGGGATGTTAGAGCCAAAGCCAAGGCTTGTCTAGTGGGCACTGGTAAGGCAGTTAAGAGCTTCCAGAGTGTTGCTACTGAAAAAAAAAAACAAGGCTTCTGTGAAAGGATAAGGTGTTCACAGAATGGGCTAGTTGACATTAAGCTCCCAGTCTCGAGAAAATGTCTGTGTAGCAAGGTACGCTGTGAAAGCATTATACAACCCAACCCTATGGCATTTCCCTCTTAGGCTTTTATTTCAGCTCTGAGAGATCCAAGATTCAAGGTAAAAAAATGAATCATTAATTTCTAAACTAAGTACTCTGTCTATGCCTGCCTTTTACATCTACGAATATTAGCTCCCAGAAGCTACATACACTTACAAAAATGGTGAAATCTTACTAAATATAATTTAGAATTATCATGGCCATTTAACAACACTACACTTTAAGATGTACATTTAAAAATGGAGGCTCCTGGCTGGGCATGGTAGTTCACACCTCTAATTTCAATGCTTTTGGAGGCCAAAGCAAGAGGATCACTTGAGGCCAGGACTGGGCAACATAGCAAGACCCCTTCTCTACAAAAAATTATCTCTACTTGGGAGGCTGAGGCAGAAGGATCACTTGAGCCCAGGAGTTCAAGATTACAGTGAGCTATGATCATGCCACTGCACTCCAGCCTGGGTAACAGAGTAAGACCCTCTCTCTAAAAAAAAAAACCTAAAATAAAATGAGGGCTCCTGGATTAGGCCCACCCAGAGATGCCCATTATTGTGCAGAAGCTTCTAAAATATTTCAAAAATGTTTTTATTGTCTCTTTCAAAAGACTACAAAACACAAATGAAAAGCTTAAGTGACTAATTGATAAGAAAAACTGGGCCGGGCGTGGTGGCTCACGCCTGTAATCCCAGCACTTTTGGGGGCCGAGGCGGGCAGATCACAAGGTCAGGAGATCGAGACCATCCTGGCTAACATGGTGAAACCCCGTCTCTACTAAAAATACAAAAAATTAGCCGGGCGTGGTGGCAGGCGCCTGTAGTCCCAGCTACTCCGGAGGCAGAGGCAGGAGAATGGCGTGAACCCGGCAGGCGGAGCTTGCAGTGAGCCGAGATTGCGCCACTGCACGCCAGCTTGGGCAACAGAGCGAGACTCCGTCTCAAAACAAAAAAAAACAACAACAACAAAAAGAAAAACTGAGGCCAGTGGTAGTGGCTCATGTCTGCAATCCCAGAACATTGGGAGGTTGAGAAGGGTGGATCACCTGAGTCCAGGAGTTTGAGACTAGCCTGGGCTGGTATCTCATTGGCCACCAGAAACCCAAAAGTCAAGTTGCCTCTTAGAGCACAAACTAATACTTGTTACCCCAAGGTCAAATGCTCTCTTACAGGACAAACTAACCCTGTATTCAAAAGCCAATAATATCAGGGAGCTGAATCCAAAAAGAGCAGAGTCCAACCTTACAGGAACTTACAGCCCTAAGGACTCCGTGAGGAAGACAGGGGACCTCAAAAGGGGTAAACAGTGTCTTTCCTGCATCTCTCAAGAGGTCTTGTGAGTTGCCAACTATGTTCTTAAGGTCCCTTTTTATAGCTACCAGGACTGTCAAAAGACAAAACTGCAACAAACTCAAATATCTTTCTTGGTTTTTATCTGTAATTCTAGAATTGGGCAATATTTTATTCTGTAAAATAGGATGAGAGTTCCGATGAGCTGAGCAGAAGAGGCTGGTTTTATAGGTAGAAATAAATTGAAGAAAGCAGAAACAGAAAACAAAAAGTGATCGGTCATTTCAAAGTTACTTTTCTTGTAAAGGTTAAAGCAAAGGGGAGTTCCTTATCATACTGGCTAAAACAGTCCTGCTTGGAGATTTGGCTATTATCTCTCTCTCGATGTCTTGGAAGGTCATATAAAACTCTTAGTAGCTTGGTGGCATGAAACTTCAGCATAAGTAATCCCATTTTGGTTTGGTTTGGTTTGTTGGGCGTAGTGTAGGAGCTTAGTCCAAACCAATGGCCTCCTATAACATTTATTTAACAACACTTTACTTGTATTATATCATCTTGTTCATTCAACAACCACTGAGGGGATAGAATAATTTATACAAGGTCATATAGTGATGGAGAAGATTTTCAACCAAGATTTTTCTGATTACAGAGCCTGTGCTTTTCATCAGTGCAACATTTTTTTCCCAACTTTGTTTGCTCATAAGGTACATGTTATGCAGATTTCTAGGCCTCTTTCTTTTTTTTAATTAATTAATTAATTAATTATTATTATTATTATACTTTAAGTTTTAGGGTACATGTGCACAATGTGCAGGTTAGTTACATATGTATACATGTGTCTAGGCCTCTTTCTTAGACATTTTGGGTTAGTGGGTCTGGCACAAAGTCCTGAAATCTTAATTTTTATCAAGATCCATAGTTTAGTCTACTGGGTAAATGAATATAGGAGATCTTGCTATATACTATACTCTCTAATATTAGGTAACGAAAATAAGCTTTTCTCCATTCCTAAATTTATATTGCTTACCTAAAGAAGTGAAACCAAATCAGAACATGCCATCTTACATGTAATGAGAGGCAAAAGCTTTTATCTAACAGATAGTTACAACTCTCCATTCCTTCTACATATAAACATGATCAAGTGTTCATCATCCTTATAAAATGGCTATCCCTTCCCTTTCTCCTGCCTTTCCCAACCAAGATTCTTGAAACAGAAACCTACCTTCATGGTCTCCAATTCCTTACTTATTTTGAATTTCTCAACCCACTGTATTTTGGCTGCTGCTTTATGTCATCACAGAACTGCTCTTCACCAATAACTTCCTGTTTGTATTCATATCCACTCTTACCTAACCTGACTTTCCTAGAATAAGTCTTAATTTCATTAAACTTTATCTGAAAATTGCTTAATCATTTTATCAGGCATTGTCATTTCTTCCCAGAAATAAGTTGTCAATTACATCACGTAAAAAGTTCTGTCCCAGGCCAGATTTAGAACAATTCTTTTCAGTGGCAGCAGATTTGGAAAAGCAAGGGATAACATATGCAGTACAAAATAAGTGGTGAGATGAAAGCTAAAATGAACATCTGGAAGAAAAAAGCATGGCCAGATGGGGTAAAGTCCAGAAAGAAGAGTGAACAGAGCTGGAGGTACAATGGTAAACTGTGTCTCACTAAAATCTTCCAGCTCCATGAAAAGGGCTGTGGCTTGACGTTTATAAATGTGTGGAAGGAAAGAGAAGTCTATAATAATCTACCTGTTGACACAATATACATTGGGAAGTTACAACTAAACAATTATTTTAATATCACTTCATTTTACCCAGGTATTTCAGGAAAATTTTTAAAACGATTAACACTTTTACAATGTAACCCAAAAAGTATCTGAGACAGGTCTCAATCAATTTAGACATTTATTTCGCCAAGGATAAGGACAATGACTGGGAGAAAACATGAAATGAGAGAAACAGTCTGTGGCCTGTGCCTTTCTCCAAAGATGATTTTGAGGGCTTTCGTATTTAAAGGGGTAAAACAGGTTGGTGGGTAAAAATGGAAGGTATGATCACATTACTGAATCCACCTGTTGCAAGAGAAAAGGATTAGGTAGGGGAATAGTCAAGTTTTCATCTCATGCCCAGGCACTTTACCTAAGATAAAGTGAACATAGAATAGCTACCTGTGGAAAAATTTTAAAACCTTTTATCTGTAGATATCTGCTTAAGAACAAAAGGAAAGGCAGCTTCTGGCATGAGTCAGCTTTCAGATCATTTTTTTCCTTTTGGCATAGAAAATTGGAATCCCAAGTTTTTATTTTTCTTTTATATTTCTTCCTCCTCTTCTTTTTAGAAATCTTTCAGAGGCAGTATTTTAGAAGAAAATGAGTTTCTGGTCTTGGGTTTTGTCTGATCTCTTGTGGCTAGGACAGTTTATTCCCAGACAAATAGGTCCCACACTGTTAGGAAAGCTCATTTTTAGCAGGTTATGAAGCCTCATGTCTTATGAAGAAAAAAATAGGGACAGGAAGAGAGAAAGACAACTGTAAACAAACAAAAAAAGGAAGAACAATCCTGGAAAAGTGATATAGGTCATATTACTCGGAAGCTCATACATCAATAGGCAGGCATAAAAATGGTTTATGTGTAAAAATAGGTTGCTGTTATTTTCTTCTGAAGTTTAAATTGTCCAGCTTCAGTTTACAAGGCTTTAAGGAAAGCATAGCTTAATTTTTAGTAATTTGAGATGAGGAAAAAAAATAGGAAAAAAAGGGAAAAGAAAAAAGAAAAAAACCCCATTATTTTGGAGTCTCAGAGCCAGGAAAAACTTTAGAATTTGGTCTCAATTCTAAATAATAATAAAAATAAAAAAATTTACTCAAGGCTAGAATCTAATAAGTCATACTATAGTTTGAATCATGATTTTTCTCTCTCCATCCCTATTTTAAGACAAAATTACAGTAGAACCAATTTGTTGCAGTATAAGTTTTAGTCTTATTATACTTGGCCTGATTATTTGCATAAGGTGTAGCAAGAACAATTATTTGTCACATAGGCTCTTTTTAAATTGGCTTTGATGGAACTTTACAGAAATCTCAAATTAGATTTTTTAAAGCTTTGAGCCAAGCCACAGATTTATTTGTGCCTGAAAATACCTGTATGAGTTGGGTAAATTCTTCTCTCAAGGTCCCAAGATAACTTGGGGTGCTTGGGCCTGTCAGAAAGTGACATTCTTTACTTGCTACAGGCTAGGAACCCTATATAGGGACTGTGTAGACAAAGTATGAGGCCAGTTTTCCCAGGGGTGTTTCATTGGCTCTATAAATCAATTTTGATTCCTTAAAGCAGTCTGTTTATATTTGAAAACATGCCATTGCAGTGAAAGCCTTGGTAAAATAGCCTCCAATTGTGTCCTGTTACAAAAAAACAAAACAAAACAAAACAAAACAAAACAGATTCTTATTGCACGTATGCAAATAACTATAATGCCATAAGTTAAGGATAATCACAAATGGCTTCCAAATTCTAAAGAAATCAGGTAGAGAGAAAGAAATATGATCCAGATTCTTCTCACAAGAGTATTACTTTACCCAATTGCTAAAAGCTATAAATGTCTCAAAAGTAAAAAGTTTTCTTGACTTTAGAAAACAGAAAAGAAAGGATCAGCAGCATTTTAAGAAAAAAATTATAAAAATACTCTCTTGGTCTTTTGTTAGTTTAGTCCATGCTATTTTTGTTTTCCCCAATATTGGGCCAGCAGTTTTTATGAATATATTAGCTTTCTATGAGAGTCCTGGAAATTGTTTTTGTTTTGTCCTTTTCTATTTTAATGGCACAATTTTCAAAGTACCAGAGATCTGCATTTAAGAGTACCCATTGGAGTCCCATGGCTGATTATAAACTGCTTTTTGAAAAGGATTGAAACAAGACAATTGTCTGTGAATGACAAAAGTTTTTGGACAGCCACAGTTAAAGACACAATTGACAAGGAAATCTGGTCATCTCTGTGGCACACAACAATTTAACATACCAATTATAATTATTACTGATAATATATACTGAGACATATCAGAATTATACAAATTTTATATAATTTTGTAACATACTAATAAAATTTTTAAATGAATATAACTCAGAGAAAGCTAAATGTCATTTTACATTTGGCAATGCTTCTTACATGATTTTAATATATCAAACAGCCAAATATGTCTCTTTTGGACATTGGAGGATCTAATATCTAAAAGGGTTAATCAGGTAAAACAAACTTATTTTGAATTTGATTTTGGAAAGTTTGTTAAATGTCAAAGGTTTAAAACACTTGATATTACAAAATAGAATCCACATCACTATAATGATATTTCAAGTTATCATTTAGTTAGCCAAAATGAAAACTCAAAGATTTAACAAAGGCAAAAACTTTTATTCTTCAGAGAGGAGACTTAATTTCCCAAATCATAAGCCTGATTAAGACAGCATGAGGCCAATTAAATCTGCCTCTCAAATCTGATAAACAAATCTATAAAATTGTGAGCATCTTGATCATAGGATTTAATTTTTTTTTTTGAGATGAAGTCTCCCTCTTGTCCCCTAGGCTGGAGTGCAATGGCATAATCTTGGCTCACTGCAACCTCTGCCTCCCGGGTTCAAGCGATTCTCCTGCCTCAGCCTTCTGAGTAGCTGGGATTACAGACGCCCGCCACCACACCTGGCTAATTTTTGTATTTTTAGTAGATGGGGTTTCACCACGTTGGCCAGGCTGGTCTCGAACTCCTGACCTCAGGTAATCCACCCGCCTCGGCCTCTCAAAGTGCTGGGATTACAGGCATGAGCCACTGCACCCAGCCCCAGGATTTAATTTTAATAAACCTTTACTTTTTTAATTTTTAATTTTTTTTAAATTTTATTTTGAGATAGAGTCTCTATTGCCCAGATTGGAGTGCAGTGGCATGATCATGGCTCACTGCAGCCTCATCCTCCCAGGCTAAAGTGATACCCCTGCCTCAGCCTCCTGGGTAGCTGGGACTACAGGCATGTGCCACCACACCTAGATAAATTTTTTTGTTTTTTGTTTTTTGTTTTGTAGAGATGGGGTTTTGTCATGTTGCCCAGGCTGGTCTTGAACTCGTGGGCTCAAGTGATCCTCCCACCTTTGTTGCCTTCCCAAAGTGCTGGGATTACAGATGTGAGCCACTGTGCCCAGCCATAAACCTTTTTATAAACTTTTATAATTAAAAAATGTGTTAATATTCCAAGAAACCCTTTTTAAGCTCACACAGGAGCTCAGATACTAGTCTTGCATCAGTGTGCCTTTGATATTAATACTTAATTTATAGATAGACTCTGAACTAATTTATCTCTCAAAATTGGCCCTTACAATCTCCTGTGTTCACCTCTTCCCTGATAGTCCCTGGCCTAGAGGGGCTGAATAGTTTTAATTTCTGGCCCTGTGTCTCATGTACACAGTTTATTCTGACTGTCAACTTCTCCTGGGTCAGAAGATGAGGCTTTAACTACTGTCAATGTTTAAGATTCAGCAGAACTTGGTACTGTTTTTAGATCCAAGAGTCAAAGCCCTGTAACTTATCACCACAAGGACTTTAAAAGTTACATATATGTAATAATCTTACTTTAAAAAATTTTAATTTCAATTTTCGTAAACAAACCAAAACAATCACAATTACACAGGAATTATTTTGATAAAACATAAAATCCGTTTGTTAGGTCAGTTACCAAAAGGCAAAAAAGTCCTTCTGAAATATGATTGGTTTTCCCTATGAGGAGTCCATTTAGATAACTTGGAAGTCAAAACTAATGAAAATAGTACTTGAATTAGTTAGACATAGGAAGAATGTACTCTGGGTCATAAGTGAAATTTTTCAGTTTTATAGAAAAGTTGAAAGCCAAAGCACAGAATTTTATATTGGAAGAAAACATTTTCTTTAGACTTTTAATGTAAAACATTTTTAGCATCAGGCAACAACAGCAGTTGGAACCTGAGGAAAAAAGTTACAACAGCTGATGAAGAAGTTGAAGAAAGAGGTATTACTTCAGGCCTTCTCAAAGGGGACATAAAGCTGAAAACAGTGAGGCACAATAAAAGTTGAACTTTTGGGTTAAAAACAAAATTAAGGCCAGGCACAGTTGCTCACGCCTGTAATCCCAGCACTTTCGGAGGCTAAGTTGGGTGGATCACTTGAGTCCAGGAGTTCAAGACCATCCTGGGCAACATGGCAAATGCCCTCTCTACTAAAAATACAAAAAATTAGCTGAGTGTGGTGGCACATGCCTGTAGTCCCAGCGACTCAGGTGGCTGAGGTGAGAGAATCACATAAGCCCGGAGGTCAAGGCTGTTGTGAGCTGAGATTGTGCCACTGAACTCCAGCCTGGGTGACTGAGTGAAACCCTGCCTCAAAAAAGAAAAACAAGTACAAAATTAAAATCTCTTCTAATTTTATTAAGAGTAAATTAATACCTTAAGAAAATTTTGTTGTTCTAACCAATTCTTAGTGTATTAGTGTATTTTTAATATCTAAGTCCAATCTCTAGAAGGACTATTACAAATAATTCATACAAATTTATTTGCATAAATTTATATAAATATTATAAATAATTTCCTTTTAATTATAAGCAACTTGATCAAGTTTTTTAAATCACAAGTTCTCTTTTTACAAACTTTATTACAACTTACACAAACCATTTACAATGTGCTTGGACTTGCCTGTTTTATTCTAAACATCCCTCTTTTCTAAATAACCAGTCATTTTATTTTAGGGCAAAAATTTGCAAGATTCTTTTTTGTATAAAATTATTTTCCTTTTAACTTTTCTTACCAAAAAAATCTCTTTATATTTATAACTTCCTTTACATCACTCTTATTTACTAGTTTCTTTTGCACATTTTCATAAATAAGCTTTAAATAACCTTTGAATTAGACAAAAATAATTTTTCTTTAAATAAGAACACTTTTTTTAAAGAAAATGTTTTCCTATAAAGTCATTTTAAAAATTTAAAATAATGCAGATATTTAATGAATGTCAGTTGTTTAATTCAATATAACTAGATTCTAACTTATATGGCAAGTTTATTTACAAGAATTTATTCCATTACATTTATCTAATTAATTAAAAATAGTTTAACTAGATTACTTATGAAAATTGTGATAGTCATCATTTGAAGTTATTTCCCTGTTAACCATTTTAATAGCTGGTGAATATCAGGCTTTTTCTTAAATAAGAACTTTAAGATTAAGTGAATTTTTTTTTTTGTCAGTAACTCAGGATTTAGTTGTTTCTAGTAAATCAACAATATTAAATTTCTTATTTATTAAAAATACACAAAGATAATTTTCTCTTGGGCTGCAAGCTTTATAACCCTCATGCTAAATTCTGACACTTATAATGTCTAGCAGAGATAAATATTAGACTGCTTGACCAGTAAATCTAAACAATAACATATGTTGACTATTCTGAAGCCATTTCTAATTTTATTTTACCAATAATTTCAAACCAGCTTATTTATTTGTTTATTTATTTATTTATTGAGACAGAGTCTCCCTCTGCCACCCAGTCTGGGGTGCAGTGGCACGATCTTGGCTCACTGCAACTTCTGCCTCCCAGGTTCAAGTGATTCTCCTGCCTCAGCCTCCTGAGTAGCTGGGACTACAGGCACATGCCACCACGCCTGGCTAGTTTTTGTATTTTTTAGTAGAGACAAGCTTTCACCATGTTGGCCAGGCTGGTCTCAAACTCCTGACCTGAGGTGACCTGCCCACTTCAGCCTCCCAAAGTGCTGGGATTGCAGTCATTAGCCACTGCTGCTGGCCCAAACCAGCTTATTTATTAAGAATTTACTTAAGTCACATGAACTTGAAAAAGCGTTTGGGCTCAAAATTTCTATTTTTCTGATACAGAGTTTATTTAAGTTTTTTAATGCCAATTAATCAGAACTCTTTTATATATTTTTGGTAGTGAAACATTATATACATGACACATAAATTCATATACACATTAGACATGCAGATAGAAGCCAATCTTATAGACTTATAAGACTTCCTTTTTTTTTCCTATTTTAGATTTCCAATTTCTTGATAACCTCTTTCATTACCCTAGGCAATTGTCATCTAGATATCCCTAAGTTTGTATACTAAATGAATAAGTCCTTGGTGAAGATCACGGCAAAATTTACTTCTCAAGATACAGAGACAGAGAGAAAGAGATAGAGAGAGAGAGTCTGGTATGCCAGTGGAGATTAAAAATGGATGCCAAGTCAATCATAAAATTATAGAAATCTACCATAGGATTGCATAAGGAGACCAACTGTATTTACATGGGTAGTTTTAAATTTAGCCTTTAGCCTCTATCTTTTAGATGCATCTTTGAGCTCTCGGCAGAGCTAACACTGAATCCTGATTATCCAAAATGATAGCGATAACATGGAATTAGGTCATGTAATGATTTTATAGTGAACTTTGTTACAAAGACTTTTTTATCTGTCTAAACCCCACCCTTATCTTAAACACTTAAGAGTAGCTCCTGTTGTAATAATTATTTCATTCAAAAAAGAAATCAGGGCCTGGTGTGGTGGCTCACACCTGTAATCCCGGTACTTTGGGAGGCCAAGGTAGGTGGATCACCTGAGGTCAGGAGTTTGAGACCAACCTGGCTAACATGGTGAAACCACATCTCTACTAAAAATACAAAAATTAGCCAGGTGTGGTGGTACATGCCTGTAATCCCAGCTACTCGGGAGTCTGAAGTAGGATAATCGCTTGAACCTGGGAGGCGGAAGTTGCAGTGAGCTGAGATCACTCCATTGTACTCCAGCCTGGGCGATAAAGTGAAACTCCATTGCAAAAAAAAAAAAAAAAAAAAAAAGAAAAAAAGAAATCAGGTAACAGAGTACAAAAGCAAGAAGTTTAAGATCTAAGAGCAACTTGTCTGTTTATACTCTTGGGGTTCTATAAGGAAAAACGGAGGTTTCTTTTCAAAAAGGAATCTGTTACCATCTCTGTTTTCTTTAAGGAATCCTAGGCTGTTAGAAACTTTAGGTCCCTCATGCAGCAGAGAATGGCAAAAGAAAAGAGAGACAGGCATAAGTAAATGGAGAAAACAGAATTCAATTGACTGGAGAAGAAAAAAAAACTTTCTCAGAAAAAAAAGATTCTAGGAGTGAAGGAAAGCATAGAGGGCTCTTATATATATATTTATATATGCATATATGTCTATATATGTATACATATATTTATAAATATATATATTTTTATATACATGTATATATGTATGACATGTATACATATATGTGTATACATCTTGGATATTAGCTTTTTAAATTTTTTTATTTTTATTTTATATATATTTTTATTATACTTTAAGTTCTAGGGTACATGTGCACAACGTGCAGGTTTGTTACATATGCATACATGTGCCATGTTGGTGTGCTGCACCCATTAACTCGTAAGCTTTTAACCATTAAGCTTTTTTTCTTTTTCTTTTTTTAAAATTTCAATAGTTTTGGGGATACAGGTGGTTTTTTGTTACATGGATAAGTTCTTTAGTGGTGATTTCTGAGATTTTGGTGCACGCATCACCTGAGCAGTGTACACTGTACTTAATGTATAGTCTTTTATTTCTCACCCCCCTCCCACCCTTTCACCTGAGTCTCCAAAGTCCGTTGTGTCATTCTTATGCCTTTATATCCTCATAGCTTAGCTTCCACTTATAAGTGAGAACATATGATGCTTGATTTTCCTTTCCTGAATGACTTAATTTAGAATAATGGCCTCCAATTCCATCCAGGTTGCTGTGAATGCCATTATTTCATTCTTTTTTATGGCTGAGTAGTATTCCATGGTGTGTGTGTGTGTGTGTGTGTGTGTGTGTGTGTGTATATATATATATATATAACCACATTTTCTTTACAGACTCGTTGCTTGACGGACATTTGAATTGGTTTCATATTTTTGCAGTTGTGAATTGTGCTGCTATAAACATGCGTGTGCAAGTGTCCTTTTTATATAGTGACTTCTTTTCCTCTGGGTAGATACCCAATAGTGGAATTGCTGGAACAAATAATAGATCTACTTTTAGTTCTTTAAGGAATCTCCATGCTGTTTTCCACAGTGGTTGTAGCAGTTTCCATTCTGACCAGCAGTGTGAAAATGTTCCCTTTTCACCACATCCATGACAATGTCTATTAATTTTTTGATTATGGTCATTCTTGCAGGTATAACATGGTATCGCATTGTGGTTTTGATCTGCATTTCCCTGGTAATTAGTGATGTTGAGCATTTCTCCATATGCTTGTTGGCCATTTGTATATCTTCTTTGGGAATTGTCTAGAATCCCGGCACTTTGAGAGGCTGAAGTGGGTGGATTGCTTGAGCCCAGGAGTTTGAGTCAGCCTGGGCAGCATACTGAAACCATGTCTCTACAATTGAGGCCTTGTTCCCCATAATTTGGAACTTTCCTTCAGATTTGACCAAGTCAGGTATAGTTAATCAAACCTAAGGGGAAAAAGATCAAAACAACAAAAACAACAAAAACAGGAACAAAAAAAAAACCAAAAAAGTTAAGCAAAACAAACAATTGCACAATTTATAAAATTACTGGGCTTTCTAATGGTAAGAAGAAATTAAGACCAGCTGTTTGTTAATCGTAAATTTTAGTCATTAAGGAGAATTCCCAAGACAAAACTCCAATTCAGCTACTTACCTAGGAATGGAGCTCAAGCTGAAGACTACTCTCTACCATCCTAGAAGCAAGAAAAAACTAAAACTTGTCTTCCCTGTTAGAAGTGAGCTGAAACTCCAAATAAGAGTTGCCTGCTTTCCCTCTTCATGGAAGCAAGAAAACTCACCTGCCTTGTTGGAAGTGAGTAAAACTCCAGAAAAGGAATTGTATGGCAAAATGAACTTTAGACTCAAAATTTTGGGAGATCAGGGATTCTCTGGAGGGAGTGCTCCTGGACTTCAGCAAATTGTCCTATTGATTTGAACAATAAAGATAGCTCAATCTGGTACCAAGTACTGATATGAGATTTGTCAAAAGTCAGGGTCACCTCTACTCATAGTCCCTTTGTGGTCACGAGTTTGTAAACCAAGAAGTATCTAAGCCAAGTCTCAGTCAATTTAGAAGTTTATTTTGCCAAGATTAATTAAGAACAACGTTCAGGAAAAAGAACATGGAATGACAGGAATAGTCTGTGTTCCGTGCCTTTCTCCAAAGATGATTGTGAAGCCTTCAACATTTAAAGGGGAAAAGCAGGCTGATGGGGATGATTAATATTGTACAGTGAAAAATGCATAGTTTTTTTTTTCCATTAAAAATGGGAAGATAGGCATGGAAAAGGCAAATAGCTTATTTAAGTTTATCTAAGAAATCTGTGGTGGAGGTGAGTCTTCCCACACCTACAGAATTGTTTCTCAAAGAACCTACTGGACTCTGCTATCTTGACAAGACCTCACTGTAGTTTTGTGAAATTTATCATGTGTTTCATTTATTTATTTAGAACTGTGGCCTTAATAGCTGTACATTGGTAAAGCTATGGTATTCCTATGCAAAAAACAGAAAACTCCCCAGAGCAGAATACCTTCTATACCTGTAAGAAGATTTTCCTTTGAAAGTTGATCCTAATGCTTCTGATACCTTAGACAAGATTTTCTGAGAGTATGACAGAATTCTTCAAGTTAGACAGTGGTAAACAGCTGAACATGGACATCCCCCCAACCCTCATGAAAACAGCCTGACTTTGAACAAGAGAAGGAAATCACCAATGATGAGGCATTGGCATGACCAAGGCTGATCTCACAAATAATTTGGGAACTATTAACAAGTTCTGTCATAAAGCATTTATGGAGGCTCTTCAGGCTGGTGCAGACATCTTCATGATTAGGCAAATAGTTTGGTGTTTACTTTTATTCTGCCTATCTGGTGACTGATAGAGTGGTTGTGATCATAAAGCACAATGATGATGAACAGTAAGCCTGGGAATCTTCTGCCAGGTATTCCTTTACTGTATATGCTGACCATGTTGAGCTCATTGGTAGTGGTACCAAAGTGATCCTCTGCCTTAAAGAAGACCAGACAGAGTACTTATAAGAGAGTTGCGTCAAAGAAATAGTAAAGAAGGACTTGAAGTTCATAGGCTATTCTATTACCTTTTATTTGGAAAAGGAATAAGAGAAATAAATCACTAATGATGAGGTTGAGGAAGAGAAAGGTGAGAAAGAAAAAGAAAAAGATGATGAAGAAAAGCCCAAGATTGAAGATATGGCTTCAGATGAAGAGGATGACAGTGGTATGGATAAGAAAAAGAAAATCAAGGCTGGTTGCAGTGGCTCATGTCTGTAACCCCAGCACTTTGGGAGGTCGAGGTAGGTGGATCCCTTGAGGTCAGGAGTTCAAGACCAGCCTGGCCAACATGGTGAAACCCCATCTCTACTAAAAATATGAAAATTAGCTGGACATGGTGGCCAACACCTGTAGTCCCAGCTACTCGGGTAGCTGATGCAGGAGAATCACTTGAACCTGGGAGGTGGAGGTTGTAGTGAGCCGAGATCATGCCGCTGTACTCTAGCCTGGGCAACAGAGTGAGACTCCAAAAAAAATGCTGCAAAAGGTTAGCAAAATTGAAAAATTTCTAATTAACATATGGCAATTAAAATAACTCCTATTGTTATGTGTGAATTTGATCCTGTCATTATGATGTTAGCTGGTGGACATGGATGAAATTGGAAATCATCATTCTCAGTAAACTATCGCAAGAACAAAAAACCAAACACCGCATATTCTCACTCATAGGTGGGAATTGAACAATGAGATCACATGGACACAGGAAGGGGAATATCACACGCTGGGGACTGTGGTGGGGTGGGGGGAGGGGGGAGGGATAGCATTGGGAGATATACCTAATGCTAGATGACGAGTTAGTGGGTGCAGCGCACCAGCATGGCACATGTATACGTATGTAACTAACCTGCACAATGTGCACATGTACCCTAAAACTTAAAGTATAATAAAAAAAAAAGAAAAAGAATTAGAAAATAAAATAAAATAAAATAAAATAACTCCTTAGGTGATGAAAGTAAGATGTGTTTTTGGTTAAGGGAAAAAAAGGTAATTTTTGTACCAAAGTAGAATGACTGGCTGTTCCAAAACTAGAAAGAAAAAAGACTGTAGAAGGCTTGTGGAAGGTTAATCTTATAAAATAAATTTTAAGTGTGATCACATTGGCTAAAGTTAGAAGAGAAGTTTTCTAAGTTTTCCTTAAATTGAACATTAATTTCAAAGGTATACATTGATACAAAACTAGAATTTGGTTCTCTCTATTAAAACAAGATTTTTCTTGGAGTATTGAGCTGCTCTTAATGGCAAATAATGAAAGGTTTTTCTTTACCTTTCAGGTAATTGGTCTAGGAAAAAAGTATGTGTTTTATCATAATAGTTCCTGTGTTTTATGTTGCCTTTATTAAGCCTTTGATTACTTAAGAAAATTGAGTCCTCTCTATTAAAGAGCTCACGTTTTTCTACAAGTAGGCATTTTTTAAAAGAAATATATAACCCTGTGTTTGCCTTTTTCTTTTCTTTTTGAGACAGAGTCTTGCTCTGTCACCTAGGCTGGATTGCAGTGGCATGATCATGGCTCACTAGCAGCCTCAACCTCCTGGGCTCAGGTGATCTTTTCACCTTAACCTCCCATCTAGCTAAGACTACAGGTGTGTGCCACCATGCCTGGATAATTTTTAATTTTTTTGTAGAGATGAGGTTTTGCCATGTTGCCCTGGTTTGTTTTTTTGTTTGTTTTTAGTGATAGGGTCTTTCTCTGTTGCCCAGGCTAGAGCACAGTGGTGTGATCATAGTTAAGTGCAGCCTTGAACTCCTAGGCACAAGCAATTCTCCTGCCTCCCAAGTATTTAGGACTACAGGGATATGCCACTGTGCATGGCTAATTTTTCTTTTTTTTTTTTCTTTTCTTTTTTTTTTTTAGAGACAGCATGTTGCCATATTGCTTAGGCTGGTCTTGAACTCCTGGCCTCAAGGGATTCTCCCACCTCAGCCCACCAAGGCACTGGGATTACAGAGTGTTTGCCTTTTAAAGTCTTTTCATTATCACTCTGGTTAAATGAGTAACTATTATTTCACAGTGACCTGTAATTCTATTTTTTTTTTTTTTGAGATGGAGTTTTGCTCTTGTCGCCCAGGCTGGAGTATAATAGTGTGATCTTGGCTCACTGCAACCTCTGCCTCCCGGGTTCAAGCGATTCTCCTGCCTCAGCCTCCCAAGTAGCTGGGATTACAGACGCCCACCACCATGCCTGGCTAATTTTTTTGTATTTTTAGTAGAGATGGGGTTTCACCATGTTGGCCAGGCTGGTCTCGAACTCCTGACCTCAGATGATCCACCCACCTCGGCCTCCCAAAGTGCTGGGGTTATAGGCGTGAGCCACTGTGCTTGACCAACCTGTAATTCTATTTTTATCAGGTGTCTTAAACTTTGATATTTTGACAAGCTTTTTAAGAGCAAACTCTTAAGTCTTTTTAAACATTTACCTGTACCCCATCTGTACTAAAATACAAAAATTAGCCAAGCATGATGGCGGGTGCCTGTAATGCCAGCTACTCAGGAGGCTGAGACAGAAGAATCACTTGAACCTGGGAGATGGTGGTTGCAGTGAGCCAAGATTGCGTCACTGAACTCCAGCCTGGGTGGCTAAGCAAGGCTCTGTCTCAAAAAAAAAAAAAAAAAAAAAAAAAAAATTACCTGAAATTAACTTTGGGATTTTTCAGTTGGGCCCATGAAAAGCTACAAAGGAAGTGTCTCTCATCTTGTAAAGATATTAATTAGGCTTATATTAAGTGTTGTGTTATAGGGGAAGCATTGTCAAATAATAAGTGATACTGGACTTTTTGAGTTATATCTATGGGTGTATTATTTATATGAATGTTCTAAAAATCGTATGGGATTCCTAGAAATCTGATATGTTGTCAATCACAATATTGGTTATTATGTTGAAATGTTGTATGACACAGAAATAACTAAATTTTCTGACCAATTGCTGATTATAATGAACTCATCATATTTTAACCATGGTCATCCTAAGTCTTTGTCATCCATAGAGAGTGGTTTTGATTCTTCTCTAAAAGCATTTGCAATCAACTATAGTCCAAAGTTGCTTCTTCTTCAAGGAAACTCATGACAAGTAAGGATGGAAAGAATTCTGATAAATACAGTTTTTGAATAACCTTAATGTTATGCCATTGAACTGGGTAAGATTTCTAAGAACTCTAAAAAACTGACTGTTTTATAAAACTGCTAACTCAACATCAAGCAGAACAAGGATTATATACCAAGGAAATATTTGGTAGTGGCAGATTTTCATTCTAAATGAGTCAGTACTGAAATTATTATTAAGATACACAATTTGAATGAAGTCCATGACCCAAATCAAATCACTGAAGCATAGTACCATGCACCTTAATTAGAGAAACAAAATTGATATTTTTTTTTACAAAGGTATTTTATTTTAGTAAACAAAATACTGATTCTTTTATTATTATTTTTTAAAATTTAAATTAAAAAAATGTTTTTTGAGACAGAGTCTTGCTCTGCTGCCCAGGCTGGAGTAACAGGCCAGTGGCATGATCTAGGCTCACTGCAACCTCCACCTCCTGGGTTCAAGCAATTCTCCTGCCTCAGCCTCCTGAGTAGCTGGGATTACAGACGTGCACCACTACACTGGCTAATTTTTGTATTTTTAGTAGATACGGGGTTTCACCATGTTGGCCAAGCTGGTCTCGAGCTCCCGACCTCAAGCGTTCTGCCCTCCTCAGCCTCCCAAAGTGCTGGGATTACAGGCGTGAGCCACCATGCCTAGCCAATACTGGTTCTTTTAAAAGCACATATAAATTCACAGTATTTTAAGTGAAATGTCTAGGTTGGGACTTTATCCTCTGACACATTATTCAATAATTAAGTATTTCTTCTCTTTCTTCTCAGCCGGAGTCCACTCAAGCTGACATTTACATTGCAGAATATTCAGTTATCTTTTTTCTCTGATTGCTTCTTCCTTTCAGCCTCCAGTTTTTGCTGTTTTGCTTCCAACCTTTTTCTTTGGTATATTTTCACTCCAGCAAATGCCAGGCAGAGAATTAATGTTTTTGCTGCCAAGATATACAGCAGCAGGTGCACGTGTTCGAGAACCTTCCAATTCATGGTAGACCAACTATGAATTCACTTCTGATCAACACAAACCCCCACCAGACAAGTACATGAGAGGCGGCGGGAAGGTCAGCCCCAGGGAGCTGGAAGGTCTCATTGCTCCCAACGGCAGAGCCTCCTGTGCCTGGCCGCACACAAACCATCCAAAACTGATATTTAAGAGGATGTAAATCCAATGGTAAATATGGACAGATAGAGTTTTCCTATGAGTTTTCCTTCCTGAGTCATTAAAACTCCCATTGTTAAAAAGCTTTGCACTCCATGACTTATAATGAAAGAGGTAAAATGATCCAAATTGTGAGAAAATATTGGTGTTGTTACTATTCTAAAACTGTTAACATAGTTTATGACCAGCCATGATGTGACTAATTTTAAACATATTTTTTGACTATCATATAAAGAATGGTTATATGTATAAATCAGTGAGAATGGAAACAGTGAGACCGGTAATGGTGCTACTTAAAGTGCTGGTCTGCAAAGAGATAAAGAGCTTTCTCAGAATACAAAAGGATTTATTCCTTGTTTCATCAAGAAAGCTTGCTATGAAAAAAGTATGTTAGCTGGGCTGGGTGCAGTGGCTCATGCTTGTAATCCAAGCACCTTTGGAGACCAAAATGGGAAGATTGCTTTAGGCCAGGAGTTCAAGACTAACCTGGGCAACATAGCAAGTTCCCATCTCTACAAAAAATTAGAAAAATAGCCAGGTGTCATGGCACTTGCCTATAGTTCTAGTTACTTGGGAGGCTGAGGGAGGATGATTGCTTGAGTCCAGGAGTTCAAGGTTGCAGTGAGCTATGATCATGCCACTGTACTCCAGCCTGGGTGACAGAACAAGATCCTGTTTAAAAGAAAAAAAAAGAAAAAAAAAAGAAAAGGCTGGGCATGGTGGCTCACCCCTGTAATCCTAGCACTTTGGGAGGCCAATGCGGGAGGATCACCTGAGGTCCGGAGCTCAAGACCAGCATGGCCAACATGGTGAAACCATGTCTCTACTAAAAATACAAAAATTAGCCCCGCGTAGTGGTGCATGCATGTAATCTACCCGGGAGGCTGAGGCAGGAGAATTGCCAGAACCCGGGAGGCAGAGGCTGTAGTGAGCCAAGATCATGCCACTGCACTCCAGCCTGGGCTACAGAGTGAGAATCTGTCTCAAAAAGAAAAGAAAAAAAGGGAAAAGAAAAGAAAAAGAAAAGGAAAATAAATTTCAGCTGACCTAAACATTGCGCTTAGCAAAGTAGTTGATTTTCAAGTTTCTTATGTTGTCATGGACTAGAAACAAACAGTTCTTGTCTGTGGGTCTCACTTTGAGTAACACTTCTTAGATTATTGCAATAGTTAGAGATGACAGTGACTGGGACTGAAGCAATAATAGTAGAGATGGTAAGAAGTGGATATATTAGGGCTCTATCGTGATGGTAGAAACAGAAGGATTTGCTTAAAAATTCATGGAGGTAGGAGAAAGAGGGATTAAGGATAATTCTCAGAGTTTGAACTTGAGCAACAAAGTAGTTGGTAGTGGTGTTTACTGTGTTATAGAAGACCAGGAGAGAAGCAGCTTTGAGGGGAGATCTCAAATATTCTGTTTTGAACATGTCATCTTTGGGAAGCCTATTAGAAATCTCAATGGAGATGTTGGGCAAGTAGTCTTGAATGCCACAGAGAAGTTAGGGCTTTACATGTTTTAGAAAAAGGTAATTTGTTCACATGTTTCAAACATCAAAAAGTAAAATATCATAAAATTCAAAGTCTTTTTCTATGTTTGTCTCTCATTTCTCTAGTTCCTACTTTACTCCCTTCCTTCTTAGTTTCTTATGTATCCTCAAAAGTTTCTTTATTTAGATCTATATTTAATAAAGTTTCTTTATTTAGATCTATATTTTACCACGTGTGAAAATATTTTTAAGTTTGTTTATGCCTGTACAAGCATATACAAATACACATGCTTGTTTTCACTCCATTTTACACAAAAGTAATATTTATATGTATATTATAAGCTAAATGTTTGACTTCCCCCAAATCCATTTGTTGAAATCCTAACCCCTTATATAATAGTATTAGTAGGTGAGGCCATTGGGAGGTATCTATGTCAGTTTGGGTTGCTATAACAGAATACCATAGACTGGGTGTTTTAAACAACAAACATTTATTTCTTACAGGTCCTCTGCTTGATTAGGTCCAGCCTTGATCTTCCCTCTTGGTCCTTGTGGAATCCAGTTTGGACAGTCAGTTTAGGGAAAATCCCTTATCCTTGGTATCTTCTCATTGTATCTTCACATGGTTGGTGGAAAGATGAGAGAGAGAGAGGGAGGGAGGGAGAGAGGGGGAGAGAGAGAGAGAGAGAGAGAGAAAGAGCCATCTGCAAACAGGACGAGTGCTCTCACTAGACACTGCATCTGCTGGAGCCTTCCTCTTGTACTTCTCCACCTGCAGAGCTGTGAGAAGTAAGTGTTTATTATTGAAGTCACCCAATCTGTGGTATTCTGTTATAGCAGCCCAAATTGACTAAGATAATACATATTTTTCTGCACTTTGCTGTTTTCTCTTAATAGCATACCTCAAGTTTTTTTTTGTAACAGTGTATAGCTTCCTCATTTTTAAATTCAATAGCTACACAGTATTTGGTTATAAGGATATACTGTAATTTATTTAACCAGTTTCCTATTGATATAATTAGGATAGTTGGCATAATTTCCAACTGGTTGATTTCCAAAGTCTCTTTCAAATTCGAAGATTCATAATACCCTCTATCAAATGAGTATTTTCAGAACTATCCCTTCCTTTTCTTCCCCCAAAAAGGAGTGCTAAAAATTATTTATGATACTTGTTAAAGATTGTTAAGGTGGGCTGGGTGCAGCGGCTCACACCTATAATCTCAGCACTTTGGGAAGCTGAGGCGGGTGGATCACTTGAGGTTAGGAGTTCACGACTGGCCTGACCAGCATGGTGAAACCCCGTCTCTACTAAAAAATACAAAAATTAGCCAGGATGGTGGCACACACCTGCAGTCCCAGATACTTGGGAGGCTGAGGCATGAGAATCGCTTGAACCTGAGAGGTGGAGGTTGCAATGAGCTGAGATCATGCCGCTGTACTCCAGCCTGGGTGACAGAGTGAGACTCTGTTAAAGAAAAAAAAAAAAACAGAGATGGCAAGGAGGACTTTATTCAAGGGGGCCATGGAGATAGGTGTAGGGAACATGCCAATGGGGTCTTGCAGTGAGGGGAAGAGATTTGACTCAACTCTGACTTCAACAAGAACAGGTGGAGTTTCATAACTAAGAAGCAGAGTTGGGGGGTCAGGGATTGGAAAATTACTCAGAGGAAACATCAAGGATAAGAGGTTTTTGGCTAAACTGACTTGATAGGGATTATGGCTGGAGGCAGGCCTGTATTACAAGATATAGAGGGTGGTCAGATACAAAAACTGACTTAGTAGTATTCCTGCTCAAACTGAATTCAACAAGGACAGAGAGGGTAGCCCAAGATCAGGCATGGTCAGAGGACACAAAAGAGACTGACTAAAGTTTTGGTCAAAAGGGAGAGTTTTTGTCAAAATGCATAAATTGTGTTCTGGTAATTCTAATAATTTTTAAGATGTTATTGCCATGATTAGCTTACAAAGTCTTCAACATTTATTTAACAAATATTTATTAAATATCAACTAACAATATATGTCTAACACTGTTCTAGGTGTTGGAAACACAGCAATGAACAGACAAAAATCTCTGTCATAGAATTTACATTTTAATGGGCAAGAACAAAGGATAAAGGGAAATATAAGGTATGTTAGATACTGATGAGAACTAAGAAGAAAAGAAAGTTGGGAAAGAGAATAGGGAGTGTTTTTGTGTTTGTGTGAAAGTGTTTACATTTTAGATAGGATGACCAGGGAAGTCTTTGCTGTGAAGGACATATTTAGTCAAGGTCTGAAGGAAGTGGGAGGGTAAGTCCTATGGATTTGTGGGGGTAAAAACATTCTGGGCAGATGGCAGATAACACTGTTTGAGACATTTTTCAGTGATTCCAATGCTTGGGTTATTGGAGAGCTCTTTGGCGTCTGTTGCTTGAATCTGTTTTCTCTACCATGGTCCCACTGACCTTCCATTTTCACCTAGCTCCCTGGCTTCCCACTCTGGATGCTAGGATGAGTATGATGAAGAGGACTGAATATTGTTTTTCCGACTCCTTAGGCCTTTGTTTCAATCTCTTTTTCTAGGCTGCTTCTCATCTGTTTCCCTGGCTGTGTTTCTCTGTTAGGCTGCCATCTTGGTCTCTAATTTCTGCTGTGCTGTGCCTTACTCCACTTCTGTAACAACTTTAAGCCAAGACTGAGCCCATTAGATCAAAGCCTGTTTAAAATGAAACTGGGCCTGGTAAAATGACCAAATTAATCCCTCTTAATTAAGTGAGAATAAAGGAATGCAGACATTTCAACTACAGAGATAAACGAAAGGAGAAGCAGGAAAATCAAAGCCAATCCAGACCAATTACTGATATGTATAAACACCCTCAAGCTTAGCACTATTTTGTCAGGCCCAGAACTGCTCCCTAGGGTGAAGCCCCTTTAAATTTAATAAGGTGGCTTCAGGCCACAGATATTCCATTGATCCAATTAACTTTACTTGTTCAACTCTAATCTTCTATTCTCACTTTTGAGAACTCCACTTTGTTCTTTATAACGGCTTGGATCAATTCCCTGATGTGTGTTTGGTATCCTTTTAGAAAGGTCCTCCTACATTTTTTTTTCTCTCTCTGGTTTATATTGGTTTCTAGTGTCTGGATTCCTGGAATAGTCAAGCAAGACTATTGTTTTTCTTTAAGGTCTCCGTAAGCCATAGCCCCTGGTCTTGAATTCTCACCCCTTAGAGGGCAATGCAGTGCTCCTCAAATTCTCTGCTCTATTCTAATAACAGCCTGTGCAATTCTGTCTTTCCAGCTGGGTTAACTACTGGGAGGCTATTTTATGGCAGTATCAGAATATATAGAATATGCTAATGTAAAAATATCAGTGCTAGGAAGTTAACAAAGCCCAGGGGTTGGAAAAATTTAATGAGAGTCAAAGGGTTATGATAAAAAAAACTTATAAAAATTGTTAGGAGCAACATTAAAAATTTTTTTAATTTTATTTTTCCATAAGTTATTGGGGTACAGGTGGTATTTGGTTACATGATTAAGTTATTTAGTGGAGATTTGTGAGATTCTGGTGTACCCATCACCCGAGCAGTATATGCTGCACCCTATTTGTTGTCTTTTATCCCTTGCCCCCACTCCCTCTCTTTCCCCCAAATCCCCAAAGTCTACTATATCATTCTTATGCCTTTGTGTCCTCATAGCTTAGCTCCCACATATCAGTGAGAACATACGTTGTTTGGTTTTCCATTCCTGAGTTACTTCACTTAGAATAATAGTCTCTAATCTGATCCGGGTCATTGCAAATGCTGTTAGTTCATTCCTTTTTATGGCTGAGTAGTATTCCAGCGTGTGTGTGTGTGTGTGTGTGTGTGTGTGTGTGTGTGTGTGTATTTCACATTTCTTCATCCACTTGCTGATTGATGGGCATTTGGGTTGGTTCCACGATTTTGCTATTGTGAATGGTGCTGCTATAAACATGTGTGTGCAAGTATCTTTTTCAAATAATGATTTCTTTTCCTCTGGATAGATACCCAGTAGTGGGATTAGTGGATCAAATGGTAGTTCTACTTTTAGTTCTTTAAGGAATCTCCACACTGATTTCCATAGCAGCTGTACTAGTTTACGTTCCCACTACCAGTGTAGAAGTGTTCCCTGATTGCATCCATGCCAACATCTACTGTTTTTTAATTCTTTGATTATGGCCATTCCATGCCAACATCTACTGTTTTTTAATTCTTTGATTATGGTCATTCTTACAGGAGTATGGTGGTACTGCATTGTGGTCTTGATTTGTATTTCCTTAATCATTAGTGATGTTGAGCATTTTTTCATATGTTTGTTGGCCATTTGTATATCTTCTTTTGAGAATTGTCTATTCATGTCCTTAGCCCACTTTTTGATGGGATTGATTATTTTTTTTCTTACTGATTTATTTGAGTTCATTGTAGATTCTGGATATTAGTCTGTTGTCAGATATATAGATTGTGAAGTTTTTCTCCCACTCTGTGGGTTGTCTGTTTACTCTGCTGTTTTTTCTGCCATGCAAAATCTCTTCAGTTTAATTAGGTCCCAGCTATTTATCTTTGTTTTTATTGTGATTGGTTTTGAGTTTTTGGTCATGAAATCTTTGCCTAAGCCAATGTCTAGAAGGGTTTTTCCAATGTTATCTTCTATAACTTTTATAGTTTCAGATCTTAGGTTTAAGTCCTTAATCCATCTTGAGTTGATTTTTGCATAAGGTGAGAGAAGAGAATCCAGTTTAATTCTCCCACATGTGGCTAGCCAATTATCCCAACACTGTTTGTTGAAATAGGTGTCCTTTCCCACTTTGTTTTTGTTTGCTTTGTCAACGATCAGTTGGCTGTAAGTATTTGGGTTTATTTCTGGGTTCTCTATTCTGTTCCATTGGCCTATGTGCCTATTTTTATTCCAGTACCATGCTGTTTTGGTGATGATGGCCTTATAGTATAGTTTGAAATCAGGTAGTGTGATGCCTCCAGATTTGTTCTTTTTGCTTAGTCTTGCCTTGGCTGTGTGGGCTCCTTTTTGGTTCCATATGAATTTTAGAATTGTTTTTTCTAACTCTGTGAAAAATGATGGTGGTATTTTGATGGGGATTGTGTTGACTTTGTAGATTGCTTTTGGCAGTTTGGTTATTTTCACAATATTGATTCTACCCATCCATAAGTATGGGATGTGTTTCCATTTTTTGTGTCATCTATGATTTCTTTCAGCAGTATTTTGTAGTTTTTCTTGTAGATGTCTTTCAACTCTTTTGTTAGGTATATTCTTAAGTATTTTACTTTTTTTACAGCTATTGTAAAAGGGGTTGAATTCTTGATTTGATTGTCTGCTTGGTCGCTGTTGGGGTATAGGAGAACTACTGATTTGTGTACATTAATCTTCTATCTGGAAACTTTGCTGAATTCGTTTGGCAGTTCTAGGAGATTTCTGGAGGAGCCCTTAGGGTTTTCGAGGTAAACAATCATATTGTCAGCAAAAATTGACAGTTTGACTTTCTCTTTACCAATTTGGATGCCCTTTATTTCTTTCTGTTGTCTGATTGTTCCGGCTAAGACTTCCAGTACTATGTTGAAAAGGAGTAGTGAGAGTGGGCATCCTTGTCCTGTTCCCATTCTCAGGGGGAATGCTTTCAACTTTTCCCCATTCAGTATTGTGTTGGCCTTGGTTTTGTCATAGATGGAGACAGAGCCTTGCTCTGTCACCAAGGCTGGAGTGCAGTGCATGATCTCGGCTCACTGCAACCTCCACTTCCTGGGTTCAAGTGATTCTCTCGCCTCAGACTGTCAAGTAGCTTGGACTACAGATGTGGTCCACCATTCCCAGCTAATTTTTGTATTTTTAGTAGAGATGGGGTTTCACCATGTTGGCCAGGCTGGTCTCAAACTCCTGACCTCAAGTGATCTACTCACCTTAGCCTCCCAAAGTGCTGGGATTACAGGCATAAGCTACTGCACCCAGCCGCAACATTAAAGTTTTATACCAATCTTGTTGCCAGGGCAAAAGGCTCCTCACAGGCTCTGATAAGGTTTGGATTTGTGACCCTGCCCAAATCTCATGTTGAATTGGAGGAACAGCCTGGTAGGAGGTGATTGGATCATGGGGGAGGATTTTCCCCTTGCTGTTGTCTTGATAGTGAGTGAATTCTCATGAGATTTGATGATTTAAAAGTGTGTGGCACTTCACCTTCATTCTCCTGCTCCACCATGGTAAGACATGGTTGCTTCCCCTTCACCTTCTGCCATGATTGTACATTTCCCAAGGCCTCCCAGTCATGCTTCCTGTTAAGCCTGTGGAAGTGTGAGTCAATTAAACCTATTTTCTTCATAAATTACCCAGTCTCATGTAGTTCTTTATAGCATTGTGAAAACTAACTAATACAGAAAATTGGTACCAGGAAAGTGGGGCATTGCTATAAAGATACCTGAAAATGTGAAAGCAACTTTGGGATTGAGTAACGGGCAGAGGTTGGAACAGTATGGACAGCTCAGAAGAAGGCAGGAAGATGAGGAAAAGTTTGGAACTTCCTAGGGACTTGTTGCATGGTTTTGACCAAAATGCTGACAGTGATATGGACAATGAAGTTCTGACTGAGATAGTCTCAGATGGAGATGAGGAACTTACTTGGAACTGGAGTTTACTCTTGCTATGCTTTAGCAAAGACACTGGTGGCATTTTGCTCCTGCCCTAGAGACTGTGGAACTTTATACTTGAGACAGATGATTCGGGGCACCTGGCAGAAGAAATTTCTAAACATCACAGCTTTCAAGATGAGACCTGGTTGTTTCTAAAAGTGTATGCCCATAAGCATAATCAGAGAGATTTTCTGAAACTGGAACTTATATTTACAAGGGAAGCAGAGCATAAAAGTTTGGAAAATTTGCAGCCTGGCAATGTGGTGGAGAAGAAAAAATCCATTTTCTGGGGAGAAATTTAAGCTGGCTATAGAAATTTGCATATGTAAAAAGAAGCCAATGTTAGTAACCAAGACAATGAGGAAAATGTCTCCAGGGCATGCCGGAGAACTTTAGTGGCAGCCTCTCCTATCATAAACCCTGAGGCTAGTAGGAAAAAATGGTTTTGTGGGCCAGGCCCATGGTCCAGCTGCTCTATGCAGCCTTGGGACATGGCATCCTGCATGTCAGCTGCTCCTGCTCCAGCTGTGGTGAAAAGGGGTCAAGGTACAACTCAGGCCATTGCTTCAGAGGGTGCTAGCCTCAAGCCTTGGTGGCTTCCACGTGGTGTTGGGCCTGTGGTTGCGCAGAAGGCAGGAGTTGAGGTTTGGAAGCCACCACCTAGATTTTAGAGGTTTTATGGAAACACCTGGATGTCGAGGCAGAAGTCTGCTGCAGGGGTGAGGCCCTCAGGGATGACCTCTACTAGGGCAGTGTGGAGAGGAAATATGGAGTTGGAGCCTCCACACAGAGTCCCCACTGGGGCACTGCCTAGTGGAGCTGTGAGAAGAGGGCACTGTCCTTCAGGCCCAAAATGTTAGATCCATTGACAGCTTGCACCATGTGCCTGGAAAAGCTACAAGAACTCAACCCCAGCCTGTGAAAGCAGCTGGGAGGACTGTACCCTGCAGAGCCACAGGATCAGAGCTGCCCAAGGCCATGGGAGCCCACCCCTTGCATCAGCATGCCCTGGAGGTGAGACATGGCATCAAAGGAGATCATTTTGAAACTTTAAGATTAAATGATTGGCCTGCAGGATTTTGGACTTTCATGGGGCCTGTAACCCCTTTGTTTTGGCAAATTTCTCCCATTTGGAACAGGAGCATTTACCCAATTCCTGTATCCCCATTGTATATTTGAAGTAACTAACTTGTTTTTGATTTTACAGGCTCATAGGCAGAAGGGACTTACTTTGTCTCAGATGAGACTTTGGACTGTGAACTTGTGAGTAAATGCTGAAATGAGTTAAAACTGGGGGCCTATTGAGAAGGGATAATTGTATTTTGCAATGTCAGAAAGACATGAGATTCGGGAGGGTCTGGGGCAGAATGATATGGTTTGAATTTGGGTCCCTGCCCAAATCTCATGTCAAATTGGAGGAGGGGCCTGGTGGAAGGTGATAGAATCATGGGGGCGGATTTCTCCCTTGTTGTTCTCATAAGATTGAGTGAATTCTCATGTGATCTGATGGTTTAAAAGTGTGTTGCGCTTCTCCTTTTGCTCTCTCTTCTGCTCCACCATGGTAAGATGTACTTGCCTCCCCTTCCCCTTCTGCCATCATTGTAAGTTTCCTGAGGACTCCTGGTCATGTTTCTTAAGCTTGTAGAACTGTCAGCCTATTATTCTTAGTAAACTCCCTTTCATAAATGCATATATCCTATTAGTTCTGGCCCTCTGGAGAACCCTAACTAATACATCATCCAAGAGTGAACAGTGTTTCTCTCTCAGTATGGTGATTCTGTATTGAGATTTCCTCTGTGGTTTACTATGTTTTCTCAGATTTTTCTTCTGAGAAATGTTGATGTTCAGAAAACAAATGGATATTCTAAAAATCTAGAGGCTCCCTTTATAGCAATGTGAGAATGAACTAATACAGACTAATTCAAATATTCACACCCATTAGGACCATTTGATAGGAACAGAGAATGATTATGTAATTATTATGCTAGCTATGTTAAAAAATCTGGTTTGAGGGCGCTAGATTTTTCACTGGGAGTCAATTGGATGTGGAGAGTGGAGTTTTCTAGAACAAGTCTTCTTTTTTAAAAAATACACTGAATATAATTTGAGCATTTATATGTACAGACACTATCAAAAGACAAAATTATAACAAATTTAAATATCTTAATTTGTTTTATTTGTGATTCTAGAATTGGACAACACCTTATTTTATAAATTAGGATGAGTATTCTGATAGCCTAACAGAAGAGGTTGGTCTTATAGACAGAAAAGAATGGAGAAAAGCAGAAACAGAAAACAAAAAGTGGACTGGTCATTTCAAAGTTACTTTTCCTGTAAAGGTTAAAGCAAAGAAGACTTCCTTAATATGCTGGCTAAAATGGGCCTGTTTGGAGATTTGGCTATTATCTCTCTCTCTTCTGATTTCTTCAAAGCTCATATAAAGATCTAAGTGTCTTTGTGGCACGGAACTTAAGCATAAGTAACCCCATTTTGGTTTTGTCTACTGGGCATAGTGTATGAGCTCAGTCCAATCCAATGGCCTCCTGTAACTTTTATTTAATAGTTCCCCCTTTTGGTCACCAAGGTGAGAGTGTGACAAAAACTTAAGGTACCAGTGATACTCTTAGTCACAATCATTTTTGGTTTTCAGTCCTAGCACATCATTCGTAGGTTATGATGTCCTTATTATTGTGCATTTTTTTGGAGTTTTCATTATTCCAGCTGGAAAGAGACCATTTAGTATTGAACAAATGGTTGCACATAGATGTTTAAGACTTTTAGAGAGGATATAGTGCATCAGGGATACTACTATATGACTATAAGGAGGATAATACTAAGAGTTTAGAGTATGCCCCTTAGTCAGGGTCCACATGAATCAAGCTAACTGCAATCAAATAGATCAAAGAATGAACCAGATAGGAAATCTACCTATTTTAGGCAAGTAGCCTGTTTGTTCTATTTATTCATATGCAGCAAGAAATGTTAGCAACTGCACAGATTCTTCTCTGTTCAGCTAGTAGGTTGCAATTCTGTTATCTAATATTCCCTAACTTAATTTGGCATGACAAATCCAACATTTTTGTCAAGTTACCCACAGATTGCAAAATTTCAACTACAGCATTATTCTGCCAAGAGAAAAAGCTAGGCACAGCAAGGAAAACTTAAGAGTTGTAGCCAGATATTAAAGGAAACTAGAAAAATTTAGGATCCAGTTTAGTCTACAGGTAGATGATAAAAACTCAGAAACAATGGACAGGTCTACAGTCCAATAAAAGGTATAGTATAGTTTTTCTTTTTTCTTTTCTTTTTAAATTTTTTTTGAGACACAGTTTCACTTTTGTTGCCCAGGGTGGAGTGCAATGGCACATCTTGGCTCACCGCAGCTTTTGCCTTCAGGATTCAAACGATTCTCCAGCCTTAGCCTCCTAAGTAGCTGGGACTACAGGTGTGCACCACCACACCTGGCTAATTTTTTATTTTTAGTAGAGATGAGGTTTCTCCATGTTGGTCAGGCTAGTTTTTTTTCTGAAACATAATTTTTCTCTTAGCAGTCACCCCCATTTCTACCAAAGATAATCAAAGTAAAACTAATTTGTTTGAGCTGAATCAAACTTGGCCTGATTATTTACTTAAGTACAGCCGGAATAGTGATTCACCACATAGGCTCTTTTAAAGTTTGCTTTGCTGGAACTTTGGATAAGAAATTTCAGAGAGAACTTGCAAAAGCCTCTCAAGGATAGGAAACCAAACCAATATTTCCAGTTGTATCCTGTTATAAAGAGAATGAGTTCTTTTTGAACTTGTACAAATAACTGTATTGCCATAAAAATAAGAACATTCATGAGTAGTTTCTGAATTCTGGAGGGATCATGTCGAGAGAAAAAGTAAATATTTCAATTTTATTCACAAGAGTATACTTATACTTTACCATATAGCTGTGATCTATAGATAGCTTAAAAGGAAAAATGTTTCCTGGAAAACCAAAGAACCAGCAAAATTTCAAATAAAAAACTCAGAAAAATCCATAATTCTTCTTTTTATTTTATTTTATTTTTTTATTATACTTTAAGTTCTAGGGTACATGTGCACAATGTACAGTTTTGATACATAGGTATACATGTGCCATGTTGGTTTGCTGCACCCATCAACTCGTCATTTACATTACATTAGGTATTTCTCCTAGTGCTATCCCTCCCCCAGCACCCCCCACCCCCGACAGGCCCTGGTGTGTGATGTTCCCCGTCCTGTGTCCAAGTGATCTCATTGTTCAATTTCCACCTATGAGTGAGAACATGCAGTGTTTGGTTTTCTGTCCTTGTGATAGTTTGCTGAGAATGATGGTTTCGAGCTTCATCCATGTCCCTGCAAATGACGTGAATTCATCCTTTTTTGTGGCCGCATAGTATTCCATGGTGTATATGTGCCACATTTTCTTAATCTAGTCTATCATTGATGGACATTTAGGTTGGTTCCAAGTCTTTGCTATTGTGAATAGCTCACGGCAGCTTTGAACTTCTGGGCTCAAGTGATCCTTCTGCCTCAGACTTCTGAGTATCAGGACTACAAGTGCATCACTTTTTTTTTTTGACAATACTTCTCATATAACATATCAAACAAGACGGATTAACATGCTCTTTTAAAATTGTAAATGTTCAGTGTTTTCCGGGGGCTGAACTGGAAAGTCCTGAAGTTAATTTCAGGTCAAAAAAGACTTAATTTAGGATTTAATTTTGGGAAGTTTGTCCAAAATGTTAAAAGTTGAAAAACATTTATTATAGTTGTTTATTTAATCAGAGTGACACTATCAGATTTTTATGGCAAATATAGAAGTTTATGTTACAGGTAGTTAGGCAGACAGGGCTTTCCCACTCACTAGGAATTTTGGGTGATGGTTTGACAATTATCACATTGTCTGTCTAAAAGTGATAAACTGGCAGCTGGCACCAGGGAGAGGCCATTTTCTGATGGTTTACACCTGTTGTGCTAAAGTATTAATTGAATGCAAGTGCCACAGAGAAGCAACTTCCTGGGCATGCACATTAAAAGACAAATGGTGGATTATGACCTTTCAAGGGTACGACACCAGAAAAAGGAGGAAACCCTGAGATGGGCATGCATAAAACTTCCTAAGCACACTGCATGTGCTCACTTTCCAAGGCTAAATAGGGCACTGTGCATGAGGGCAGCCCCCGCTAAGGGAAGACTCATGGGAAAGGACAGCCTGTAAAATCCTAGGATCACAGATAAACAGGGCACTTGTCCTTCAAGTTGCCCTCTTGGGTCTCTTCCAAGCGTACTTTCCTTTCTTTCCTGTTCTAAAGCTTTTTAAAACAAAACATCCACACCTTGCTCTCTTTTTTTGCCTTATGGCCTTCAGTCGAATTCTTTCTTCTAAGGAGGCAAGAATTGAGGTTGCTGCAGACCCATATGGATTTACCACCAGTAACACAGATACCTTCCACCAGTAATAGTTACAGAGTTGTGAGCAAAAACCTCATTCTTTTGATATTGAGAAGACTCACTTTTTAAACAAATATCAAAGAACTGATAAAAGACAGCACAAAGCACAAGAAATTATCTTGATAAAACACAAAATCTTTTTTTCCTAGCCAATTACCTAAAAGGTAAAGAAAAACCTTTCACTATTTTCTATTAAGAGCAGATCAATATTCCAAGAAAACCTTGTTTTAACATACAGAACCAAATTCTAGTTTTGCATCAGTGTACTTTTGATATTAATTCTCATTTTTTAGAAAAAACTTAGAACTTTTTTCATAATCTTAGCCAGTTTGATTGCACATAAAAATTCTTTCACAAGATTCATTTTTCACAAATGTTTTACAACTTTCTTATCCATTCAATTTTTGCCCTATATTTTCTTATTTTTCATCTCGAAACAACTACTCTACTTTATGACAAAAATTACTCTCTTTTGTTGGGTGTGGTGCCTCACTCCTGTAATCCCAGCACTTTGGGAGGCTGAGATCACTTGAGGTCAAAAGTTTGAGACCAGCCTGGCCAACATGGTGAAACTCCATTTCTACTAAAAAAAACAAAAACAAAAAAAACAAAAAACAAAATCAGCCAGGCATGGTGGCACACTCCTGTAGTCTCAGCTACTCAGGAGGCGAGGCAGGAGAATCACTTGAACCCAGGAGGCGGAGGCTTCAGTGAGCCAAGATCATGTCACTGTACTCCAGCTGGGTGAGAGAGTGAAACTCCATCTCAAAAAAAAAAAAAAAAAAAAAGAAAAGAAATATTAAATCTGCCAACTTTTTCTCCTGGTTACTCTCCCACCATGAAGTCAAAAAGAAAGCTGGATAAAGTATTTATGAAGGACAAATCAAGTGAATTGGCTTCTTTTTCAGAGTTATCCATGCTAACTCTAGGCATAGGGAATGTATTCTTGGCCCTGGAGTCAGTTATCTAGTTAAGAAACAAAGCTAAGTTTAAAGACCACCTATCAAACTAAACCAGTCTCCAAAATACACCTTTATGGGAATTTAGCTAGCTATTTTGAAATTCTTTGTAAGAAATTTACAACTATAAAAGAAATCTCCCTTTGTAGGACTGTGTCCCTCTCTGCACCAGGAAGAGAGAGAGAGCTAGAAAGGAGAGAATGTCACTAGAAACGCTTACAATGGAAAAGGCATTGGCTTAAGTTTATATAACAAGTCTCACCTTTGACAATTTTGTCTTAACAAGGTTTCCTACTTAGATCTTTGTGCCGGCAAATAATGGTGTTTAAGTTCTGTGCCTTTAAGATGTAAATTTCCTACCTTGTTTCACCTAAGAGTCATCCCTTTGGAAGTAAAAATTTTGGGTTGTTGGGATAGCGATTGCTTAGGGCAATGGAAGATGTAACTAAAAGACTTACAGTCTGAAAGGGGAAGGTAAACTATTTGGAAACTGGGAAAATGAAAAGTTTTAATGAAGGCTATATGATCTGCTTCTGCCTGTATTTTTATATATGTCTGTATGTGTGTGTATGTTGTATTTGTGTGATATTTTTCCACCTCAGATGATATTGCCAAAATTTATAAAGAGTTCTATTCAGCTTAAAGTAAAAAAAGTGCTAATATAAAATATTCTCTCACAAAAATAAAAACTAACTCAAATGGCTTTTAGTTCTTGTGAGCTGAGATAACCTTCAGTAAGTAAAGCTAGTTTTTAAAAATGTTGATAAAATAAAAACAGAAATGTCTTCAAAATTGTCAGCATTTACATTATAAGTGTGCATTTTTAAACCTAGATTTAATATCAAATGAGCTTGTTATCTCCTAGATATATGAGATCATAAAGCTATAAATCCTGTCCTTGGCTAGTTTTAAGGAGCAATTCAAGCATAGTTATTATGAATGAGTCATTAGCTTTGCACAGTGGCAGTAGTGTAGCTAGTGAGGTTTATCCGAGGTGCAGTTATTGCTAATTAAAAACTTTTTGTCACCATTCCAAGATGGCTGAATAGGAACAGCTCTGGTCTACAGCTCCCAGCAAGATCGATGAAGAAGATGGGTGATTTCTGCATTTCCAACTGAGGTACCTGGTTCATCTCATTGGGACTGGTTGGATAGTGGGTGTAGCCCATGGAGGGTGAGCCAAAGCAGGGTGGGGCATCGCCTACCTGGGAAGTGCAAGGGGTCAGGGGATTACCATTTCCTAGCCAAGGGAACCCGTGACAGACTGTACCTGGGAAAACGGGACACTCCTGCACAAATACTGCACTTTTCCTATGGTCTTAGCAACCAGCAGACCAGGAGATTCTTTCCTGTGCCTGGCTCAGTGGGTCCCATGCCCATGGAGGCTTGCTCACTGCTAGTGCAGCAGTCTGAGATCAACTTGTGAGGCTGCAGCCTGGCGGAGGGAGGCATGTCTGCCATTACTGAGGCTTGAGCAGGTAAACAAAGCGGCCAGGAAGCTTGAACTAGATGGAGCCCACCGCAGCTCAGCAAGGCCTACTGCCTCTATAGACTCTACATCCATGGGCAGGGCATACCTGAACAAAAGGCAGCAGAAACTTCTGCAGACTTAAACGCCCCTGTGTGACAGCTCTGAAGAGAGCAGTGGTTCTCCCAGCATGGTGTTTGAGCTTTGGGAACAGACAGACTGCCTCCTCAAGTGGGTCCCTGACCCCATTGTAGCCTAACTGGGAAACACTTCCCAGTAGGGGCCGACAGACACCTCATACAGGTGGGTGCCCCTCTGGGATGAAGCTTCCAGAGGAAGGATCAGGCAGCAATATTTGCTGTTCTGCAGCCTCCGCTGGTGATACCCAGGCAAACAAGGTCTGGAGTGGACTACCAGCAAACTCCAACAGACCTGCAGCTGAGGGACCTGACTGTTAGAAGAAAAACTAACAAACAGAAAGGAATAGTATCAACATCAACAAAAAGGACATCTGCAACAAAACCCCATGTGTAGATCACCAACATCAAAGACCAAAAGTAGATAAAACCACAAATATGGGGAGAAACCAGAGCAGAAAAGCTGAAAATTCTAAAAACCGAGTGCCTCTTCTCCTCCAAAGGATCATAGCTCCTCGCCAGCAGTGGAACAAAGCTGGATGGGGAATGATTTTGATGAGTTGACAGAAGTAGGCTTCAGAAGGTCGGTAATAACACACTTCTCCAAACTAAAGGAGCATGTTCTAACTGTCGCAAGGAAGGTAAAAACCTTGAAAAAAGGTTAGACTAATGGCTAACTAGAATAAACAGTGTAGAGATAACCTTAAATTACCTGATGGAGCTGATAACCATGGCATGAGAACTTCGTGACACATGCACAAGCTTCAATAGCCAATTCAATCAAGTGGAAGAAAGGATATCAGTGATTGCGGGTCAAATTAATGAAAAAAGCGAGAAGACAAGTTTAGAGAAAAAAGAGTAAAAAGAAATGAACAAAGCCCCAAGAAATATGGGACTATGTGAAAAGACCAAACCTATGTTTGATTGGTGTACCTGAAAGTGATGGGAAGAATGGAACCAAGTTGGAAAACATTCTGCAGGATATTATCCAGAACTTCCCCAACCTAGCAACGCAGGCCAACATTCAAATTCAGGAAACACACAGAAGTCCACAAAGATAGTCCTCGAAAACAGCAACTCCAAGACACATAATTGTCAGATTCACCAAGGGTGAAATGAAGGAAAAAATGTTAAGGTCAGTGAGAGAGAAAGGTCGGGTTACCCACAAAGGGAGGCCCAGCAGCCTAACAGCAGATCTCTTGGCAGAAACTCTACAAGCCAGAAGAGAGTGGGGGCCAATATTCAACATTCTTAAAGAAAAGAATTTTCAACCCAGAATTTCATATCCAGCCAAACTAAGCTTCATAAGTGAAGGAGAAATAAAATTCTTTACAGACAAGCAAATGCTGAGAGATTTTGTCACAACCAGGCCTGCCCTAAAAGAGCTCCTGAAGGAAGCACTAAACATGGAAAGGAACAACTGGTACCGGCCACTGCAAAATCATGCCAAATTGTAAAGACCATCGATGCTAGGAAGAAACTGCATCAACTAATGAGCAAAATAACCAGCTAACATCATAATGACAGGATCAAATTCACACGTAACAATATTGACCTTAAATGTAAATGGGCTAAATGCTCCAATTAAAAGACACAGTCTGGCAAATTGGATGAAGGATCAAGACCCATCAGTGTGCTGTATTCAGGAGACCCATCTCATGTGCAGAGACACACATAGGCTCAAAATAAAGGGATGGAGGAAGATCTGTCAAGCAAATGGAAAACCAAAAAAAGGCAGGGGTTGCAATCCTACTCTCGGATAAAACAGACTTTAAACAAACAAAGATCAAAAGAGACAAAGAAGGCCATTACATAATGGTAAAGGGATCAATTCAACAAGAAGAGCTAACTATCCTAAATATATATGCACCTAATACAGGAGCACCCAGATACATAAAGCAAGTCCTTAGAGACCTACAAAGAGAATTAGACTCCCACCCAATAATAATGGGAGACTTTAACACCCCACTGTCAACATGGGACAGATCAATGAGACAGAAAGTTAAAAAGGATATCCAGGAATTGAACTCAGCACCAAGTGGACCTAATAGACATCTATGGAACTCTCCACCCCAAATCAACAGAATATACATTCTTCTCAGCACCACATCGCACTTATTCCAAAATTGACCACATAGTTGGAAGTAAAGCTCTCCTCAGCAAATGTAAAAGATCAGAAATTATAACAAACTGTCTCTCAGACCACAGTGCAATCAAACTAGAACTCAGGATTAAGAAACTCACTCAAAACCACTCGACTACATGGAAACTGAACAACCTGCTCCCGAATGACTACTGGGTACATAACAAAATGAAGGCAGAAATAAACATGTTCTTTGAAACCAACGAGAACAAAGACACAACATACCAGAATCTCTGGGACACATTTATAGCAGTGTGTAGAGGGAAATTTACAGCACTAAATGCCCACAAGAGAAAGCAGGAAAGATCTAAAATTGACACCCTAACATCACAATTAAAAGAACTAGAGAAGCAAGAGCAAACACATTCAAAAGCTAGCAGAAGGCAAGAAATAACTAAGAACAGAGCAGAACTGAAGGAGATAGAGACACAAAAAACCCTTCAAAAAATCAATGAATCCAGGAGCTGGTTTTTTGAAAAGATCAACAAAATTGATAGACTGCTAGCAAGACTAATTAAGAAGAAAAGAGAGAAGAATCAAACAGATGCAATAAAAAATGATAAAGGGGATATCACCACTGATCCCACAGAAATACAAACTACCGTCAGAGAATACTATAAACACCTCTATGCAAATAAACTGCCTCTGTGCATATTTTACGTTTGTCCTAAAGGTTTCTCCATATAGAGTAAACTGCAATCTAACTTGTGTCAACAGACTGTAATCCACTCTTGTAAAAAGTAGCTGAGTCTCAGCCAATCACAGCAGTTGAGTTTCAGTCAATCATAGGCAGCCATCTGTAAAAATGAAGTTGAATTCAGGTGAACACTGAATTCTAACTAATCTAGATGTCACTGTACCTCATTTTCATTTTCTGTATATCACTTACTTTTCTATGGCTGTAAATATAACCTGCACATGTGATGGGGCAGAACAGTTTGAACCATTTTTGTCCAGACTGCTGCCTGATTCTAGAATCACAAATAAAAGCCATAGGATCTATAAAACCATATTTGTTGTAATTTTATCTTTTAACAATTCTTATGAAGTCCAAAGTAGGAAATTTGTTTACTAAAATCTGATAATAGATGTGACTGTTACTGAGGCTCATGTGTAAATTCAAGGGAAAAACAGAAGGAGTACATTGTAGGTGCTCAAAAATTTTAAAATAAATGTATTTCAGAGAAATATTGGCCATTTACAGCAATTTGGGCTTATTATATTCATCATTTTCTGGATAATTAAAAACAATGTAAAAAGTGAAGTAGAAGCCCTCTTATCTGATTCTATATTTGGTCTTGTCACCATGAAAAACTATGCTCAGACTTGCAGATAAGTCATTTGGGTTTACTTAAAGATTAATATACCCAAATTTTCTGCCCTCCTTTTGTGAGAATTCCAGGCAGTTGTCAGAATAAAGCTTTTATACCATATATTGAGGTCAGCAGTGTAAGAGCAGTGTACTTTTAAGGGTCAAAAGTTTACACAAATATTCCCAGATAATGCCAGATGTTATGATTTGATTTTTAACCACAGACAGACTTTGTATTTCAGGTCATATAGACCCAAGTTCATTTTAGAATCAGACCATATATACATTCCACAGAAGTTTTTATCTAAATATACATGTATATAAAAAATGAGCATCTAAAGAAAAAACCCTTTAGTGTTAGTGAATCAAAAAAGTTCATTAAGTGGAGAATCCTTCAAAAGACAATAAGTACCTAAAATGTTTTACTTTAGAATAAAATATATAAATGAATATTTTACCAATCTTTTGATAGAGAGTGAAGCCTTTTTTTTTTTCTTAGATGGAGTTTTGCTCTTGTTGCCCAGGCTGGAGTGCAATGATGTGATCTTGGCTTACTGCAACTTTCACCTCCAGGGTTCAAGCGATTCTCCTGCCTCCACTTTCCAAGCAGCTGTGATTACAGTCATGTGACATCATGCCCGGCTAATTTTGTATTTTTAATAGAGATGGGGTTTCACTATGTTGGTCAGGCTAGTCTCAAACTCCTGACCCCGGGTGATCCACCTGCCTCGGCCTCCCAAATTGCTGGGATTACAGGCGTGAGCCACCTTGACCGGCCGGTGAAGGCTTTTATTAAAAATTATTTTTAAGCAGTTTGCTGATGTGAGGCTTTTAGGTTTAGAATTTTTTGAAGTTTTTATTACTTTATTTTCTATATTTTATAGTTTTCTTGTCTGTGTAGTTTCAAAAGAAAGTCTTTTTCTCCAATTATCTTTTCCTGAAGTCATCCCAAAGAATCCAACTTAGTTTTCTTTAACAACATTTTCTTTCTTTTTCAATGAATAATTCATCTGTATGTTATTTAATTAGACAAATTTAAAACAAGTACAATTGACATAAATAGTTCAGGATCAAACGATTGATGCTTCGAAAACGGGCACTTCATTCAGTGGGAGCTAGGGAGTGGAAGCACATCAGAGCCTACCTGCTTGGTCCCAAGACTTCCTCTTGTTTTGTGAGTCTATGTTTCAAAGCAGGAATGGAGAGCACTTGCTAGACAATTAATTGATGATGAGTTGAAAGAGACTCTATTTTACAAAGTTTTTGTTTGAGTTACCAGTACCGTAAAAGGAACAGCATTTTATTGTGAATTATTCATATTGTCTATTAATACTAACCAAGTTTTCAGGTACTTGTCTTTCCCTCACTAAAATGTACTGACATAAATTGGCCTAGCAATAGAGGGCATTTTGTGTTTGCTAAATGATTTGGTTCAAATTATTTCATATGCAACTGAAAAATATTTACCAATAAATTTAAGTGCCTATTCCATCACAAGAGGGCACTCAAGCTCCATTTTCAAAGCAAGTTTTATTTCAGGCATCAATTCTGGAGGAATTAAAATTGAAATAAAATTTAGACCTACACATTGAATTTCAACTTCAGTAAACTGTTTTTTTAAATTTTATTATTACTATACTTTAAGTTTTAGGGTACATGTGCACAATGTGCAGGTTAGTTACATATGTATACGTGTGCCATGCTGGTGTGCCGCACCCATTAACTCGTCATTTAGCATATCTCCTAATGCTATCCCTCCCCCCTCCCCCCACCCCACAACAGTCCCCAGAGTGTGATATTCCCCTTCCTGTGTCCATGTGTTCTCATTGTTCAATTCCCACCTATGAGTGAGAACACGTGGTGTTTGGTTTTTTGTCCTTGGGATAGTTTATTGAGAATGATGATTTCCAATTTCATCCATGTCCCTACAAAGGACGGGAACTCATCATTTTTTATGTCTGCATAGTATTCCATGGTGTATATGTGCCACATTTTCTTAATCCAGTCTATCATTGTTGGACATTTGGGTTGGTTCCAAGTCTTTGCTATTGTGAATAGTGCCGCAATAAACATACGTGTGCATGTGTCTTTAGAGCAGCATGATTTATAATCCTTTGGGTATTATAATTCATCCCAGTAATGGGATGGCTGGGTCAAATGGTATTTCTAGTTCTAGATCCCTGAGGAATCGCCACACTGACTTCCACAATGGTTGAACTAGTTTACAGTCCCACCAACAGTGTAAAAGTGCTTCTATTTCTCCACATCCTCTCGAGCACCTGTTGTTTCCTGACTTTTTAATGATTGCCATTCTAACTGGTGTGAGATGGTATCTCATTGTGGTTTTGATTTGCATTTCTCTGATGGCCAGTGATGATGAGCATTTTTTCATGTGTCTTTTGGCTGCATAAATGTCTTCTTTTGAGAGGTGTCTGTTCATATGCTTTGCCCACTTTTTGATGGGGTTGTTAGTTTTTTTCTTGTAAATTTGTTTGAGTTCATTGTAGATTCTGGATATTAGCCCTTTGTCAGATGAGGAGGTTGTGAAAATTTTCTCCCATTTTGTAGGGTGCCTGTTCACTCTGATGGTAGTTTCTTTTCCTGTGCAGAAGCTCTTTAGTTTAATGAGATCCCATTTGTCAATTTTGGCTTTTGTTGCCATTGCTTTTGGTGTTTCAGACATGAAGTCCTTGCCCATGCCTATGTCCTGAATGGTAATGCCTAGGTTTTCTTCCAGGGTTTTTATGATTTTAGGTCTAACATGTAAGTCTTTAATCCACCTTGAATTAATTTTTGTATAAGGTGTAAGGAAGGGATCCAGTTTCAGCTTTCTACATGTGGCTAGCCAGTTTTCCCAGCACCATTTATTAAATAGGGAATCCTTTCCACATTGCTTGTTTTTCTCAGGTTTGTCAAAGATCAGATAGTTGTAGATATGTGGCATTATTTCTGAGGGCTCTGTTCTGTTCCATTGATCTATATCTCTGTTTTGGTACCAGTACCATGCTGTTTTGGTTACTGTAGCCTTGTAGTATAGTTTGAAGTCAGGTAGTGTGATGCTTCCAGCTTTGTTCTTTTGGCTTAGGGTTGACTTGGCCATGCAGGCTCTTTTTTGGTTCCATATGAACTTTAAAGTATTTTTTTCCAATTCTGTGAAGAAAGTCATTGGTAGCTTGATGGGGATGGCATTGAATCTATAAATTACCTTGGGCAGTATGGCCATTTTCATGATATTGATTCTTCCTACCCATGAGCATGGAATATTCTTCCATTTCTTTGTGTCCTCTTTTATTTCATTGAGCAGTGGTTGTAGTTCTTCTTGAAGAGGTCCTTCACGTCCCTTGTAAGTTGCATTCCTAGGTATTTTATTTTCTTTGAAGCAATTGTGAATGGGAGTTCACTCATGATTTGGCTCTCTGTCTGTTATTGGTGTATATGAATGCTTGTGATTTTTGTACATTGATTTTGTATCCTGAGACTTTGCTGAAGTTGCTTATCAGCTTAAGGAGATTTTGGGCTGAGACAATGGGGTTTTCTAAATATACAATCATGTCATCTGCAAACAGGGACAATTTGCCTTCCTCTTTTCCTAATTGAATACCCTTTATTTCCTTCTCCTGCCTAATTGCCCTGGCCAGAACTTCCAACACTATGTTGAATAAGAGTGGTGAGAGAGGGCATCCCTGTCTTGTGCCAGTTTTCAAAGGGAATGCTTCCAGTTTTTGCCCATTCAGTATGACATTGGCTGTGGGTTTGTCATAGATAGCTCTTATTATTTTGACATACGTCCCATCAATACCTAATTTATTGAGAGTTTTTAGCATGAAGTGTTGCTGAATTTTGTCAATGGCCTTTTCTGCATCTATTGAGATAATCATGTGGTTTTTGTCTTTGGTTCTGTTTATATGCTGGATTACATTTATTGATTTGCATATATTGAACCAGCCTTGCATCCCAGGGATGAAGCCCACTTGATCATGGTGGGTAAGCTTTTTGATGTGCTGCTGGATTTGGTTTGCCAGTATTTTATTGAGGATTTTTGCATCAATGTTCATCAAGGATATTGGTCTAAAATTCTCTTTTTTGGTTGTGTCTCTGCCAGGCTTTGTTATCAGGATGATGCTGGCCTCATAAAATGAGTTAGGGAGGATTCCCTCTTTTTCTATTGATTGGAATAGTTTCAGAAGGAATGGTACCAGTTCCTCCTTGTACCTCTCGTAGAATTTGGCTGTGAATCCATCTGGTCCTGGACTCTTTTTGGTTGGTAAGCTATTGATTATTGCCACAATTTCAAATCCTGTTATTGGTGTATTCAGAGATTCAACTTCTTCCTGGTTTAGTCTTGGGAGGGTGTATGTGTCGAGGAATTTATCCATTTCTTCTAGATTTTTTAGTTTATTTGTGTAGAGGTGTTTGTAGTATTCTCTGATGGTAGTTTGTATTTCTGTGGGATCGGTGGTGATATCCCCTTTATCATTTTTTATTGCATCTATTTGATTCTTCTCTCTTTTCTTCTTTATTAGTCTTGCTAGCAGTCTATCAATTTTGTTGATCCCTTCAAAAAACCAGCTCGTGGATTCATTAATTTTTTGAAGGGTTTTTTGTGTGTCTATTTCCTTCAGTTCTGCTCTGATTTTAGTTATTTCTTGCCTTCTGCTAGCTTTTGAATGTGTTTGCTCTTGCTTTTCTAGTTCTTTTAATTGTGATGTTAGGGTGTCAATTTTAGATCTTTCCTGCTTTCTCTTGTGGGCATTTAGTGCTGTAAATTTCCCTCTACACACTGCTTTGAATATGTCCCAGAGATTCTGGTATGTTGTGTCTTTGTTCTCATTGGTTTCAAAGAACATCTTTATTTCTGCCCTCATTTTGTTATGTACCCAGGAGTCATTCAGGAGCAGGTTGTTCAGTTTCCATGTAGTTGAGTGGTTTTGAGTTAGTTTCTTAATCCTGAGTTCTAGTTTGATTGCACTGTGGTCTGAGAGACAGTTTGTTATAATTTCTGATCTTTTACATTTGCTGAGGAGAGCTTTACTTCCAATTATGTGGTCAATTTTGTAATAGGTGTGATGTGGTGCTGAAAAGAATGTATATTCTGTTGATTTGGGGTGGAGAGTTCTGCAGATGTCTATTAGGTCCACTTGGTGCAGAGCTGAGTTCAATTCCTGGATATCCTTGTTAACTTTCTGTCTCGTTGATCTGTCTAATGTTGACAGTGAGGTGTTAAAGTCTCCCATTATTATTGTGTGGGAGTCTAAGTCTCTTTGTAGGTCATCAGGACTTGCTTTATGAATCTGGGTGCTCCTGTATTGGGCGCATATATATTTAGGATAGTTAGCTCTTCTTGTTGTATTGATCCCTTTACCATTATGTAATGGCCTTCTTTGTCTCTTTTGATCTTTGTTCGTTTAAAGTCTGTTTTATCAGAGACTAGGATTGCAACCCCTGCCTTTTTTTGGTTCCCATTTGCTTGGTAGATTTTCCTCCATCCTTTTATTTTGAGCCTATGTGTGTCTCTGCATGTGAGATGGGTCTCCTGGATACAGCACACTGATGGGTCTTGACTCTTTATCCAATTTGCCAGTCTGTGTCTTCTAATTGGAGCATTTAGTCCATTTACATTTAAAGTTAATATTGTTATGTGTGAATTTGATCCTGTCATGATGATGTTAGCTGGTTATTTTGCTTGTTAGTTGATGCAGTTTCTTCGTAGTCTCGATGGTGTTTACATTTTGGCATGATTTTGCAGCGGCTGGTAGCAGTTGTTCCTTTCCATGTTTAGTGCTTCCTTCAGGAGCTCTTTTAGGGCAGGCCTGGTGGTGATGAAATCTCTCAGCATTTGCTTGTTTGTAAAGTATTTTATTTCTCCTTCACTTATGAAGCCTAGTTTGGCTGGATATGAAATTCTGGGTTGAAAAATTCTTTTCTTTAATAATGCTGAATATTGGCCCCCACACTCTTCTGGATAGTAGAGTTTCTGCTGAGAGTTCCGCTGTTAGTCTGATGGGCTTCCATTTGTGGGTAACCCGACCTTTCTCTCTGGCTGCCCTTAACATTTTTTCCTTCATTTCTACTTTGGTGAATCTGACAATTATGTTTCTTGGAGTTGCTCTTCTCGAGGAATATCTTTGTGGCGTTCTCTGTATTTGCTGAATTTGAATTTTGGCCTGCCTTGCTAGATTGGGGAAGTTCTCCTGGATAATATCCTGGAGAGTGTTTTCCAATTTGGTTCCATTCTCCCCGTCACTTTCAGATATACCAGTCAGAGCAGATTTGGTCTTTTCACATAGTCCCATATTTCTTGGAGGCTTTGCTCATTTCTTTTTATTTTTTTTCTCTAAACTTCCCTTCTCACTTCATTTCATTCATTTCATCTTCCATCACTGATACCCTTTCTTCCAGTTGATTGCATCGGCTCCTGAGGCTTCTGTATTCTTCACGTAGTTCTCGAGCCTTGGCTTTCAGATCCATCAGCTCCTTTAAGCACCTCTCTGTATTGGTTATTCTAGTTATACATTCGTCTAAATTTGTTTCAAAGTTTTCAACTTCTTTGCCTTTGGTTTGAATTTCCTCCTGTAGCTTGGAGTAGTTTGATCGTCTGAAGCCTTCTTCTCTCAACTCGTCAAAGTCATTCTCTGTCCAGCTTTGTTCCATTGCTGGTGAGGAGCTGTGTTCCATTGGAGGAGGAGAGGCTCTCTGCTTTTTAGAGTTCCCAGTTCTTCTGCTGTGTTTTTTCCCCATCTTTGTGGTTTTATCTACTTTTGATGATCGTGATGTACAGATGGGTTTTTTGTGGATGTCCTTTCTGTTTGTTAGTTTTCCTTCTAACAGACAGGACCCTCAGCTGCAGGTCTGTTGGAGTTTGCTAGAGGTCCACTCCAGACCCTGTTTGCCTGGGTATCAGCAGCGGTGTCTGCAGAATCACGGATTTTCGTGAACCGCGAATGCTGCTCTCTGATCGTTCCTCTGGAAGTTTTGTCTCAGAGGAGTACCCGGCCGTGTGAGGTGTCAGTCTGCCCCTACATTTTTATTTTATTTCAATAGTTTTTGGGATACAAGTGATTTTTGGGTATATGGATAAGTTCTTTAGTGGTCATTTCTGAGAGTTTGGTGCATCCATCATGCAAGCCGTGCAAACTGTATTCAATATATTGTCTTTTATCCCTTATCCAACCTCCCACCCTTTCCCCTGGAGTCCTCAAATTTCATATTATTTTTATGCCTTTGTGTGCTCATAGCTTAGCTCCCACTTATAAGTCAGAATATGTAATATTTGGTTTTCCATTCCTGAGTTAGTTCACTTAGAATAATGGCCTCCAGCTCTAGCCAAGTTGCTGCAAAAGACATTATTTCATTCCTTTTTGTGGCTGAGTTGTATTCTATGATGTATATATACACAACATTTTCTTTATCCACTTGTTGGTTGATGGGCACTTAGGTTGGTTCCATATTTTTGCCATTGTGAATTGTGCTGCTATAACATGTGTGTGCATGTGTCCTTTTCATATAATAACTTCTTTTCCTTTGGGTAGATACACAGTGGTGGGATGGCTGGATCAAATGGTAGTTCTAGTTTTAGTTCTTTAAGGAATCTCCATACTGTTTTTCATAGTGATTTTACTAGTTTACATTCCCACCAGTAGTGTAAAATTGTTCCCTTTTCACCACATCCATGCCAACATCTGTTTTTTGACTTTTAAATTATGGGCATTCTTGCAGGAGTAAGATCTACCCTAGATTTCAATAGCAATGTTTAAATCAGTAAATTTATAAGCTTTACTAACACCATACTGAGTACTTTACCTTGCAGAAAATCTTCCCACTGTTGGGAATTGAGAAAAAAAAAAGAGCAGCCCCTGACATCCAGATGCTGGACTTGCACTCACAGGGAGGCCATGTTAGCCTCCTATTAGACATAATCAGTCTCACAGAACACTAATCTCAGACAAGTTATGCTGAAACCATGGTAAAATGAGACAAAACAAGGCCACTTCATAATACTATCATAATATTGTCTAAGTAGAGGCAAAAACAAGGTCATTGTGCCACCCACAAATATCCACAAAACACTCCTTTCTCAAAAATTAAATGCTATTTCTATGCCAGTTACAGTTTTTTCTTTGTGCTAGTCTTCTTTCCCATAGTCTAAGATTGATATACTCAATCATTGACTCTCTCTTGTCACCCCAGCAAAGTCCAAATATATAATTTGTTCTTTCTACCCCTCTCTTAGACATCTTTCAGTTACCCAGGGTATATATTCCCCCTCTCTGCCACAAATAATAAACCCAACTTGTTCAGCTAAAAGTGTGTTGCTGGTGGTTCCTAGGTAGAGGGCATTGACAGAATACATAAATAAATTAGTAATTAGTTGGCTCAGCAAACATTCATTAAATTGTAGTATGGGATTCCAAGCTACTTGAATGTTTTTAATTAAAGTCTTTGAGAATATGATGAAAGTTACAGACCCTTCTGCCAGAAAAATGAACATTCATTCAAACATTTGCACACACTTTCAGAAGTTCAAAGGATTCAAAGATTTCTTTGGTTAAGAGTCTAGGTCTAGTCATTAAAAATAAGCTGTAATCTCTGATCTCAAGGAACTCAGAATCAGCACATGGGACTAAGGGACACATTTCTTTATTGGGAACATTCCTTAAATAGAGATGACTTGCAAATGAAAAATACCTCTAAATAGAAAACCTGGATTTGACTAATAAAAAGATTATTGGCAGTGAATATTTTTCTTTCTGTAGTGTTTTAAAGATTAGATAAATCTATTGTACGTTTTTGGCAATAGCATATTATTTCTGCCTGACTCTGTGTGTGTGTGTGTGTGTACGTGTGTGTGTGTGAGAGAGAAGAAAAAAGAGAGAGAGGGAGAGGGAAAGAGAGAGAGAGAGAGAGAAAGAGAGAGAAAAAATACTGCAAAATGTGCAAGTCACACATTTGAATGATACAAGATTGTTTTTTCCTTCTCATTTACAAAGTCTCTCTATCACTTAACAGAGAGAATATGAACAGGGGAGGGAATTGTTTCTCAGTTAAGAAAAATTGTGTTACAAATATCAGTGGGTTTGCATTTGGAGTAACCAAACTGCAGAAAGACTGAAAGTCTGATGTATTTTCCCACAACCCTGAAACTTGAGATTGAACTGAGTGTCTGAAATCCTTGGGGGCAAGAACTGTATCTTATTTAGTTTGGCATACAAAACACACAGAAAAAGGTACTCAGTAAGTATTTGTTAAAGAAATGTGTAGCCCAAGAGGTACAGTATTTCCAAACTCCCCTCTCTACTCCTGTGCCCCTTCCCAAGGCCTTTGGTCCAGATTCCAAGCGTGCCTTTCTGCTGATTTTGCCTTCGCAATTGTTTCCTTTCCTTTGGTCTGTCTGGAGCTCTGTCCTGAATCCCTGCTCAACTGGACTGCTTCTGGGCCTTGAGAAGACTCTAGGTCCAGTCAGCCCCTCATCAGCCTGGGCCTTATTCTTACAGACACTCCAGAGTATTGATATATCACAGGTAAACTGTTCGGAGTCTGACATTGGGTGGGCATCATGTAATGAATGTTGGCATCTCCTGCTACCAAAGCCTTGTCCACCTCCTGAGTTTTTAGTCCCTGAGTTCTAGTCTCACTAGCTCAAACCATCTAGTTCCACTGCTTCTGGGAGCACAACTGGACTTGTGACACTCCACACCTTCTTCGCAGGGTCCATCTGTGTAGCTGGGTCAGGTCCTGCCTCTATCTTTTTTTGTTACCACACCCATAATGTAAGGCCTCCTTCTGCTCTGACGTTCATCTCTGCAGGACTTGCCCTTTGTGCTGATGCCTTATCAGACCTTACATTAGGTTTTTAAAAAACTGTTTATTTTGAAATAATTTTAGATTTATAAAAAAGTTGTATTAGTTTTCTGGGACAATCTCAACAAATTACCACAAACTTGGTGGCTTAAAAAAACAGGAATTTAGGCCTGGTGCAGTGGCTCACACCTCTAATCCCAGCACTTTGGGAGGCCAAAGCCTGTGGATCACAAGGTCAGGAGTTCAAGACAGCCTGGCCAAGATGGTGAAACCCTGTCTGTACTAAAAATACAAAAATTAGCCCTGTGTGGTGGCATGAGTTTTTAATCCCAGCTACTTGGGAGGCTGAAGCAGGAGAATTGCTGAACCTGGGAGGCAGAGGTAGCAGTGAGCCAGAGGCTGAGGCAGGAGAATTGCTGAACCTGGGAGGCAGAGGTAGCAAGGAACCGAGATGGTACCACTGCACTCCAGCCTGGGCGACAGAGCAAGACTCCATCTCAGAAAACAACACCACCACCACAAAACAACGATGAAAAGAATTTATTCTTTTCATCGTTTTGGAGGCCAGATGTCCTAAATCAAGGTGTTGCCAGCACTATGCTTCCTCTGAAGGCTCTCGGGGAGAATTGTTTCTTTCTTCTTCCAGTTTCTAGTGCCTCCTGGTGTTCCTCAGCTTGTGACAATATAACTCCAATCTCTCTCTCCAACTTTACATAGCCACTATGTTAGTATGTTTGGGCTGCTATAACAAAATGCTTTAGACTGGGTAACTTATAAATAACAGGAATTTATTGCTTATGGTTCTGGAGGCTGGGAAATCCAACATCAAGGTGCCAGCAGATAGTGGCTGTTGAGGTCCCATCCTCATGAATGGCCACTTCTTGCTGGGTCCTCACATGGTAGAAGGGGTGAACATGTTCCCTCCAGCCTCTTTTTAAGAACACTAATTCCATTCATGGTGGCTCTACCCTCATTCCCTAATCACCTCCAAAAGGCTCCACTTAATAATATTGTACTGGGGATTGTGTTTCAACATATAAATGTTGGGCAGACATGAACATTCATACCACAGCAGGTGCCTTCTCTTTGTGTTTCGTGGTGTGGTCTCCTCTTCTTATAAGGATATCCGTCATTAGATTTAGATGATTCCTAAATTCAGGATGATCTTGTCTTAACATCCTTAATTTATTCCCAAATAAGGCCAAGTTTTGAGGTTCTGGATGGACAGGAACTCTTGGGTGACTGTATTCAAACCACTATCATCGCAAAGAGCACAGGGAGTTCCTATATACCTTTCACATCAGCTTATAATCTGATGTGGAGAGCTCCTCAAACGAGGCAGATCAAATAAAACTCCATGCTGCAGGGGTCTACACCCTGGTGCTCAAGATCACACCTCTTGGTGCCTACCGATTTCAGGCACCTCACAGAGCTATTTCTTTCTAAGGTCTTGTTACATAAGAGGTATGATGCTAGAGCAGGTTCCAACCCTTGCTTGGTGGAGAATCTGAGAACATAATTCCCATTTATGTTCCCTGAGATCTACCCTGGGTATTGGTGTTGGGAGACTGCCTTCCCTTTTCTTTTTAATTATACTTTGTATTTTGAGATAATTTTAGATTCACAGGCAGTTGAAATATATGAGAAGGAGATCTCGTGTACCATTCCCTGCTTTCTCCCTATGGTAACTTCCTGTAAAACTATAGTATAATATCACAACCATGATATTGACATTGATACAATTAACCTATCATATTCAGACTTCACCAGTTTTTCTTATATTAGTGTGTGTGTGTGCATGTGTGTGTATGCGTATTTAGTTTTATGCAAGAAATTTTCTTTTTTAATCCCTCAAAGTGCCAAGTGTTCATTCTCCACCTTCTCCTACAACAGATTTTGAGGGCTCATCAAAAAACACTTCAAAATTCAGAAAAAGACTTATATTTAGAAACACAAATCAGCCTGTCTAGCCCCCTGGGGATAGAAGGTGCCTGACTTCATAGTCAAAGCTTTGACTTCCCATCCCTGATGAGGCTGATGAAATGTCTTCTGTTTATTTCTGAAGAATCAATTCTATTTAGTGGATGATTTCAAACAAATGTAAGTCAGGTTTTCTGTAAGTCACTTTACTTAAGACATGGGCTTTGGATTTGCAGAGAGGTTTGAATTCTGGTTCTGCCATTTACTAGTAGTGAAATTTGGGCACATCATAAATGTTTGAGAAAGTTGGGCAGGTGTCAGATCAAGTGTTTGGATTGTAACTTAAAGCTGATATTGAATTATTTTAATTGGGGGAGTGATACAAGCAGGTTTGCATTTTAGAGAGATCTAGCACAGCTCATTACCATTTTTAGATTACTAGCTCATTTGAGACTTTGAGACTCTGAGAAAAGCCGTTAAGTTCTTTTTCTATAGAATGCATACATATAATAATATAACTTTAAATATAATTTCAGGAAGCCTCTGAAGACTATGGACTCTAATCTGCAAATTCTGGGGTAGAGGAATTTTTTTCTTTTCCCATTGGATATGTGATGAGTTCCTGAGTGGGTGGGAAGGAGGTGAGAGACTTGAGTATATTTATATGCTTAAGTGACAGAGCCAGTAGAAGGGAGAGGTAGGAATGTAGTAGAGGAGAGAGTTACGGAAATTATTCCATAGCTTCCTCCTTATATCTATAGAGGTAGGAAGAACTCAATCTCATCTAGAACAAAGGCGATGAGATTATCTCTGGGCTGTAGGAGGGAACCTTCTAGTGAATTAAGAAGGAAAATGGGTGTGGGAATAAATGACAATGGGAGATGGAAGGAATACTTAATGGAATTTCCTTCTTTTTTTTTTTTTTTTTCTGGGTAGAAAGTAAACTGATTACCTAAGAATGAAGGGAAAGAAGGTTTGGTAAAAGTAGAGAAGTTTTGGATTAGCTCCCAAGAGAAGTATGGAAAGGTGCTGAAAGATAGTAGGAGATTGGTGGTGAGATTATGGAGTTGGAGCAGTCCTCAGCGAAGTGTAATTTTTCTCTGGGACCTCTCAACATCCTGCTAAAAGGCAAGAACATAGGTATAATTTTGCAGGGAGAGCACAGTGGAAGCATCATTTCCTTTTTGTATAAAACAGAGAGATAGTGATGATTTTTTTTTGGATTGATTGATAATTTCAGTATGTGCTCATGGACTCATGCCTATAATCACTTTGGATGGGTGAGGTGGGAGGATTGCTTGAGGCCAGGAGTTCAAGAGCAGCCTGGGCAACATAGGGAGACCCTGTCTCTACAAAAAAAACCTGAAACCCCAAAACAAAAGAACTCCAATTTGAATATACATGCACACATTGGTTTTGTTGTGGCCTGACTCACATTGCTATCAGCAAAAGGCCCAGTCTGACCCTTGGGGCCCTGTACAATCTTATGAAAGAATGATATGGCAGAGTAGCAACTCCCTTTCCTTCTCACCTTTCTGTGGTGTTGATCATAGAGGAATTAGGGAATTTCTGGGCTACGGAGTCCTACTGTTCTAGACCCTAAATTTAAGGGCACGCATTATTTCAGAACATACTAGACAAATTCTCTTTTGCCTTATGAAGTAGCTGTTTTTTTTTTTTTTTCTGTTGGATCTAAGATTCCATTAGAAAAAGTGAGGAGAGGATAACATTAGGAGACATACCTAATGTAGGTGATGGGTTGATGGGTGCAGCAAAGCACCGTGACCCACGTATACCTATGTAATAAAACTGTACCTTCTGCACATGTACCCCAGAACTTAAAATATAATAAAAAAAGAAAAAGTGAGAAGAAAATAAGATAAGTAGAAATCAGATGCCTTTGTAAGTACATATAATTCATGACTGTCAGGGTGGACCGTGCTATGTGAGCACATTTAAACTCCGTTAACTATCAATTATGTTGAACACCTTTTCATATGCCTGTTTGCCATTTGTATATCTTCTTTTGAGAAATGTCTGTTCAAATCTTTTCCCTATTTTTTGATCCCGTTATTTGATTTTTTCCTATAGAGTGGTTTGAGCTCCTTATATATTCTGATTATTAATCCCTTGTCAGATGGGTAGTTTGCAAATATTTTCTCCCATAAAATTAAAATATGATCAATATTCTTTTGGTGGTAATAACTTTTTTTTCCTTTATTCCTTCTTTTCCATTTTGTAGTGGATATTGTAAGGATTATTAACTGTATTCCATTACAATTGCTCTAGGAATAGTTATTTGATAAAATAAACATTTACATATCTGATAAGTACATGGTTGTCCCCATATGGATTGAGAAGTAACTGGAGGGAAATCAACCTTGACATTCAAAAGTGCTACTTCTCTGAGTCTCCTAATATTATAAGGTTGAACTTCACCAGCTTATCAGCCTGCAGGAAGTGGGTTGTCCTGGGTCTACGGAATGGAAAGCTGATAGATAAACCTCAGGTGTATTCTCTTCTCTGGTCACATCTGTTTTCAAATTTTTCTCATTGGGCTGGATAGAAAGTCTATAGAAAGTTAATCCTCTGGATGTCTATGTTGAAAGAACCTCTTTTTAAAACTTTTTTAAATTTTTTTTATTTTCATAGGTTTTGGGGGGAATGGGTGGTGTTTTCTTACATGAATAAGTTATTTAGTGGTGATTTCTGAGATTTTGGTGCACCCATCGCCTGGGCAGTATACACAGTACCCAGCTGGTAGCCTTTTATCCCTTATCCCCTTCCTATCTTTTCCCCTGAGTCCCCAAAGTCCATTGCATCATTCTTATGCCTTTGGATCCTCATAGCTTAGCTCCCACTTATGAGTGAGAGCATATGATGTTTGGTTTTCCATTCCCAAATTACTTCCAATTCCATCCGGGTTGCTGCAAATGCCATTATTTCATTCATTTTTGTGGGTGAATAGTATTCCATGGTATGTATATACCACAGTTTCTTTATCCACTTGCTTGATGGGCATTTGGGCTGGTTTCAGATTTTTGCAATTGTTAAATTCTGCTGTTGTAAACATGTGTGTGCAAGTACTTTTTTTTATAATGACTTCTTTTCCTCTGGGTGTATAACCAGTAGTGGGATTGCTGGATCAAATGGTAGTTCTATTTTTAGTTCTTTAAGGAATCTCCACAGTGTTTCCCATAGTGGTTGTACTGGTTTACATTCCCACCAGCAGTGTAAAAGTGTTTCTTTTTCACCACATCCCTGCCAACATCTATTACTTTTTGATTATGGACATTTTTATGGGAGTAAGATGGTATCACATTGTGGTTTTGATTTGCATTTCCCTGATTATTACTGATGTTGAGCATTTTTCATATGTTTGTTGGCCATTTGTATATCTTCTTTTGAGAATTGTTTATTTATGTCCTTAGCCCACTTTTTGATGGGATTTTTGTTTTTTATTTCTTGCTAATTTGTTGGAGTTCCTTGTATTACAGATTCTGGATATTAGTCCTTTGTTAGATGCATAGATTGTGAAAATTTTCTCCCACTCTGTGTGTTGTCTGTTTACTCTGCTGATTGTTTCTTTTGCTGTGCAGAAGCTTTTAAGTTTAATTAAATCCTATCTATTTATCTTGGCTTTTGCTGCATTTGCTTTTGGGTTCTTGGTCATGAAGTCTTTGCCTAAGCTAATGTCTAGAAGTGTTTTTCCAATGTTATCTTCTACAGTTTTTATGGTTTCAGATCTTAGATTTAAATCCTTGATTCATCTTGAGTTGATTTTTGTATAAGGTGAGAGATGACAGTCCAGGTGCATTCTTCTACATGTGGCTTGCCAATATCCTAGCACCATTTGTTGAATAGGGCATTTGTTGAATAGGGTGTCCTTTCCTCACTTTATGTTTTTGTTTGCTTTGTTGAAGATCATTTGGCTGTAAGTATTTGGCTTATTTTCTGGGTTCTCTATTCTCTTCCATTGTTCTATGTGTCTTTTTTTATACCAGTACCATGCTGTTTTGGTGACTATAGATTTATAGTATAGTTTGAAGTCAGGTAATGTGATGCCTCCAGATTTTTTTTTTTTTTTTTTTTTTGCTTAGTTTTACTTTGGCTATGTGGGCTCTTTTTTGGTTCCACATAAATTTTAATTTTTTTTTTCTAGTGAAAAAACCTCTTTTAATATGCTACCATTATCCCCTACAGTGCTAGCCCCTCCCTCTGGGCACTTCCTGCAGGGTTTGGTGTCTGGAATTTGAGTTAGATTTCAGTCTTCTTCACCTCCTCAACAGGAGTACCCTTGTTAGTGGTGGTAGTTATCCACACGGTGTGCAGCAACCTCAATTCTTGGCTTCTCAGAAGAAATAATTCGACTGAGGAGCATAAGGTGAAAGGAGAGGTGGACACAAGTTTTAAAGCAGGAGTAAAAGTTTATTAAAAAGCTTTTGGATTGTATTTCTAGCTATTTTAATCTCTTTGTAGAAATTGTGAATGGGAATCCACTCATGATTTGGCTCTCTGTTTGTCTGTTATTGGTGTGTAGGAATGCTTGTGATTTTTGCACATTAATTTTGGGCTGAGGTGATGGTGTGGTGTCAGCCAAAGCATTTTATAGTGCAGTGAGAGCAGGATCTGTCCTCATTTATGCATGCCAGCAGCAGCAGCAGTGGCAGCACGGCGGGGTGCACATTCATCTGCTGTAGCAGGGTGCTAGTACATGCTGAGATGCCTGCCTTTATATGGGCATTCACCACAGTGGTTGAGGCAATAAGGCTCAGAGGGGTTGGGGAGTGCAACCATGTGTATGGTCACACTGGTGGTGGTGTTTGCATGGAGGCAGGACGGTGGTGGGTGCAAGTCTGTGTGCATTCTCTGTGCACTGCAGTAAGGGATGATTGCACAGGGTGAGGGAGGGTTCACTGTTCTTCATGCCTAATTTCACTCCTGCAGTAGTGTTGATACAAGGACTAGGTGCTGGCAGATTCAGGGCCCACTAAGGCTCTGACTGTAATGGTGCTTGGTGGGCAAGGGGGAATGAGGTTGCACTTCTGCTGCAGCAGTGGCAGGGCATGTTGTATGCACACGTGTGTCTTAGTGGGTCAAGGAAAGCAAAATCTGCCTATACACACATGTGCTGGCAAAGTGATGTGCAAGATTGCTCTGGGATCAGGGGAACCTGCAGTGTGGGGAGGGGGTGGGCAGTCTGTGCATGGCTGCGGGGGCTGCTCTGCTGGAGCTTTCTGCTGGTCAAGCATGGTCTGCCAGTGCAGAAGCTATGATGCAGATCTCCAGGGCATCCAAGGCTGCACTGCAAGCAGGTGTTGCCGGGCTGAAGTCCTGGGGGAGGACAGCAGACCAAGGGGGGCTCAGGTTGGACTGGCCCAGTCTGACAGGCAAGACTGCCATGCAAAGTTCAGGCCCTACAGTTTTTCGAGGGCTAAAGTCTCCTATGGGAGCAAGCTGAACCTAGGGAGATGGCTGTTTCTGGCCATGCTCCACTGCAGACACTCCTACACCAAACTCTTTGGGCTACACATTAGCTGGCTTGCTGTGCTACCACTTCTCTAAACAGCTCTCCCTGCCAGCTTGAGTGTTTGTGGTGGTCAAGGGTTGCCTCCTGCTGGGCTTCCAGATGCCCTTTGTGAGAGCACATTGCTCTTTGCCAGTTCAATGCTCCCATTTCCCTAGAGTCACTGGGGGCCTGGAAAAAGTCCTCATGCTCAGTAGCCCTGTGCATGGTTCCCAGTTCCTCCCCTTCCATTTCAGCTTCTATGTCTTCCCTTCATCTACTCTTGGTGCCTTCCCTCTGAAGATCTGTTACAAGTGCACCAGTAATCTCAGTTCTCAGTGGCAGT